>NC_000005.10:62609807-63234807 GCF_000001405.40 Homo sapiens | reverse complement strand
AGGAAAAGAAGAAAAGACAGGAGCCGGAAAGAATGAGATGGTAATTGAGGAAGTCCAAGTAGTTTGTTTTAGCTGAAATTTTACAGAAGGAAGTAAATCTAAAGGTGAGACCACTGGGATTCTTAAAATTAAGTTGGTCTTTACAGACAGAATCTCTGTGATGATTGTTATTCATTTCTTCATCACTCAGCAGTATTTACTGGGAACTTGCTACACACAATGTTAAATCATAGGGTTAAAATGTACAGCATATATAACCTCTAGACCAACAAAAACATTTAAAAATGGTAGAATTATAAAAGAGGAGACATTCTTTCTAAAAAATACGTCTCCTATTTTTCTCTCTTTCTCCTTACACAAACAGGGAATAAGAAAAAAAAATTCACTCTACAAGATTCTCTAACCCAGAAGCCCAAGAAGGAAAGAAAGAGCTGCATGGTGACCCTGACAACTCCCTTTTTCTCAATCCTAATCTGAAATAGATGCATACTATAAGGTCAGAGACTCCAGTTCTGATCACTGACTTTGCCAACCTGTATTTCTAAAGTGCTTTCTCAGAAGCACTACAAATGGCTGGATTTAAAAAAAAAAAATCCTTTCCGTGCAGTGGGCCAAGAAAAACCTAATAATAGAGCCACATGGCATTCCATTCCTTATAAAAAACCGAAACTATTCTTTTTAAAAAGTCATGTGGAAAAGTGATGGTTATTATGCAATATTATAGAAGAGACTCTTACTGTGCTCCTGTTTCTTTTTTTACTTTGTAGGAGGCACAATGATAATGAGCTTATTTCCTTCAAGCTACAATCAAGATGCTGAAATAAAGGTTGTGCTACAGTATCTTTTGCCTTATTTTCTGACGTCAGTGAAATCAAGGCAAGTGCTCTGCTCTGGCCAGTGTTTTAGTACTTTCTATTAGCGATTTCCATACAAAACACATGCTTTTAGGAGTCCATAAGTTATCTCAGGAATTCGTCTCTATTTGGAAAGTTAAGCAATTTCAAAGGCAATAGTAGCCACCCATCTATAAGGAAAGCTACACTTTAACTTCTAAATGGAACTGCAGGGATGCATACAGAAATTAGAACTGCCTGCAGTGCACAATTCAAAATGAAGAAAGCCAACAAGGGCCACAATGAAAGTAATTATAGCTCTAAGAAAAGCTTTCAAGGATTTGAAACAGACTCAGAATTTCTGAGCTTAATTGGTTTCTACACAAATATACATATAGTCCATCTGTCTGTATGAATATACATTCTTTTCTGTTTTGGTTAAACCTTCATTTCATTCCTTGGTTAACTACTACAGATACATTAGAAAGTTTTGTTCTGCTGTGTTAGAATGTCACAGAATGACTAACTCAAACCTAAAATAGAGAACAATGTGAAAGCCTGTGAATGTGACATTCAACTTGAGGGCCACACGGAAAGTGACAATATCAAGTAAGCAGAGGATGGTGCTAGATATACCCACAAACTGCTGCCATGGGATTACTCAAGTTTTGGTGCCTTAAGGAATTTTCCTAGGCAACCTTTTCTCTGCACTTCATTCTACTTATCTAATTTAGTTCTGCAAATTAAAATTTGCTGAGGTATCTGTAAAGATGCACATTGTCTACCTTAAACAATTCTAGAAATGTGACAGGAGATGGGTAACTTCTGGATCTTTAATATTCCCTTTTGGCTTTGAATAGATGATGCTACCACCCTTATTTTATGTGTGAGAGAATAGTAGATACAATGTGTAGACATTCTGAATAATATATAAAGTAGAACTAGAATTATAATAGTATAAAAATCATCACAATATATTTTTAAATAATAAAATAGCAGTAACAATAATAGTAAAAATAAAAGTTTGTGGGAGATTTGGACTGAAAGCAAAATGTCATAATTTGTTGTTTCAAAGGTAAGTGCTGACAAAGATTTTCTCCTTGAACAAACTCTTATCAGGCTCCTGTGAACTCTCTACTCACCTAGACTCAGACTTTTGAGCTTCTGTGTTTATCTCTGCACTGTCCAATTTTAGCAAGAATTCTACTAAGTCAGTTTAACCGGAATCCTCTACTCTGATCGCTTGACATTTGATTGGCTTCCTCGTCTTCCACCATCTCCCAGGTGATGTCTGATCACCCTGGCCTGCGTTTAGCAAGAATTCTGTTAGGTCAGTTTGCGAAAAATTCCTATTAACCCTGACGTTTCCCCTTAGTAATTTTTCATCAACTAACTGCCACCCACCACTCTGCTTCTTGACTATAAATTCCCACTTTTCCTTATTATATTTGGGATGGACCCCAATTCCTTTCCCCCACTGTAAAAATCAGTTGCGGTGGTCCCTATAACTATTGTGATGGTCCTGAATAAACTCTGCCTTACCATTTTTTAAGTGAATGAATTATTGTTTCCTTTAGCCGTTATGTGCTGTGACTTAAACAGGATCAGATATATCATTGGACCCCTGGACCTCTCACTTAGTACCTTAAGTGTGTGCACCTATGAAGCCTTTGTCTTCACTTTTTACTGATTGATCACAAATCCTTTGGTCAGTCAGACTCCTGAACCATTCATTGTTCTGAACAATTATCCGTGGAAGCTGGTAAAGAGAGATTTTTATTCCTAGGATTCTGAGGATACTGTAGAAATTGGGTTAGTCCCAGACAAACAGAGGACAGCTTTCTGTCTCTAGTGGGGATTATTTCTTGACTCCTGAGCTGAAAGTACTTCTTCCTGGCTTTTTAAGTGGCGATTCACTCTCTAATTTCTGAGATAGAAAATTTTTTCTAGCTCTTTGTGAGGCTTTGTTGTTCTATTTGATCGAGCTCCTTCCAGAGAAACATCTCAGTCTACTGAAACTCCCTTATTGAACCCCTCCTGACTGTATGTTCCACCAACTCTCTCTGTCTCCTTCTCATTGGCGTAATTTTGCTGAGGATAACTGGGAACCTCATTGGTCTCTTTGGGAAACTTAAATCTCCCTCCTCTAAGACCTCTCCATTCCCATTGCTTCTGCTCCTTATTTCTCCTCTAGCCACCTTCAGTCTTCCCTTTAGGTTCCTTAAATTGAACCTCTACCTCCTCCATCCAAATCCCCAGGCCTGCCAGGCCTTTCCCTTCTCACTTCAGCCTCAACTTCTCTACAGTCACTGAAGTGTAAGGCCTCTATCACTATTGGGGGCCCCTAGGGAAAGGACTCAGGGTGCCCCCTGAAGCAACTACCTGAGGCTAAAAAGCAGAAAGACTAAATGAAAATAGATTGAATATTTTATCAACTCAGATGGGCTTTGGAGACATCAAGACAGCTCATGGTTGTCTCCTCAGCCTAAGATATAGTCCACAGCCCTCCTAAAATTACATATCAGGGCAAAACAAAATTTAAAAGGTCTTCTCCATAAATATTGGTAAGAAAATAAAAGTTTTAAAAGCTTATTGAGTAGATAATCTCAATTTGCCCCACTTTTGTCAGAGAAACAATTTGGATAAAAATATAGAGTGGAGAAGAATCAGTGAGTTTCAGACTTGTATTGCTATGTTTTACTGTCCCAGGACTAAAATTGAATAATGACAGCTGTAAGACCTCTTTTTGCATCTGTCTGTGTTTATGTATGTCTAGATATGCATGTTAGATATATGTTATATTTTTCTACCTCTGGAGGATATCACCAAATTAATTTGTAAAATCCCTTCTTGGAGTTCTAAAATTGGCTTAGAAAAAGAGCACTTATATAACTTAAGTATTCTTCAAACTCTCAGAAATAAAAAACTAACACAAATGTTTCCTGAGTTCAAATCTTTGGTAAATAAGATTAAATATTGTTGGTTTAATTTAAAAAAAAAACAGCTTTGTATTCTGCATTATCAGCATTAAATATAATACGAGCATACATTTTTATTCTATTTGGGCTTACAAGTCATATAAGGTTAAAAATAGATGATCTAGAAATAGCTTTAGAAGATGGTTAGCTTCCCACTTTTTGATGGGGTTGTTTTTTTCTTGTAAATTTGTTTGAGTTCTTTGTAGATTCTGGGTATTAGCCCTTTGTCACGAGTAGATTGCAAAAATTTTCTCCCATTCTGTAGGTTGCCTGTTCACTCTGATGGTAGTTTCTTTTGCTGTGCAGAAACTCTTTAGTTTAATTAGATCCCATTTGTCAATTTTGGCTTTTGTTGCCATTGCTTTTGGTGTTTTAGACATGAAGTCCTTGCCCATGCCTATGTCCTGAATGGTATTGCCTAGGTTTTCCTCTAGGGTTTTTATGGTTTTAGGTCTAACATTTAAGTCTTTAATCTATCTTGAATTAATTTTTGTATAAGGTATAAGGAAGGGATCCAGTTTCAACTTTCTACATATGGCTAGCCAGTTTTCCCAGCACCATTTATTAAATAGGGAATCCTTTCCCCATTTCTTGTTTTTGTCAGGTTTGTCACAATAGCAAAGACTTGGAACCAACCCAGATGTCCATCAGTGATAGACTGGATTAAGAAAATGTGGCACATATACACCGTGGAATACTATGCAGCCATAAAAAATGATGAGTTCATGTCCTTTGTAGGGACATGGATGAAGCTGGAAACCATCATTCTCAGCAAACTATCACAAGGACAAAAAACAAACACCACATGTTCTCACTCATAGGTGGGAATTGAAAAATGAGAACACTCGGACACAGGAAGGAGAACATCACACACTGGGGCCTGTCATGGGGTCGGGGGATGGGGGAGGGATAGCATTAGGAGACATACCTAATGTAAATGACGAGTTAATGGGTGCAGCACACCAACATGGCACATGTATACATATGTAACAAACCTGCACGTTGTGCACATGTACCCTAAAACTTAAAGTATAATAATAATTAAAAAAAAAGAAGATGGTTAGCTGCACTGTTACAGTAAGTCTGCCTGAAAATAGTTTCTACAATCTTTTTGGTAACTTGAAACCTAAAGTTACCACTGGTTAATTATGAATATTCAAGGAATAGATTATTCCCAAATAGATAGAATACTGAAACTTTAATTGCTAAACATAAGTGCATTTACTTTGGCTTTTAAATTTTTTACAGAGAGACTACAGATATTTGAGTCTGTTAATATTCTTTTTTACACATTATTTAACTATAAGGAAAATGGTACCTATAGAAATTATGAAAAGATGTATTCATACATTTGTTATTTTGATACAGAATGCTGATATGTGATAGACTGACCACTTCCCAGTTTTCTCTGTAAAACGTTACTAATGGTTAAGATTATATTCAATACATGTAACTGAAACTACTAATTATATGGGTGAAGGGAAACAACTTTGAAAAATATTCAAGAATAATAAGGTGTATTATTATGGGAGCCATAAGAAGGTTTGAAGGATATGTTTTTGTTCAGGAAAAAAAGTAAGAAATTTTATTCTAAGGTAGAATTACTTACTGTTCTATAATAAGAAAGAGGAAAATGTGGGGGTGAAAAAACCCTGAATGCATATAAGAAAGTTGCAAAAGTTTGTGATAAAGGAATTTTATGTGTGGTTAAGCTGACTAAACATTTAAATTAATTTATGTTTCATTAAAAATGAGCTTTAATATCAAAAGTACACCAATGTAAAACTAGAATTTGGTTTTCTCTTTGTTAAAATAACAAAGTTTTCTGAATTATGGGTGGACTCACAATAAGAAATTGTAAAAGGTTTTTCTTTACCCTTTAAGTAAATTGACTAGGAAACTAAGATTTTGTGCTTCCTGTTAACTTTTATCATGTCCTCATTATTTAAGAGAACTAAGACCTCTCCCTTTTAAATGAACTAAAGTTTTTACATTGTTGACAATTTTGCCTTCCCAAAATGAAATCCTTAATGAAATCTTCTTGTCCTTAAACTGAACTCATTTCCCAGACAGCTCCTGGAAAATTTCAAAGGATTCTTTATTTCATCTTGTAAAATGTTTTTTAAAAATCAATTTATTTGATATATTAAATTGTATTAAAAACATTATCAAATTAGAAGAGTTGCTTTAAAATTCCCTAGTTATATTTGTATGGGAAAATATTCTTAATATAAATATTTCATAAATTGTATGAAATTCATAGAAATTTGCCAATAACTTCACTGTCCGTGACATATTTTGGTATAATGCTATCAGTCATAATTCTGATTATTATTTTTGTTGTGTGTCAAAGAAAAAAAATTTTCTTGTCAAATAAACTCTCAGATCTTTAACCATGGGCATTTTTTTTCTTTGTCATCCACAGATAGTTTTTGTTTTACTCTGATGCTTTCCTAAAAGAGCTTGCCAAAAAAAAATGAAATTTTTTTCTTCCTATATAATCGCTTCAAAATCTGAACCTCTTACTTACTATTCTTAATTTCATGGAATATAGTTATTTGCATAAGTTCAATAAGAATCTGTTCTTGCAGCAGGACACAATTGCAAAACTTGGTTATTTACAAAGGCTTTCAGTGGAATGTCATATTTGAGAATGAGGCATAGAATATGATATGATCAGATAAGATCAGATAAGTTTAAGGAACCAAGGTTGACTTTATGAATCCAATGCTTACAAAGCCCTCTTGGAAAAATTGCCCTACCCCCTGGCTTACAGGGTTCTCAACCTTAAAAATGGGTAGGGAAGTTCACTTTCTTGGAGGCCGAAGAACCCAAAGATAATTGAAAACCTCAAGATGAGAGGAATTCACCCAGATCTATAGGTACTGCAGGTGAAGTTTGCTGGTGAGTTCCTGGCTTGGCTTCCCAGCTTTGAGAGGCTTTTTAAAGTCTTAATTCCTTTCATAAGATTCCTTATTAAAAGCTCCAGCAAAGCAAACTGAAAAAGACCTACGTAGTCAGTTACCATTTTTGCTGGACTTAGGAAAATAATTGAGCCAAATCTAATGAGACAAGATTTATTTTGCGAACAAGAATATTACTTTTATTATCTTTGACAGAAATGAGGATGATTATAGACAGAAAGTGTGTGTTTCAATGGAAGGCTATAGCACATCATGGTGGGTACCTGATTATAATCCCGTTGACTGTCTTTCAGCTATTTTTTACCTCCGTAAACTCCATTTTACTTTCTAATTTGTTATGTACCTGTAAACTGGATTAAATCCTAAATTTTTCTAGTTTCCTTTCATATCCAGCTACAACCCTCTAGACTAACATTTCCAAATTTTATCTTACCCTCCTGACTTGGCTGAGAACTAAAACAGAAGCCCTGCAAGCTGAAGCTGGACAACTTGATATAAACTTTAAAGAAATAATGGTAACAGATCATGTGTAGTCAATGTTTGTGCCTGCGCTATATGGGTCACTCAGAAAGTTCACCAAAACAACCAATGCCATCACAGAATAACCAATGCCATCACCAAAGACATTCAAACTGTAAACCAAGAAATTCCTTGGATGGCCACTACCATTCTCACTTCACCATCTAAAGATGCTTTCAGCCCAAGTTTAGAAATATTGACTTGCTGCCCTCTGGAGTCAGAAACTGGGTTTCCAACCATTAATTTCTGTTTTTCTTTTATTTTCATAGAAACTCCCCTTTTTAAATACCTGCCTGCTAGCATCATCCAGCAAATATCCTCTACTACCAATTTCCAATATATAATTCTGCAGATCCTTAATAAACAAAAGATGACTGAATGGGACATGGACTTTTATTGTTCATTCTTCTTTCCTTGAACAAGAGGGTGACCAAAAGAGTCTCCACTTGAACAAACTCTAATGTCTCCTCTGAACTCTTCTCAACTAGGCCTTGACTCTTGGGCTTCCAGGTTCCTTCTGTACCATCCACTTTTAGCAGGAATATTGCTAATCAGTTTACCCAGAATCTCCCACCCTCGATATCTGATCTCCCTTGATACTTGGTTAGGTTCTTCATCTTCTACCACCCTCCAGGTGATGTCTGATCACCCTGGCCTGCCTTTAGCAAGAATCCTGTTAGGTCAGTTTAGCCCGAATCCCCTGTTACCCCTGACGTTTCCTTTTAGTAATATTTCAACCACCAACTCCCCTAACTCATCTCCTTGGCTGTAAATTTCCACGTTTTATTGTTGTACTCAGAATGGAGCCAATCTCTCTCCCCAATGCAAAACCCCATTGCAGTGGTCCCTGCACCTATTGTAATGGTCTGAATAAAGTCTTCCTTAATGTTCCTGAAGAAGTAAATAATGTTTTTCTTTAACAGCCCCCACTCAGGGCTGACATGGACTAAATCTGTGTCTTACACAAAAGTGGGGTACACACTCTCACACTCTGCCCAGGTAACATGCTGATTGGGATTGGGGAAAATACCAATAAAATCAGCTGCTGATGCTTCCTAGGCTCTTGCCTCCCAGAGAGCCAAGTGACTCTCTGTGAAGAGATAAACTTTATACTTGATTTTTACGAGCTGAGATGAGAACATTTCATTTACTTCCTGCAAGAACTGAACTTCCAGTGATGAGCATTTAATCTGATGTAGAGCTATGCAAAGACAATTTATCTGTTTGTTTATTTTCTTGAGTTTCTAAAAATGTGCCCTTTATAAAAACAGCCTCAGGGTATAAAAAACATCAAACCACATCAGTAAAATACAAGAAAAACAAGCTTCAATGATTAAAATATATGAATTTACTAAGGCATATTTTAATTGTATATTAACTCATCTATCATTTAGGATGCTTAGAAATTTCAAGGTACAGATGTATGATGGCCAAACAGAGCATTTAATGCAGACAATGTGCAAGTGTCTCATTTGAGGAAATTATAAGAGTGTGGCTTTGCATGAAATGGAGAAAAAGGATGACAACACAGCAAAACTGTCCTTAAAAATCACCACCAAGGGCCTAGTAGTTATCTGGGCATACCAGCTGGACTACCCTGAGTCATCATTTGTGCCCTATGCTGGGACAGAACCCAAAACTGTCATTCTTGTCTAAGCCTTGTCTAAGTTCCTGTAAGTCTGGGCTCAAAAAGTAGTTCTGACAGGCAGGACCCACCTCACTAATATTTTTATTTTTTCATTTATTCGGCAATTATTTATCAAACATTTATTATGTTCAAAGTTTTCAGAGCTATATGGATAAATAAAACACAGGTTCTGTCCTCCAGGAGTACCTGGGCTATGAGTCTTTGTGGTAAGAAGTTTTATATCCATCTCCTACATATTCTTTTCCCCACAGATAACTTTCCAGGATATTTTTCACTTTAATTGGAATGTGCTTATGTCATTAACACTAAAATCCTTGTCCCTTGTCCCCCTGTCCCAATAATTATCTTAACTTGGGAACCACCCTATCAACTCAGTATAAATGTATTGAATATAAGTTAATGTCAGTCTTTTGAAGAAAGAAAAGACATGTAATTATAGACAGGAATGTCTCACACCCAAGAAGCCCAATAGAGGACGACAGTATGTAAAGTCTTTCATGTGCAGTTTGGGTTAGTGCACATGCCCATGTAGGGTTACTGTATTACTAAGAAACATAAGCAAAAATTTACAACAGCAACAACGATAAAACCTTAAAACAGAACCTAGTGATCTTAGATAATACTTGTTTGAAGTAGAGAAAGGGATGCATGAAGATGTAACAAAGCGCTTAGAGAAGGTAACATGGGGTCACACTTCCACAAATTGAAAGAATCTAACTTTATATCTTTTCATTATTCTCCCTTTGCATTTCCTACATCTCGACAAATCAGATCCCTACCATAGGAAAGACTTTCCCCTTTCTCAGCTCCGTTGACACCTTGTAAAATTGGGAAAACTGCAAATCCTAACTGGCCAGGAAATAAGTTTCTATGCCATTTTATGACTTTATTTGAACTAAGCGTGTGATACACAAAGCCTCCTCACTTGTAATTTGACATCAGTGGGTAGCTGGAACTGGCCTATCCAGGTAAGGGGATGACATTCACAAGAGTAGAGGATGGGAATGGAAATCTCATCAACAGCCAAATAGGAAGAACCTATGTGGGAACGACCTGGGGACATTCAGGAAGTCAGCCTCTGAAAACTCAACTCAAGAAGGCAGGGAAAGTATTTGACCCATGACAGGAAGCCCAACTATAGAATTTTGACTCTATACTCCAGACCTACCTCTCCAGAAGCCATGTAGACAGCTCTATAAAAGTCCAGTGAAAATTATTACAGATATTCTATTAAACACGGTAGATTGTACTGAAAAATAATCTGTTTCCTTCAGAAGCTTTATTAAAATTAGAATAAGGGAACCAAACATGTGAGCCCTAAAGGAAAAAGAGAAGTAGAGAGTAAATAAGAGTAGACAAGAAAGGTCATCCAAATTTTGCAAGATGGAAAGTGGACACAAGAATAATTGTTGACTTAGGTGAAATTGTACTGCTTGCAATTATGCACACGGAGAAGCAAACAGATTCACTTGGAGGATCCCAGAGAAGCTCAGGATTTGGAATCAACAGGCACACAGAAGTCAAGGACAACACAAAGGGCTGATACCAGATATTATTGAAAGTCTGGTTGGAATCCCAGATACCCTCACCGACTCCAAAGAAAGAAGCAACCATCCCTCCCCTATTCCTGAAACAAATTAGTAGATATGGATCTGGAGGATTGAACTGTGGAGGCTCCAGTTTCAGCAACACCAGGCACAGGCAAGTGTGGGGAGGCCCCAACTGAATAGAGAAGGCATATCCGAAAGGTTGCATAATGAATGATGAGGCCTCCCAAAGTACACTCTTCTTGCCCACCATCAGCCACCTTCCTCCACCTATGTCCAGGGACACTGGAGGCCAAGCAGGAGACTAGAAGTTTCTTCTATAGGGAAAAAGAAAATTCCCAGAGAGAAGTTCTACATCTCCACCAATAACCAAGCTAGTCACCTAAACTATTATGAACCTGTTGCAAATCTGTCCAAACTCACAAAACTTCTAAAAATTTTAAGTTTCTTACCCTTAACTATGGACAAGTGAGGAGAACAAAACACTTAGAAAAGAAAAAATAATTCAAGATAAAAGACAGAGAGAAAAACAGACAAAAAAAAATCAGAGGCAGACAAAACAGGAAGGAGCAGTAGAATCTTTTATAGTTCTGTCATTAATATCCTCTGACAGATAGGATGAGAAAGAAAAAGAAAGTGCTATTAAATAGGAAAGTCACAGAATATGAAAGAGCCTTTGAACATTAAGTCTGTGATGGCTCATATAAATTGAGCTTAATGAAGGGACTGGAAGATAAAATCAAGGAAATCTAACAGAATAGATCAGCAAAGACAAAAGATGCACAATAGAAAAGATAAAATAATTGGAGGATCACCCAAAAGGCCCATCATCTGAATGCTAGAAGTTCCAAAAAGAGATGGCAGGAAAAATGAAGAGGAAGGGAAACCTTTAAAGAAAAACTTCCAGAACTGAAGCCCTTGAATATCCCGCTTGAAAGTTTTATCCATATTGTTGCACATGAATATAGATCATTCATTCTCATTTCTGAATAGTATCTCATTTCTACCATTTATTCCTTAACATATATGCACGCAAAATTTTGTTAAACAATAAAAGTTTCTATTAAAGAAAAATGTAAGCAAGTTATCAAATGCTTATTTTTAAACTATCTTTTCAGCCAATCATCACTTTAAATAAACAATATTTTTTAACAGAAATAGTTGGAGCTTCCTTTTTTCCCTTTACATTTTTTAGGAAACTGTAAATTCCATTAAATTCTGGGTTAACAATATAGTTAATATGAAATACTTTAGTGAGACTTTGCCACTATTTATAAAAACCATGCAGATGAAGCAGTAATGAAAATATTTTGTGAATTGCCAATACAGCACAAGAGGTAGAAATGAATGGAAGATCTCTTAAAAAAGAGGTCACAAGCTTAACTTAGCCTTCAAAGCTGTCTAAGACCTTGCACTACCTACCTTTTCAGTTTATACTCTACCACATAGATTTCTCTGCTCTATTCCCTCCAAGTATAACTTCCAACCCTCAGCTTTGTGTCTTTCTCTCTTCCTTCGTCCCCATTCAAAAATGTTCTTTCCATTTCTTGCTGCCTAGCAAACTAAATCTATTTATAATTCATAGAGAATTTCAAATGCTGTTTTCCAAATGATTACTTTTCTAATCACTCCAACCATAGTAAACATTATCAATGTCACCTTGTGCACTTTTACAAAACAGACTCCCGGGCACAATCACCATCTAGGTGAAATCCATATTAAAAGAAAGAGAGAGACAGACAGACAGATAAACAGACAGGTAACCTTTCCTGACGCCTCTGATAAGTTATATTTAGGTTCCATTGGTCAAAGCTACCTGTTCATTAATTAGCATACACATACCACTTGTAATTAATATCAACCTGATGCCTCTTCTAGGCTAAAGTGTAAGTTCCATGAGTTCAGGGCTCATTTCTCAATGCATCAGCTCCTGTATGGTAGCAGTGTCATCAAAGCACCAATTCAGTAGCGATTGCTTTTAGCAAAAAACTGTTTCTTCTCATTGATGAACCCAATCACTGGGCACAAATATAATCAGGTTTTCTAAATGATATGGAAGGGGGGCATGACCTTCATTATTTAGAGAATTTCTCTGGCCATCTTAATTATCTTTGTGGGAGCCATCACAGAGTATTCTGTGTGGCTATAGATTATGCTTTATTTCTCCTTCTGGTGTATTCACCATATATGGAATGCCTATGTCAATATTATTTTTTTCTAATTTCTATATAAAAACAAAGTTGCCATGATTATGGAAAACTTGTATTTTATGCAATAAAGACATCAGAGCCTATGAATTTTAATATAAAAATATAAATGTAAGTGCAAACACAGACACACAAATCCTGAAGTGCTTTTCCTCTTGGGGCCTAATCAAAATCAACCTTTTCAAACAGTGTTGTCACTGATGTAAATCTCATCCTAGCTAAATACAACATATTGGATTATTTGATGCAAACTAAGATTTGGATCAGTTTTTCATTTTAATCAGTAGAAACAACTTGCTCAAACCTTGATATCAAACCCAAAATGCACTTTTTTACAGATTAGCCACAAAATTACTCTAAAAAATGTTTCCCTGGGTGTATTTCAAAAAATAGCTCATGTTTTAAGTAGCAAGACAACAATAATTCAAAGTTGAATCATGTTGATTCTTAACGTATTATAAAGCTCTGTAATGCTTGGGTAAATATGTTGACTAGTTCCCCAGACTTTAATTATATCCCTTTAAAAATAGATTAACTCATTGAAACCAGAAGCATAGATAATTAGAATTAAAACCTCATGCCTATTTATGTGAATTATATGTAGTCTTCAAAATGCAAAAATGGTGAAGTTAATGCTTGCTATATATGACTCTTAATTTATTATATATCTTCTTATATTTTTCATGTGAGCATACTTACTGGTCACAATTTTTTCTGGTGGCTGGTTGGGAGCAATGCTACAAATCATCCATAGTATATATGTTGTAGAATTTTTGATTTGTGAATCACTGACAATGAGTCATAAGTTGTAATTTTGAGACCATATTAAAAAATGATGAGCTAGAAATAATAATTAACCAATATGTCATTTATATTTAAGCTTATATTTAAGCTAATCTGAGGACTTTTTGCATCAAAATCCAATGAAAGCAACAGATTACATATTAGTGTGTTAATATGCCCTCATTACGTAGCAAATATTACTCAATACTGGTTAGATGAAGAATGAATTACTTAATTTATTTCCCAGTAACACAATCAGCTTGTTTTACCATTCTTATTCAAGGATATGCTTAAGGACAAAAATCCTTAATTACAATAAAGGATTTTAAACAATTAGGGTGTTTGTGCCAACAAGCACCCTATAGAGTCCCTCTGCTTTCCCCAGTGATTTATCATTACAGGGAGAGGCACACGACTTCACTATATATGCCTAGAGGCCCAGCCTAGAAGAGAAGGGAGAGAGATAAATAATCAATGATAAAAGAATAATAAGCCATTGGAAATAAGATAATTTAAATGGGTATAGTCACACCTGTATTTTGCCTTTGGAATTAGCAAGTAATTAATCTATGCATCATGAAACTTTACCTGAAGTAGTAGATTAACAGCCTCAACAATAATAATGTACTAAGTGATTATTTTATGCCAAGAACTGTATTAGGAGCTTCACGTAAACCTCTCATTTGTTATTTACATAAATTCTGTTTTAAAAGATAGTATTAACATCTGACAACAAACTCTTCCAAGTGAGAAAATGTATTAAAAAACTTGAAGTAATATATTCAGCAAATTGGTAGTTAAAGCATAGCCAGCTCCTCTTAATCCTAGTCTTTTCCATAACCTCAGATGCAATACAATGTAGTAGACAAGGAAATTAGGATTGCAGTTACCTAGAATGTAGTTAAGGGTACTTGGCTCTACCACTTACTGATATAACACTGCTGAACATATTACTTAACCTTTCTGAGACTACACTTCCTTGTTTATAAAACTTTGTCCTGGGCCTTTTATGTTTCAAGGCGTTTGATAAACTCAATTCAAAATCTGAAACATGGTAAACACTCAATAGTGGCAGGTGTCACTTATGATACAGGATTTTACATTTCTGTATGTATAAAGTGGAAGTCTAGTATGCTCTATGTGCATTTTCAGAGCTCCTTAAAATGTCTTAAAAATCACTCCAGAGTAGAAGAGAGATCTATGTCTCTCCCACAAGTAGCCAATCTCTTTATGGCCAGTATCATCTGAAGTGACTTGGCATGACAGATTGGCCCAATAGGAACAGAAGTGCCTAAATGTCAATAACATCAGTAACATCCCTTATCCTAGGGAGTTTGAATCTAAAAACCTTAGAAAGAATCAGAAGGTGATGGCAGTGGGCATAATCTCAAATATATACCTAGAAACGGCAGTACACAGAAGCCATGAGTAAACCAGAGGCCGTAAAGGAAAGTATACTTAATTGGCTGGTACTACCTGAAGTGTCCCTGATCATTAAAACTTGAAACAACCTAACTAACTCAGAGTATATTTGGTGTCAAAATGACAAGGAAGGGGACCAAGTGAACATAGCTGATAAAAAAAAAAAAAGGAAAAAAAAAAAAAAAACACCAAGCACCTAACTGCTATATTGAAGCACATTTCCCAAACTGAAAAGAATATGAGGAGGAATATGATATCCATATAATTATTTAGGGAGAAGAAAGGATTAACAGCAAAAGGAATATCTGGTCTTCTCCCTCGGGACTAAGCAAGTCTCTTCATAGGATTATGCATTAAAAGGACAACTGCAACAACAGTAAAGAACAAGCCTGAATGAGTCCACTCACCTCACCAGCTACTTCCATCCAAACAGTGCTTGTTGACGAATAATTGCAAAATGTCACAAGAAGCATTTAATTAAGCTGATAATGGCTGTTCCTGTTAGCTTAGTCTATAATTATTCTTTATTTCCTTAACATAAACAAATTAGCTGTAATAGTATGTAAGGCAGTGTTTTTAATCTCCACAGGACTTCTAATTTGTAGCCTTTTCAGTTGCTGATAAATCAAAACTGCCGAGAAAACATTCTCTCAACCCCATGCATCTGTCCCTGTAGTGCTCTTCTGGCTCTGAAAATCTATTAATTTACTTTCCTGACACTGGAACAATTTTTTCCTTTGTCTTTAAAGGGATAATTTCACTTTCTGAACATGTGGTACAACTCTAAGATACCAGTATAATTTTGATGATTTCATGGATGTATTAGAAAATTCCCAGGTTTAAGGCAATGATTTTCCTAATTTCTAAATGTGATTGAAAGATAAGATACATTTTATAATTTGAAAATATCTTTCTCTGTCAACTAGCTTAAAATGATAAGTTCTACTGGCATCTAAACATAATTAATGGGGATGTCATATCTGTCTATAAATACAAAAAGCTGTTCAAGTGAGAGACAGGAACAACTGAAAACATTCCCATCTATGAAATAGTATGGGCTTAAAGTGTTGCTTTTTTTTGCTGACTATAAAGACATTATTCCTCATACAGGCTATTGTCACCTCTGCCCCAAAAAGTGGGCCATCAAACATAGGCTGCCATGGCTGATACACGGGAAAGAAAGGACAAACACATTCGACTCTCTCCAGCCAATCCTTATTCCCAGCACATCCAATATAGTGCTCCTTTGTTGGTATTATTAAATGACATGGGACTGAAAGGAGAATTGTCTAGGCAGAACAATTTTGACAGTGGTCTCAACTAATTATGCCACAGTGGATATTAGTCTCTTATCCTAAAGCAGCATAATGAGCTGGCCCCTATATTTAGAAATATATGTCTCTAACCTGAAGAAAAATTAATTTTATAATGCAAAGGTAATCTAGAAATGTAATTTTAAGAATTAGTTTCAGTATGTTTCTGTATCAAGTGGCTCACTGTAGCTGCTCATTAAAATCTTCTTTTTGCTTCCTAAAATGCATCTTCCTCATATTATCCCATGTCCTTCCTATAAACCACTGGCTTTAAGCTTTCTTGATACGACCTAAAATTTGAAAATCTAAGCTTATCTTTTAGAAATCATTTGGAGACAACTAACATGTTATGGAGATGAAAATAATGTATTTCTGAGACAAACCAGTGAAAAGTATCATCACAGTAGGCAGTCTCTTCCCTAGGCAAACATATCAGAGAAACATCTTTTTATCAACCCTAAACCAGCCCTTGGGTAACTCAAATGCAGATTCCAATGTCTTTCTCTATTCCTTCTGAGTTCTTTTTTGAGGCACCAGCTAAGTCGCTGCTTTAGCAGTCCCTCTACTTTTCAGTAATCCTTCAGAAATTGGAAGCTTTGGCCAGCTTATATCAGAATCACAAAGATCAACAGGAGAGACTTCCAGAATCTTTATAATAATGACTTTTAATACTTGAGGGTAATTTATTTTTGTTTTCAAAATGAAATGACCTTTCTCCACTGTTTAGCTGTGTTCATTCAAATGTATTCCTGGGATATTTAAATATTTTAGCTCAATTTGATTGAATTCTAGAATGTCAAAAAGAACCAGTAAACCTTCAGAATCATTAAATGTCAACAAGAAAAAACTTCAGAGTAGGAAGGAGGAGGGATGATATCTAAATATTAATGTTCTTAGAATCTGGTGTCATTTTTCAGTCTTTTCTTCTCCGGTCCATAGCTTCGTGTGCCACGTGAATGAGGACATGCATGCCCTCTGCCTGAACTTACTAGCCTTCATGTCAAAATTTTGCAGTAGGCTTGTTGATATTTTTCGTAATACAGTGACATTTTCCCTGGGAAAGGTTTTAATTCAATACCTTGGGAGTAAAGGTTCAAAGTTTATTGCCCTTTCTGTTATAACTTTGTTTTTCAGGATCTCCTTCCAGTCTAGAGGGAGAGTTCAATGTTAGATAATATCTGAATATTACATAAAAACTCCTTCTGTCTCCATTTCACATGAGCTGGTGAGCAAAGCTAGAAGCAATCTATTTGCTTGGAACCAGTGAAAAGCAATGTTTAAGTATGTTTAAGTTTAAGCAAATTATGTGATACTGGGTGTTGTAACATCACAACTGTAGAGGTGGGCTCCATAATATCTGCAGAGATAGGCCCAAATTTATCCATCCCTTCAGCCCTCCGATTCTCTATAGATTTCTACATGCTTCTGACTGGTAACGCTTTATGACAGATTACAACCATTATTCCAAATAAGCAGTTTTTTCTATTTTTTATATATCAAGCTCATGTATTTTTTAATTCCCCTTGACTTTTAGAAACCTAAGCTATTAATCCAAGGACACTCCTTGCTTCAGTGCAAGGACTGATACAGCTTTTAAAACAGACAATGTTGCTCAGTTTTAGTTGCAAATTTAATTTGTTCATTCCATGGTGATTTCCAGGAGGCTTGATAGCTGGGCCTTATTGAGAGACGAAGCCTCCCTTTACATATCGAAGCCCTAAGGTGCTTTATGTCCATTGAGTTTTATAAATATTACTTTTGAAAGGATAGATAATATGACAAAAGGAAATGTTGCCATCTGACAGGAAGAGGAAGTAGAAAATCTTTGGGAAATGTAAAGAGATGTGGAGAGAATAAGACTAGGAAAACTTGATCTCTGGGTTTCTGAATACAGCGTTGAGAAAAAAAGTCTGAAAAACTGTCAGATTTTCAAGCTGGTGGTAAGCTTCCTCACTGCTTCCAATATGGCACAGAATGAGACAGTCACAAGACAGAAATGGGTCTGGGTAGACCATGCTGGGAGATTGGACCCGAGTCTCCTTGATCTGTGTGATGTTAAAAGAATCCAGATGTTCTCAAATGTCCATCGGTGGTTGTGGGAGATGTTTCATCACAATGAGGAACAAAACTTGCATTGGAGCAGAAAGACAAAGGGAAGAACATGCCAATTCTGGATTTTAAAAATGGTGCTGCAGCCAGGCCTCCAAGGGTCAATCATGCCTTCAGGAAAAATCAGTGTGGAGCTCCATTAGGCCTTGGCTGTGTGAAAAGATCAAGCTAGAATATATGCAAGCCCAGGCTGTGCTGCAATGGCTGCAATGAGAGTCAGCCAGAGCCCACAGAGAGCACTAACATGACCTAGACTCCCCTCCCTTGCCACAGTGAGGCTGCTTTCCACAAGCCTTCTCCACAGTTGGAGAAAAAAGAGGCATAAAGGAGAAGAGAGATGGAAGAAATCCAGAGAGGCCGAGGGTTTACACCACAATGTTAAGTCAGAGGGAAATAGATGGCTAAAGGCTAGAAGAAAGTTACCTCAAATTGGCAAGTTTTCCTTTTTCTTCTACCAACATTAGATAAGGGCTTCATAAAGAATTATATGGGAAGTTACATTTTTGCTCACTGTACCATATAAATAATGCCCACCTCTCTAAAATTGTAGATTTCATTCATATCAGTTTATATTTATGAATTTCCTATTAGGTGTAATAACAATTATATCTCCCTCTGTGGTGCCTGTCATGTCAGTCTGCAGGGAAACCTCTCTGTTTCTGTCTCTTTCCTTCTCTCTCTCTCTTTCTTTCCCCTGTTAGTAATCAAACCCACTCTTTCTGCCTGATATAACTGCAGTCATGTGGTGCTGCCTAACCACAGGGATATGTTCTGAGGAATGCATTGTTAGGTGACTTTTGTCTTTGTGTGAACACAAGTGTACATGCACAAATGTAGATGGCATAGCCTACTACACACCTAGGCTGTATGGTGTAACCTATATCTCTTAGGCTACAAACCTGCACAGCATGTTACTGTACTGAATACTATAGACAATTGTAACACAATGAAAATTTTTTGTGTATCTAAACACAGAAAAAAAAGGTACAGTAAAAATACTGTATTATTAACTTATAGACCACCATTATATATGGGATCTATCATTGAAATGGCATTATGCAGCACTTGACTGTATTTTTAAATCTTTCCATTTTCTTCCGTCTCCACTGCCACACACATGAATAATAATTACAAGAGATTTCCAACTGGTCTTGATCTCCCTGCTTCCAAATTTTTTTTCCAAATCCATTTTCTCCTAATTCATAGCTAACACAATTCTATGTCTCTGTTTCATTCTTTATACTTTGCGTCTAAAATAATCCCTCAATATCCAGATCCACTCCATTACTTCCTTATGTGAAATCCAAAAGTTCTTTATTTTCCTGAGGATAAACCCATGCATATTTAAATGCAGTATCAGCCAGGGTACTAATGGGAAAGATATAGCCTACTTAAATTGGGGTTATTTCAGGTGGATTTTCTAAATCGTGGGTGGGATGCAGGGAAACCATAAAGAATAGCATGGTGGGATTTTACCATGTCGGTCTGGCTAAATTAGAACCACATTTTCCCCCCATTTTTTTTTTTACTGTATGGTTCTGGATTTAAGTTGACCAGAAGAGAAAATTATTTTGAGATTTGGAAGCCAAGAGTGAGGCAGGGGCCATTACATTCTGCAAGTAGGTGTTTTAGAGTAGTAAAGGACAGATACAGAAACGAAAATGGATCCCGCTTGTTTGCTCTCCCTGCCCCATGTCCAGTTCGGCTGCTGACCAACTCCTGACTCTTCTGACCAAGAGCGACCCCAGTCTCACCATAGGTGAAGACTTCTTCACCGGCTCTCTTTCATTGTCCCCAGGCCAGCAGCTTAATGTGACTAACTTCACAGATTCCCTGGCAAGCTCTGACTCGGCCCCCTCTGCCAGTGCTTCAAAAGGCTTATTTGTGATATTTCTCTGATCCTCCAATTCTCCCTATTAGACCATTATTTTCCCCCAGATTCTCCCACAGTTGTGTAAAGTCTTATTTCTGTAATAATTCTTTATTCCACAATACGTAGAAATTCTGCTTCCCTAATTTGCCGATAGTGTAGTAGTCCGGGACTATTGTTATCCCTAAGGTGAAAGGAAAAAAGGAGAGAATCATGTAGAGAAAGCCTCTCTGAGACAAGGTGGGACCTTCAGTGTGGAACAAAGCTACTTCAAGACGGCTCCATAGGAAGGACAATTGGGAAGAAAATACCCTGATTTTATTCTCCTCCCCTCTCCCGGTTTACTGCCTGGGCGCCTCATTGACAGAACACAACCAGAACCCACCATTGACATAATCCACACGTGTCAGCCTCTGGCAGAGAGCAGGGCATGTGGAATCTAGAAGATATGCAGCACATAGAGCGCACATGACACACCAGACCTTTCTACCATTGCTCACCATCATTTTCTCACACTCTAGATGCTACAGTCACTCTGACTTTCTTTTACATCCTAGAATCTTCCATATTTTTACTTTGTTGGGGACATCAGCACATAGTGTTCTCTCTGCATGTACTACTCTTTCCTTGCCTCTACTCCCTCACTTGAATAATTCTCAGTTACCCTTAAGGTACCAGTTGAATATCACTTTGGTATAGAGCCATCTCTAGGTATCTTGGCTAAATTATATGTCTTTTATGTGGACTTCTGTACCACCCTGAACTCTCCCTATAATATCTTACATCACACTTTATTTTATTAATGATAATGTCTTTCTCAACAGAACATAAACTGTCCTATCAGGTATATGTTGTTGTAAATATGCCATGTATGCATTGTTTACTGTTATAACCCAAAATATAGCATCATGCCAGACACTTAGTAGAATCTCAATATTTGTTAAATGAAAAAATGAAAATAATGTGAACTACAATTCTACTACTAAGTAGGTGAAGAAAATAACGCCCAGAATTTTTGTAATTGTAGAGTTTATGCCTAAATCTCAAGAGGGATACCACTGGCAGCATATGGTACCCATGGCCTCTCTGTATAGTGGAACTGCAGGATGTGCCGGGAGCCTATGATCCTGAGAATATTGCCTTTCTCTGAGAGGGAAATAAAAATGAAACCAATAGTGACCACTGTGTCCTTAACAGCCAAGGTTCAGATTACATTGGAACTTTCCACCTCCAAGTAGGACAAATTTAGTCTACTAGATGGACTCCTCTGCAGAAAGCAACTTAGAACTTTGAGAGACATTTAAAAAGCAACTATCTGAAGGTACTGGAGAATGAACAGAACACATCATATCTGATAGGAAGTATACACTCTCATGGAGTCAGGAAAAGGGTATGTTCCACAAATTAGTTCCCATCTTTTCTGGCTTTTAGCCTGAGGCCAAGTGCATTCCACATGCTGCATAGAGTGTTGAGAGGGGCTCTCATGGGAAAATGTGCAGTCTTTCTGGTCTGGAGAACTGAAAAGTAAAGCCAGACAATGGCAAATATTGAAGAAGTGTGGAAATTCTGGAATGGTAAAAACCAGAGAAAGGATCCCCAATCTCTTCTGCCCATATCTCCAACTGACCCTGAATACACTCAAAGCAGAACAGACTCAATGCAGCTCAAAGACAAAAGATCTAAATCAAGATCAGAGCTGATTCCTAAGCAACAGACTTTATAGTTCAAATCTAACCAAGACAATTACCTGCTGAAAAATAAAATAACCTTCATTACAGAAAAATAAAAAAATCCAGAATCTCTACAACTTTTATAATGCAATGAATATAATTCAAAATTGTCTAATGTTAAAAAAAGAAACTAGAATGCATTTTTAAGAAAAGAATATCAATAAAATTTGACAATGATATAAACAAGATGCTGAAACATACAAGATTTAAAAATGACTTTTATAATTATCATCAGTTAACTAAAACACAATATTTTCTCAATGAATGAAAATATCAGTAAAGAAATAGGAAACTACCCAAGATAAAGAAAAGGAGGATAAAAGATTGGGGTTGAGGTGACAGACTAGGGAACTGATTAGATGATAGCTAATGGTCTAATACGCATGTAACTGAAATACAAGAATGAGGAGAGACAGAATGAGGCAGAAAATTTTATTAGAAATATAATAAAGAATTTCTTGATTTGATAAAATATAGAAAATCTCAGAAATAAGATGCTATCTGAATTCTAGATATTAAGGATATTTTCCTTTAAGAATAAGGCAAATCAAAGACATTTTCAGGTAAAAGAAAACTAAGAAGAATTATTGCCAGTACATTTGCACTAACAAAAATTGCTACAGAAAATTCTTCAAGTTGTAGGGAAGTTATATAGGGTAGAAACATGGATATTCTGAAAAGAATAAAAAGCAAGAACTTAATTCTGCCAGCAACTAATTTGAGCAAGGAAATAGATTCCTGTAGTGTCTCCTGAAAAGAATTCAGCCCTGCCAACAGCTTGATTTTAGCTCAGTAAGATCCATGTCAGATTTCTGACCTAGAAAACTGTTAGATAATAAATGTTATTATTTTAAGCTGCTAGTTTGTGGGAATTTGTTATGGCAGCAATAGAAACTAATACAGGAGTGCTTGGATAAATATTAACCTTGCTCATGTTTTGAATGGAAAATTCTGAGGTGAAATCTACACTGCTTTTCAAAAGGTACACAACAGAACTGAGCCCTAGTTTCCCAAAACAGTAACAAGTTCAATGATACAACTTTGAATAGACTTTCCCTTCTGCCTTGATTTATTCATCTCAGGCCTCCAACTGTGAGTCTCTAGAATCACATTCCAAAATAAGCTATTTGCAAGGCCAGCCTTTGTCTCAACTTCTGCTTCTAGGGGTGTTCAGGCTAAAACCATTATCCTAGAAGTGACCCTTGCCAGGAAATCTTCAGGCTGGGAAAGTCCCCAAGTTAGGATCCTCGATGATTCTGGATGATTTTCAAGTCAGTTGGCAGTCAGGACCCCAGTGCCATCGGTAGGGGAAGTGGTGAAAATTGCTGGTTGTAGTAGCATTATAATGACTAACACTAACCCATGGTGGACTGGGACAGGTTGTAGGTGACAGAGAAGCACTGGCTTATGATGTAGGGATAGCCCTTGAAAGGTTTGTGGGTCAATGGTAATTATGAGCTCTGTAGAATTGGCTGCCTTAACTGCTTTTAGAGTCTTGAAAAGAAAAAAACAAAAAACAAGACAGGCTCAGGCTAAACAACTCAGTTCAAAGCACACTAGGAAAGTCAGAAAGCCTTCATGGCTACGTTTAAGGCCCTCTTAGGCTCAGGGTTCAACAGTACAGGTGGCACACTTACAAGATGAAATATATTCTGCAGGATTCCTACACCAAAACCAGGGCCCTAACAGAGAAAGTGATACCTAGGAAAACTACCTTGATACCTAGGAAAAGTCCACTTGCCTGAAGAAACCTGAGACACATGAATGCCCAAGTTCATAGCAGCAAATACCCACTTCTTGTTTAAGAGAAAACTTCCCTTGCCTGGGCCCCCTGCAAAGACCTCACCCAATACAGGTGCCTTATAAGATGATGTCTTTTCCATCTCCACCTGCAAAATGCTAGCTTCAACTTGAGATATCTCTTTTGTAGGACATTTTTGAAAATTTCAAGAAGCCACAAACACATCAACATTCTGAATTTGTATGAAGCTAAGAACATATATCCTTCTTTGAAAAAGAGTTTTGTTTCATAAGAAGAAGAATGCAGTGAGAAACAGAAAAGAAATATAAAAGATGTAGGTGCTAACGTCATTTAAAATCAATGTATAACCTACGATTGTTATGTCTATAAACATTACTGTTTAGTTTTTACAAGGATTTTTTAGGCAGGAAATGCTATTTGATTTTTGTAAGCACTCTCAGTGAATAACAATATTTAATGCAGGACTTAAGGCAAATAGGAAAAAAAAATACCAGGTAGTCAATTTTGGTTTGTTTATATTGCTAGATCAGGTAAGAGAAAGAAATCATTTGTTTTAATTTAGAGAAGATACTAGTTTAACAGATACTATAATCCAAATGTTTGTGGTTTCTCTGGGCTCTAGGTACTTTAAATAAAAGGCCTAAGGCCATTTTTCCAGAGATAAATACATTATTCACTACCAAATACAATGAAATTGTGGAGTACCGGCACAAAGTTAGTGCTTCCTGTATAAATGAAGAGATTTGCCTCTGCTCAGACTTGGCCCCTAAGTCAATTGAATGACGCTAACAAGGAAACCTTGGTAATTGCCTTGTCAAAAACAATAACAAGCCAATGTTTATGAATATAACATGGCAACATATAAATAAATAATTAAGTGATATGCCCATCTGTGAGAAATGTGTGAATGAAATTAACACTGGCTGTGGGTCCAGAGAAAATTGGGCTCAAATCCTATTCTTCATTTACAAGTTGTAAGGACTTTGGTAAGTCAGCTTCTCTAAACTCAACCCATCTATTCCAACACACTGATACAAAAACTATCCAGCAAATATAAATAGAGCAAACATATGTTGGAGAAATATAATTAAAAATAAAATTGGCCAGGCGCGGTGGCTCACGCCTGTAATCCCAGCACTTTGGGAGGCCGAGGCAGGCAGATCACCTGAGGTGAGGAGTTCCAGACCAGTCTGGCCAACCTGGTGAAACCCCATCTCTACTAAAAATATAAAAAATTAGCCAGACTCAGTGGCACACGCCTGTAGTCCCAGCTACTTGGGAGGTTGAGGCAGGAGAATTGCTTGTACCCGGAAGGTGGAGGTTGTGGTGAGCCGAGATCGTGCCACTGCACTCCAGCGTGGGTAACAGAGCAAGATTTTGACTCAAAACAATAAAATAGATAAAAAAGAAAAGAAAAAACATCTTCGGCCCACCCGATAATCTTTCCACTAAGGTAGAATAGAAACAAAAATTTATTATTGAATAAGCATTAAGCCAGAATGTGGTGTAGATCACAGGCAACCACTAAGAGACAGAAAAGGAAAAAAAAAAAAAAAAAAAAAGAAAACTCATGCTTTTATCTAGTCAAGCAGATACAGCCCCCATGTTCTCAAGGTAAACAGTATCTAGTCCCCATTTGAGAGAATTTCACACCATCATTTGTCACACATAGTTCATCCTAAATTCACCTGGTAATTGGGGTGGCCATCTGTGTCAGCTAATTAGCTTTATCCAAAGGAAAAATGATCTTCTCATATCTTTGTGACAGGAGGTAGTTCTGCAACTTGGAGCAATGGGCCACCAAAGCTAGGCTCCTACTCTCCAACAGAAACGGAGATAGGGATGCTATGTGCTTTAATTATTACTTTCCAAAGAGATGGGTCCTAGGTCCTTGAGAAAGATATGCTGGGGTCTTAGAGCTCTCAAGGGGCTTATTTAGCTTTTAAAAAGATTTATATACACTTCAAAGAGACAGAGAAAAGACTTATAATTACAAATATTCTAAAGTAAATGCTCTAAGGAGAGTCTCTTCCCTTATTTTCAACAGCGAAAATTAAGCCTCTAACATTTTGTTTATTTGTCCTTATATTTAGCACAATGTCTACCACATAATAGATACTCAAAAACTGGTAAATTTTATTATCTCTTTATGCGAATCTTAACTATATTTACATACAAAGTAAGCATGTTTTTCACTTCCTGCCAAATTTAAATTGGTACATAAAATCTCCTAAAATGTCTTCCGTTGTACTAAGTAGCAGTAAAACAAACAAACAAAAAACAACAAATGTATAGGCCCCAAATAGTATGATTCATACATGCAGTAAAAATTACTCCAGATTAATACCCAGATGAATAACTCCAGAAACACTGCAGCAGGAATTTAACTACAGGTAACTACAATTTTAAAGAACCAAAACATTGGTCTACAGAGGTTGAAGAATGTGAGGTAACCCCACTTCAGGAAATTAAAGAGAGAATATTTCTCTTTGCAATTTGCAGTGCTCATGAAGCTTATTAGGTAGACCATGTCCACATTAGATAACAGCAGAAGTGAAGCCCCTGCAGGTTCTAGGATTCTTCTTCCCTGGAAGGACATGCCTCACAGTGGACTTTAATCAGGTCATGGCACAGGGCAGGGATCTCACATACCACACACTCCCATGACCTTATGTTTTAGTGGCCAACCCATTTTTGTCCAGCCTCAAAGTTCCTGGGGGAGAGAGAGGAAAAATAACAACAACAACAACTATTGAGGTAAAAGTAAATTCCAGGTTTTTGTAGGGCTATAGACAGTATAAGGTTATATTTTAATATAGCTCCTCATTAATATCTAGAGAGAGAGAACAGAGCATTCTGAGTTGTCATTAGCATCTGGAGGACAATTGCTGAGCACGATGGGGAGCTCAGCAAGCATATCCTCTCAGTCTGACAATTTGCTGGAGGCATGAAAAATGTCAACTCAAATGAGGTTGCAGTCTACATATTCCTTAGAATGGCAAGTAAAGTCAGGCACATTGTGGAAAATAATATTATTTTAGCATCTATTGTTCACAAATACCTTAATAAATTGTAGTATCAAAGAGAAAAACCACAGCCGTGAAATATATGAAAAAAAATTAACAGAATTACAGGGAGTAGTTGATAAATTGACAATCATAGCAAAAGTGATTGATACCCTTCGAGTAATACTAGATTTTTTAGAAAAAATAGAGATCTAAAAGTTTGAACCATCGCAGTTACGAAGCATGATCTAATGCTCACACAAAATCCTTCATCTATGGGCAAGATGGAAAAAGAGAATAACAATTAGAGAATACACATTCTCCCTAAACACATGTGAAACATGTATAAAATCTACCCACTACAAACCCTCAAAGCAAGACTCAAAAAAAAATCATAGGACAATATTCTAAGACCATGGTCTTCGACCACAATGCAACAAAATATGAAATAAATAACATAGAAACAACAGGAACCCCCCAAATATTTGATTTTTTAAAAAAATACTTCTGTACAATTCAGACATCAAAGAAGAATTCCAGATGGAAATAAAATGGACCTCTGCCATCATTGGCTAAGGACAGAAAGAGACAAAATGCAAATAAGCAAAATACAAAATGAACAAAGGGAACCTGGCTGGACATAACAGATTCAAACAGAGTAAAGGTATTATAGTCTACTATACTCTAATCAAGGTGATGACCAATATTAAATGGATAAATTATTTAAAAATTATAAAAAGCCAACACAAGTACAAAAAGAAATAGAGAACTTAAATAACTAGTAAAAATTTAAAAGATAATGAAATAATAATCGCAACCCTTCCTCTCCCAAAAGGGTTTGCAGTTGACTGTTCTCAAATATTCAATATCAATATCAGGTTTTCCAATTGAAGCTAAACAAATATTGCTTTTTCTGTTAGCCTCAAAAGAAAAGTCAATTTTGGAGGCAGGGAGGAGGCTCCAAACAGATTTTGTTGCAAATATATTTCAATGGTAATTGCTTCTAACTTAACCCTTTCATGAGAATTTTCTACTTGGAGTTGGGTTTTATCCACAACCTGAAATATCTCCATAAGGAGCTGTGGGCAGACCAAGGTAAGTCTCCTCGGGTTCAGAGAGTTCATTGCTTCAGGTGAATCCCAAGAGTCTGTGAAAAATTAATTAAATTTCACACTGCAATGATAAAGAACCAACTGTAATAAAACTGAGTTACAATGAGCTGACACACATAATTTAAGAACCAGCACACCACCAGTTCTATTGATTGAATAGGCTTTACAGATTAGCTGAGCATCCTCAGCCCCTACTCAAGACAATGCTCCCTTGGGGGAAAAAAAAATACCTCATGCCCTGAACAGCTGACTTACAAATGGACTTTGGAATAAAGGACATCCTATTCCTTTTGATCATCGAAGCCTCACATGTCCTCAGCCCCCAGTTCCCCATGTTTTTGTAACTATGTTATTTTAATAATCTGTAACTATTAAGAAGGAACTTAAATTATCTTACTAGTTGTGGATATGACTAAACCAATTGACAACAAAATATTATTAAAAGTATGCCTCTTCTAAGCGATTCATTAAAGCAGTATTCTCAAAGTGTAGTTCCAAGCCTGTACCATCAGCATCACCTGGGAGTTTATAAGAAATGCAAATTCCAGGGCTATACTGAAAACCTACCCAATCCAGAACTCTGGGGCTAGGGTCCAGCAATCTGGTTTTAGGAAGCCTTTCAGGTGATTCTGATGCACACTTAACATTTGAGAACCACTGGCCTAAATAATGTCTACAATGCAAAACAGCTACTACAATTTATTAAGGTCTTTGTGAACTATAAATGGTAAAACAATATTATTTTCTACAATGTGCCTGACTTTACCAATCATTCTAAGGAATTTGTAGACTGCAACCTCATTTGAGTTGACATTTTTCATGCCTTCAGCAAATTGTCAGGCTGCGAGGATGGGCTTGTTGAGCTCCCCACTGTGCTCAGCAATTGTCCTCCAAATGCTAATGACTTGACAACTCAGGATGTCCTGCTTTCCCTCTCCAGATATTAAAATACCAATCCCCAGACCCCACTGCAAGCAATTCTGATTTAATATATCTGGTATAAGGCCTTGATATTAACACACACACACGTGCATGCATCCACACACAAACACACCTCTTCCTAGTATATAGGCATGGTTGAATACCACTGTTCTTTAAAACTATTGCTATCTAAAGGTTAAATATGCAAATGAATTTTCCAAAGGTGGTCTGTGAGAGAAAAATTTCTGGTGCCAAGTGCCCATGCTGGTCTTCCTGACCCTGCCCCACCTCCTCTTCATTTTCCAAGACTTACAAGATAGAGAGTAAAATGGAGGAGTGAACATAATTAGGAACATAATGCTCCACATCCCCATGTCTCACTTTTTAAACTTTCACAAATGAGTCTACACTCCAGGGAAAGCATTCCTCAAACTGAGTCATTACTGAGAGCCAGAAAGGTGACCCACTTTTTCTCATATCCCAGAGCCACCTTTGCTTTCCTGAGCACCCATTTCTTTCTCACAATGAGGCTCTGATTTTGTTGGCATAAGGGCTGCTATAGACTGGGAATCACTTAAGGAATAATGTCTCACCAGAAGAGTTTAAATTGATAATTGTGCTTGCTGTTCCATGCATGACAAGCTTTCCTGCCATTAAGAGAAGCCCACACTTAGGATAACTTCCTAGAATGCTTCTGCACTTGAAAGGAGAGTGCCCCATGTTGCCAAATGACACCTCCTTCTTCACTTCCAAGTGCTCTGAAATCTCCACAGGAAAGGAACTTCCCAACATAGAAATCTGTCTTTTGCTACTTCCCATCTCTCCAACATATGTATTTGCCAACTGAGGTGGCAATATCTGCACTGTGGGATTACACAGTGCCAAGTCAATGTTCACAGTCATAGTCATGTTCAGAAATCATCTGGAAACACATTTCATTAATGCTTTTGTTCTGCTTCATCATAGACTCTGGATCCAATTCTATTTCCCAGAGAAGGAACCAAATCTATGCCCCACTTCCCAACACTGCTGGTTCCTCCATCGCTCTCCTTCTACCCACGACCACCACCACCACCTGTGTGTATTAGCCTTTGAAAACTCATTGCTTTGAGGAAGTGATATTAAAGCTTAATATAAAAGTGTATGTGACTTCATACACATGCTGCAGGGGAAAAATGAGTAAAGCACTTTACATACTAGAAAACAAATTTATTTTTGGTATAACTTGCTGAATTGCACCCCCAACAAAAAAATTTGTGTTGAAGTTCTAACCCTAAAACCCAAAGACTTAAAATGTCTTTGGAAATAGTGCTTAAAAAGGTAATTATGGTTACATAAGGCCATTGGAGTGGGCTCTAGTCCAATCTGACCGGTGACTTATATGAAGAAGAGAATAAGACACAGATACACATAGAGGGAGATTATGTGAAAACACGGGGAGGAGAGGATGGCCATCTTCATCCCAAGGAGAAAGCTCTCAGAAGAACCAATATCTTGATTTTTGGCTTCTAGCTTCCAGAACTGAAACTAAATTTCTGTTGCTTAAGCTGCCCAATCTGTGGTACTTTGTTCTAGCAGTCCTAGCAAACTAATGCACTTGCCTTTTCATGACCCACCTTTTCTCACATCCCAGAGGCACCTTGCTTTCCTGAGCATCCATTTCTTTCTCACAGTGAGGCTCTGATTCGGTCAGCAGGCAAAATGGAATTTTTAAATGTAATTTTCTCTCTCATCTAGAAGAGAAATATTTCTCTCTCTTCTCACAGATTTTGTTCTCGCTAGGATGTGCAAGAATAAGAGAAAGAGGGGAACTAAATAAACTTGAATTAAGAAAAAGGAGAAAGATGGATTTTTTAAAAAAACAAGATATAGAATGAAGTAAGAAGGAAGGAGGCAGAGTCATAAGAGAAAAAGAAAAGCAAAGGTACAACAGATGGTTTAATAGCAAGAAGCACAAGGATCAAATGATTCAAGATTACATAAAGGATCCCAGCATGGGTGTAAGATAAATATTAATTTAAATCAATTATTAGGCTGAATGTGCTGAGTACATTCATTGAAACCAGGTCAAAACCAACAAAAATTAAATTATCAATTTTTAAAGCATCCACAATGGTGAAGGCACTTTCAATGTTATATTAGAGAGAAATCTTTTCATAAAGAAAGAAGACATTCTGAAAGAAGATACAGTAGAATACTATTCAGCCACGAAAAAAATAATGAAATCCTGTCATTCACAGCAACATGGATAAGCCTAGAGGACATTATGTTAAGTGAAACAAGTCAGACACAAAAAGATAAATGTCACAGGTTCTCACTCATATGAGGGAGCTAAAAAAATTTAACCTTACAGAAGTAAAGAGGAAAATTATGGTATTAGACGCTGGGAAGTGTTGCGGGGAGGGAAAGATAGGAGAGGTTCATTAATAGATACAAAATTACAGCTGGGTAGGAAGAATAAGTTCTAGTGTTCTATAGCACTGTATAGTGAGTATAACAACAATTCCTTGTATATTTTCAAACACCTAGAAGAGAAGGTTTTCAGTGTTCCCAAAACAAAGGACAAATGTTTAAGATGATGAATATCTTAATTACCCTGATTTGATCATTACGCATTGCATGCATGTATCAGTATATCACCTTGTATCCCATAAATATGTGCAATTATTACACATGAACTAAAAATGAAAGAAAAAGTCCTGGAGAAACATTATAGAAATCCAAATTGAGAAGCATTCTATAAATAACTGGCTGATTTTATCGGTTTCAAAAGGTAAACATACATTTTAATAAAGGACAAAGTCAACAACAATTTTTTTAAATGTGCAGTGAAAGAAGGCTCTGAGGGTACTTCTTCCTCCACAACCACTCCTGACAGGCATAAGTCACTTCCATCTGCTTCCATTATAGCTTCTAGAATTTTCTCACTATCAAACATTGGGAAGAAAGGCAGGGCCAGATAGTGGCAAATAGGGGAAGCAGAGAGATTAGGTGGCCCAATGTGAATGAAGAGTTATCAAATTGAAATTTCTAGCTCTTCTTCGTCTTCAAATGAAACATTTCCCAAGAATTTGAGTTCCAAACATACAGCAAAATAACATTCATATTTCTTGTATCTAGATCTTTTGTCTTTTAAATTGATGGAAAGTAAAAATATTTTTTTCAAAACCAAGAAGTTGCCTGTTGTACAGATTAACACATTTTCTAACAGGATATTACTAGCAGTATCGCTAGACGGTATTGCTGTCATAATCAGATCTTAATTTGCTGAGAACAATATCTCCACAGGAATGACTTTTAGCCATTCAGACATGATCTCTTTCTGAATATTCAATATCCAGAAAGAATTACATGTCATTGTTCTTTTTCCCAGCTTTAACAAAAAGAAAACTTGATAAATTACAATGGAAATAAACAAGGTTTTTCTCCCCCTCCTTTTTCCCCTGAATTTATTCTTATTTTTTTCCAATTTAATCTGTTGCCTATTAAGCAGAAATTGACTTCAGATCTTTCATTAATATGGTTCAGAGACTCTCATTCCAATGGTTTAGCTTGACCACTAGCCTGGCACCAATCATTGACCTCTTTGTCTTTTAATTATTTGAATCTCATGAAGATACTATCCATAGGGCTCAAGTCCTTGGACAAGCTAGTAAGCATTGGAGGAGCTGTTATGAGATCAATAGTGCAAATACTTTCAGGAAATATAGGAATGCCAACATTTCACTCAACAGAAGCATAAAATCACACAGAATGCTTAAATTGTTATGATTTTTCTTTTGTATTTTCAAGAGGCAGAGGGACAGGACTAAGCAGTATATTGCAACTTGACTTTGGCATGGAACTGAAAGAAAAATAAAAAATATGGGTTGAACCACTAGTACAGAAGAGATAATGTCAATAGAGTAAAATATTTCCCCTGGCCAGAGGCCTCCCTATAGTATATAAATTTTAGGTAGTATCAAAGCAAGCCGAGTTTTATATAATCATCAATATAAGTGTCATCTATATAAGTTATCAATATAAACGTCTAAAAACTCAGTTTTATAGCAACTCTAACCAGCTGAGGTTGCGAAACCAACTTATGCAACTGTTCAAGCAGAACAGGCTATCAGCACTAATGAAGAGAGCTAATCATAGAAGATAATATCTATATAAGACTCAATGAGGTCTTAAATCAGGTTAGCTGACTCTCTTAGACAATGTAATTTGTGACTCATCTCTGGAAAACTTATTAGATGCAAAAAGGTTCTGAGAGGACACTTGGAAGGGCCAAAGCAAGGTAGCCTAATAGATAATATCAGAAAGATGGGAAACAATGGGGACAGAGGTCATATATATTTAAATTGAGTAAAAATTATCCATTTTTGTTTGGTTATCTATACAATGACATAAACCCTCAAAGACTGTGTGTACTCAGCTATAAAAGGAATAAACAAGACTGAAAACCAGAATTACTCATTCTCTGAGATTTAATCTAATAATGATAAAAGTAACAAGAATAATATATTTTATCTATAAATAACTTTCCTTTTCTTACTATTATGACTTTATTTTCCTAATAGCCCTATGAGATGGGTAAAGAAAGGTAAAATTGTCCCCCACTGTATACAAGGCCAAACCAAGGTCTCAAGATCTTAATTGATTTACTTAAATTAGCAATAAAAATAGGTTGAAAACTCAAGACAACAGATTCTTTATTTCACAGGAGACGCTAGAAAAGTTAATGTGATTCTCATAAAATAAACCTGATTACAGCTACAAGATACCAATGTGGAATTTCCTTGACAGATTTGGAAACAAAGTCATATTTACCTATTCATCACTCTGAACCTACCCTTCTGTGTGCTTTTGCCTTAATTTAGAAAGCATAAAAAATAATACTAATGGGCAAATATATCTAATCTACTATCATTAGAAACTTATTTAGGAAGTTTAGGACTTAAAAGTCATAGTACATAAAATGGACCACATAAAATATCGACATATAAAATTTCAAAAGATAGTATATATAAGGTGTAAACACAAATATAATCAAGAATAGAAATAATTTTTTTAACAAAATAAAGAGAATCTAGAAGATCCCTATAGTAGGCATCATACTTAGCGGTAAGTATGAAAATGAAAAGAAATTCTTTTTAAAACCAGGGGAAAAAACCCAAGAATGTCTGCTACTACTTTTATTTTTCATTATCGCGCTTAATGTCAAAACAATTCAGCAAGAAAATAAAAGAGAAATTAACCAGGGATTAATATCAGAAAGGAAAAGTTAAAAACTATCTTTTTTGAAGTAATGGGTTATACAATGAAAAAGAAAAAAACAAATCAGTGCTAGTTAAAATTTCTTTAAAAGGCTGGATATAGATGTTAATCCCAAAATCAATAGCTTTCCTATAACTCATTAATATCTAATTATAAAATATAATGTTTTAAGTTTCCATTTTTAAAAAACATTTATTTTTATTTTGAACTAATTACGGATTCACAGAAAGTTGCAAAGATAGCACAGACAGTTCCCATATACTCTTCACCTGTCATGTCCCAATGATTATTTCTTATAGAATGATAGTACAATATCAAAGCAAGAAAACTGATACTGGTCTAATGTGTGTGTATATTTTCACATCACATTATCATGTATGTCGATTCATATTGCCACCATCACAATCAAGATACAGAGCTGAAAGATCTTCCAGATGCTTCCCTGAGATGTAGCACACACCTATTCCCTTCCTCCCCACCATCCCTAACACCTACCAGCAATTAATTTGTTCTCCATCTCTATAATTTTGTGACATTAAGAAGGTTAACAAATTGAGTTATACAGCATGTGACCATTTAAGAATGGCTTTTTTTGCTCAGCCTAATGCCCTTGAAAAAAATGGACATTTTGAATATTATAATGTGGCAATTCTAGAAATCTCATTCATCCCCTTCCTCAGAGCCTTTTGTAGTTTATTGTAGGCACTAGCTATTTGTTTAATGACTTTTCTAAACTATTTTTTGTGAAGTCTGTATTCTTTGTAATATGTGGAGTCTGAAGTCTCTGCCCCTTTAGTTTGGATTTAGCTATTGTTTTGACAGATTTTCTTGAACTCCAGAATGCCAGAAGCCAGTTGAAAGGACAGAGAAGAAAAGTAGAAGGTGGAGGGAAGGTGGAGGAGAAGGAAAAGAAAAGAAGGAATAAAGAAAGAAAAAGAAACGCTCTCCCAGTTTTTGCAGATTTGCTCTACACTGGTTCCCTCCTTCAATATTTAATTAGGCTATTTACAACCCTGCCTTAGCCTTTGATTCCTGCTTGCACTGAACCCAGGGATGAGTCAGAGGTGAAATGTTTGGGTCTTCTCAAGTCTTTTCTGACCATACCTTCTGCCCTGGATGTGCATGTGGCATTTCCCAGCCTTTCGCTTTGGTTTTGTCATGTGATTTTTTTTGGCCAACTGGTTAATAGACACAAGCCAAGCAAGAGCATGAAATGTGCTTGAGCAGTTAAGAAGTGCTCCCTCTTGTGCCTCTGTCATTGTCATGGGAAGAACAGGACATGTCCTCCCCACTGGTCCAAAGAGGATGAAAGACACAGATTTACTTCTCCTATGAGCCAACAAGATCCATCCATTTATGTGTAGTTTGCTTCTAAGAACCCAGCTATCAATGAATAATAGCAAGATGGGGAAAGGATAATCCTGCCTAAAAATGGATAGAGAGCTTAAAGATGGGGGAGGGATAGCATTAGGATATACACCTAATGTAAATGACAAGTTAATGGGTGCGGCACACCAACATGACACATGTATACATAGGTAACAAACCTGCACGTTGTGCACATGTACCCTAGAACTTAAAGTATAATAAAAATATATATATACATGAAAAATAAGTACTTTAACACACATGCACATACAAACAAACAATGGAAGTGTTAGTTTACTGTGATAAGTACAAATTATTTATTCTCAAAAATTTATACTAGGAAATAGCAGATAGGGGAATTTCGTGAGCACAGTTTTTCAAGTCTACTTAATTCCTCATGTATGATCCCTGAGGTTTTGCCTGTCTATGCCAAGTTTCATATGTCCCCAACCACATAACTCTGAACAGCCTACTTAACTACCTTGTATAGTTGGAAAGACTGACATTAGCAAGTCGCATACAAGGATGTAACATTTTGTTTTCTGACATGTTTTCTATCAACCCCATCAATGCTATCTTGCAAAACTTCCATAAGTTTGTAACAACTGGGCTTTGCACATGTATAATCATAATGTAACTTTATAAGACATTTGTGGTCTGTAAGGATAGAATACAGCAGATCTTACCTGGACCTACCACAGGAGACTTACCTTGTGTTTACAGCCAAACAGCAAACAATCTCCCAAATGAATAAATGAACATATTTACCCATTCTTCATATTTACATACTTTTCCCCTAGTAATGAATAGTAGCCCTTGTGTAGGTTTTTAAATGTTTTATGTCAATAGCTTTTAGGCTACAAATGTTTTTTGTTACATGGATGAATTAGTGGTGAATTCTGAGATTTTAGTGCACTCAACACCCAAGTAGTGTACATTGCACCTAATTTATTGGGGTTTTTTTATCCCTATCCCTCTCTCACTCTCCCCCTTCTGAGTCTCTAAAATCTATTATATCAGTCTATATGCCTTTGTTTACTCATAGCTTAGCTCCTACTTGTAAGTGAGAACATATTGGTTTTGGTTTTCCACTCCTGTGTTACTTCACATAAAATAATTAGATTAGAGATTATTCTATGTGAAAAATTACTTCACATAGAATAATTAGATTAGAGATTATTCTATGTGAAGAGATTATTCTATGGACACTTAGGTTGGTTCCACATCTTTACAATTGTGAATTGCCTGCTATAAACATATGTGTGCAAGTATCTTTTTCATATAATGACTCTTTTTCCTTTGGGTGGATACCCAACAGTGGGATTCCTGGATCTAATTGTAGATCTACTTTTAGCTCTTTAAGGAATCTCTATACTGTTTTATACAGAGGGTGTATTCATTTACATTCCCACCAGCAATGTACAAGTGCCCTTTTCCCGATATCCATGCCAACATCTATTATTTTTTGACTTTTTAATAATGGCCATTCTGAAGGAATAAAGTGGTATCTCATTGTGGTTTTAAATTACATTTCCCTGCCAGGCGCAGTGGCTCACGCCCGTAATCCCAACACTTTGGGAGGTGGGCAGATCACTTGAGGTCAGGAGTTCGAGACCAGCCAGGCCAACATCGTGAAACTCCATCTCTACTAAAAATACAAAAATTAGCCAGGTGTGGTGGCACATGCCTGTAATCCAAACTACTTGGGAGGCTGAGGCAGGAGAATCACTTGAACCCGGGATGCGGAGGTTGCAGTGAGCCAAGATCATGCCACTACACTCCAGCCTGGGTGACAGAGACTCTGTCTCAAAAACAAAAACAAAAAAATGCATTTCCCTGATGATTAGTGATGTTGAGCATATTTTTATATGTTTCTTGGCCATTTGTATATCTTCTTCTGAGAAATGTCATTCATGTCCTTTGCCAACTTTTTAATGGGATTAGTTGTTGTTGTTGTTGTTGTTTTCCCTTGGTGATTTGCGTTCTCTGTAGATTCTGGATACTAGTCCTTTGCTGGATGTGTAGTTTGCAAATACTTTCACCCATTCTGTGGGTTGTCTGTTTATTATTTATTTTGCTGTGCAGAAGCTTTTTTGTTTAATTAGGTCCCATTTATTTATTTGTGTTCTTGTTGCATTTGCTTTTGGGGTCTTAGTCATGAATTATTTGCCTAGGCAAATGTAGAATAATTTTTCCAATGTTGTCTTCTAGAATTTTTATGGTTTCAGGTCTTAGATTTAAGTCTTTGATCCATCTTGAGTTGATTTTTGTATATAGTGAGAGATTGGGATACAGTTTCATTCTTCTACATGTGGCTTACTAGTTTTCCCAGGACCATTTATTAAATAGGGTGCCCATTCCCCAATTTACGTTTTTGTATGCTTTGTTGAAGATCAGTTGGCTATACATATTTGGCCTCTTTTCTGGATTCTCTATTATGTTCCATTGGTCTATGTGCCTACTTTTATACCAGTATGATTCTGTTTTGGTAACTATAGCCTTATAGCATAATTTGAAATCTGGTAATGTGATGCCTCCAGATTTTTTCTTTTAGCTCAGGTTTGTGTTGACTATTTGGGCTCTTTTTTGATTCCATATGGATTTTAGGATTGTTTTTTCTAATTCTGTGAAAACTGATGTTGGTATTTTGATGGGAATTGAATTAAATCTCTAGATTGCTTTGAGTAGTATGTTCCTTTTCTCAATATTGATTCTTCCAATGCATGAGCATGATATATGTTTTCATTTGTTTGTGTTATCTCTGATTTCTTTCAGCAGTGTTGTGTAGTTCTCATAGAGATCTTTTACCTCCTTGGTTAAGTATATTCCTAGGTATTTTATTATTACTATTTTTTGCAGCTGTTGTAAAAGGGATTGAATTCTTTATTTGATTCTCAGCTTGGTCATTGTTGGTGTATAGCAGTGTTACTGATTTGTGTACAATGATTTTGTAACCTAAGACTTAACTGAATTAATTTATCAAATCTAAGAGTCTTTTGGAGGAGTCTTTAGGATTTTCTAGGTATACAATCATATCATTTGCAAACAGCAAGAGTTTGACCTCCTCTTTTCCATTTTGGATTCCCTTTATTTATTTCTCATGCTTAACTGCTGTGGCTAGGGCTTCCAGAACTATGTTGAATAGGAGTGGTGAAAGTGGGCATCCTTGGCTTGTTCTTGGAAGATATGCTTTCAACTTTTCCCAATTCAGTATAATATTGGCTGTCGGTTTGTCATATGTGGCTTTTAATATTTTGAGGTAGTCCCTTCTATGCCTAGCTTTTTCAGAGTTTTTATCACAAAGCAGTGCTGGGTTTTGTCAAATGCTTTTTCTGCATCTGTTGAGATGATCATATGGTTTTTGTTTATAATTCTGTTTATGTGGCTTACCACATTTATTGACTTGCATATGTTAAACCATCCCTGCATCCCTTGGATAAAACCCACTTGATCATGATGAATTATCTTTCTGATGTGCTTTTGGATTCACTTAGCTAATATTTTGTTAAGAAGTTTTGCTTCTATGTTTATCAGAGAAATTGGTGTGTAGTTTTTTGAAAGAAGAGAAATATGGCTCTGTTCCGCCCTGCTCACCGGTGGTCAGAGTTTAAGGTTATCTCTCTTATTCCCTGAACAATTGCTGTTATCCAGTTCTTTTTTCAAGGTGCCCACATTTCATATTGCTCAAACACACATGCTGTACAATTTGTGCAGTTAATGCAATCATCACATGGTCCTGAGGCGACATACATCCTCCTCAGCTGACAGGCTTAAGACATTAAAGTAAAGACAGGCATAGGAAATCACAAGGGTATTGATTGGGGAAGTGATAAGTGTCCATGAAATCTTTACAATTCATGTTTAGAGACTGCAGTAAAGACAGGCATAAGAAATTATGAAAGTATTAATGGCTTCAGCGGGTCCCTCCATTTGGGGTCCCTGACTTCCCGCAACAGTTTTTTTTTTCTTGTGTCCTTTCCTGGTTTTGGTATGAGGGTGATACTAGCTTCATAGAATGATTTAGGGAGCACTCTTTTCTTAATCTTTTCAAACAGTTTCAGTGGGATTGACACCAGTTCTTCTCTGAATATCTGGCAGAATTCAGCAGTGAATCCATCTGGTCCTGGGCCTGTTTTTTTTTTTTTTTTTTTTAGACGGAGTCACACTTTGTCACCAGTTATTCTTAGGTTTGACCATTTTACATAATCCCATATTTCTTGGAGTCTTTGTTTGTTTCTTTTGATTCTTATTTATTTTTTTTCTGTTTTGGCTAATTCAAAAGCCTTGTCTTCCAGCTCTGAAATTCTTTCTTCTACTTATTTTAGTCTATTGTTAAAACTTTCCACTGCATTTTATAATTCCCTCAGTGTGTCTTATTTCCAGAAGTTCTGATTGGTTTTTCTTGATATCTATCTCTAGACATTTTTTCATTCATATCCTGAACTGCTTTTAAACTTCTTTATGATGGTTTTCACCTTTGCCTGCTATCTCCTTGAGTAGCTTAATAATTGATCTTCTAAATTCTTTATCTGGTATTTCAAAGATTTCATCTTAGTTTGGGTTCATGGCTGGAGTGCTAATGTGATCTTATTGGAGTTATAGCACCCTGTTTTTTATATTACCAGAGTTATTTTTCTGGTTCCTTTTCATTTGGATAGACTATTTCTCCTAATTATTCTTAAATTTATGTTTGATTTGACTCTGTTTCTTTTGTTTTTACATTTCTTTTTTGCCCCTAAGGATGAGAATTTAATGCTTACAACTAATTATAGCCTAATTTGGTTCTTGGTGCTTTCAAAGGAGAAGGCTCTGTAAGAGTTCTTTGGTTATAGAGAGTCTTTGTATGATGGCTTTCTCATATGCTGGTTGTAGTAGCAATGTACTCTGTGTGAACAAGTTCACTATCTCTTGTGGTGTTGGAATGGTAGAAGTCTCTTAAAACAACTCATTCTCCCATGGCATGCACTTTCTTATTTATTTCTCTTCCCAAGTATTTTATGTACTGGTTTGATGGTTCAGGCTTCAGGCCAGTGGGAGAGGTATCCCTCAGTAGGAACCTGCTGTGGCTAAAGCAGGTGAATAAATGAAGGCCTAGCCTTGATAGAGGCAGCTAGAGGAGCTCTCAATGAGTTTTAAGAGGTCTTATCTGGGGGAAAGGTCGGAGCCACCATAGCTCCCCTGCCAAGTCAGCAGGAATGTTATCCACCTCTCAGACACACTTCTGACCCAGCACTCCAGCTATTCAGATAAGACAGACACCTCTTTTCATCTGCAGGAATGTTGATGTTCCAAACAGAGAGGAATTGTGACTCTGTCTCTCACGCAAACCTAAATCTAGAGGGTGCTCCTGCTGCGGGGGTGCAGTCACCCTAACATGTTCCAGAAAGGCTGTCTATAGTTGCACCCATGCCAAACTCCCATGGAAGAAGCCCCAGCTGTGTCTATGGTAGTGGGCAGGGGGAGAAAGACTTCCTCTTTTCCAAGTCCCTTCTCATGCACCAGGGCTAGCTGACTGTTGGGATAGGGCTGAAGATTTTCCCTGCTGAACCCAGCATTTATGTTGTGCCTCTGCTGAAAGAAGCTTTCCACAATGGAAGGATCTGGTGCTCAAGACCTGTTGTCCAGATTCTTTTGTTCCACAAGGTGTTCCCTTGATATGGTATACTCACTCTTCCACTAGGAGTGGGGATCCCTGGAAGCCATACTGCTATGAGTGTTGTTGCTCCTCTGAGTCTAGCCATCCACTCCAGGCTGGTGTTGGGAAATGTCTGTAAGGGATCCAGTGATGTGACCTGTCCTCAAGTTTCCTAGAAGTGGGTGCCAGTGCCAGCTCTAATGGGGGTGGCAGGGGAGTGACACAGACCCTGTGAAATTCCCTGGTTACTGATAACCTTGGTGTGTTGGCTTTCTTGAATACCAGTTATAAAAGTAATGAACTAATCACCTGGACAGACTCAGGATCTCCTGGTTAGCCAGACTGCTTCAGGCAGTAATGATATCTGAGATCACACAGCCATTTTCTCCTTCCTCGGCACAGTGTTATTCTCCAGGATATACTGTAATGAACTAAGTTGGTTGGCCTCCAGTCAGGATGTGGTGCTTGCAAAAGAGCACCAGCTATGGTAGTAGCAGTGAGATTTTTACTTACCTTATGTTGCCCAGGGTGGGTACCTAGTTTCTCAGGCAATGGTCAGGGCCATGTATCTCCCAAGATATACTGTCTTTTGTGTTAAGCTACCAGAACCAGAGCAGGTAGCAGGGCAAAGCCATGAGGGGACTGGGTCCGGCAGGTGTGTACTCTGGGTCTCCATGTGCAGGGCAAGCAGCAACCCAATAGGGAGCAGCCTCCTGCTTTCTTCAAAGAGTCCATAGATTTCTTTGGTTTTCCTGTTCAATTCTGTGTCAATTCTTGAAATACAGTTTACTATGTGAATCTGTTCACCCTATTTTGTCCTTCCAAGTGGGAGAGGTATGGTATCAATGCCTTTAACCTGCCATCTTCCCTCCTGCAGGTCTTACACAATTATTGTATCAAAAATAAGTATCTTTGTGTACTAAATCACATATACATACAAAGACATGGTCTATAATTTATCTCTATACCCAGTAGGTATGAACACCAACAGTACTATTCCAGTGACCTATTTGTGATGTTCATCTTTTTTTCCTGACACATTCATTGATTGTATGTGCACATTCTTCAAACGTAATGTGGTTTCTGTGCTTGAGGATAATGTCAAAGCAATTGAAGAATGACTCAAAAACTCTCCATTCTTCAACTCCTTGGAGTATGATATAGTTTGGATGTTTACCCCCTCCAAATCTCATGTTGAAATGTGATCCCCAATGAACGTGGGAGGTGTTTGGGTCATGGTGATGGATCCCTCATGAATGGCTTGGTGCCCTCCCCATGGTAATAAGTTCTTGCTCTGTTAGTTCACCCAAGAACTGGTTGTTTAAAAGAACCTGGCATCTCTCTTGTTCCGTCTCTTACCATGTGACATGCCTGCTCCTCCTTCACTTTCCACCATGAGTAAAATCTTCCTGAGGCCTCACCAGAAGCCAGGCAGATGCTGTTGCAATGCCTGTACAGCCTGCAGAAATGTGAGCCAAATAAACCCTTTTTCTTTATATACCCAGTCTTAGATATTTCTTTATAGTAATGCAAAACAAACTAATACTGTCTATGTGTATATATATATATGTGCATATGTGTGTGTGTCTTTAATGAAATTAGAGAAATAATCTACCAAGAGGAAGTAAAAGATAATGTCTTATTATCATGAGTTCAGCAAGTTTCACACATTGCATTTGGCAATTATATTGGTTAACTCTGTGTGTCAAGACAGTGACTTCAACAGCTGCAACAGTCAAACCTTGAAACCTCAGTGGCTTAACCCAACAAACATTTATTTTTTCTTCACATTATGGTCTGATAAATCTCATGCAGCTCTCCTTGGTGGATTTTCTCTCAGATTTAACTTAGCAGCCTGGCTACTTCCATTTTGCAACTCCATCATTGAGGATTCTTCTCTTCCAACTACAGGTGTGAAAGGAGAGCACAGAAAGCATTGTCCTGACCTCATGCAACACATCACTCTTGCTCATCAAAATTCCTTTTATTGCTTAGTCACTTGGTCCCAATCTAATCACATGCAGGCTTGGAAATTCACTCTTCTTATATATCCAGGAAAAGAAAACTATGACACGAACATCCTTAACATTACAAATTTGTATTATTTCTTATTTACATAAAGTCCACACAACAGAGAACAGGCTTGAGAGAGGGCAACCTCTGTTCCCCACAATTATTCAGCAGCCCAGTCTTACGGAGGTTTCACTTTGCTTACATGTAGCCTTGAAAGTTGTTTTGCAAGTAGAAATCCATCCGAAAGAGGAGGGAAGGGACAAAGAATGGAAAGCTTCCCTCACTTCTTAAGCACACAGCCTTAAGTAACACACAGTAGTTATTCTCATATAACAGTTCCATGAAGTAGTCTCATTATACCATCTAGATACAAGGAGAAGGAGGAGAGGTTGAGAAACGGAATTCCTAGCCAGACAGCAACTTTGCAGCAGCAACTCCACATTACAAAATGGAAGTATCAATGTTTGGTGGACAACCAGTCATTGCTAATTTGTTTCATTGGCCAGGTATCTCTCCCGACCCAAGCCAGACTCCAGAAAAGCCAGTGGTCAAGCTTTGCAGTGATAAGACAAAAGTTTTCTATTATAAGTTTATTTGTAGTGCAAAAGTTTTAAAGAATCGAAATTTTTAAGTAAAAAGAAACCAAGAATTTAATATTATATCTACTAGATGTTAAGTTATTCTGGCCATTAAAAATACAAGTTTTATAAAAAGAATACAAAACCATATGCTCATAACACATAAAAAATGATTGAGAAAACAGTAGAAGACTACTTAAAAAGTGAGATATTATCTATAGAAAAGTAATAATGTTAGATAAATAAGATTAGTAAGGATTTTTTTCTTTTATTTTTCACACTTTCTTTTGAAATACTTTATACATTTTTACAAATAAATACCCACCAATGTACACATGCACACACATACACACAGCGCAGATTGGCAAGAGAAAAATTGATACCAAATAGAGATTTTAAAGTCTTAATGAACCCTTAAAACTATGAAATATGTATGAAATTCTACCCTTATAAGTGGGTATCCTTTAATCATGCATTGTATTTTTATTCCAAAAAATAAGTTTTCAGATTATTAGAGATGGAAAATATACATCTTTGCCTGCTTTACATCGTTCCCCTTTTCCCATTTTGAAAAAGCTCAAAAAAAAGCTTCTGTAAGAAACCTGAAAATAAACTAGATCTTTGATAAAATAAACAAACAAATATTACTCTAACTTTGCGTGTGTATAGATATGACTCCCAATTGTACTGAATACTTGCCAGAACGAGAGAGATACTGAGAGGGGAGGCTGAGACTGAAGAGCTCCTGCTAAACCCCTCAGATTAGTAAGTTTTTCAAAGTTAGTGACAAAGCATGAGGGAAAATTCATAACCTCTTGACAAAATAATTCCTCGTCTGCAACAAGAGTAGGACATATGGGCTGCTGTAGGATCTTTCTCTTTGTGTGGAACAACACTAAATGCCACAGAGGGTCATGCTGAAGACCTTTATAACCACACCACACACAAGGCAGAGAAGACTCTGAGCGAGAATCTTGCAGCAATATGCCGGGCGCGGTGGTTCACGCTTGTAATCCTAGCAATTTGGGAGGCCAAGGTGGGTGGATCACCTGAGGTCAAGAGTTTGGGACCAGCCTGGCCAACATGGTAAAACCCCATCTCTACTAAAAATACAAAAGTTAGCAGGGTGTGGTGGCAGGCCTCTGTAATCCCAGCTACTCGGGAGGCTGAGGCAGGAGAATCACTTGAATCTGGGGGACCGAGGTTACAGTGAGCCGAAATCGTGCCACTTCACTCCAGCCTGGGCGAAAGAGCAAAACTCTGTCTCAAAAAATAAATAAATAAATAAATAAATAAATAAATAAATAAATAAATAAATAAAATATTAATAAAAGAAAAGGAAGGGCTAAACTTGCTAGCAGCGTATACACTGCAGAGGAAAAATCTAATAAGAGGCTTCCCTGTAAGCCAGGCAGATTTCTATCTACCTCTGAGTTTACTCTTTCCTCCTTTCCTTCACTATCAGCTAGCTCATCTCAGGAAGAACTTGGCTCATTCAAAGATGATCAATAAGTCAAAAGAATAAGTACAAGATGTATAAGACTACTAAAGAAAAAGGAAAGAAAAAGATTTGGCAAATATTAGTAATGGGCTGGGGGAACATTTCTCCTTCACTCCTCATGCTTCTCTTTGTGGTGGAAGTTCCTAGCTCTCTCCACACCCTCACATGTTACTCCCTAGAGGAAGAGGAGTGACTTCGTCAGATTGATAGGTTTTAAAATGAAGATGGGCAACTGAGAAGTGAGTTGTGTAAGGAGGACATTTCTCATCCCTTCCCCATGCTGTAGGTCTGTTCTAAGGTCTGCTGCAGAGTAACGGTACTGGGTGGTTTTATACTAAAAGTGTGCTTGCCAATAGATATGTCTCATTTTCCTCTCACTTTTATCAATAAAAAGTGATATTTTGAATTCTAAATGCCTCACTCTCCATTTTATTATTGAATTATTTCCGAACTAGGTAAGAAAGAAAGATGTTGTCTATTGAATGCCTTAGACAAAAAAAGAAAGAAAGAAAGGAAACAAAGAGACCCAATAAAAGACCATTGTGAAGTTCTTTCTTCAGGACATAAGTGGGCAAATTTTTAAGCAGTGAGTTCAAGTATTGAATGAAAAAATAGCAACACAAAGTAGAGACAAAACATTACTTTGATGAAGAGGTCAGGAAAGAAGAAAAAAAGTGTGAATCCAACAAAAAAGTAAAGATTTCCTAGAATCAACAATAAGTGTCATAGACACTACTGTAGTTAGGGGATAAATAAGGGCTACAATAATTGGGTAAATTACAGATGAAGAACACAACCAAAACATTAAAAACTATTGCAAATATTCATATAAATATTGACAAAGGTGGAGTGGAGTTAGGAGGTTAGTTAAGTCTTCCTACTTTCTCATCCTGAGGACAAAAATCATTATTTAAATCAAGTGATTGAGGCATAAGTATATCCTCAGATATTTCATTCAAAATGAAAATAAGATGATGTGGCTTAAAGTGGGGAGAGGGAAGGCAGGTGAGGTGTGAGGAAATATAGTAATTTTGCAATTACGCTTAGTGGAAAAACAGATTTTTCTAAATAAATGGAGAATTAAGTATACAATATAATTATATATGTGTATATTTTATCATTAGGAAAACTAAAAATAGATGTAACAACTACAAAGTTATCAAAAGGAATATATACAAGCAATACATTGTATATACAGTTGTATATATGTGTGTGTGTTATATAGTAAAACATAAAATTACAAAAGGAACATTACAAACAGAAAGCAAAAGCAAAATAATGTAATAAACTGAAACCAGAAATATCTGTCATATCAATAAGTATAATGCATAAGCAAATAAATAAAAAGCCAGATTGGATTGAAAACCATAACTCCAAATAATGTTGTTTTAATAGACTCTTCTTGAGTAAAGTGACTCTGAAAACATTAAAAGTCAAAGTATTGGAAAGTGACTTATTTTGAAAGTAATTAAACTAAATCACTATATTTCCTGTATACACATAACAATCATTTAGAAGGATTATTAAAAGGAGAAAATATCTAAATTAAAGTTAATGCAATACAACAAAGATAAATCAAAAGGGCAATTGTAAATGGAGCAAAGTTATTTCAACGCACATGATAGATGAAGGGTAGAATTCCTTGAAATTATTAAAAGAAGACTAAAATACAATAGGAAATAAAAGTTTTCAAGTAGATCATAGAAATGAAAATATAAGTGGATATGAATACTTTAAAAAAGATGCTTAATCTTACTTATAGTTTAGAAAGTATGAATTCACTTTGTAATGAGGTGCTATCTTTCAATCATCAGATTGAAAAAAACAAAAAAGTTTGGTCACACAGCATTAGGAATTGTATGAGAGAACAAGCATTGCCATATCTCAATGAAAGGCAATTCTGCAGTATCTGCAAAGTATCCATAAACATAAAATTGATATTTCATTTAGTGTGTGTGTGTGTGTGTGTGTGTGTGTGTGTGTGTGTGTGTGTGTGTGTGTGTTTGGTAACTGGAATATGTCTATTGCAATCTCTGGAAACTGAAAAGAAGAGTGATATCTGAGGAGAGACGAGGATGGGAAGGAAAAGCACTTTCCATTTATGCCATTCCAAGCCTCAAGTCCTATGTGCACTTATTCCAAAAACAAAGGGGAAAGGGTGGGAGATAAAAAACAGTGATATAGTTTAAATGTTTGTCCCCTCTTAATCTTATGTTGAAATGTAATTCCCAGTGTTGGAGGTGGGGCCTGGTGAGAGGTATTTGGATCATGGGAGTGGATCTCTTATAAATGGCTGGGTGCCATCCCCTTGGTGATCAGTGAGCTCTCATTTGAGTTCACCTGAGTTTGCTTGCTTAAAAGGGTGAGGCACTTCCCCACTCTCTCCCTTGCTCCTGCTTTCCCCATGTGACATGCTGGCTTCCCCTTCACCTTCTGCCATGATTGCAAGCTTCCTGAAGCCTCACCAGAAGCAGATGCTGGCACCAACCTTCCTGTAAACCCTGTAGAACCATGAGCCAATTAAACCTCCTTTCTTTATAAACTACCCAGCTTCAGGTATCTCTTTATAGTGTCACAAAAACTTACTAATACAAACAGGAAAAGAAGGGTGGAAAAAGAGAAAGGAGGAAAGGAAGAAAGGGAAGGAGAGGGAAGAAAAGGAACAAGGACCCTGACAGTAAAATTCTGTGTGGCTATTAAAATTGTTAAAGTGTGACATAAAAAGATCCTCAATGTTATACTATTAAATAAGAATGAATATACACTATAGTTTGTATATTGTCCTTTTATACATGAAAAATAAATGGATAGGCATAAGTAACTTCACTGTGGTCACACTCACAAGAAAGGCTGAAAATGAAAGATTAGGAACTCTCGACTTTGCTTTATATTTGATAAACATCATATAAACATTAGCATTTAAGCCTTTTTTTAAAAAAAAAGTATCAATAGGGTTTATCAGGAATTTTGGACAGTAGGTGATTTTTTAAACACTTTTTTTATTTCAAAAACTGTTAACAGCATTTTAAACATTTTTTTCAGTCTCAAAGGAAAAAAAATGTTCCCACTTTCATATATTATCTAGTATATATAGTACCAATGTATTAGTTTGTTTTCACACTGCTATAAAGAACTACTTGAGAATGGGTAATTTACAAAGAAAAGAGCCTTCATTGACTCACAATTTTTCAGGCTTAATAGGAAGCATGGCTAGGAGGCCTCAGGAAACTTACGATCATGGCAGAAGGTGAAGGGGAAGCAAGCACGTGTTACCATGGTGGAACATGAGAGAGAGCACAAGGCGGAAAGCACCACAGTTTCAAATGATCAGATCTTGTGAGAACTTACTCACTATCGTGAGAAGAGCATGGAAGAAATCCACCCCCATGATCCAGTCACCTCCTACCAGGTCCCTTCCCTGACATTTGGGGATTACAATTTGACATGAGATTTCGGTGGGGACACAGAGCTAGACCATATCATTTCACCCCGGGCCCTCCCAAATCTCATGTCCCAAATGGGAGAATTGGCTAAAACAACGGGGCTACAGGTGCCATGCAAGTTTAAAACCCAGCAGGGCAGTCATTAAATCTTAAAGCTCCAAAATAATCTCCTCTCACCCCCACCCCAGGGCACACTGATGCAAGAGATGGGCTCCCCAGCCCTTGGGCAGCTCTGCCCCCATGGCTCTGCAGTGTACAGCCCCACAGCTGCTTTCACAGGCTGGCATTGAATGCCTGCCACTTTTCCTGGTGCATCATTGCAAGCTGTGAGTGGATCTACCATTCTGAGGTCTGGTGGATGGTGATCCTCTTCTCATAGTTCCACTAGGCAGTGCCCCAGTGGGGACTCTCTGTGGGGGCTCCAGCCCCACATTTCCCCTCTGCACTGCCCTAATCGAGGTTCCCCATGAGGGCTCTACCCCTGCAGCAGACTTCTGCCTGGATATCCAGGTGTTTCCATACATCCTCTGAAATCTAGGCAGAGGTTCCCAAACTCTTGCCTTCTGTACACCTGCAGGTCCAACACCACATGGAAGTTGCCAAGGCTTGACGCTTGCACCCTCTGAAGCAACAGCCACAGCTGAAGCTGGAGTGGCTGGGACTCAGGGTGCCATGTTCTGAGGCTGCATAGAGCAGCGGGACCCTGTACCTAGCTCATGAAACCATTATTCCCTTCTAGGCCTCCAGGTCTATGATGGGAGGGGCTATTGTGAAAATTTCTGAAATGCCCTGCAGACATTTCCCCCACTATCTTAGCAATTAACATTCACCTCCTCTTTACTTATGCAAATTTCTTCAGCCAGAAGCTTGAATGGCTTCCCCCCAAAATGGGTTTTTCTTTTCTACAACATGGTTAGCCTATAAATTTTCCAAACTTTTAGGCTCTGCTTCCCTTTTAAACACAAATTTCAATTTCAGATCACCTCTTTGTGAATTCATATGACTGTATGCTTCCAGAAACAGCCAGGTCAAATCTTGAATGCTTTGCTGCTTAGAAATTTCTTCTGCCAGATATCCTAAATCATCTTTCCCAAGTTCAAAGTTCCACAGATCCCTAGGGCAGGGGTAAAATGCCACCCATGTCTTTGCTAAAGCATAGCAAGAGTGACCTTTGCTCCAGTTACCAGTAAGTTCCTCATCTCCATTCAAGATCACCTCAGCCTGGACTTCATTGTCCATATCACTATCAGCATTTTGGTCAAAACCATTCTCTAGGAAATTCTCTAGGTCAAAAACAAGTCTCTAGGAAGTTCCAAACTTTCCCACACCTTCCAGTCTTCTTCTGAGCCCTCCACACTCTTCCAACCTCTGCCAGTTACCCAGTTCCAAAGTTGTTTCCACATTTTCAGGTATCTTTATATAGTATTCCACTCTCCTGTTACCAATTTTATGTATTAATTTGTTTTCACACTGCTATGAAGAACTACCTGAGACTCAAAACTACCCGAGTCACTGAAAAAGATTTCATTGACTCACAGTTTTGCTGGCTTAACAGGAATCATGGCTAGGAGACCTCAAGAATCTTACAATCATGGCAGAAGACAAAGAGAAAGCAAGCATGTCTTACCTGGTGGCAAAAGAGAGAGAGCAATGGAGGTAGTGCTACACTTTTAAACTATCAGATCTCATGAGAACTCACTCACTGTCATGAAAACAGCAAAGGAGAAATCCACCCCCATGATCCAATTACCTCCGACCAAGTCCCTCTTCTGACACATGGGAATTGCAATTTGACATGAGATTTTGGTGGGGACACAGAGCCAAATCTTATCAATCAAGAATGTTATCAAGATACTGGCCCGGATTTGGCCCTGATCTCACTAAAGTTGGTGAAACTAAGAGCATGTAAAAGGCAGCAACCAATACTCAGTTTCCTAAAGTTGAATGTGTACAGGATCCACATTAGTTGGTCTCCTGTGTTTCTGGATTACAGAGCAGCACCTCAGAAGTTTCCTCCAGTTGAGGTCCTAGACCATGTGGTGACCTATCAAAGGATCAGCAGTCAAGTTGGCAGTTTTGGAGGAAAAAGCATAGCAAAGAATTGCTTGTATTTTTTAAATGTAAATGTAAAATTAAATTTTATTTTTTATAGAAATACCATGAAGTTATTTATAATATTTATAGTTCTAAACAATTTTTAGATACTTCAAGATCTTTAGAGGTCTGGTTCATCTTGACCAAAGGCTTTTATCATGTCAGTTCTATATTAATTATTTTGTGTTTTAATTTGCATGCTTCATTGTCACCATGATGTTATATTATATCTCAAATTCACAAAACTGAGTCAATGTCTCAAAGAGGATTCATTGAAATAGCAGCATTACTACTGCAGTTCAGAGTGGGAAAAAAAAGTAATTTTAAATATACTGAGATTAGTGACACTGTAGTTATAGTAATTCCCTACAGGTAGCCCTAAAAGCACAAAAGGAAAGTACAGCTAGAAAGTGAAATGATGAATATCAGAAAATCTGATTTTATTTGGTAGAGGAATCCATTTTGTCCTTTTTCAGTTTGGCACTGTCTGTATGAAACATTATCAAGCAGCATTATGAAGGCACAGAAGTTTACACACCATTTTAAGAAAAAACACAGTGCCCTCACTAGCAGGCAAATTGATCTTTTCCCAGAATGTTTTCCAGTATCAAATCCATTAATTTTGTGGCAAACATACACAGACTAAAAATACATAAGCATCATTCAAAGTTGCACCCTTTCTAGAAAATGCAAATTTCAGTCACCCTATTGACAAGAAGATAGTAAAACAGTGTAAAATTAATGGATGTTTTGTGCAGAAAAAAAGTAGAAAGAGCCATAGGATTGATTTTCAAAGGGTACTGCTAGACATAACACAATGTCACTGGCATTCAGTGTGAGTGAGCAATGACTACCATTCTGTTTGTGGTGCCAGAGACTCAACTTCACACATACAAAGTGTATGAATCTGTTCTTGGTTTATGTGCAGTATATATATGAGAAGCATTTTTCTGTTATCCTTTAAAGGACTTATTCTAAAAAACACATATTATATAAAAGATCTGGTTTCAAAAAACATTTTCTGAGCTATGAAGGCTGGAAAAGCATCAGCACTGAGTACCTGCATTGCAGGTGCAGCCTCGAGAGAAACCACTGTGATCAAAAGATTGTATGGGAACCTCAATTCAGACGGTGCTTCCTATGCAGGGAATGGTAGGGGTTGAATGAAGAACATGGTGAAAATTATGAATATGTCTAAGTGAAGATACTGTATGAATATGTCTAAGTGAAGATACTGTACGAATATGTCTAAGTGAAGATACTGTATGAATATGTCTAAGTGAAGATACTGTATCTTTTTTCCAATATGATATCCTAAGAAATATTCAGTAAGTTTAAGAAATATTTCACATTGAAAAACATTCTCTGTTCAGATCAAAGATATAATTTACTAAGTGTTTTCTGGGTCCCAGTCATTCTACTTACATTGTAGTATTTAATTCTCACCACAAACCCTATGTGGAAGGTGTTTTTGTTCCAATTTACAAGGCAATAAGGACTTTTACAAGTCAACTAACTGACATTTTGCTTTTAAAAATCTAACTTGGGACTTATAAAGAAAGTCTTTTAACTATATTTAGTAAATTAACTATATCTAGTATGCACTTTATTTTAAAATGAATAGCTCACAAAGCTCTTTTGCAGTCAGCAGAATCTTAAGACTAGAGAATATATAGTACCTGTCTATTTCTCTACCTATCTACCTATTTCTCTATCTCTGTAGCTTATATATGTAATAACACCTGGTTGTAAATAAAAACCTTAATGTTTATAACTCATCTTAAATATTCACATATAGAACTCGGGGTAAAATTTTTAAAACACACTAGTATTATACAAATGAAATAGCATAGATTCACAGAATAGGGTCTAAAATACAGCCACACAATTATTTGAAGGCAGGAACAATGTCATTTCCTCCTTGTACTCTTGTATTCCACACTGCCCTAAGCATAGTGTTGTTAAATACAGTTTTAAAATAATATCACATGATAATTTACTTCAATAATATTATGAAGGAAGATTTGGCAAACAGACTGCTTGGTCCATGTAGCCTGCCAGGTAGAGCAAAATATATTTTCCAAAGTCCATATTCTGGACTAATTTTCTGATTTGATTGTCCTTATGTCCTTCCAGATCAAATTAAAAAATTTTGGCAAATTCTGCTTTTGGTTGATTGGACATATTTACTCAACCTGTTATGTATTTAGGGGAAAATGCTTACTTCCCACAGATGTTGTCATCTTTGCATTTGTGAATTGGGTCAATCTAAACAAACAGGATTTAAAGACATTATCTAAGAAGCAGAAATTAAAATTGGGTGTGGTTGTTGATCAGACTAAGGCCACTCTTTGGTCAACTCAAGCAATGGTGACAGCACAGATGGCAGGTCTTCCAGATAAGAGAATCTATTCTAATCAACAGAATCCAAAAGTGCAGCTTTCTTGGCTGCCTGGGCACACTGGAAACAAGGCCCAAGGCTACCGCTGCTGGTGCTTCCTCCACACTTGTGTGTGCCTCCACCATAGTGTTCATTTCTAAGTGCTTTGTAGAAATATGTCTTAGAAGGAGTTTGCTCAGAGCATTTTATTTTGTTGTTTGTTTGTTTTTACCATAGTGATGAGGTATATTTGGTTTATTGAACCCAAGGAAGGTTTTCTTTGATTGAAAAGACCATAGGCAAAGTGAAATCCTTGACTGAAAAGACCACAGGCAAAGTTAAATAGCTAGAATTATTCAGTGTTAGATCTTATGTCTTTGTTAACTTAAGCCTCCTTAGTATTTATATCCACAGATAATTCTTTGTCTTCTGGAAATTTCCTCCCAGAGGGAATAAAATTCTCAGATTTTTGAGGGGATAAAATTCTGAGTTGTCTGTGGGATCATCTGGTCCTCTTCAGCTTGCCACCAATGGAAATATCATCAAGACCTGTAAGGCCTTTTCTTTTCCACTCTCTGTTGATAAGCTCTGTCCTGTTTTTACCTCCTTCTTTAGGTCCAAGGGATGTTTGTGATAACTATGGGCTGCTTGAACATCTCTTTCAGGTTACTTGTCCACATGGCTGGCTTGGGCTTTCTCACAGCATGCACAGCATGGCAGACTTCTTGCATAACAAGTGACTTTCCCCCAAAAGGTGTATTTCAAGGACAGGAAGTAGACACTGCTAGTAATTTACCACCCGGTCAAGAAACTGACACAACCTCACTTCCACTGATGTTTAGTGGTGAAACCACATATAGAATGTACCCAGATTTGAAGGAAGGAGCAATAGTCACCTCATCTAGATGGGGTGCATACCAAAGAATTTGCCGCGAATCTTAATCTGCTATAATCATACAGCTGTAACTCAACTCAAGATGAGTTAGACTGCCTACTCTGATTCCAACCCTGGCTGCTGAATGTTCCCAGGGAAAATCACACCACTCTGAAGGCTCATGTCACCACAGAATCTTCACCTTCAATCTCATTTGCAACTCAGTGCTGTTCATCCCTCTCTTCTCTTCAACAACCATTATTAACTGCTACCCTTCTCTAACTTCCTAACCCACCACCGTCTGATGCCTCTCAGTAGACAATCTTACCTTCTGCTTCACAGGAGAAAATAAGGCCATCAGATAGGACTCCCTCAACTTCTAGCCACTCCAGCTACAGACTTACCTATATTCTTACCTACTGCCTCCATTAGTCAAAAGAGAACAGGTTCTTCTGTTTTCTGTGGCCAATCTCTCTAGATCCTGCCCCTCCCTATCTCCTCAGTTATTTGTCATAATAAATTTCCCCTCTCATCCACCTTTGCAACCTATCCTTCTCTATTTTATTTATTTATTTATGTATTTATTTATTTATTTTATTTATTTATTTATTTATTTTTGAGAAGGAGTCTCACTCTGTCACCCAGGCTGGGGTGCGGTGGAGCAATCTCAGCTCACTGCAACCTCTGCCTCCTGGGCTCAAGTGATTTTCCCACCTCAGACTCCTGAGTAGCTGGGACTACAGGTGTGCAACACCATGCCTGGCTAATATTTGTATTTTTAGTAGAGATGGGGTTTTGCCATGTTGGCCAGGCTGGTCTCCAGCTCCTGACCTCATGTAATCCACCCACCTCCAACTCCCAAAGTGCTGGAGTTACAGGGGTGAGCCACTGCACCCGGCCCTAGCAATTCTCCTGCCTCAGCCTCCCGATTAGCTGGGACTACAAGCACATGCCACCAAGCCCAGCTAATTTTTTGTATTTTAGTACAGACGGGGTTTCACCGTGTTGCCCAGGCTGGTCTCGAACTCCTGAATTCAGGCAATCTGCCCGCCTCAGCCTCCCAAAGTGCTAGGACTACAGGCGTAAGCCAATGTGCCTGGCCTATCCCTCTATTCTTGACTTATAATTAGCCCTTAACCAGTCTTAAATTTATCTTAAAAGGATAAAATTCCCCATGATTCAATGACCCCTCCAGCTAGCAGTCTCTCACTTCTCATTACATGGGGAACTTTTTTTGCATGAAGAAAATGGACTATATCTGTATGGTATGTAGACACATATACTTCTGTATATGTCAAAATTTGTTTCATTAATATTTGTATTAATTACTATTTGTCATTAACATATACACATATCAACATGTGCATTTATAGTATACAAATATGTGCATCTATAGTATGACATATGCACATATCAATGTGCATTTATAGTATAGTAAACACATATATCAATATGTGCATTTATAGTATTAAAGTATATCTCAGTATGAAAAAGAAAGTTAAACCGGGGTAAAATGCACCCAACTTCAACTTTCAATATAGCTTAGACTGTACCAATATTTTTGAAATGTTTATAATTTAGCTCTCAAAGTGATTTAATTGTGATTAAAATCATCTAATTTATTAAGTATGATATTTCACTTGGGAATTCCTGCTAATTAAGAAAAAATTAACCTATAAATCATTTTTAAGTATAACAAAACATAGGTAAATATTAACAAAAACAGATATATCCTTTGAACTTAGCAGGCCAACTTTTGTAAATCTATAGAAATAGAAATGCCAGTTTTTTAACGAATGTATACAGATAAAGAATAATTGTTTATAGAGCAAAATTACTGGAAATAAAGAGAATGCTCACCAATAGAGTATTAAATAAATTGTAGTCACATTTCTACCATGGAACGTGGCAAAAGCTGGAAAAAGAATATTAGGTCTGTACTAGGTTACTTAGTGGGATTACTACATTTTTTAATGATATAAGCAAGATGCAAAGAAGTATGTTATTCCGGTTTTTTAAAGCAATGGTACACAGTCCTTTTACTCAAGTTTATTAATGATGATATGAACAGGGAGAAATTTAAGAAAGAATACACCCAAGCAGTTAAACTTAGTTATCTGTGTATGGTGGTGTAAGGAATAATGTTAAAGAAGGAGAGGAATGTAATGTTTTTTTAAAGACAGTGCAAAAAAACATAACGTCTAATTTGGCCCTAAATTAAGATTAACAACTGAGAGAAAGCTCCCTAGACCAGCAGAGACTAAGTAAAAAGAGAGTAGTTATTTCAAGGGTGATGATGAATTCTTCATTCATACATTCTGTGCAAAATGAAGGTCAGGAGGCCTTTCCTGAAATTCCTTCTAATGGTCCTGAAAGGGCCAATCCTCATGGGAAAGAGATACTAAGCTCTCAAGTATCTGTCTCCCCAACTTTTTAGTCTAATATACCTTTTTCCCAATCACAGTTTTCTGAATGACACTTTTTCTGTGTACCATTCTCTTCTCCACCCTGCATGAAAAATGTACAACCTAGATTTAGCAATGCTTAGTGTGTAGATACTGTAGCCCACTCTGTCTTTCACAAAGGTTTGGCTTTTCTGCCTGTTGTTGGCTAATATTGGGGTGAAACTCAAAAATAGCCCTGCGTCTTGTTAGTGTCAACACTTATTCTTTATTCCTCACATTCCATAGGGACAGAAACAATATGTATACTACTGACCAGGAGGGAACAATCTGACTCTCTCCTGTCCCTCTTTATCTCTTCCATTGGAGGAGGATGTGATTTCATGGGTTGGTGAGCTAAAGGAAGAAATTCAACTTAGCCCTTCCAAATTCTCTGCCTCATGTCTTTCTGCCTGGAAAAATCACCATGTAATGAGTTTAGCAGGGAAAGTGGTGCTCTTCAAGGGAAGGCCTGCTATTGTTGCTTTTTTCTCCTTTTGTTCTAAGCTATGTGAGGAAAGAGGGGATGTTTATATCCCATTTCTCCTAAAATCAAAACCTCTAAGGTACTGACCTGTGTCTTACTATAGGAACCTATTCACTTGGTTGACCCTATACCCATTCAATCAGTTTCCAGAGCAGAAATTATTAATCATATGAGTTTAAGGAATCTTGAACACTATGAAAATATGTGCATAATCTTGTATTCATTTGCAACTTTAATTTGCATCAGATTTCCCAAAAGGTCCATAATTCAAAACTGGGTTAGAACCACTGCTCTTGAAATATCCCACTGAGCTTCTATTTCTTATACCCTACCTGTTGCACCTAGTTCTTAATTTATTAGCTGAAATAAATGGTCCTTTCTCCATCCAGGTAGTTATTTCTAATTATTTCCAGAGGAATCTCTGACTGATATTTGCTTTTAAAAATTACCATTTTGCAATAGCAATGTATCTCAAACTTATGGAAATAGAAGGCACATTAGCAAAAGGGATTATCCTCACAAAAGCTAAACACAGAAATAATCAACTACAGTCTACAATCCTTGGGGACAAATGGGTTTCAAAATTCACACTTTATCAAACTTTCGAACTCTGGAAAGGGAATATGGTTCATATATTCTATATTACTCAATGTCTCCAAAAGGGTCTGGAGCAATGTTTCAGGATCAAATGCACTAGTTTTTTTTTCTATAAAACATAAATATTTATATTAGGTGGGATAGAGACTATAAATAGTGCCACCTTAGTTTAGGTCAGGTTTTTCCTACCAAATGAATTATAAAATATTTGTTTTTTAGTGTTTTGTGGGAGACGTGGCTAAGGGATTGTGAATATCTAAAGACTGTCTTTGTCTCCCTTCAATCTTGCTTTGTCTGGAGCCAAATAACTCTAGTCTTTTCAATATTTTCTTCAAAGTCTATTTGTCAGTGGTGGCCAAGATGACCAACTAGAAGTAGCTAGTGTATGTCGCTCTCACGGAGAAGAATGAAAGGGGTTAGTAAATACAGGACCTTCAATTGAAGCATCCAGGTACACTCATTGGGACTAATCAAGGAAACAACTCAACCCATGGAGAATGGAGAAAAGCAAGGCAAGATGACTGTCCCAGGAGCTAACCTCACAGAACCAGGGAAAACTCCCCTACCCAGGGAAGCAGTGAGTGAACCCACACTTCTCTCACAGATCTTTGCAACCCTAGGATCAGGAGATCCCCTTGGGAACTCACTCCACCTGGGCCTTCGGTCTGACATGCAGAGCTACATGGAGTCTCAGAAGAACAGCCACTCAGACACACACAGAGCCCTGGGAGCCTTAGATGACCAGGCTTCCAGGCAAAAGCAGCTGCAACTCTGGAAAAGTGGGAAGTTAGACCCCTGTATATACCCTTGAGAAAAGGACTGAATTCAGGGGTCTGAGCAGCGACAGGCTGCAGGCCTCACTTTCACAGACCTGGCAGGATAAGATCCACTGGCTTGGAACTCTACCAGCCATGGCTACCAGCCTTACACCGATCTGAGATGGAGCTCCCAGAGGGAGGGGTGGGCAGCCACTTTTGCTGTTTGCTGACTTAGCTGCTCTTGCCTTCCGGCTTTGGGACTGATTCTGAGGCGACTGAGGGCTGGAGTGGACCCACAGCACAGCAGCCCTACAAAAAAGTGACCAGACTACTATTTTAAGCAGGTCCTTGATCCCATTCCTCCTCACTAGTTGGGACCTTCCAACTGGGATCTCTAGTCACCTTCTACAGGTGTGTTTGGGCTGGTAACAGGTCAGTACCTTCCTGGGAAGGGGTTCCCAGAGAGAAGGGTAGGCCGCCATCTTTGCTGTTTCACAGCCTTGGGGGTGACTAGGGACTGAAGCAGAAGCAGACGCCCAGCATGCCACAGCAGTCCTACAGAGAAGTGGCCAGACTGTAATGTGTTGGCCCACTCCCATATTTCCTCACTGGTTGGGTCCTCTGGGCCTGGGCCTCCAGCCAACCACCGCCTGGCTATAAAGCCAGTAGCAGCTCTGCAACTCCCTGGGACAGAGCCCCCAGTGAGAGGGGCAGGTTGCCACCTTTGCTGTCTTGCAGCCCTTGCCCTTGCTGTCTCCAGGCTTGGGAGAGTCTGTGAGGACCAGTTTAATACCCCCCGTAAGAGCGGCTCCATGTTTCTCAGAGGTGGAGCCCTGAGTAACAACCAAAAGCCTCACTGCCCATTGCCTCTGCACTGGAAATACCCTTGCTACCCTTGGACTCATGAAGGTATTTAGGTGGAAGCTAGGCAATATAGTGGGTGTGCTCATAATACTGAACAATAAAAACATTCATTTAACACTTGTATGATTGTACATTTCATCTATGAAACCTATTAGGTTAGTGCAAAAGTAATTGCAGATTTTGCCATTTAATGCAGTTTTTACCATTAAATGGCAGAATACTAATACTTAGTGCTAAGTATGAATACCTAATGCTTAACTTCTACCTAAATACCTGTAATTAAAGGAAATTCATTGCACCCTAAGATAGCCTGTTCCATTTTAGGACACCTCATTTTATTGTAGGATGAAAGGATTGTTAGGTCCATTTCCAAGGGCTGTTAAGAGCAAGATGATTTTTACAAATGCTTGGAGACTGCAATTTAGATCAGCGATTAATGATCAACAATTTGCCATTAAATGGCATAAATAGCAATTACTTTTACATCAACCTAATAGTTGCACAGCATTTATAACTAAGCCTTATTCCACATGCTCAAAGTTATTAACTAACATTTGGTCAACTGAAAATCTATGGTCTCGATTCTTTTTTTTTTTTTTTTTTTTTTTTTGAGACGGAGTCTCGCTCTGTCGCCCAGGCTGGAGTGCAGTGGCGCGATCTCGGCTCACTGCAAGCTCCGCCTCCCGGGTTCACGCCATTCACCTGCCTCAGCCTCCCGAGTAGCTGGGACTACAGGCGCCCGCCACCACGCCCGGCTAATTTTTTGTATTTTTAGTAGAGACGGGGTTTCACCGTGTTAGCCAGGATGGTCTCAATCTCCTGACCTCGTGATCCGCCCGCCTCGGCCTCCCAAAGTGCTGGGATTACAGGCGGTCTCGATTCTTTTATTGTCCACAAGAATAAGCACCCTATTTAGATTCACAGGGTTCTCATCTCACAGGACTGCCCTTCCCAGAAGGGGTAAACAACTAGAATTCATTTCAGTTCAAATCAGTTAATAGTAGTTACTGCAAACTTGCTGTATCTTTAATGAATTGCTTAGTCTATTGAGGAAAAAGTTTATATGTGTATATAATCACTAGATAACAGCTCTGAGGACAACATAAGCATGCATAAAATAGCATGGTAAATTCCATAGCCAGGAATACAGAGAGAATTTCAATAAAGAAAGAAAATTAAGAAGCAAAGCATTCCAATTGAGTCTAGAATCTTACTATAGCTTGAAACTTCTCAGGGCAAAGCTAAGAATTAGAAGATATTTGTAATCAGGAGACAAACCTATTTTTTTTCACTGTTTCCTCCTTTGAGTATTGAATTCTTATTGAATCTCAACTCTTCTTCAAACTTGGTATTAGAAAAAATACTGATCAGATTATTTTCTGATTCATATTAGATTATATGATGATTAAATAGCATTTAGCCCAGTGATAGACACATTAGTAATCCCTAAGCAAATGGTAGCAATTATTATCAATAAAGCATTGGAATTCTTTTTTTTTTTTCTTTTTTGAGACGGAGTCTCACTCTGTCACCACACTGGACTGCAATGGCCTGATCTTGGCTCACTGCAACCTCTGCCTCCTGTGTTCAAGTGATTCTCCTGCCTCAGCCTCCTGAGTAGCTGGGACGACAGGCATGGGCCACCACGCCCAGCTAATTTTTGTATTTTTAGGAGAGATGGGGTTTTACTATATTGGCCAGGATGGTCTCAATCTCTTGACCTCGTGATCTGCCCGCCCCTGCCTCACAGGCGTGAGCCACCCCGCCCAGCCAAAGCATTGTAATTCTAAGAGTATTAACAGGAGATAAAAATGTGTAATAAAATGGAATACTATTTTAAAGAATATATTATTTTACTATTATAAAAGCGAGTTACAGAAAGATGTATGTAAAATGATATCTTTGACACACACACGAAGTTACTATATGTTTAAACGTATTGGTTTAAAATATGTTAAAATATATTAATGCACATAAGAAGAATATACTCTCACTTAACAATAAGTGGTTTTCTCAGGCAAAGGAGGTGAAATTATGTCTATAACAATTTTATTTAAAAATAAGACAGCAGAAAAATTTAAATATGCAGAAAAGTATAATGAAATAAAATCCATAAGCACCCTCTTAGTAACCATTGCCAATATTTTAGTTATTTCTCTTTTAACCAGTTATATTTTTATCTTACATAGTTGAAATCCTCTACCAACATTTTTATAATCTACCTTAAGCATTTTCTCCTCTCGATGTTTATTGGTAAACATTTTTAAAATTATTCCTCTATTATGTTTACTAATTACAAGGCTAAAATGCTCTCATAGGAAAATGTAGGGAGAATGTATGTATGAAGAAAAATTTAATAATCTTCCCTCCCCTTTACCCTCTTCAACACCACCCTCTTGATTTAATCAATGTTAACATGCTGATGGGTGTATATATAACGCATACACACACGTACACACACAAATTCGTTCCAGCTTTATCCATGCCCATTGAACATTTTTTTTTACAAAATTACAAAATCCATTTATAAGTTCATTCAACAATTATTAATTAGGCATATTATGTACTCCAAGCAGTGAGGATATAACTGTGTACACTACAGACAAGATCTCTGCATTCATGGAGCTCTCACTTCACATTATATCATGATCATTCTTCAATGTAAATGTACAGATATGTCACTGCATATTAATAGCTGCCTAGTATTTATGTACTATTTACTTCTAGTAGCTAAAGATAATGACAGATAGATGGATAGATAGAAAAGCAGATAGAAAATAGATATTGTGTGTATATATATATGTTTTATATATATATAACATACATATATATATATACACAAAAGACATCTATTGTATTACAGATAATCCTAAACCAATCTGCAAAAGAGTCATGTTTTTCCATGCAATGTATAATTGAGACAATTTTCCTATACAATCACCAGTTTGGGAAATTACAATATAGTTTTCCGTTTTTGTCACTGTTGTTGGTAAAAACAACAAAAAAAAACACTTTATATCTGCTTTAATTTGTACTTGCTGATTTCTAATAAGTTTGGTCATCTTCTCAATGTTTATTTGATATTTGAAAGTTTCTATAAAAAGCTTTTGCCCATTTTTAATTCTATTTGTTCTCTTTTTCTTATCAAATTGTAGAACCCCTGTATATTAGTGATAGTAACCCTGTTTCATCTAATTGCAAGTATTTTTCCTTCTCTGTCATTGGCATTTTTACTTTCTTATGGTAGTTTCCACCCTACAATTTCTACAAATATTTATGTTGTAAAATTTTTTGTCTCTGATTGATGGCTTTTTTATCTTTCCTGCCATAAAGTTATAGAAAGAGTCTCCTCTATTTTCAGTTTTTTCACATTTAGATATTTAACCTGTCAGAAATATGTATTTTGTAAATAATGTGCAACAGTCATTCAAATTTCTTTTCTTATGGATAGAAAATCAAATGTGTTAGTATCATCTACTAAATAATTACATTATAATATATTGAAAGAATACTATTGTCTTATATTAAGTTCCCAACTATTCTTTATTTGTAAGCTCTGTTCTTCCCCAACAGTCTATGTGTCCAATCCAATACCAAAAGCATATATTTTATTACAGTGACTTGACTATGTATTTTAACATCTGGTAGGACAAACCCACATTGGTCATTCTGTTTATAAAATATTCTTGGTTATTCTTAGATATTTATTATTCAATTTAAAATTTTTAAACAGATTTACCCAGTTCCAAAATTAAACTCTACTTTGAGTCTGACTGGTATTGCACTAAGATTGATGTAAATTTGGAAGCACTAACATTTTTATATTATGTCTTCCCATTTAAATATATATCATATTACTTAATTTGGTTTTTATCATGTTTTACATCCTTGAATGATATTTTATTATGTATTTTAAATAGAAATTTGCCTTTTCAATTTCTCTCTCATATGTTTTTCCTTCATGACAAATGTGAGTTTTTTGCAAATTTAAAAGAAAGCAATAGATTATCATGTATTTAGCCTATATTCAGCCACTTTCCTTGGCCTATAATTAATTACACTAATTTAATAAAGTGTCAAATATTTCTAAGGTATTATTAGTTTAATTGTTCAGCATTATAATGCATGTTATTGTGGGGACTTATTGCATTGACTATGATTTCAAAACAACATTAAATAATGCTGCTGGTAGATGTCTTATTTTTTATTTTAGTGAAAATTGCTTTAATATTTTATATAATATTTATTTTTAGTATGTGGCAAAAACATGTATTTTATTTATTTTCCCTTATTCTTATTTCACGTTAGATCAAAAATGTTTTTGAAGTTTATGAAATCTTTCTTCAAATATTTGTATGAACATAAAGGTTTTCTTTTTACAATTACCAATGTAATTATGTTGATAGATTTCCTATTGTTAAAAAATGTATATATATCTGTAGTAATTAATGCATTGCTCTTTTAACACTACTGGATTTGATTTACCATTCAGGATTTTTTCTGTATGTGTATGTTAAATTTGTTTATAGTTTTATTTTCTTATCTTTATTAAGAATTGGTACTGAAATTATATTTGCATTATAAAATTAAGTGATCCATTTACATCTTTTTTATAATCTGAGTAATTTATTAGTTATTACAGGCTATAAATAACTTGGCTTTTAAAACAACAGAAGCATAATTCCTGTGTAATAGTAAAAATTTTTATTAACATTCCTATATTGATGAATCAAGACTTAAATATCTAAGAAAACAAAATAGTTAATGAAAGGACAAACATAGTATCATATAAAGGAAGAGCACTAAAATGTCAATATTTTATTAAGACAGATGTGTAAAAGTTTTAGACAAATGCCCAGTAGCTGCTGAATTCCAATTTTACAAATTAAACAATTTGTGGTAAAAAGCCTCCACAGAGGCCCCCTTATGAAATTTGCTCCTTTTGAGTGCGGGCTAGACCTAGTGACCCATTTTTAATGAATAGGCTACAACAAAGGTCATGAGATGGCCCTTCTCAAATCAGGTTACAAAGAATCCGGCTAACATCTTGTGCTTGTGCTCTCGCGTGCTCTCTCTCTCTTTTTTCTCTTTCCCTCAGTTTGGGGGAAGCAAGCTGCCATGTGAGCTTCCCTATGAAGAGATCCATATGGTAGGGAACTTGAGTCTCTGGCCAGCAGCTAGTATTGACTTGAGGCCCTCCCATGTCCACAGGAGGATACAACAGACTTTTCAGTGGTCAATGAATGGATTTCTCGAGTAAACACAGGGTATTTATGCTCTGATTTCCCCACCACAAGATTCTAAAATTTTACGTTTTACAGCTGGGGAATTTTTGTAAAATTCCTATATGTGGTTTGACTAATTGTACTTTTTTATTATGATTACTTATACCTAACAGCTTTGTCACCATCTTTTTCTAAGTGTAATCTTTTAGAATAACAATTCCTTTTCTCAACAGCTGAGAAGCTAAAGGTGAAACACAGTTTTAGGTAACCCTGTACAGGAGGATTGCAGTGAATTACTAGCACCAGAGCTTCTGTCCACTTATCATCACCTTAGGAACAGTGGGGAAAAAAAAAAAAGAAAGATTGCAGGAAGAAAAGTCTTTTTCTTTCCTTCCCTTGTTGACTTCTCAGCACCACACATTCATACACAAGACATACACACAGACATGCACAGAGACACAGACATTCTTCTAGCCAACCAGGATGCTGCAGAATTTGGTGTGACTCTAAAATTTTAACTATGTTCCCGACTCATTAGAATAGCACCTTTATATTTGTTTACCCAAAACAATGACAGTAGAACGACATTTGAACCACTTTCTTCTTTAATGAGAAGGAGAATTTTAATGAGGTTCAGTTTCACTTATTTATGTCAGCCAGTATGAGATCTCTAATCAGAGCCTTGGTGTGATTCCCGTTGGCAGGACAGCAATAAAAGGCACGGAAAGAGCCCATTTTAGTAAAGTAAACACATTGCTGTTAAGAAAGTGCGGTCTGTAGTGAATTCTAATAAAAGGAATTAGATTACCCATCCCCATCTTATTGTTTACTACAGCACTTTCTTCTATGCTATTCTGAAATCTTAACAATTTAAAATTTGGATGTTTAACACTATCTCTTTTTTTAAAAAAAAATTCCCATTTTCAGATTATTAAGGGTATTTTAAACTACTAAAACTTTCCTAAATACAAATAAGAAAACAAGATAAAATTTGCATGTCTTTGGCCTAAAATTAAATCAGACTCTACTATCATCTTATCATCTGACTAGATTCCACTCTCTAATCTCTAAAACTTGGCCATTAAGTCATCCATATTATACAGTACAGCAGCAAATAGAAGCAGATCAAAAGAAAGAAGCAAATGTGAAAAAAGCAGGTTTGGGTTTTTTCCCTAAGTATATTAAAAATATTTGGTTATACTGTAGAGTGACTAGGAGTGCTTTCTGTGAGATTTCATGGAGGAAGTGTTGTATAATAGAAAGAAAAGCTCTAATCTTCTTTGCTTTGTTATTTTGTAAAGGATAAGGTGAAGAAAAAGAAAAGAAATGCATATTTAAGGCTTGTTTCCCCAGAGCATGTCTCCTCTTCATATCATCTGTTTAACTTATTCCATCACAAAGCTGAATCCCCAGGCTCGCAGAGAGTGCAGACAAAAATAGTCAAATTTTAAGAATCCAGGTTGAATTTTATGCTACTTGTATTTACTCAAATCATTTTTTACTTAAATCTGTTTCAGTGCTTGAAGGACAATCTTAGCACAGACTGTGAGAAAGTCAAGTCTCGAACTTAGGTCTTTCCTCATAGAAGGAAAAGTTCTATCCTCCCAAACCCAAATGTGGGGTTTTATTTTTCCTTCATTAAGTATATCAACAGAAACATTCCTGATAATTCAGTAAACAATAGATGTTGTGCCTTTTAGGAGAAAAATACAGCAATTCCAGAGAATGAGAATTTCTATTTGGGTGTAGGCCTGAGCAGACAGTTCTCGTAATGGCACTAAAGTCTGGCTGGCAGCCTTCCCCAGTGGTGGTGTTGCTGGCCATGTCCACTATGCCTGATGCCCAAGTGACCATGACATCAGAAATAAACAGATTCAGCCAAACAGTCAATTAATAAATATGTTCTAAACCTTCTGCGTATTCAGCACTGTGCTAGGCACCACGATGGACATAAAGTATTACACCTCAAGAAGCTTGCAGTCATCCAGCAGAAAAATGAATGCTCTTGACCAAGATAGATAAGTCAATCAAGAGTATTAAGACACAATCCAAAAACCCAGACTATGGTTTAACTTTGTGACCTTGGGCCAAACAGAAAACTCTGGGTCTTCATCTCCTCATGGAGAAATTAAGGGGAATAAGCTAAATTATTTCCCCTAAAGATTTAATGATTGATCCCATGGATTAAGTTGTGAATTACATGCTCCTGAAGAGAAACTGGGTAACGTAATATATAAGCATGTAAACTCTGTAGTCTAGCTAAGACTATCTTGGCTCAAATCCTGCCCCTATCACTTACTCACTGTGAGAATTTAAATGAGTAACCTAATCTTGCAACCCTAAATTTCCTCAGCCAGTAAGTAGGAATATTAATGGTATTTACATCATTGTACAAGGAGGCTTAAATTAAGTAATATACTGTGTGAGTTAGCTCTTGCTTAGAAACACCCCATCCAAAATACAGTGGCTTAAAAAAACGAGCATCTTATCGTTTGAGTCTATGGGATATCTAGGTGTTTCCATTGGTCTTAGCTGGGCTCACTTTTGCATCTTCAGTCAATTGTGGATCAGACAGGCAATTCTATTGCATGTTTCGGTACAGCTGGTATAAACTAACCTGGGAAGATCTTAAGAGGGACAGCTGGACTCTCCTCCACATGGATTTCATTCTTCAGCAGGTAGTCAAAGCTTAATCCCATAATGGAAGGGTTTCAAGATAGAGAGTGAAGATACACAAGGCCTCTTGAGGCCTAGGCTCAGAACTGATACGTTATCAACTTTACCACATTCTATTGACCAAAGTAAAATACAAGTTCAGTCTAGATTCAAGAGACAGAGAAATAAATTTCACCCCTTGGTGGATAAATAGGTATGGATACCTGGAGAGGGTAGGGGATATTGAAGAATTGAAGCTGTTTTTGCAATTAATCTACAACATTCTTTAAAGAACTTAAACTGCCTGGTGCTTAAGTATCGATTATTATCACTACAAGTTTCAGTAAGAATTTATAGGGTAGAATCATAGAATGCATCATATATATGGGATCAAAGCTGGACATTCTTAAATTAATAGACAGAATTTCCATGTAGATGGCATGGGAAGTGAGTAACACGGAACATAAGAATTGAGTGAGGGATGGAGAATACTAGACAATGTAAGGGTCACTACTGGATGTTGGAGGTATGTCAGGAATTAACATAATGGAAAGGTAGACCCTAATAGGATCCATTGGCTTGAGTGCACATTGAGCATCCCTACCAAAGTAGGGCTATAACTTGCCAACCTCTCCTCTGTCCTTCTACCTACCTTTATTCAGAAGCCAAAGCATTTGAAAACCAATGAGGCTGCAATCAGTCTTTTCACTAAGCAATCTTGGCCAATCCAGCACAAATAATTAAGGATAATAGCTTGGACTAGCTGTAGGTAAAACAAGTGATACTTAGACTGATAAGACGGCTAAGAAGCAAATGTGGGCAATGCAAATATGTCTGCTCCAAGACCTCCTGGGAGAGAGGTCCATGTTTGCGGCTACAAACTAATGACTTTAACAAGAGAATTTTCAGTCAGTGGGGAAGAAAATCTGGGGAAGGAAAAGCCTTTCCATGCTTCTTGTCCAGTCACAGGATGGGCTTATCTTAGAAATCAACCAAGTTGTATACATTTTTTTTTTCTATGAAAACTTGGCAACATATTGTGAAGGTTGGGGCTTAGAAGAGAAAATGGCCAAAGATACCAAAATTCCTCTGACTAGATTCCATTATGCAATCAATAATTCCTAAACATCGTTTACATTCAAGGCCTTATAGGTGCTACATTGGCTCCATATATGAACATGACACAATCCTTGCTCCTGACAAGTTTGTGTTCTTACCATCAGATGCAGAAAATAATCGTTAATAGTGGCTTATCCTTTGAACATTGATAATCCCTCAATGGGAACAACATTTAGCATGTTCTAGTAACCAGAAAAGTTTGTTTTATCAAAATCAGGCATTGTGTGAGGTCAAATTTCCAAACTTCCTTCTGTTTATGTGCAGTTTAACACAGTGAACTAGATTCAAGGTTTACAATTAGAGAGCTAGCTGACTGCGTTTCTGGGTTTAAGTCCTGGCTCTGATGTTAGGTCATAGAAATGTTTTTAAAATTCCTTAGACTTCAATGTGGTTCACCTGTAAATTAGGGATCAGTAATAATTATTTGCCTTACAGGGTTAGTGTGGGAATTAAATGTGATAAAACTTATTCCTTAAAAAAAGCTATTATCTATAAATTGCTTAATGTCATTTATTTTGCATCTAAGAAGTACCCAGCACCATGCTAACAATTCATAGATAAATACAGAATTTTTCCTTAAGGAACTTATAAATTATTTGGGGGAAATATTGATACCTAACTACAAAACAGGTTGTGATAATGATAACAAATTGTTATAAAAGCCGAAAAGAATGATTAATTAAGAAAGTAGGCAGACAAATGAGCCGAAAGATAACAAATAAGGTGTGGCATAAGAACTGGGTCTTAAAGAATGACTAGAAATTTGTGTAACAAATAAGCTGTAATAAAGGCAAGCCCTGCATGAACACTGGACAAACACTTGGGAAATAACAAGTTGGCCCTTGCGGCTAGTCAGGAGAGAGTTCTTAGAGGGGCATTCTGCCCAGTTGTAAAAGATCTCATTGTTTTGAGAAGAATCAGGACTCTAGTTTTTTGGCCTTGTGGGGACATCAATGCTTTTTGAGCAGGGAAGGAAATAATGCACCTCAGTTTTATAGGAAGATTAATTTGAAGACAATATACAGGACAAATTACAGAACCAGAATTGGAGATATAAGTAAGAATCTTTTTCCACTAATCTGGATGAGGGCTGATGAGACAATGAACCGAGAGAGATGGTGTGGAGAGGTGGAGACAAAGGATGGATTTGAGTACTCTTTCAGAGGAAAAGGAAACAAACTTCCTGACTGAATGAATATGGAAAGTGAGAGAAATCAAAGATGACTCAGAGGCTTCTACCAGGATAGTTGTGTGGATGGCAGTGCCATTAGCCAAGACACAATTCTCAGAAAGGAATATATTTTGTAAGAAGGAATAGAATGCATTCAATTTGGAGTAAGTTGGGTTTGACAAGCCCGCAAGATATCCAGATGGAAATGTCCAGAAGGCTGGGGAACAGATGTAAAGTGAGCAATTTACTTTGCCTTTCTTTCTTCCACTGCAAAATGGATGGGATATTGCTTGCCACTTCTCCCCAAGGACCAGAGAGAGGATTAATGAGGCAGTATTCACATTTATTCCACACTAAGGATCAATGAGAGCTTGGCAAAGTATTAGGTTGGCGTTCCATTATGTTAAGTTGAAAACAAAGCAGCTTTGACAGGAAAGTCATTGAAAGAAGAGAGTGCAAACCTGCAAGACCACAGGCGTGGGCACTAACACGTTTCCAGCTGAAAGCAGTGAAAGAAAAGCCGCTTTCTGTTGTCTGCCCTTTTCTCTTTGTCTTCCTTCCCTGAGCCACCAGGACTCAGCCAAATGTGAGTTTAGGAGTTGGTCAAATAAAGATCTTGCAACACTTTCCAGTAAAACTCATTTCACAATTTCTCAATCTGTCAATAACATTGATTTCTGGAACAAGCTGTGATTAGCTGCTTCTGTCCGAAGTAAGAGTACCTTTGCATTATCTCATATGCCCATGTTTGCAACAGAGATTTTTAAGTGGACAGTTCTGCAAAGAAATCACCAGGCCACACATGCCTGAGACCACTGCCAAGCCAGCAGCACATATCTGAGATGTCTCTTCTAAAAATGGGGACTTGGAGATAGAATTATGCCTATTCCTATAATGGGAATCTTCCATAATAATTCAAAACACATTAATTCACAAATTTTATTTCCTTTTCCTAAACCTCAGAAGGTGTGAGGAAAAAAAATTGCATGGAAAATATATAATAGAAAGAACATGTTCTTTAACTAGTCAGACAGACCTGATTTCAAATTTGTCACTTACTGTGTCCAGAACATTGATTCTGGTCTCTCTTCGCCTCAGTGCCCTTATTTGCAAAGCATAGTGTCATGAGGTTGCACTCTTGTCACTTGTTATCTGTGTGACCTAGTGCAAAATACTGAGACTTTCAGCTTCAGTTTTCCCATCTGTGAAATGAGGATAATATTACCTATCATAGGACATGTCACTGTTAAATGATATAAAATGAAAGTCTTTAGCCTTGGGTCTGACACACGGTTATTACTAAATAAATGACAGTTGTTATGCTGCTAGTGGTACTGCTGCTGCTAATGATGTGATAATTTGGAGATTAGTAATTACAAAGCCCTAATAAATGTAAATTTAAATATGGAGAGTATAAGTAGGGATATCACGGTAAGTAGGTCCTGTGTAATATAGGTGGTTACAATAGACGTGAGAGGTTATTTTAAATAGGAAAATAAAGAGCCAAAAACAGCCTTGGAGAGATAAAAGGACAATTTTACCTGCTTTGCTTTGGTTTAGATAAAGAAAGTCTAATAAATTGTCTGGACATAAAAATACTAAAATAAAATAAAAACATGAAATTATTTTTAGTTGCCCTATTATAGAGCCAATTCCTTCAACCCCAGTGGTAGTTCTCCTGATGCTCATGGAAAGAGTCTTAGAAGCAGGCCCAGGGACATTGGCCTCTCTTGGCCTTAGCCTAGGAAAACCTCTGAATATGCAATGAGAAGAATGTCAGTGATATCTTCAGCCACTAGGATAATCAGCAGAGAAGACAAGACAAAAATAGATGGCCCCTAGCTTCCAGTCCAGTGGTTTCAGGAACAGGTAGCACTTTCAGTGAAAATCAGAACTACTTTATTTTATAAAAATTTTCCTCTCTTTCCTTAAAAAAAAGATGGCTTCTCCTCCAGTATGTTATCTGTAGCCATGTTGGCATTTTAAAATAGCTTAACCATATATTCCTAAAAGACAAGGTCATTCAGGAATAGAATCAGGAAGTAGGCCAAAAAATGGGACTCCCTTTCTCCTTCCTTCCCATGATTACAGGTTGCTGAAACTAGAAATAACCTAAAGTCACTACGAACCAGGAACCAAGTCAGGGATAGAATACAGTTTCAAGATTACAGCCTGGGTCAACCCAGAAATCCCATTACTGGGATTATAAACAAGGGAATATAAATCATTCTCTTATGAAGACACATGCATGCATATGTTCATTCCAGCACAATTCACAATAGCAAGGACATGGAATCAACCTAAATGCCCATCAAAGATAAACTGGATAAGGAAAATGTGGTACATATACAGCATGGAACACTATGCATCCATAAAAAAGAATGAGATCATGTCCTTTGAAGGAACATGGATGAAGCTGGAAGCCATTATCCTTAGCAAACTAATGCAGAAACAGAAAACCAAATACTGCATGGCCTCACTTATAAGTAGGAGCTAAATGATGAGAACACATGGACACATAGAGGGGAACAAAACACACTGGGGCCCATTGGAGGGTGGAACGTGGGAGGAGGGAAAGGATCAGGAAAAATAACTAATGGGTACTAGGTTGATACCTGGGTGATGAAATAATCTGTACAACAATCCCTCATGATACACGTTTACCTATATAACGAACCTGCAAATTTACCCCAGAACTTAAAAGTTAAAAAAAAATATGACAGGTGATCTGAAAAAAAATGATTACATCCTGTATTCTTTCAATTAGTTCCTGCTTCTTAACACTGCTGTGTTTCTGCATGCTGTTCCTAAATTCAGTTTCTCAATCCCCCCAGAGTGTCCTCCCCACTCCCAAGCACCTAAGGTTACTTATCCCATTCCTCAGAGAAGACCTAGTAATTTAATCATCCTCAGGAAATAAGAATGTATTGTGTTATCTCTCCCAGGAGTATCTACTAATCTCCCTGGGTAAAAGAATAATTGATCTTAATGATGTAGGCTTTGTCCCATCTTTTATTCCACTTCATTTGAATTTGGAGGAATTTGCCCACATCTCCCTTCTACTGTACCCCTCTCCACAACCACTATAAGGACGGAATTTCAAGCAATTGCATCTAAGGAAGAGGGGGAGAAATATAAATTGAATTTGCCCTTCTTATCACCTCCTTAAGCCACACCATGGGTACCATGACTTATTTTATCTCTTAATAGGACCAGCACTGGTTATAGGAAAGCAAAAAAATCATCCATAATAACAGTAACAACTGTCCACATAAATTAGTTTCCACTTCCCTGATGCAAGTTGCTGGATGTGTGAATAGTGGGACAGCTTGCAATGGAAGGGAGGAAAGTTTATTTTATATCACACTCAAAATCTGTCTGATATTTGTGATGGATTCATTGTTATATACATTGTAAAAACTAATCTTCTGGATAGAATGCTTTGACTTACTAATACGTTACTTTGCTGAATAGAGAAGGGAAGTAAATATTTATAAATAATTTGATTCTCATTGTCAGCAACAATATTAAGATGTTGCCTTTCATTGTAGCACAATATTGCTATTAAAGTTAAATTATTTCCAAAAACGATTGTGTAGTTGGCCAATTAACTATTGTGGTGACCTTGACCTTTCATTTATGCTGAAAATTAATAACTATTACATACTGTTTTGCCCCAAGGAATATCAATGTTTGAAATTATTTGTGAAAATATAACTTCAGCTGACTGACCTCATTAAAATATAAATGCCAAAACATATAGCTGCCAAATTCTAGAGATTAGAGAAACAAAGTGAAGAAGTATAATTCTTAAAGGTGAAAGTTCTTACAGTGATAACTGTGCAAATATTACAGCATTATTATAATGTTTCTCAGGAAAAGTGTATTACAAATTTTTTCCATACTTAGTCCCCCAAAATGGATTTTTAAGGCAGGTTAAGCAAAAGTCATATGCAATAAAACCTTTATGACAAGGATTATAATGACAAAAAAACTGAAAAATAAATGAAAGCCCTGTACCATTTGTGGTTAAGAACATAATCTTAAGGTTAGAAATAAGTATTAAAACAGAATATAAAGTGTGGCACTCAGATTCATGACATCTATAGGAAAAAAACTTATTTGCTCAGGAGGGACAGTTTTACTTAGCACCAAACTCTAAGGGGAATTTATAAAAGTTACATTAGACAAATAACATTAACTAGTTATTGAACAATGAATTAAGTAGCTGTTTTACCATACATAAACCAAATTTATGTGATTAGGTTCTATACATATCTGTAAGAACAGTCACAAAAAATTCCAAGAGAATAATAAAATCATAGTTCTGTGAAGAGTTTCTTTTTTTTTTTTTTTAGTTTTATTTTAGGTTCAGGGGTACATGTGCAGGTTTGTTATATAGGTCAACTCGTGTCACAGGGGTTTGTTGTGAAAATTATTTCGTCACCCCGGTACTAAGCCTAGTCCTCCAAAGTTATTTTTTCTGCTCCTTTCCTGCCTCCCATCCTCCGCTTTCAAGAAGACGCCAGTGTCTGCAGCTCCCTTTTTTGTGTTCGTGAGTTCTCATCTGTTGGGAGTTTCTACTTGGCTCTAAAATGTTGCATTTCACCAATGCTATATTTGGGGGCCTAACTGATAACAGGAATAAAACCTCTGAAAGGAAAAGTCCACCTCTTGATGTTTGGAACAAATTGCTCTATGGATGATTGGTAAGCAACAGAACTCTTTATGAGTAGGCATGTGCTATGGGCTGAATGTTTATCCCCCCATTTCCACCAAATCCATTTATTGAAACATAATCTCCAGTGTGATGCTAGTAAGTGGGACCTTTGGGGGTGACTAGGTCATGAGAGTGGAGTTCTCACAAATGAGATTAGGGCCCTCATAAAAGAGGCCCACAGAAGCTTGTTTGCTCCTTTTACCATGTGAGGACATGGTGAGAATGCGCCACCTATGAACCAGAGAGCAGCCCTCACCAGATACCACGTCTCCAGGTACCTTGATCTTAGACTTGCAGCCTGTAGAACTATGAGAAATAAATATCTATTGTTTAAAAGCCACCCAGTTTACTGTCGTTTGTTATAGCAACCTGAGTGGACAAAGACAGCATGTCATCACCAATCAATACAAATTGCTGATTTTTTTACAGGGTTTTGGGGAAACTGGGGTTCAGGAATTGATGGACTTTCAGAAGAGGGAGTGATTTGGAGTTGGTTGATCTTTATCCATGGAAGTGTCTCTAAAAGTAGAAGTATCTCTTTAGACGCACAAGTGTCTCTAAAAGTCACTCACTATTGCTGATTGGCTGACCTTCAGAAATGTGGCACTGTCACCAACTGGGTAGTTTTCAGAAGCATGGTTATAAAAGCAAGTTATCAGGGATTGATTAGAATAGATTAAAGCCAAAAAAACCCAGCAAATCTTTTCCTTTTTTGAGTTTAGAATATAGAAAGTTTTCATTCTCAGAGCAGAGAATCTAGAAATGATTTTACTCCTTCCCAAGTTGCCTAAGCTAGAATTTTTAAGACGCTCATAAGTAATCAAATTAAGGTTTAGTCCTCATTGAGTCCTTGAATAACAAATTTTCATGCTTTGATTATAGGAGAGCAACATTGCCTTGGAAATCAGATGTATAAGTAATAAAGCTAGCATATTATAAAAAGTGAAAAATCTAAGTTAATTACTCTCCTATATACCATCAATCAATAATAGTAATTTGTTATTAAAAACATCATTTACATTAGCACCAAAAAAGTGGTTAGGCATAAATCTTTTAAAAAATTATGTACAAGATATACATGAGAAACTATATAAACTATAAAACTATAAAACTTTGATGAAGAAATTTAAAAAAGTCTATATAATTATAGACACATTGCATGTTCATGGATAATAAGAAGACTCAATATTGTTTAAGATGTCAGATCTTCCCAACTTGATCTATAAACACAATCCCAATAAAAATGCTATAAAGTCATTTTGTAGATATCAACAAACTGATTCTAAAGCTTTTGTGAAAGGCAAAAGACCCAGAGAGGCTAACACAATATTGAAAGAGAAGAACAAGGTCATAGGACTGACTACAAGACTTACTGTAAAGCTACAGTAATCAAGACAGTGTGGTAGGGTAAAAGAATAGACAAATGGGTCATGAACAAAATAGACGGCCTAGGAATAGACCCAAACAAATATAGTCAACTGATCTTTGACAAAGTAGCAAAGACAATTCAATGGACAAAGGACTGTCTTTTCAACAGGTGGTGCTAGAACAATTGAACATCCTATTGCCAAAAAAAAAAAAATGAATCTAAACACAAAACTTACACCTTTCATGAAAATTCAAAATGGATCATAGACCTAAATGTAAAACACAAAACTATAAAACTTGTAGAAGATTAAATATGAGAAAATCTAGATGACCTGTGGTTTGACAATGAGTTTTTCAGATACAACACCAAAAATATCATCTATGAAAAAAAAATGACGAGTTGAACTTTATTTATTTTTTTTTTTACTCTGTGAAAGACAGTGTTAAAAAATTTAAAAGACAGGTAGCAGGCTGGGAAAAGATACTCGCAAAACACATATCTAATAAAGGACTTAATTCAGAATATAAAAACTATTAAAACTCAACAGTAAGAAAAACAAACAATCCAGTTTTAAAAATGGGCAAAAGATCTGAACAGACATCTCACCAAAGAAGACATACAGATGGCAAATAAGCATATGAAAAGATGCCCAACATCATATGTCATTAGAGAAGTGCAAATTAAAATCACAATGAGTTATCACTACACACCTATTAGTATGGCCAAAATCTAGATCACAGACAACACTAAATGCTGATGAGGATGTGGAACAACAGTAACTCTCATTCATTATTGAACAGAATGCAAAATGGCACAGCCACTTTGGAAGAATGTCTGGCAGTTTCTACAAAGTTATATGTAGTTTCACCATACAGTCTAGCAATCGTGTTCCCTGGTGTTTAGCCAGTTGAGTTAAGAATGTATGACAACACAAAAACTTGCACTGGATGTTTATAGCAGCTTTATTTGTAACTGCCAAAACTTGGAAGCAACTAAGATTTCCTTCAAAAGGTGAATGCATAAACAAATTGTGTTATAGCAATACAGTGGAATATTATTCAGCAATAAAAAGAAATGAATTATGACTCCATGAAAAGACGTGGAGGAATCTTAAATGCATATTTCTAAGTTAAAGATGCCAGTCTGAAAGGGTTCATACTGTACAAATCTAACTATATGATATGGAAAAGAAAAAATTTCAGAGAGAGTAAAAAAGGTTAGTGGTTGCCAGGGGCTTGGCAGAAGGACTGGAAGAATGGATAAGTGAAGCACAGGGGATTTTTGGGGTAGTAAAACTATTATGTATGATACTGTAATGATGGATATGCAACATTATGCACTTATTAAAATCCATGGCACTGTACAACACAGTGAACCCTAATGTAAACAATGGCCTTTGTTTAAAATAATGTATCAATAATGATTCATCAACTGTAACAAATATGCCACACTAACGCAAGATGTCAAAATAGGTGGGAGGGAGAGAGTGTGGGGAAAATTTCTGTTCGATTTTTCTGTAAACCTGAAATTACTCTAAAAAAGAAAGCAAAATTATTTTAACAACAAATGAAGAATACGACTTGACTTCTTGCCCAAGTGGAAGCCATCCTATGCCTACAAGGAAATAAGCTACATGAGTCAAATAATGAGGCATAAGTCAAGACAAAACTTTTCTCAGGAAGCTGATTTAGATTTGCTCATAAGGTCAAAACTGAGTATATTTACATTTTATAAATTTTTTAAAATCCAGTAGGACTCTGAGGATACATGGCTTACCCTTGGTTCTCCTGCATTTTCAAGTGTCCTTCAGCACATCAACAAACCACTTCACTCTAAAGACCATTGACTTACTTTCCTAGATCTGGGTAGGAATATGAGTTGAATGCAAAACATTTCTTGTACAACAATCATATATGAAGCAGGCTTGGGCACAAAGAGTGCTGTGACATCCTGTCAAAGAGGTGGGAGAAAGCAGAAGCAAGTGTAAGATTGAGGCTAAGGATGAAATAACTGGAGAGAGAAGACACTAGTCCAAGTTATAAAGTCTCAGATAGTACAAGAAAACTGAGACTGAGCTAAATATTGATAAACAAGTGGTAGAATCATGTATCAGGCATTGTATGGGGACATAGACATCTTAATGACAAAGGTGGTCAAGTCAGGTGGAGACCAGAAATCAAGCTCCATTCAAGGAGAGCCCTACTGGGAAAGGCAAAGGAGTTGGGGGCTCTAATCCTACAGACTGGAGTTCTAAGGACATGATCAAGTCCCATTAGCTAAGACCTAGAGTAGAAGCTAGTTGCATGGCTCTGGAAGCATGTCCATCACATGCAAGGGGAATGGAGACTATAGATCCAGGCTCATCACCTGCTAGGGCTCTGCTCCTCCACTGGATGTTTTCCGGACATTCTAGACCACACTCTGGTGGGGGTAAAAATAAAGCCCATAATACCCTGTAATATTTTGTTCTCACTGGTTTCAAAGTTAAGTGGAGCCTAGTAACAGACCTCTAGTAGGTCCTGCTAGCCTGAGCAGAGGTAGTCATTTTCTGAAATATTTGATAGAGTAAATTCTGAAGTGAATTCCTTGCCAAAGAGGCTATGACTTTGTAGGACTTCCCTGTGGGCAGCAGTTAAGCCCAAGAGCACTGGGTGAGTTGGTGCTGCAAAGGCTAGAGGGCCAGACGAGAGGAGGGTAACACCTCTTTAATATCATTCCTCCCAAAATACATTTGGAATTGTTTGCAGACATCCCAACTCTTTTTCCCTGGAAACTGGGCAGATCATTTCTCTGTGTCCATTGTTCTTCTGAAGCCTAATTTTTCCAACCTCGTTTCCCAAATGTCAAACCCCATTCAGGGAGGAGAACTCAAGGTAAAAGCTAAATGGGAACTGAAAGGAGAGTATGCATGTGTGTTTCTCATAAAACATGCATCTTTAGCTGAATATGGTGACATCTTATTAGTACAACTCACACTTGATAACTTGAAGACATCTCCTCCTGACCCAGATTATGTCCCTGGCTTACACGGTAAGATAAATAAAGAAACATAGCATAGTGTGTAGCTACACTGAAAGGTGGAGGGCAGAGAAGGAGGAAGAAATGGAGAGGGAATTCAAATGGTTTCCTAGGCATGGCCAGTTATTAGCATCCTCTGGTTAGAACACTCCCACAGTGCTGCTGCTCCCATGCATCCTTACAGAGGAGGAGACAATTCAAGTGAGCTTCATCAAATAAAAATGTATGGAATACCTATATTATGCTGAAAACTGCTAATACATTAAGGGCCAGAGAGGATACCAAGAGGTAGAAGGGCCGGGCACGGTGGCTCAGGCCTGTAATCCCAGCACTTTGGGAAGCTGAGGCGGGCAGATTGTGAGGTCAGGAGATCAAGACCATCCTGGCTAATATGGTGAAACCCCACCTCTACTAAACATACAAAAAAGTAGCTGGTACTAAACATACAAAAAGCAGCCGGGCATGGTGGCACGCACCCGTAGTCCCAGCTACTTGGGAGGCTGAGGCAGAGCTTGAACCCAGAAGGAGGAGGTTGCAGTAAGCCGAGATCGCACCACTGAACTCCAGCCTGGGTGACAGAGCAAGACTCCGTCTCAAATAATAATAATAATAATAATAATAATAATAATAAACAAAAAATTTAAAAAGAGGTAGAAGGCAGAGTCCTTTTCCTCATAAGGCTTATGACTTAATTATAGAGACAAGATACACAACCATAAAATATGTATGAACTGTTACAGGACAGTGCATGATTAAATGTCAAAAGATGGGCCTTGATGAGCAGTGTCAATTACATCTGTCAAGAGAGATTTTAGGGAGCTGTAGCAAAGGAACAAAATTAAACAAGATCCTAATTATCTTTTCTTATACCCTAAGTGGTGTGTTTTTGCCTCTATCCTGTATGACATTATGTGTAATTTTGTCAGGTGCCAGGAACTAGAAAATCTCCCCTCTGCTGACAGGTATAGTTTACCTGGAAAAGAGAATGTCAGTGATTCAAAAGGCATGAGCTCTAGCTGGCTCTCGTCTTCATTATGAGTTCTCCCTTGGGCAAAAGGTATAAAAGAGCACATCACTTACATACCTGAACCATAATGACATTGCATGTTTTGAAACGTCAGAATGACAGAATGTGTGACTATATTAGTCAGGGTTCCCTAGAGGGACAAAACTAATAGGATATATAGTTCTGTCACTTGAGGGAACCCTGACTAATATAGGTTTCTGATATATGCATTCTGACCTTTTCAAAACATGCAATTTCATTATGGTTCAGGTATGTAAGTGATGTGCTCTTTTATACCTTTTGCCCAAGGGAGAACTCATAATGAAGACGAGAGCCAGCGAGAGCTCATGCCCTTTGAATCACTGACATTCTCTTTTCCAGGTAAACTATATCTGTCAACAGAGGGGAGATTTTCTAGTTCCTGGCACCCGACAAAATTATACATACTGTCATACAGGAGAGAGGCAAAAATACACCACTTAGGGTACAAGAAAAGATAATTCGGATCTTGTTTAATTTTGTTCCTTTGTTACAGCTCCCTAAAATGTCTCTTGACTGATGTAATATATATAGAGAGAGGAGTTTATTAAATATTAACTTACATGATCACAAGGTCCCACAGTAGGCTGTCTGCAAGCTTGGAGCAAGGAGAGCCAGTCCGAGTTTCAAAACTGAAGAACTTGGGAGTCCGATGTTTGAGGGCAGGAAGCCTCTAGCACAGGAGAAAGATGTAGGCTGGGAGGATAGGCCAGTCTCACCTCTTCACGTTTTTCTGCCTGCTTTATATTCGCTGGCAGCTGATTAGATTGTTCCCACCAGATTAAGGGCCGGTCTGCCTTCCCCAGTCCACTGACTCAAATGTTAATCTCCTTTGGCAACATTCTCACAGACACACCCAGGATCAATACTTCACAACCTTCAATCTAATCGAGTTGACACTCAGTATTAGCCATCAGAGTGACTGTTATGTTAAACTCTTATTTTAAAACAAATCAGCAACCTTAAAGTATTTGCAGAAAATCAAAGTTAAATGCTAGGTAGAATTACATTACTGAGCCCTTGAAAAATGTTATAAAAAATGCTATTCTAACAAAACCCAGCCCCCACCCAGAAGTTTGCTAAGGTAAGATTTCTTGGCCTCAGGTTCTTCAATTTTCAAAGAATTTACTTTTGAGTTATAAAGTCTCACTTAGCTGACTGTTTTAGGTAAACAGCAGCTCAAAAAGCCAGATATAACAATCGAGGTGGAATTACAGGGATGACAGTCTTTAGCTTACAGCTACTCATTCATTTTGGCTTTACCAAAGTGTCTGCCTTTGACTTATAATCTATTTCTCTTGGGTGGCTGCTTGTTAACTCTAAGCTGCTTCCAAAGAAGCCGGAATTCCCCTGCAGGAATTCTCAAGAGGCAAAAAGTGACATTGGGAATGCCATTAACACACCCAGTTTGTGAAATATGAGCTTTCAAACCCAAGTCTTGAAGGTTGATCTCTTCAATGGTTTATCAAAACTGAATTATCAAAAAAACAAGGACAATGATTATTTTGAAAGTTGCAGGTTTTAAGTCAATCCTTATCATATTGTTATTATTATTGCTGTAGTCATAACTATTTCTAATATATTGAAGATTATTTATTTAAAAGTAAACTATACTAAAACCTAGGCCCCATCTTTACTAATGTCCCCAAATGTCTCACTCCTTTGCTCCCTCTAACCAGCACACACCCCCTAACAAACTTCTACCTATAATTCAAGAGTGAGCTGGAAACCTCACTTCCTTTGGAAAGTCTCCCTAGTCCCTCAGGCAAATTAGGCATTATAACCTTTGGAGTCACCTGACATTTTGCATATGACTCCATTTTAACAATTATAATGTTGCATTATATTTGTGCATTTTCCACTAGGCTTCCTTGAAGGAAATAACTGTTTCTTAATCACTTTTGCTTTCCAGTACCTAGTAAATAATCAACACAGAGCAGGTATTCAAAAAACATTGTTAAAGGAATGAATAAAAATCTGAAATTTAATTCTTAAATATCCTCTTCCACTTAGATATAATCGAGATATTTAATATGCTACCCAGTCCATGGCATTTTGGAGGCAAAAATGAATCAGAAAATCCTATAGCCACTGATTTAATCATTTATTCTTCTATTTATTCTTTTAACAAATATTTTAGTGCCCAATATCTGCCAGGCACAATTATAGGGGCTAAAGATATAGAAAACAGTCTTTGTTTTGCATTTGATTTTTAAGTTCACATTTAAATTGTTTTATATGTTTAAATATTTGAGAAATGTGTCATTTACTGTCAAGCAGTACCTAAGCAGTAGTACCATGGTGGCAGCTGCAAAGTTGTCTTCCACACTTCCACAGATTCAGTTGATAGGAAAGCAATGAGTCCAGATGGATTTAGACAGTTATTACTTTCAGCAGTAATAACATCTTGGCACCATTTTTCCCCAAGCTCCATTTTCCACGGGGTGGTGTCATGAGGTCAGATATTGCCTGCACACATGGTGGGGATACATTATAGGAGAACCCTGAGACTGAGAGGCTGATGTTAGATAGGGGCTTTTAGAAAATGTGCCTATCCTCTCCACTGGAGAGATGCATTATTCCTTTTTCCCTGAAATACAAGCAAATCTTTCTGTGAAAAGGAAGGAAGTATCTCTATCTTTAATGTTAGGAATATAAGTAAATTTGCTCCAGAGGGAGTCGCTTCTCTATCTTTCCAAGGCAATCTATTTATGTGAGCCTTCCTAAAAAGAGAGTCTTGGAACATTTGGCTAATAGTGCCTAGACATGTAGAAATTTGAGAGATTTATGGAGAATGGTCTCCCAACAGTCCTTTATAGCATATTATAAATATTTATATTTTTAAATAAAATTGCTATGTACCTCTTTTAACTGTACAAATAGAATGTAAATAGCATCACAATACTCACTATTATTCATTTAAAAATTATATAAACAAACTTTCAGAGATTTTAATTATTTTTTCTACTTGAATTTATATTTCCATTCCACTTTCAACACATCATTTAATCCCTATCATTTTATACCTGAAAATATTTTATTAATGATTCTATAATGTTTATTTATAATTAAAATTTATTTTGTTATGTTACTATAAAATTCTAAGGGTTAAAATTTAATGCATTTAAAATTAAAATTGTATTGGAAATGCATTTTTATGTGATAAATGAGCCTTTAAAATTTAGCTTATGTATTCTATCCATTGGTGAGTATCATCTACTACCAGGACAAAACAGTTTCAAGATCAGTTCTATTCTATTTTTTTGGTAGAAAAGTGCTGAAAAACTTTATGTACCTAAAAATTAAAGTAAATCAGAGGAATTTTATACTGCAAATTACACACTAATCTGTCATCCGAAACAGTTTTAATGATTTATCAGTTCACAATTATTCAAAAGAAAAGAATTGGAAACCAAATGACTTGCTAAAGGATTTGTTATAGCCATTTTTTTAAATTTATTAGAAGTACATCTACATAACAAAGAAAAGTTTGTCCCTCACCCATCTCCTGGAAGGTAACCTCTATGCCCTTGGAATATTTTGCCTGGTAAGGGTGTCTCTGTTTTCCTGGAGGCCTTGAGCCACTCCAGATAATGTATACTAATGATGTGGCTTATGGTGAGGCCTTGGGCCATGCAACACCAACTTGACCTCGGAAGGGGCTAAAGACTAAGGTCAGCCATGCAGACGCTCAACTTTGCCTGTGTGACTGAGCCGCAACCAAAACCCTGGACACCAAAGCTCAGGTGAGCCTCCCAGGTTGGTAATAGTCTGTGCATGTTGTCAGTCAACATTGCTGAAAAATTAAATTTGTCCATATGACTTCACTGAAAAAGTCAATCAGCAGGTGGTATTTGGTGTTCCCTGGACTTTGCCTTATGTGCTTTTTTCTGTTGCTTATTTTAATAAGTATCCTTTCACTCTAGTAAGTCATGACTTTAATAAATCATGAGCATAACAGCTTTTTTGAGTCTGTGAGTCCTTCTAGCAAATGACTGAATGGTCTTGGAGACCAGGTGAAGCTATTTTTCTATGAATTTAAATAGCTTCTCATGAAACTACTACACACTAACTGAACTGTGATATCTGTTCCTTTTTAGCACTGATCAGATGCAGGTAAAATCTCTTCCTTTCTGAATGCTAGGTATTGCAACTAAGGTAGAAACCAAGACCTGAGAGTATGAAAGTGCTCACCAAGATCTTTCTCATTCATCAGAATGGTGAAAGTGGCAAGGGCATCCTGCATTGCCAAATTGTGTTTCCAAGAATTTTAAAAATTTTATTTTCCTGTTTATGAGTTCTATAGGTACATAAGGTGTGTAGCCTTGCCATGAGTTTGTCATCCAGATGAAAGGAAATGCTGCTATCACTATTTTTTTTATGATGCTCTTCTTGTTCTGCTCTCATGATACACTTCCCCAGGTGCGACATGACAACAGACCATGGAGTAAAAGTAACAAAGTCTTGGGGAAAAAAAAAAAAGTTTAACCATTTCATTGCCTATTAATACTACATACTATATCTGAATTCAGATTATCTCAATATAGGTCAAAATATCCATTTCTAATCCAACATTTTTCTTCAAATATGTAACAAAAATAAATCTAAAATAAGAAAAGATATGAAACACTACCACAAGTCTATGATGATTTGATTATAAAAAGCATCACAGCACTCCCAGTTCTGCCAAGATGAAGTAAGTTCATTCCTCCCAGGTCTGTCCTCTTACAACAAAAAACCCTGGACATAGCAAAACAAATAAACATAGAAAGATGCTGAAAACCAAAAAGAAAAAAATCAGACTGCCTAGAGATGTCAGGATCTAAGGAACAACAGAGCAGTCAGCTCCCCAAGCCTTTTTACTGCCTCCTGTATATTTCAGATAGGGCATCGCAAGACCCTCCAACTCAGAACCACCAATAGGTACAGATTTTTAAAAAGCTCCAAAGCCCTGTTTATACTACACTGTTTTCTATGAGCTATTGTTTATTCCAAAGGCAACATATATGTATATTTGCGTTTGAAGAATTGCTGACAGTCAGAAGACAACAGCAAATACATAGAGTCAGCTCTTTACCTCCCACTGGAGAAACAATTATAAAGTATGTTTCTGTCTAGACTAGTTGTTCCCAAACTGTAGCTTTAATCACGATCACCCAGAGGGCTTGTTGAAATACATTACTGGAATATACACTCAAAGTTTCTAATTCAGTAGATCTGGGATGGGACCTAAGAATTTATATTTCTAAAAAATTAATACAGCATAATCCAAAGATCAAGTATCTAAACCAAGCAATGCTCAACCTAACTGTAGTGTAGAGGCTCTCCCATAGATTGTGTAATTTAAACCAAAAATTCCAAATAACACTGTACTGGTAATAGAGAATTACATTCTACGTGTACCATGCAAAGAACAAAGACATTATCCTCTGGGTAGATAATGTGGTTTACTTGGGAGGAAGAGACTATCTCCACTGTCTATCATAGTGAGAAGAGATAGATGCAGAAGCAGAAAATTAGCATGTGGAAGGCAAGCCTTAGAGCATGAAGTCAGATGACTCAGAGGAACATTTCTTCTCCTTGAGTTCCATGGCTCTTGAAGGTTGAATACAAGAAGTATAGAGATGAAACCCTTCCAAGACTAAAGTCATGGAAGTTAGTCTTTTTTAGAAGGCTGAACAAGTAGCACCATACTCTGTGAAAAAGAGACATTAGGTGTTTTGGAGTTAAGAGTTGATACTTACGTAGGAAAACAGAATAGTGGTTTGGGTTCTATATAGTGACAGACATACCACAAGTGATTCTGTCTCAGAACTTCTGGAGCTAACTACCTGGAACAATGGTAAATAGCTTACAATGGGCTGAAATATATTGACACTAAAAATCAGACAATTTGGGGTATTCTTAGTCAAGCTCAGCACTAAAGGATTGTCCAACATCAAAGAACCACAGTAGCCTCTGCAGGAATCTGGGTCACATAGAACTCTTGACATCAGTGATTCCATACTAATTCTCTGACGGAACAGGACAAAACTCAAAACTCACACTATGTGGCAATAGACATCATGGCAGGGGACTGGTAAGGCCCCAGGATTCTCTCTTACTGGAGCAAAACTATGAGCTGCTTTGTTGCTCTGTCCAATGCTGAAGTTCTGTACAAAATAAAGGCAAAGGGAAACCCCAAGAGGGAGATTCTTGGTTTCCTGATAAATAAGAAAGTTGGGTACTGAAGTGATTAATTGAAAAATTAAGGAGATGTGACCAAAATGGTCTTCTGAGTTAGTGGAGCATTTCATACCAATTACATGGTTGTTAAATTCCCTGTGGCTGGTTGGCTCATTGGTTAAATCATGATGCTAAGAAAAAGTGGGAAGATTTAATTTTGCACTTGAAGAAGCTGGTTTGCTCATGGTCATGTACTCTGGATTCTCTCCTAACACTGGCCAGTAATTTTACAAAAGGATGAAGATAATGGAAACTAGGAGCTTGAAGAGATCATGGCTGATGAGTGCAAATTCATTACCAGAGCTGAAACAAACAGCTCTAAAATATGCCTAATGCCAGTGGGCAGTTGTATCAACTTGGTATTTCAATTTAACTACTATGAAAAAAGCAGAATTCCAAATTAACTAAGAAATGTCATTTTTACTTTTATGGAGATCCTTAAAATTCATTCAAAAATTTATTATATGCCAGACATTATGCTATGCTAAATGCTTTAATATCCATTTAATCTGTATAACAACTATATGAGATAGGTATTATCCTCCAATTACAGATATAGAAACCATGACTTAGAGAAATTTAATTATGCAATTTAATTATAATTTGAAATTATAATTATGCAATTTAATTTAATTATAATTTGAAATTATAATTATGCAATTTAATTTAATTATAATTTGAATTTTTTTCTAAAAGAAGGTTCTGAGTTGTTAGGGTGGTGCTATCAAAACAAGTTAAGTTTTATCTATTTAATATGGATTCCATAGAGTCCAATCAGTACACAGGCATGAAATAACCAAGGTCAGAATTTTATCAAAATGACTTGTACCCGTGGAATTATAAACTAACATTATGCCTGAATTCCTCTGAGACTCTTTAAAGTAGTTTAACTTTAAGGTTCCAAACCTGTCTGTGCATGAAATTTACTTGGAGAATTTTTTTTTAGTTATAGATTCCCTAGTTCTACCCAAGAGTGCAAATCTAAATTTTGCTAAAGCTCTCCAAGGTCTTTCTGATGCACAGTCAAGTTTAGAAACCACTAGTTTATTTTGTTCTTTGTCCCAAAGAGCTAGAATAAGCAATACATAGAGAAAGAAGCCCAAAGATTGTTACAGCTTTTTGTGACACATCAGAGGAGGTAGGTTGAAAAGCCCTTCAAACAACACAGACATTTTGTAGATTATCACAAAGGGATTTTTTGGAAATTATATGGAGAATAATAAATATAGTAAAGTATACAAATCATAAGCATCAGCTCAATGAATTTTTACAAACTGAACAAACTCATGTAAATAGCACACAGAACAAGATACAGAATATTACACACATTCCAGAAGCCATCCTTATGCTCTCTTCCTGTCACTACTCGAACCCAATTCATCCCAGGATAAGCACCATCTGACTTAAAATAGCACAGATTAGTTTTGCCTAGTTTTGTATCGATATAAATTAGTCATAGGGTACATCTTTGCTATATAGCTTTTTTTATTGTTGATGATTGAACCTCAATGTGGTATAGAATTCCAAAATGTATCCATTCCATACCACTATTTATTTATTCATTCTATACTCAAAGGGCATTTGGGTAGTTCCCATTTTTCAGCCTCCACAAAAAGTTCTGCTCTGAAATTTCTTGTGCATGTCTTTTGATGAAAATATCCACCTATTTCTATAGGGTATATATCTATAAGTGTAATTGCAGTATCATAGGAATGCATATATCAGTTTTAGTAAACACTGCCAGTCTTACAAAATGGTTACACTGATTTATACTCCCATCAACAGTATAGGAGAATTCCAATTTCTCCCCATCCTAGTCAAAACTTAGTATTTTTTATCTTTTTTATTTAAGCAAACTTGGTTGTTGTGATATCTCATTCTGGTTTTGATTATTATTCTGCTATTGGTCGATGAATTTGCTTATATTTTCATGTTTATTCATATTTAAATAAAAGATAGCTCCTGCTATCTTTTTTGTTGTATCAGATCATCTCTTTTCTTTTTGATGGCTTGTATAAGTTCTTTACAAATTCTAGATATAAGAATTATTTGTTGGATTCATATTCTGAAAATATCTTCTCCCACTGTGTAGGTTGCCTTTTCATTCTCCTAATGGTATTATTTGGTGTACAAAAGTTTTTAATTTCAGTATAGTTCGATACCAATCTTTTTATGGTTTTGTATTTTGCTCTGTTGAGATATTTGTCTGTCCCAAAGTGATTAAAATCTCCTCTCATGTTATATTCTAAAATCTTTGTTGTTTTATCTGTCACAATGAGATCTCTAAGTTATTGCCATTCTAAATAAATTTTTGTGTGTGGCATGAAGAGTCATGGTTCATTTTTATCATATATATTCAATTGACTTAGTATAATTTATTGAAAATACCATGTTACCCCCACTCAATAGCAGTAATGCCTTCATTGTAAATCTGTTAAACCATTTGGATGTGACTGTTTCTAGACTACTTTTTTTCCATTGTTGCATTTTTCTATTCTTTCACCAGTATCACACTGTCTTAATACTATAGCTTTATAGTAAGTCTTAATACCTCATAGTTTGAGTCTTCCCACTTTGTTCATCTTCAAGATGTTATTGGCTATTTGAGGTCCTTTTCATTTTCATGTAAAGGATAGTACCAACTTGTCAATTTCCAACAAAATGTAACCTTGAATTTAGATTGAGATTGCACTGAGCCTGTGGGACAATTTATATAAAATCAAACTGTCAGCAATGTTGAGTACTATGATCCATGAACACAGAGAACTTGTCTATTTATTTAAGTCTTATTAATTTCTCTCAGCAAAGTTTTGTAGTTTTTCATATTGAGGTCTTGTATAATCTTCCTTTGACTTATTCTGAGCTATTTAATTCTTTATAATATCATAAACTTCATTTTCTGGTATTTGATGCTAGTATATACAAACAAAATTGATTTTTGTATATTTACTTTTATCCAGCTGCCTTGCAAATTTTGCTTATCAGTTCTGTTTATAGATTCCTTTGAATTTTCCGTGTACAGCACTGTATGATCTATGAATAATAACAGCTTTACTCTTCTCTTTTTAAGGCTTGCATCTTGTATATATTTAATTTTATTGCCCTATTTCTCTAAGACATCGAAGAACAATGTTGAATGGAACTGGTGAAACAATGAGGTAACCTCTTGTTATGTTCCAAAACTCAGAGCACATGTGTTCAATATTTCAACACTAAGTGTAGAGTTTACTTTAAGAATTTTTGTAAATTTTTTATATTAAGAAAATTATCTTTCATAATTTCTGAGAATTTACTTCCAATAGAAACTAAGTAAAGAAAATTATAAAGCCAATACTTTAAGCAAAATGAGTCCAAAAAAGAGTCTAAGATGAAAGAAGGAACAATAAGTATATACATTGGTAAATGTAAACAAATACTTATTTTATCAAACTTAAAATAATGTCTGATTTGAAGGGGTTTTAAATAAACATATTGATAGAAATATGGAAGTAGCTTTATTCTGAATCTTTTGGTTTCTGCTTCAGGAAACCAAAAAGAATAAAGTGCATTTCCTATTTCTCTCTTTCTCACTCTCTCATTCTCTCGTTTTCAGGGAAACTAGACTCAGAAAAAATCAGCAATCTCTAAAATATATGTAATGATACCAAAATCCAAGCCAGGCCATAAGAAGCTGTGACGGTGCAACAGGGGGAGACAGGATGTCTAGGGCATTCCTATTATAACAGTGATTTAGCAAATACTCACTTTCCGGGGCAAAAAAAAAGGCCCCAGTGACCAAACTGACTTGAGGGGGCTGAGATGCAACTCTACTTTTTTGTGGAAAGTAAAGAAAAAAGTTCCAGCAAGTACCCAGGGCAACCACAATGGAGCAGATCTCAGAAAATACTCTTAAAAATGACTCAGCCGCCTGGCAAGCAGAAGTCCCTGGATGATAGTTGTCTCTCAGCCAGCCTGTGAAGAAACTTGGCAGTCCCAGGAGTGACCCTGGAACTTCTCCTGAACCAGATGATATTCTGAGATTCAGAGAAGCCCCAACATACAGGAGAACCATATTCTGTGGAAATAGACTATAGTTACAGCAACTAAAGGAACTCTGAGCTAAGAGGTTTGTAAAACTACCCAGGCTTCTCCCGCCACCATCTCCCACGGGAACTTCATGCTAATAGTCTAAGAAAAGTCAAGTCAATCAACTTTGAGTAACAACAAAAATAGATTGTGCTCGATATCGTCAGAATAAAAAGGGAAATGAACAGTACAACCATTTAACAGATGATGAAAACTCACTGGAAAAATGGAACTGCAAAGCAGTTAAAAAGTATAAACCAGGCTTGTAGTTTCAGCTCTGAGATGTTAAGAGCTTTTAATACGTTACTCTGTATTTACAAGAAGAACAAAAAACTGGAGAAACTTAAAAATCAAGGACTTTTCTTGAACCCGTCAGAGAACCAAGGTTGCAGAGCAAATCACCACCCTGAAATGTGGAGAGCTGGGTACAGCCAGAGGAATATAGCTCCCGATATACATTTATTTGAAACAGAAGCTGCTAGATGTCATAAGCTGGTATGAAAACCAAAAGGTGTTTTTGACAAATTGCTGGAGACTGGGTATGGACAAGCTTGAAAGTGAGGGGTGTTGGGGCCCACAGCCATAGGAGGACACTCCCTACGTGCCCATGGTCACAGGCTTTTCCTCCAGGAAATCCAGTTCAGGGGAGCTTTCAACATCAGATGATCTAAGATGTCCAAGAATAAAGAAAGCATATATTTCAGTGATAGAAAACTTAGGGATTAAAGTTAATATTTATTATATAAATGTCATTAAAATTTTTTAAAATCTTTAAGTACAAAGTTCATTTGTGAGCTAAAGATTACTTTTAGAATCTTTATTATAAGAACACTTGTTAACAAATGATTTTTGGTATAAAATAATCCATTTGAAACTGAAAACAAATTTTAAAGTCTCATATTTCTATCTTAACAAACTTGTAAAAATCAAGATTTTAAAATAACTATTAATCCTGAAAACAGCTAATTTTAGAAAGAATAAGAAAACAATGCTATTATAGCAATGCTACTCTTTTCCCAAGAAAGAAGACACATAAGATTTAAGAGATTCTTTATAAAAGCGTTATTTAAGTATAATTGGTTTACATGACTACTTTTGAAATAAGTTTAATCTTTAAAACAAAATGATGAAGACTGTTAAAGAGTGGAAGAATGTGTTATTAATAAATATCTTGAAAGAATTTCATTTTTTATGAAGTAATTTAATATAAATCCAGCAAAATTTTTACAGAGTCTGCATGTGGAAAACTATAACATGATAAAAGAAATCAAAGATCTAAATAAATGTAAAGATAATCAGTCAATATCCATTAATTGGAAGACTTAATATTGTTAAAATGTTAATTATTTCCAATTTGGTCTATAGATACAATGCAATCCCAATCAAAATCCAGGCTAGCTCTTTTTGTAGATATTAACAAACAGATTCTAGAATTTATATGGAAAGGCAAAAGTACTAGAATAACCAGCACAATTCTGGAAAAAAAGATAAAAGCTGAAAGATTCACATTACCTATTTTCAAGATTTAATGTAAAGCTATAATAATCAAGGTAGCTTGGTATTGGCAAAAGAATAAGCACACATATTAATGAGATAGAATAGCAAGCCCATATATCACCCATGCTAATAGAGTCAACTGATTTTTGACAAAGATGCAGAAGTAATTTAATGGAAACAGGATAAACTTTTCAGCATATGGTGGTGGAAAAATTGGACATTCACTACCAAAAAAAATGAACCTTAACACAGACCTCACACTTTACATAAAAATTAACTCAAAATGGATCATATATTTAAATGACAAAGGCAAAACTATAAACATCTAGAAGAAAGGAGAAAATCTGAAGGACCTTGGATTTGGTGATAAGTTTTCACATATCACATATCAAAAACATGATCCATGACAGAAAAAAAATAATCAGTTGGGCTTTATTAAAAACTTTTGCTCTGCAGAAAACACTGTTGAGAGAATTAGAAGATAAGCCACCTACTTAACATTTGCAAATCATGTATCTTATAAAGAATGTATATCCAGATATACAACAAACTCTTAAAACTCAACAATAAGATAAGGAACAATTCTCCAAAATGGGCAAAAGATCTGAACAGATACCTCACCAAAGAAACATACAAATGGCAAAGTATATGAAAAGATGCTCAACATCATGCCAAATAATGTAAGCTGATATTCCCCACTCAAGGAAGTGGAGAATAACTCCCTACCCCTAGATAATGGGCTATACTCGATGACTTGCTTCCAAAGAGCAGTATGGGAAAAGTAACTTTACAGTGGAGAAAACTGGCAAGCATTATCCTAGCTAGGTGATCAATGTTAGGATCATAAATAGGAAGTCATATGTCATGCTGATAGCACATATTTTGTTTTCAATTTTTTATTTTGATAAGATATATATAACATTTACCATCTTAACCATTGAGGGTATGTACTCTTGATATTACAGTAGTCCCCCTCTTATCTGCAGTTTCACTTTACATGTCACCTGCAGTCAACGATAGTCCAATAACATTAAATGAAAAATTCCACAAATACACAATTTATAAATTTTAAATTACACGCCATTCTGAGTAGTGTGATGAAATCTCATTTTATCCTACTGTCCTGTTCAGGGTGTGAATCATCCCTTTATCCAGCAGAACAAAGCAGTAGACCCTTCCTGCCTGTTAACCATTTAGTAACTGGCTCGGTTATCAGATCAATTGTTGCAATATCACAGTGCTTGAGTTCAAGTCACCCTTATTTTACTTACGAATGGCCCCAAAGCACAAGAGTAGTGAGATATGTATAGGAAAAAATATAGTGTATATAGAGGGTTCAGTACTATTGGCAATTTCAGCCATCCACTGGGGGGAGTCTTGGAATGTACCCCCTGTGGATAAAGGGAGACTTCTGTATATGTTTAAAATAGCTTTCCTTTCAGTGGTCTTCCTCTCAAAAACCCCTAACTTCTGTCCAAACATCAGAAAAACTTGACTGAGAGATAGTCTACAGAATACCTTATCATTACCTCTCAAAACTGTCAATGCCATTGAAAACAAAGTCTAAGTGTATAAGTCAGGGTTCTACTACAGAAACAGAACCAATAGGAGAGAGAAAAACAGAAATTTAAAGAAACTGTTTTATGTGATTCTGGGGACTGGACAGTCTGAAATCTGCAGGGCAGGCCAACAAGCTGGAATTCCTTGAGCAGGAGCTGACAGTGCAGTCCACAGGTGGAATTTCTTCCCCAGGAAAACCTCAGTTCTGCTCTTAAGGCCTTTCAACTTGTTGCATGAGGCCCACCAATATCAGAAAGTATAATCTTTACTTAAAGCCAAGTGACTGTATATGTTAACCACATCTACAAAATACCTTCATAGCAACACAAAGATTAGTGTTTAATAGAATAACTGGGGACCTAGCCAAAATTGACACAGAAAACTAACCACCCCAATGAGAAACTGTCACAGTCTAGAGGAGCTGAAAGAGATGTGGTCACTAAATGTAATATGACAGCCTGGATAGGATCCTGAGACAGAAAAAAAAATAGTAGAAAAAAAACTAATGAATCTGAATAAAGTATCATGTTTATTTAATAACAATGCATCAATATTTGTTTATTAGCTGTGATCTATATACCATAATAATAAGATACTAACAATAGGGGGAATTGGGTTCAGGATATACAATAACTCTCTGTATTCTCTTTGCAACTTTCCTGTAAATGTAAAACGATTCTAAAATTAAAAAATGAACTTAGATATAAAAATGTATAAGCTAAAGTTTCAGCAGGAAGAAATATGTAAACTTACGAAAAATACTGCACACAACAGGTGACTGAGGACAAGACAACTACAGAATATAAGATGGGAACTGGCGGAATTGTTTTGAAATAGAAAATACCAAACCATTTTAGAAAAGAAGACTAAGTAACAAAGATTGCCCCAGGAAAGATAATAAGCAAGAGAAGACAGAATAAGAGTAAGCAAAAAGAAATGAAATTATATAAACTTAAAAATTAGAGAAAGATGGAAATAAGCAAAGGAGATCCAATATGCAGATAGCTGGTGTCTTTGAAAAAAATGAAACTGAACAAAAGTATAAAAATATAATTTAAGAAAGTGATCCTGGAAAAAAAAAAGTTACTGAAAGAGCGTTCCGTTTACAAAAACAAACAAACAAAAAAAAGCCAAAATAGTCTCAACCAATGAACACACTAGTAAAAATAATTGGAGTTTAAAGATAAAGAAGGAATCGTTAAATATCCAGACCAAAAAAAAATGAATCATTTATAAAGAAACTAAGATCACTTCAGCATCATATTTCTTCACTACAGCAAGCTGCGCCAAAAGACAACAGAATACCTAAATAGTACTCAAGGGGGAAGAAAAGATAAAAGTCTTACATCCATCCGAGTTCTATACGGCCAGTTATAAAGGCTTCAGATTAAACATTTTGAGCTTTTGAGAGAACAAGGAATATTATTCTCATGAGTCTTTCTTGAGAAAACTATTAGAGGACAAATTCAACATACTTCACTCAAAAAATGAGCTGAGAAAGATCCAAAAAGAACTAGTGTCTAACAACTTTAGTAAAACATAAAATAGAAAGCATTATCTCAGAGGGAATTGTCTGGTTCCTCATTTTAAAGGCAATGCTTATATTTTACTTCATTATATAAGTACCCTATAGATTATTGGTGGTACCTTTTGTCAGGTAAAGAAATTCTTTTCTATCCCTAATGCACTATGAATTTTTTCATCATGAATTGCTGCTAAATTGCAAAAGTTTTTTTCTGCACCTATTGTTATTGTTATCTGTTCCTTCTCCTTTTATCTTTTTTATATTCCTGGGTTAAATCTTACTTGGTCATATTGTTTTATGTTATTCATATATTGCTGCTTTTAATGTGTGCTCAGTTTTTAAGAATATTAACATCTATGTTTATAAGCTAAATTAGCCTACAATTTTCTTTTCTTTAACTGCGTTTATCTAATTTTGTATATTAAGATTATACCAACATAATAAAATATGTTGGAAAAGTTTTCCTATATTTAATTCTCAAGAATAGTATGCATATGACAGAAAACATGGAGGTTTCAGAAAATTGTCTGATCTTGTTGATATTTTGATATGTAAATTTTAATCATGGTTTAATTTTTAATGTTTATAAATATATGAAGAATATGTTAACTTATAGTTGATAAATTATATTTTTCTAGAATATTTTCCATTTTCTTCTGTTATTAATTTATTGCCATAGTTATTTCTATTGTTCTCTCATTACATATGAATCAACGACTCAAGTTCTATTTTTCATTATTATTATTTTATAACTTTGTACTTAAGTTGAGCTTAGTGTAGTGGTTTCTGTGTAAACCACTAAAGTATGGAAATATTATGTATAATTTGCAAACCTGTAGAAGGAAAAATAAATAGAATGGAAAAAAGAAAAAACAATCAAGTTAAAAAAGCAAGAAAGGAGAAAAACAAGACCCAAAATAAAGTAAGAAAAGTAGAAACAATAAAATAAAATACAAAAATAAGCCCAAATTTGTTAACTTTAAAAATAAATATTAACAGAGTAAGATTACAAAACTAAGCATTGAACTTCAATCATAAGGAAAATAACAAGAAAGCCAACATAAATAGAAAGACAAAACAAAGATAAGAACAAAATTAGTATTAATGGAATATAAAACAAAGATAAAACATAGATTTTAAAAGGTATATTGGAACTATTAAAACGATGAATAAAAGATAAAACTGGTGAGAGTTATCAAGATAAAAAGGAAGGCACAAATTCAACAGCATTTGGAATTAGAAGAAGGCTAATTACAGATAAAGCAAGAATTTTAATATAAGAGGATTCTATTAATGTAATAAACCATTAATCACAGAAAATTAGATGAGGTGTCAAACTCCAAAAAAGAGATAACTTTTAAAAATCAGCTCAAGAAAAAATAGAAAGCTTTATTATTGCTGTAATCATTTCCTAATTTGAATACGAAGTTAAAAACATATTCCCATAAAAAAAAATTCCAGACCTAGGCAGTCTAACAGGTGAGCTCCACCAAACTTTCAAACAACAGATAATTCAAATTTATAAGCCTTTTCCAGAGAGGACAAAAAAGATCCCCAAATCATGCAGTTATTTATGAAACTGACTGGATTTTACAACCAGATAAATACACTATGAGAAGTGAAAATAACAGATTGATAGACTGATAATAGACTCATGAATACATACTCAAAATAAATAAAAATCAACAAGCCAAATAGGCATTACACAAAAAACACATCATAAACAAAATATAATACATCATAAACAAAAAAAAAGTTGTTTTTTTACTCAGGACTGCAAGTTAAACATTTTTAAAAAATCAATTAATTTAATTTACCACATTAACATTAAAAGAGAAAATAGAATCCCATTATTAATGAAGAAAAAATAATTCAATAAAATTTATCACCCCTTTATGATAAACAATTCATTGTACAGACCAGAAAATACTTATCAAGCTAGTAAAAGAAGAGAACTATCTTAACCTGATAAAATTGTATTTTAAAAAATATATAACAAAAAGAAAAATGGCTAAATGTGTGGTTGGGGCTTTATCTTACGCGCTAAGCTAAAAAACAACTTTGAACAGTCTCAGGAACATTATGAGGAATATTTCAAGGAGTTTGTATTTCTTGAAAAGATACTTTGAAAAGATATTTTTATGAAATATGTAGAGGAAAATTAGATTATAGGTAGCAATCTACATTTGTGATGCATAATTAAAATACAGTGGAATTGGTACGTCTGGAAAGAAAGGGAGAAATACAAGAGGTATTAAAGTAGAGCAAGGTAAAAGACTTGGAAAGTATTGCCCGTACAGAAAGGAGAAGTAGAAAGATGGAAGATGTTTAGGTTTATGGAGTGGACACTAGGAGGATAGGGTACATCTCATTACATGGAGGAAGACATGGAATGGAGGCACCCTTTGGGCAGCGGGGCATACAAATGTGAAGATCTGCCTAAATGTGAGTGGCAACAGAGACTGGACTGCTTGAAACCATTGATTTGGATGAGGTCATCCAAAAAGAAAATACAGAGGAGTGGTTAAAAGAAAACCAAACAACACAAAGAAGAACACAAAAAGGAACTAGAAATGAACAGCCAGAGAAATAGGAGAAGAACTAGGGAAAACTTCCATCATTAAAGATTTTAAGTAAAAAATGTTCAACAATGCAAAATACTACAAAAGCTTTAATTCCTTTTGCCCTCCCTTTCACCAATCTTAACTCATCAAATCACATAAGATTTTTTACAAAGGGTACTAATGAATATATGTGATCCAGCATTCTCAGACCTGTATCAAGGAATAAACTTTTATTCCCACCTCCTAGCTTTTTAGAAACCTAGGAACTTCATCTGCCCTTCAGAAGAATAAAACAGCTATCATTATGCAGACATCTGTAAGGACAAAATTTCTACTAACTGAATTATACCTAAGAATATAATTGTACATTGGAAAATGTTTCTCAGAGAAAGTGAAACAAATAATGCAAATACAATTCTGAATGGACTTCCAATTACTTAGCTTGACAGAAAAAGTGTAGAACCCAACCTAAAACAACATGTTGGGATTAAAGTGTCAAAAGTTGACAGTGGCAAAATTGCCTAGGGGAGATTAATGCCATGTCATTTAAGCCCACTTAAGAGCATATTTCCAGGAATTTAATGAAGTATGTTTTCTATTTCTCAGGAAAACAGTAAGTGCAACATTGATTTTTTTTAAAAAAGGAAAGTAGATTCTATGTAATTATTTCAGCAGCCCTCACTTTATTCCAAACCAAATTCTACTCTCCAGAAATGACTTCTTACTAGCTTTATTGATGTATAATTGACATACAATAAATGCACACATTGAAAATGTACACTTGGCCAAGTTTTGATATATTTATATACCAGAAAACCATCACCCACAATCAAGACAATGAATGTATCCATCACCCCCAAAAGTTCTCTAGTGTCCCTTCATAATCCTTTCCACCTTCCTCCTGTCTCCAACCACTCACCCGAATTTCCAGCAAGAAATTCTAATTTCTAATTTCTGATCCAATTTCTGTCACTAGATATTAGTTTGTATTTTCTAGAATTTTATAGAAATGGAATCCTATATTGTATTAGTTTCCTGGGGCTGTCACAGCAAATTACAACAGGCCAGGTGGCTTGAAACAACAGAAATGTGTTCACTTAAAGTTCTAAGGTCTAGAATTCTGAAATCATGGTGTCAACAAGACCAGTCTCCTTCCAAAGCCTCTAGGGAAGACTTCCTCCTTGCCTTTTCTAGCTTCTGATGGTTTCCGACAGTCTTTGGCATTGCTTGGCTTGTGGCAGCATAACTCCAATGTCTGTCTCTGTCTTCACATGGACTTCTTCCCTGTATCTCCTTGATGTCTTTAAATGTCTTCTCTCTCTCCTTTTTATAAGGATACCAGTCACTGAGTAATCCAGTATGACTTTATTTCTATTACATCTTCAAAACCTCCAAACAAAGTCATATTCAGAGGTAAAGGGGTTGGGACTTTGACTTAACATATTTTGGGGGAAGACACTATTTAATCCACAATATTCTGCCCTCTGGCCCCTTGAAATTCATATTGCTCTCAACAGCAAGATACATTCACCCTATCCCAACATTTCCCAAAGTCTTAACCCATTTCAGCATCAACTCTAAGTTCAAAATCTCATCTAAATATCAACTGAAGAAGTCCCAATTCTCGTCTTCTCAATTATCTAAATCAGGTATGGTGAGATTCTGAGTGTGGCCCATTCTGGGAAAAAAATTATTCTTCATTTGTGAACCTGTGAAACTAGAGAATAAGTTATCTGCTTCCAAAATACAATAATGGGACAGGCATAGGATAGACATTCCCATTCCAAAAGGAAGAGATTAAAAGGAGTCATGGTGCTTCCCAAACATGTCTCAAACCCAGTGAGGCAAATTCCAGTAGGTTTCAACGCATGAAAATAATCCTTTGTGGCTTGATGCTCCTCCCTCTGTGCCCACTGTTAGCCCTGTCCTCTGTATCCACAGAGCCCTGTTAGTCCTACCAACTTTTGAGCCACCCTCAGAGGCATTCTTCCCTTTTCTTGAAGAATAACACATTTGCAGGCAAGTGGCTTTATAGGCCTATTTCCTACCCGTAAAATCCCACAAGTCTGACATCCCTCCATTATTTCATCCCATCTCTGTCTCTTTGGTTCAAGCTGGCAATGTTTTCAGTTGGCATAACATTCTCAAAATCCTTGTGGCTCTTCTGTATATATCAAGGGGGATTGTTTTAACTAATGACATCTGTAAAGGCCCTACTTCTAAATAAAGTCATGTTTACAGGTTAGGACTTAAACATATCAGGAAGATACAGTATATAATCCATAACATACAGTACATTTGTTTGTATTCTTTTATTCAGCATAATTATTTTAATATTCATCTATGTTTTACATATCCCAATAGTTCCCTATCAATGGTCATTTTGATTGTTTTCAGTTTTTGGCATGGCAAATAAGCAGCTGTGAACCTTCATGTGCAAGTCTTTGCATTGATATATGCTTTAATTTCTCTTGGGTAAACATCCGGCAGTGGAATTGCTGTTTCATAAGGTTGGCAAAATGTTTAACATTTTTAATAACTGCCAGTAAGTTTCAACGCGTGATATCTCACTTTATCTTCCCACAGTGGCCTGTGAGAGTTCCAGCTGCTCCACATCCCCTCAACACTTTGCATGGTATTTTTAAATTTTAGACATTCTAATAGTTACATAGTGGTATCTCATACAGAGAGAATGGTATTTATTATATTGCATTGCCTGATGCATATGATGTCTAACATCTTTTCATGTGCGTATTTGCCTTGTGTTTATGTCTTTAGTAAAAGTGTCTATTCAAACCTTTTGGCCATGTTTTCAATGGGTAGTTGTCCTGTTATTATTGAGATTTTAGAGTTCTTTGCATATTCTAGATACAAATCCATCATCAGATACATGATTTGCAAATTTATTGTCGCTGTCTGTGATTTGACATTCTTTTAACTTGTCTTTTGAAAAGAAGTTTTAATTTTGATAAAGTCCAGTTTTTAATTTTGATAAAGTCCAATTTTTTTCCTGATTCATACTTTGAGTGTTGTATCAAGGACAGCTCATGTAGTGTTAGCACCAAAGTCCTTACAAAGACCTATGAGACTCTAAATGAGGTTCCCTTCACGATTATCTTCCTGACCTCATTTTTGCTGTGGATTTTTCCCTTTACCACTCTTCTCCAGCCTCCTTGCAACTTCTTAAACAGATGCAGGGCTGACTTGCTGCTCATTTTGCTTAGAATTCTCTTTTCCCAACTACCTACAGAGTTCACTCTCTGGTTTTTTTTATGTCTTTGTTAAATGTCAGCTCAGTAAAGCCAACTCTGACTTTCCTCATGATGACTGCAATCCTCCAACATTGCCAAATCTCCTACCCTGCCTTGTTTCCATCCATAGCATCTTCTATCATGCTGTATGTTTTTCTTGTTGATCAGCTCCCCCACTAGAATTTAAGCTCAGTGAGGCCAGAGATTTTTGTCTGTTCACCAGCGTATTTACAATTAAAACATTACCTGGCATTTAGTGATACTCAATGAATATTTGCTCAATGCATGAATGAATACATGAATATATATTGATTTTGCCTTTATGCTTATTTGACAGTTTGGCTGACCTCAGAATATTAGTTAAAAATTACTTTCCCTCACAATTTTTTAAACAATCTTTTTATTTTGGAATAATTTTAGATTTACAGAAAAGTTGCAAAAATAGAACAGAGAGTTATCATATCCCGCTTTTTCAGCTTCCTCCATTGTTAATGTTACATTACCATGATACATTTGTCAAAACAAAGAAAGTGACTTGGTACAATATTATTAACTAAACTCTACACTTCCCTCACAATTCTAAAGTCAATCTTTTAATACTTTCTAGTTTGTAGAGTGCTAATGATACATCTAATAAGTCCTATTTTCATTTTTCTATGAGAAGGTCCATTATAGACCCCATATACAGTTGTGGGGAATCTCAGCCAAGATAGGCATAAAACTACTACATTTTTTTTCCTAGCCAAAGGAAAAAATATCTACCTGAGAGGAGAAGAGCAGTTCCATTTTCTAACAGATTTCCCAGCCATTCTGAATGCAAATGAATGATGGCCTTTCTCTCTACCCGAAGAGAGTGGTAATTAAGAGCAGGGGCATTATATGATCTTAAACAAAATCAGTAACCATGTAAGCAGGACACCAAAATCTAAGACCATCTGAAAGGAAGAGGCTCACTAAGTACCACCTCAGAGAATTGCACATATGGAAGTTCTGGATGGAGACTGACATCTGATGGTGCAAATGGCAGATACCAGTAATTTAGGCTGTTGTCCTTTGCCTCCTTCAGAGGAGGAGGGCCACAGAGGTGTCTGAAGCTCTGAAAAATGAAGGTAGACCAAATATTTTACTCTTCTAAAAAAAGCTCAACTCCGCTGTTTTTTCAGGTTCTCAGCTGTTAATATGTGGCATTAGTTAAATTGTTAACTGTCTGGGACTTCCCTAAGGTTGATAAGACCTTGGCATCCCCAGGCTGATAGTCGCAGGAGCCCAGGCTTCCATTTGAACATCAATCTTAAGTGTTTTAGGACTGACATTGCTTTAGGCCTGTAGACTACTTAAAATTTAAGGCCAAAATCCTCTAAGATTAAAATAATTTTCATTTGTTCAGGGAAATGTGTGCTATGCAGATAGTATTATTGCCAATAATAAATGTATATGAAGTTTTAAAGAGTCAAGAAGTTTGAAGCCAGTTTATTGAGGAGTCTCAGTATTTTAGGGTTTAAACAAGTAATAATTATTTTTCCAATAACTGACTTCCAGTTGTGCTGTGATAAATCCCTTTCCCATTACATAGTAGATTCTTTAATGGCTCCTTGGCCAGATTCCTTAACTTTTCTGTCACTTTTGGTTATAAAGCCTTATTTTAGTATGCTAGAGTCTTGTATATGAAAAAATTTGGTACAGTTTATTTCAAAACTTCATTCCTATTTTTTTTCAACACCTGTTCTTTCCCTCATTAGGGATCAACAAGGCCTACCTATGGGTGAAGTTGCTTTTGAGTAGGGTCTCATTTCACACATTTCCCATTCTCCTGTTTACATATTTCCTTCCTCTTTCTCTTCTCTTGCTATTCTAGGCCTTTCTGGGCTTTCAAACCCATCCACCACCAGCAAGGGCAGAAAGGAAATATTTCTCACGTGATGGACATCAACCTAAGGATCCACCACAGTTCTCTTTCACGGAGAGCCACAGCAATGTTGATTCCCTCTCACGTCTTTCTCAAGACTGCAGAGAGCAAGGATGTGGTGATTATTCTCCCATATTCCACCGAGGACTTCACTGCCATATTCCCTTCAGAACTGTTTGGCATGGACTATTCCAAAAGCCTTGCCTCTGCAGAAATCTGACATTAGTTTCTAGATTCGCATCTATACTAAAAATTCAGGGAATACATGTGAAGCAATCCCCTACTTTTAACAATGAGAGATGTTCTCAGGTCCCAAAAGGCTCTCCCAAGAATGCTTTCAAAACACTTTCCTCCAGCAATGCCATAAAAGTGGCCTTATAAGTTCTGCAACCTAGCAAGCATTCAAGTCAGGAGGAAAGGTGTCCATCTCCCCTTCTTGCAGATACATCCATTTTTACCATGATTCTATTACAGCCCTGCTCACTGCTGCTTCAGAGATGGAAAATTACTTCATTCCCCAACTCTACAATGAGGGAAGGAAATAGGCCCTCCTTGCAGAGCATAAAACCAATTTTCATCTCTCTCCTCTAAATCTTCTTCAGGATTTCCATCCAGGAAAGAAGGATGGGGCTGATTGATGAGCATATCACAATAAAGGGGAGGTGACTGCCCCGAATACTGGAGGAGAGAATGTGGGGTGCTTCATTTATTGCTGTGCACGGGAAAGACTGGAAATTCTTGCCTATTCTTGAAGATACTACCCTTGGAGATTGTTGCCAGGAGACTTTGTACTTAAACCCTGCGCTAACTGGGGAATCAATTTAATTTTGTGCATAGGCCAACCCCTGAGCTCATCTGGGTAGGTAGTTTAGATAAGCTTAGTCCCAGCATTGCAAATTGCATTTTTCAAAGATGTTCACAGCAACATATCCCATTTCACCTATTTCCATACAATATAGTCTCTAATCAAGAGGTGGGGGTCTATAACCTCAGTCTTGAATCTGTGTATTCCTGTGACTCAGAGTGTGGTAGAAGTGACTCATGTGACTTCAGAGACTCAGTAATAAAAGGTGATGTCACTTCCACCTTCCTTGCTGGGATACTTGCCATGTAAGAAGTCTGATTACCCTGAAGCTGCTGTGCTGTGAGGAAGCCAGGCCACTTGGTGAGGCAACATGGAGTTATACAGTCAGCAATCATAGCCTCTGAATCTCCCCAGCCCAGGTGCCAGACATATGAATAAATGAGCCTTCAGATTATTTCAGCCCCCAGCTATTGAGTCACCCCACATCTTTGAATATTCCCAACTAAGGATCCAGATATCATGAAATAGAGACAAACTATCACCAAAGCACCCTTTCTGAATTCCTGTCCCACAGAATTCATGAGCGTAATAAAGTGTTGTTTTATGCTACTTGGCCAAAGATGATTTTATAGCAATAATAACTAATACATCTGGGATCCTTGAAAATGAGTCTATCTTGTCAGTCATCTATGCTAGTTATACATTTAGGCAAAAATAACTCTCTTTGAATCTGATTAGTGTAATGTTTCTTGGAATGCCTTCTGGGCCACCACTGTAAGTAGAGCAGATAAGAAAATTCAAAGTGCTTCCAGGTACTGTTGTTATACTTTGAGGGAGACACAGAGTCCCATTGGTAAGCAGGGAAAGTAGGCCCATTTCATTTGTATTTGCAGGTATCAAGAATTCTACTTCCCCACTTATTTTGGTATAACTTTTTAATCATGAAGGATCTTACTGCCCATCTCTAGATAAAATTATGTAATAAGGAGACTATGCCCTATTAGAATGGACAAATTATATGCTTTAATTTTATCTAGCAAGAAACCCAGAATGACATTCCTCATTCTTCAACTTACTTGGTCATGTTAATCATGAAAGGTAGGCTGAGGCCAAGTTTACAATGACTATTGCTTCCTCTAGATCTTTTTAAAAAATTTTCCTGGGCTGCAAAGCTGTTTATTCATGTTGACTCAATTGCATCAATTGATGCAATTTATTATTTGCATATCATGTGTGGGATCTTTCTTAACCTATTCAGTTCCTATTCCTGGGACACCATTAGCTGCAGTCTCTTTACCCTGAATGGCCCCTGTAAGGTTAAGAGGGAAGCAAAGTTAGCATTGTGTAGCCCTACACTAACTTCAAAGGGTTCAAAAATTGAAGCTGAGCTCTGGGAGTGGCAGCAAGTGCTTATTATCCTCTGTCAGTACATTGCAATGATTCCTGCATTTTGTCAGTGTTTAATAATTACAGTAATTACACTTTCATAAAAGAGAGTAGTTGATGTGTAAGTTGTGTCCCTTCACCTTGAGGAACTAGTTAATGCTTTGAGTCCTTAGGAATGTGTTGAAATCTTTCAGTTCCCAAGGTTCATAGACGCAGATGCTGTTGGAGCAGGGGGTGACCTCCAACAAGCTGGTCTGCAGGTCCAGGACAGCACTTTATATTCGAGGCCAGCCTCCAACCACATCTTTAATTTAAGTAATATGATGTTATGCCCAAAAGAGGGAACCAAAGGTATTATTCTTTGATTCTTTATACTGCTGAGTGATCATATCAGACTTACATAAGCACTGAAGGTATTTATTCAATTTAAGACATAGGATTTGGGAAGGCTGGTGAACTGGACTAGTCACATAATAATTGTAGATTTACCAGACTTAAATATCTGGGTAAGCAGATATAGGATGGGAGTTTCTCCAGTAGTCCTAAAATTATGGCTAAAACTGAGGAAGTGTTATTTAACCTACAATCTAAAGTGAGCAAATGGCATATCCCTAATAACAAGATTACTAAAGAGCAGAAGCCAAGAGAGATTCAAGAAAAAAAGGGAGGATTCATTGCATCAAGTTCACATGTTTAAGAAGACAATGACCAAGAAAAAAAAGAAAAAAAAAAAAAAAAAAAAAAAAAAAAAAGACTGCCAGATCCAGCAATTAGGAATAGTTTGGGTAAAATGATAGGAGTTGATGCTGAGATGCAATGGGTTGAAAGATTACAAATAAATGAAAGTAATCAAGATAGAACATCATTCCAGAATTTTTTGAGAAAGGAAGGAGACTGATGGGAGCTAAATTTAGATGCTCTGATAAATAAGCCAAGAAATAAAAATTGCAGATAGTCAAAAAATGAGATGCTGGGCAGCAAGGTAGGAGATGATGGAAGACAATGAAGTAGATAAGGGTCTTTCATCTGGGGCTCAAAGAACTTTCAGAAAAGTTACTTAACAGTATAAAAGCAATGATTTGGTTCATTCTGTAAAGGAAGTTCTATAAGTATTCAGATAAAGAGTCCAGTTGAGATTCAAATTCCAAGTTCTAAGTTCCTGTGTTCAGCTTTCTGATCACTCTGCCATTTCTTCCAAGTCATCACAGATGGATAATATAACTCCTCTAGCTAATATATATTTGACAGCAAGCTTTGTAATGAGCAATTACACAATGTAATACAATTGCAGCTAGTAATATTTTATACCACTAAATCAAACTTTTAAAAAGCATCTTAATTTCTATGTTATCAGGTTTTAACACTTTTATGCATAAGAAAGGTATCAAAAATGTGGAATTCCTCTAAAAATTACCAGAAAGTATTAGATGAGGTCTCATTTAAATGCTAATAAAATTTATTTTTTCACTTATCCGACATTTTTCAGAGTTAACCTTATCTGGCCATGATTTATAGCAAAATAATAAAATAGACTTTCAAAAAGCTAACTTTTTGCATTTCTAGAAGATTATAATTACTTCTATGTCCTCTGAGGCTTATAATTTGATAGCATGCCACTCTTAATAAATAGCCCAATTCTGCAATTCTAATATAATCCTATCACATCTTATTATTAGATGATCATTAACTTAAACCCAGTGATTTATTCTAGCCCTCTGTTAATATATGCTGTCATCACTTGTAAAAGAGATTAAAGGAAACACAGAATGTGTTCTCACCAGGGAGACAGATGCAGTTGGTGCTAAACTGGCGAATAAACTGTATGACTACCTCCTATACCATGTCCCATTTTAATCCAAACTTTTAACCTGTGCCAAAATATTGCTGGGACATAAGGAGCCCAAGCACAAACATGCAGAGAGAGAATGCACTAGGGCAATATCTTTACTCAGAAAAGTAAAGTACCGCATTTAATCATCTACACCTAACTAATTTCTATTTTAGATTTCAGGAGCCTATAGAATAGTCAGTTTGCCCAAATATTGAACAGGATGATAACTATCTTATAAGAAAAGGGCACCCAGGAATGATTTGACAATTCTGTTTTAGCTCATCCTGTGTCCAAGTTGGATATTCTAGTTATGAGGCTTTCACAGCTGCTCACATTTTCTACTGGGAATTTTTGATGTGGCTCTGAAAAAAAAATTCTCAAACCTAGAATTCACTCCATCATGTTACCACAAAGCTAAGAGTATTCGTGTGAAAAAGACATCAGGAAAAATAAAAGAATACTCAAACCCATTCTCTTCAGTGGTAGGGGGTTAGTAAGAGGAAGAAAACAGTCCAGGGGACATGAAGTCGAGCAGAAGAGCAGAACTGGAGAAAGTCTCTTGAACTCTTTTCTGTTCATCAGTCTCCATTCAAGATGTGGCAGCTGCCCTTAAAATTTAGGTCTCCAGCAACAGAGAACAATGGCCTTGTAAATTACTGTTTAACTGCTTCAATATTTGGTTAAATAGTAATTTCCTCAAGTGGCTAAAACCAGACAGGATGTTTTGATATTCATGGTTCTTGGCTGTGACGGTTGTATTTCATTTTAGATCAAATTGACAGACTCTTCAACCTCTAAAGCAAACCAAATTATTTTTAAATGCAGCCATCAGAATACTCAACAGGAAATGTAATAGTGCAAGATGCCAAAATGAGGAAAAAAACTTTTCCAAATTAAATTTTCAATGGCTCCTAGATGGGAGTATTAGGAATCCTTCTGCTGCTGCAACTAATGAAGTCAGTGCACTCAAAATGACCCAAAGCAAATTTAGAGTCTTCATTATAATTTTAAAAGGGCTCCACTGTGAGGAAATGTCACCATTCTAACACCAATAGAATAGGGTAGAAGAGTTGGAAGAAAGTTCATGCAAGAACCCCCAAAATTTGAAGCAGACTAAGACAGACAGTTGTCTTAGCCAGAAGCTGGCTCAAGTTTTCTTTCAGTGTTTCCTTAGAAAGGAGGAAGTAAAATGCTAATCTCAAAACCTCACTCTATGTTTCAGTTGTTGAATCTATAAAATAACTATATAATATATTTATATAATTCTAAGCCTATAACTTGTGTTCAATTATTTGCAACAGATCTTTTTGTTGTTCTCACAAAGCCCCCCTGGGAGTACGATTTATAGTAATAAGGCCTGTGTGGGCCCTGTTGAACACAGACTGTGAGGAGATTAGGCAAGTAGTCCCACCTTATAGAACAGGACCTTAACATTTATTCTAGAGTAAGAGTACTAGGCCTGATTTTATTCATGCTTTGAAAAGCATTAGTTGAATACCTACAATGTACACTGCCATACAAGAAATACAAAGATTACAATTCAACAATTCATGAGTCGGTAAGGAGAGCACTGTTAAGGCTTACAAATACATTCCAAATGAATGACAGATCAAACATCTCCTGATTCTCCCAGAAGTCTCTATCCAAGCCCAGCCACACATTCCTTACAAACATTTCTATTCTACTGTAATAAGCTAATGGGGACAAGGAACTGACATACTCAAGTTCATATTCCCGGAGTATTCCAAAGAGAATGGGTGCTTTGGAGTGAGTTTTCAGAATAAATTAATGAATTCAGAGGACAGAAACTAACTTTCAGTTCATGTGATCTGGAAAGACTTCAAGAAAGCAACTTAGCAGACCTGAAAGAACAAAGGAATTGTGACAGAAAGAAGTAGTGGTGGAAAGGAAATCTGAAAGATAATGAATCTGGAAAATATAACCAGAAGCTTTACAACTTATCTCTGACTTTGGAGTTTCCTTCCCCTAGGTCTTTCCTCCTAGACCAGCCTTCAATATGAAGTACCTACAAGAAAATGAACAATTACTTAAGATAAGTAAAGCAAGCTGATTTTTATTTTACTTCCGTTTTTCCAGATGTACTCAGTTTATGGAAGGAAAAGGTAAAGCTTTGACTTAAATTTTACAAGTGAATTATAGCTGTAGACAAAGCTATGTGCATCCAAGAAGTCCTCTTCTCTTAGGACAGTTTGCTTATTTATGGAATTGTGTCTCCCACCAAAAAATTCATTTGTTGAAGTTCTAACCCCTAAAACCTCAAAATGTACTTGCATTTGGAGATAGATACTTTAAAGAGGTAATTAAATTAACACGAGTTGATTAAATTGGACCTTAATCCAGTATAACTGATCCTTCTAAGAAAAGGAAATATGGGCACAGACACACTCATACCAGTGAAAGACAATGTGAAAACACCCATTTATAAGCCAAAAAGAGAGGACAGGAACAGGCCTGCATCTTTCCCTCATGGCCCTCAGAAGGAACCAGCCCTGCTGATGCCTTAACCTGGGACTTCTATTCTCCAGAACTGTGAACAAATACATTTCAGTTGTTTAAGCTCCCCAGTCTGTACTACCTTATTACAGCAGCCCTAGCAAATTAACATACCGCACTAAAGCATCTGAGCACTTTGGCCATGCTTCAGTAGGTTTTTCCTTCATTTGTTCCAGGTAATTGGAAAAGTCTGCCAATTTTTTGTATTTAGATTAACTAACAAGAAGGTGGAGGGTCTCCAACTTTTAAATGGAGGTGCTATTATGGGCAAACCAGTGGCCTTGGAGATAACTAGTCCCTCGGGCTGACTCACTGACTCCCCCACAAAATGCAGTCATCCCAGCCATTGATCTATCTCTTACAAAGGAAATATTTCTATAACAAGGCAATGACCTCTACTGGAAGCAGTGCAGAATTACAGAAATCCCAGTAAGTCTCAAGCTAGACAGAGACAGACAGAGAGACAGAGTGAGAGAGAGAGAGAGACAGAGAGAGAGAGAAACGGTTTTAAGTGTTAAGAAGAAATGACCCACATAGGAATTTTTAAGGGAGAATACTGTTACCCCCAACCACTAAAGAAATCTAAACTGAAAGGAAGTATAAAAGAATAAAAGTAGGGAAACTTTTAAATCACATGTTGCTGGTTGTTGCTGAGGGGAAGGTTGGGGAGAGGGAGGATCACACTGGCTGAGGAGCATCTCCACACTTGCACCTCAGAAGGATTCTAGCTCCTTCCTCAGGGAGTGGTCTACCAACTGCTCATCAGCAGAGGTGCCACCCAGCCCCCCAACCCCAGACTTCATGAGAATCTAAGTTTCAGGAAGTCTCCCCAGGGGTTCTGTAAACACATTAAAGTTTGAGAAGCACTGCCATCTCCCTCATTCAGAAAGAGTGACATTTCAATGGTGTCCTTAGTCCTCTTTAGCATTTCCCAGGGGTGGAAATGCAAATCAACAGAAAGAAGGCACCATACATGAAACACTCTAGGTTCTAAGTTCTAAGCTCACTTGTCTTCACTTAAGTACATATAACACAGCTACTCATAAAATAATACAGGTTGAATTAACAAATGTTTAATTCGCCATTGGTTTTTTTCCTTATAAAACCTTAAAACTAAACTAATGACAGCTTTGGAACTCTCTGATTTCTAGAGTTTTCCATGAAAATGCTGATCCTTCTAGTTCTGCTATTAATCATCCTTCTGTCAGGGAGGCAAGGAGTTTGAATTTTCACTCTCCTTAGTGAATATGTTTCACATACCAAAATTACTTCAGCAATTTGCTCAACAGCTTTAGAAGCCATTACTAAATTGCAGCTCAAATTCATTTCATCTGTTTTCTAAACTGGCTCTAAAATTTATCTTCACAAATTAGTCTAAAGCCTGGTAACAAGAATCAGCTATTTTTCTTCATCAGGAAAGACAGATTTTCTTGTAAATGCCCGCAACACCAGAGTACATTAATTTGTTTACAAATACAGTTTATTTCTGAAGGTGTTCTGGTGAATGTCTAACAACCAGCTCCCAAAAAATGGTTTGAATTTTTGTTATTTGCCAATTGCCATAGTGTAAATTTTCCCACCTTAACCAATTTCAAGATACTAACGTGATCATGGAGCTAGGAAAAGATGAACACAATTGCCTCCTGGCAATGCAAGTAGGTTGTAGCACACCATTATTTATTCTCAAAATACTACCAAATACCCCCCATTCTTCAGACAATTTCTGGTATTGATTTCAAAATATATGTCAGCATGCAATATATGTGCTGTACAACTGTACAAGCTAAATATTTACCAAAGTAAAACAGGCTTGAGATAAATTATTGGTTTTATTAATGACGTGATTATTTTATTATAACAGTAAAAAGGTTGTTCATCAAAAATTTGATGCAACTCTTTTTTGCTTATGAAACATTCATGAGAACAGATACAAAACAGCTGCTGACTCCAACACTGACTGTAATAAGCTTATTCTGCCCACACTTAGCTGCAGGAGCATTCTTCCATTATTTCATTAAGAAGGCTCAGTTTGTATTTGGTGTCCCTCTTATGTTTTTACATTTTATTTCCTTTGTATGTATGTGTCTGTACCCAAATTTCTTCTTATAAGGATCAGTTATATTGTATTAGGGCCCAATTTAATGAACTCATTTTAATTTAATTACCTTTTTAAAGTCCCTATCTCCAAATGCAATAGTAGTCTTCCCGGATATGGCAACACTTCCCATCATAATTCAGTCCCAATCACTTTCTGTTGGCAGGTCAAGACCTTTCAATCTGGACTGGTCCTACCCCTGGCAGTTCCTGCTCCATCTTTAGTCTCTCCAGTTCACACCAGAAAAACTTGTCTATAATTTTATTCATTTTCTAAGGATCTTAATTCTACTCATAAATTATTAGTTTTTCATCATCAGTGCCACAATAAAATGTCACGTTATGGGTTGAATTACATCTCCACAAAAGATGTTGAGGTTCTACTCCCCAGTACCTTGTGAATGTGACCTTATTTGGAAAAAAGGTCTTTGCAGATGACCACGTTAAAATGAGTTCCATGGAGTGGGCCCTAATGCAATATGATTGGTGTCCTCATAAAAACAGTAAATTTGGATAAAGACAGACATGCCTAGAGGGAAGACAATGTGAAGAAACATAGGAAGAAGCCAGCCATCTACAAGCCAAGAAGAGGGGACACGAACAGATCCCTCCCTCATAGCCCTCGAAATAAACCAACCCTGTCGACACCTTGATTTCGGACTTTCTAGCTTCCAGAATTCTGAGACAATCAACGTTTGTTGTGTGAGCAGCCCATTTGCAGTGCTTTGTTATGGCAGCCCTAGCAAATTAATACAGTCACAATCAGAAAAGCTGCATCACGAGTAAATTTTTTACTCATATCAAATTCGGAGAGTTAGTTATAATTTCATTTTTGTAAAACTTCAGCAGATTTAGGTTATTCTATTCCACTCTTGCGATCTGCCTTTTGAGATGCTTTCTAAGTAGCAGGAAACAGCAGGGTTACAGCTGGATTTTGCCCAGAGCCCTAAGTATGTCTCTGTGAGGGTGAGGCACCTGCAAACACCCTGAGCCATGGGTATCCTAAAAGGAAAAGTGGCTGAGAAATGCTAAAATATCTTCTATTAGGCCATTATTAACTCACTAATGCAATGTAATAACCAGTTAAAAAGGGGATCTATGAGTTAATAAAGATACCTCACCTTAATCCGTTCCTCTAATGGACAAATTTCTGAAACTCAAAGCAGGTTGGTGTGGAAGATGTTCTGGGGAAGAAAAACCTCCTCAGAATCCTTTCAATGAACTCTACAGTCAGCCACAAACTCCACCTACATAAAGGTTAGCTTTGTGAGAGAATTTCTAAATGCAAAGGCACGCAAAACAAAACTAACAGTTGGAACCATGTCAAGATGCTCCTTTATTGAAACATAACATTTTTTAGAGCCTAGAGGGACCTGGGAGACTCATATTTTATAAGAAAGAAATGAAACCTGGAGGTACTTCTCTAAGGTTGCAATTGTTGGGAGACTTGACCTCGTACCTTAGTTTCTTTCCCCGCCCCCCGCCTTTTTTTTTTTTTTTGTGACAGTTTCATTCTTGTTGCCCAGGCTGCAGTGCAATGTTGTGATCTTGGCTAACTGCAACCTCTGCCTCCCGGGTTCAAGCGATTCTCCTGCCTCAGCCTCCCGAGTAGCTGGGATTACAGGTGCCTGCCACAGTACCCAGCTAATTTTTTGTATTTTTAGTAGACACAGGATTTCACCGTGTTGGCCAGGCTGATCTTGAATTCCTGACCTCAGGTGATCCAGCTGCCTTGGCCTCCCAAAGTGCTGGGATTACAGGTGTGAGCCACCGCACCCAGCATCGTATCTTAGTTTCTTTCATTCTAAGCCCCAGCTACCAGAAGTGAACTATATGAACCTGATCATGTCTCCCAGTCACTTGAGCTTTTTTAGAATGTAAATTTCCAAGGCCCAGTCTCAAAAATTCTGATTCAAATCTCAGGTTTGGCTCATAGATCTATAATTAAACTCTTGGAAAATTTGGCCAGGTAGCCAGGTTTGAAACCACTGTTGGAAAAGATTCTGCCTAGAGACCTACTACCTTTGGTCCACTGCTTATTCCACTCAGACCCAGCCCTGTGTGATAATTATCACATCTTCTCTTATCCTAAGGACGATGCTTAAGGTCCCCAGGCCAGCTTCTGATGCCTGGCACATTCACACTCAGCCTTGCACTATAGAACCTGCTCCTCCTGACTCCCAGGCAAGTCCCTAGCACAGAAAATATTTGAGAGCAGGAGAGGGAGAAAAAAACCCTGAAATTTCTTGCTTGAATACTTTCATTTCATACTCGGTTCTGTTTCTTAATGTACTTGAACACATTCAATTTGCAGCCTCCAAGTAGCTATTTACCCATTCACCAAAGGCAGGATGATTTATGTAGGGTGAATTGTAATAAGCACAGGTTTCATTTATTTCATATCATTGCTGTATCTCCTAGGGGGAGGAGGGTTGATTTAAAAGCAAAACAAAAAATTAATCAAACTATGGCCTAGTTAATCACAATTATTTATACATTTTGGTAGTTCAAGCCAGAACACACGGCTTCCTTGGGAATGTGGAGAATGAAGAGAACGCAGGAGAGAGCTGAATGTTAAGAAGTTTGGAGCTGTAAATAAACTGTGCTTGTGGTCACAGTGGTCGGGGCTGTATGACTAGAGTGAGGTTGTGCCTACTTTCTGGGCTTCCATCCTAAGCTTTCTCACCCTCACATTTGAAGATCACAGTCAACAACACCCAATAGGGAGAGTGACACTACAAAATTCAAGAGACATGGCTGCACTAGAGAGTTGCCTTTGAAACCTTTCTCAAATATTCCTTCTCTTTCTCATCCCCACTCAACCTCTTCTAGGTGAGACTCTCATCAACTCTCTTCTAAATGGCTCCAGGAACCCCTCACTGCCTTCCTTGCCTCTGGGCTCTTCAATGCTCCTGCCCTTTCAACAATACTGCCTGACCATTCAGGGTCTTCACTCTCAGTATCTCCAGCCCCCACTCCCTGCACTCCAGGGGTCATGAGGCCTCTGGAAAATGGGAACTACCTCCAGTTGGCACCTGTTTGGAGATTTCTGCTGTAGAATACAGGTTCAGGCTGAACTTGTGTAACCTACACAGCCTGCAACAGTACCAGGGTTTCTATGCCAAACTGGAAACCCAAAGAAGGTTTGGAGAAGTCGTACTTTGAGATACTATTTTTTGGGCTGTCTCTCCTTGGAAACCTATTTCTTTCCAAGGGAAAAAATAAAACGGTAATGGGACTCTTTTGGAACTTCTGCTTCCAAGTCTAGAGCTGACGTTTTTTTGCCTTTGTTTCCAGCACTGAAATACAAGGCCAGTTGGGCTCATTGGCAGACAGTGTGATTAATACTAAACTTAAACTTCAGATTCCTTCAGGCAACCTCAGAAACTATATCCTGAACAAGAATTGGCCTCTTTTTAAAATAATGAGGTAGACATACTACATCTCATCTTTATATTGATTTTTATCTGACTACGAGTTTCATCAATGACAAAATAGTTTCGGAATGAGCAAGGCACCTTCTGCGTCAGAAACATGCTGAACAAATCACATAACGAATATAAACCTGTGACATTTTAGGTTCAGGACAAGCATTTGCACAGTCTGCAATATCACACTAGGAAAGGGCTGAACCTTCCAGCCCTTAGGTACTGGCTCCCCTGGAAGTGAGAAGGAATTCAGAAACTCAACTACAAGATGTCAGAGAGATTACAGTCACTGACCTTCCTTTTAGGAATGTCTGCAGAGTTACAAAGGATCAGAATGAAAGTCTATATTCAGATCCAGATTAAAATTTTAGGGGCTGTTAGGTAGTAGAGAATAAAACAAATATTGCTTTTGGGGAGTCTCAGAGTGTTGGGCTTGTGCTTTCCAAGTTTTTTTTGTTTTGTTTTGTTTTGTTTTTTGTTTTTGTTTTTGTTTTTTGAGACGGAGTCTCTCACTGTTGCCCAGGCTGAAGTGCAGTGGCGCTGTCTCAGCTCACCACAACCTCCACCTCCTGGGTTCAAGCGATTCTCCTGCCTCAGCCTCCCAAGTAGCTGGGACTACAGGAAGGCGCCACCATGCCCTGCTATTTTTTTTCTTTTTTTTTTTTTTTTGGTAGAGAGGAGGTTTCACTATGTTGGCCAGGCTGGTCTCGAACTCCTGACCTTGTGATCAGCCCGCCTTGGCCTCCCAAAGTGCTGGGATTACAGGCATGAGCCACTGTGCCCGGCCTCAAAATTTCTTAGATTGCCTTGGATAGATTGGAAACTTCAGACACAACCACAACATAAATGGCTTAATGACCACAGAGAAGACATTAGGCCCAGTAATGGGGTGACTGCTAAATTGGAATGCAAATTCCCTCTCTTCCTTGGCTTTCAAAGACTTTCAAAATGAAAGAAAGAAAAATTAGAGCATTCTCTTCTCACTGGCTTTCTACACCCTCCATCCCATTACTCTCACATAAACAAATATACACAGCAAAGCACTGTTCCCTAAATAAGAACTTAGGAACCATGGAGCATAAATCATAATGAAGCCTGGAGGAATCTCAGTCAATCTGGTAGCTTCTCATATTTGGGGTACAAACAATGTTTTTTTTTTTAAAAAAAAAAAAAAAAAAAACAATGTAGCTATAGAGTCCAGCATTTTTCTACTTCAGGCTATTTCTTTGATTCTGCAACTTTTTGTCTCCCACTTCAAGGATCACCCCATTCCTGGGCCTGATGTCTTCTCTGTGATCATTAAGCCAATTATATTGTAGCTGTGTCTGAAGCTTCCAATCTATGCAGGGCTTTCTGAGAAATGTGTTCTCATTCTGCCTATTTTCTGTCTGATTCTTAGCTGGTGTGCTCTTCTCTATGATCCTACTCTCTGGCTGTGTGAGGCTCTTCATGTCTTCAAAGGAGATGATGTACACAAAAGCATCTGGTGCATGGTAGGTACCTACATACTAGTTTCCTTTTCCCAGGGCCACTCTACATTAAGCCCAATACTCAGAGACTTCGCAAAGCAATATCTGTCTTATTCTATTCTCTACCACCAAAGAGCCATCCCAATCCTAATTTGGATCTGAATATCCACTTTCATTCTGACCCTCTCTAATTTAAACCAGTTCTTTATTTTTGTTATCTTCCCCTTCCATGTTTCTTCCTTAGATAATGACTTCCTCCTTTAAATTAACTTTATCAAATACCTTAATTTATAAAAACTATAAATAAAATAGCATTAATGGGGGTGTAAAAGGCGTGCTCTGGTGAGATTTAGTGTGCTGACCTAAAAAGTCTCCGAATGCCCCAAAGGCAGATAATCGCTTTAGACAGATTAACCAAAGGGGCCCAATTTTTGAGATCGAGAAATCAAGACCCTCTGAGTTATTCCAACTAAAAACCAAGATGCATGTAACAGCTAATAAAGCTAAATTTATGCATTAAGGAGAAGGAAAACTTCAATCACTCTTCCTGTGCTGTAGAAAATTCATGAACAAATAAATATATTCATGCAAATAGCTCCCACCTCAACGATGAGTTTGTAGGAGGGTGTTTTTTCCTTAAATTAACCTGCATTTTAAAGCAGGTGCTCCCCAACTGGGAAATCTGGCAGAATTAGTGAGTAGGAATGACCTTTATTCAGACTGTAATCCGTACATATAATTGATGACAGCCTCCAAAAAGATACTAACATTCTGACCTGGTACTATTACATTTCAAGGTAATTTGTGTCATAATGGTTCATTTGAAAACAAGTACAAGCAAGTTAATGCAGCACTGAATATAATCACTTGTTCACATTCTCAGGATCTAAAAGAAATGGAACAGGCTTTTAAAAAATCAATACACAAGGCTGAACTTAATGGATTTTTCACTGGAACCTGCTCTGCTGCACGGCACAATATACAACCCAACCTAGGTCTCAGCAGAGCTGGATTAGATTGGAAGAGTCTATCCTACCCACCTCCTAGGCCAAGGATATTCTAGTGTCAGGAAAAAAGACAGTTGGCAAAGCAGTCTCAGTGAGCAAGAAATGAGAGTTCAAGACAGCTTTAGGATGAACCAAATTCTACATTAGAGCAGAAAAGAGATTTGGCTCAAAATATCAGCCTGGTTTTTCACTCCTTTGCATATATTGTTCATAAAAGCCTAAAATTTGGGAGAATTCTAGATTTGGCATCTTGGAGAAATAGCAGAAGAAGGTGTAACTGGAGAGAAGAGTACTAGAGAACACCAGAGGGAACATTTCCAAATGGAGCATATCCTGGCTTGCCAGGAAAGGAGACCGTGGGGTCATTTTGACTTAACAGATGATTCCAGGGAAGGTACTTCTTAGACCTCTGTGTCTCAGTACATTCCTGTGCAAATTGAATGCAGAGAGGAGGGTTTTATGGAGAAAAAGATACTTTTTTTCCAATGTCATGAGGCACTGATAAAAGATAGGAACAGATTCCTGGATAAGAGATACTCCCCTGGCCTGGACTAGGCCCACTGTCCTAGGGGACAGTAGGACCTCACTAAGGGCCTGCACGACTGATATTGCCTTGGTACTAGGATTCCTTGTTGTGTCTCCTGTCATAAAACAGGTGTGACATTCAAGGGACTTAAGGGGTGCCACAGCATTTCGAATATGAAAAACAGGAAATTTGATTCACTTTTAAGCATTCACACAGCCCATATAAGAACTTGGGGCTTGTAGGAATTTTTGGAAGAGAAGGGGGCAGTGAAGACAGGGAAAAGGCTATATCCATGGGCCCCTTACTCTCAAGGAGAATAGATTAGGAGAAACTGGTTCTTTACAGGATAGCCAAATATTGAGTATTTTCATTTAAATAACTCAAATGCCAATATTCCATAGTCATTCAATCAAATGCAATGTTACATTTACAATACCCTTATTAACTTTGCTATTAGAGACTGATTTTATAAGCCTGCATTCCAGACCACATTTTGTAAATTCTATAATTTGGATTCTTTCATTGTAAATTAGACATTTTCAAACATCACTTAATCATTAACAATTTGCTTGCATGAGTATAATTTAAAACATATACATAATACTTAATTTTGTTTTCAGTACACAATGGAGATAAACTACTCAGAACACTCATATTTACCAAAGTAAATAACCCATACCTAGTTTAACAATAGCCATCTAATAAATGAAACTGGAGGAAATACAATTACAGCACTTATCAGGTAAGAAAAAAGTAGAATCATGAGCAGATATAGTTTGTTGTCATGATTCATTTTCCCAATACTCTTCACAATAATGGAAAAAAGCATCTAATTGAAATGTTAACTCAGGGTTCACACCAAAATCTTGCTAAGCGAAAATTTTAATTCCTGTTTTTTATTAGTAAGAAGTCATACATGGACATCATTTATACCTAGGGTGTTCTGGTAATCAGAAAAATGAATCTTTTCCACAATCTGTACCTCACCACCAGGAATATGAGGACCAAGTATCATCTTTTCCAGACTGAAGCCTCCACCTGGAATTTTTAGAAGCTAATGTGCATAAAAATGCTTAACACAGACCTAGCAGGCACTCCACAGCTATTAGTTTCTCTTCCCATCCTCCTTGCAACCTTAGGAATTCACCTGGTGGGAATTAAGTCTTGTTCCTTTAAGTCTTTAGAGCTTGAAATATGAACAAACTCTACCACCATAAAACAAGTAGGTCAGCACTTACCACTTTCTTTTAAGTGTCCTGTGCCTATAGAAACCATTTTTCTTAGGTTCAACACCTGTGTTATCTATGGGTCACCATCATGGTGCTCTGTACCCTCTCTACACAGCATTGTGTCCCACTCACAAAGTCCTCCATGTCAGGACTTGTGGGGATCCACAGGAGACTGCTAGGGCTCCAGGTATTATCATTTAGAAGGGCCTCATTTACTACCAAGTATAATCAAGTGTCATGCCAGAAAATGAGTAATACAAAATAATACTACCTCCGGGGTGAATAGATATGTCATAAATTTTAATGTGACTTGGTTATAATAACAAGAGAAGGAAAATATATATCCTTAAATCTCAACCTCCTAGGCTTATTATCTTGTTTCTTGTTTTTCTTAATATTTTCTATCTCCTTTACTATGGATTATTGATTTAAAACCTATATGGACACTCTGCTTTACTAGTATTGACTTATTTATCATTAACGTGTTATTGCATAAACCAGGTTTCACCATTTTCTTTAATAAAATTTTTAAATATTAAAATTCACTGCTCTGGGAAACTACCTAAAAGAAATGTTCCCACTGAATCCTCTAGTGGCCTCTCTTGTGTTTTACACCTCTTATATAATATATATCATTCATTCACTACACAAACATGTATTGAATATCTATCGGGTGCCAGGTACTGTACCTACCAGATATTAAAGTTATAAGAATGGTTCCTGCTATCACAGAGATTACCTTCTAGTGAGCAACATCAAAACTAAGCAAGCTAAAATTCTTCCTAAAGTCTTTAAAACTGAACAGGGTGTTATGATGGAGATTAATAAAATGTATTAAGGAGATACCTATTAAGAAGAAGGCCTAAGGTAGATAGAGCAATCAGGAAAGACCATTTATTGAGGTGATCTGTGAACCAACACTTAAATAACAAGAAACAGCAATCTTGCAAAGGACAGGAGGGGGACGATCCCAGGCAATGGGAATAGCTAGTGAGCTCTACCTCCAAAAATATTATGGACCTTAACTATTGCCTTGAGAAAGGAAGGCTATATGGATTTAGATGTGATCACATTCCCTGAGCTTTCTCTTCTGTTAACCGTGATGTACCATTCAGGAACACGCACTGCACTTTGAGTCAGGTATGTTCTCCGACTAAGATTCCCTCCCCAGTGTAGCATCAAGACCTCCCCCTAGTGTTTAATCTCACATGGCTAAAGGACTTGCCAATAAGTGACAAACAAAATTAGTCATATTAACTATGCTTTCTGAAACAAATCCAGAACATATGGCTAACACAGTGGTTTTCAAATTGCGCTCTGCAAAGACAGAGGTTCACTCAGACCCTGCCCCACATGAGACCAAGAGAATAGTTTTCTCCTTCACCACAACTGTTTTCACCTGTTTAACACATTGAGATTCTGTTGGTTTTATTTAATGAAAGGGTTTTGTGAGTAAAAAGGATTTGAAAACTCTAGTTTCCAGCCTGTTCTAGAACCTTTAAAGGAATCCAACTCTCTCAAACATGCTAGAAATGTTTGCACCTTATCTTTAGTTCTTCCAGGCCACCTCCTATGTTTCCATCCACTAAGCCTAAATCTCTTCCGGTTCCCCAACTCACACTCCATTGTGGCTTTGGCTTTATACCTTGCCTCCAGTTCTCTGTTTAGCCTATAAACAATTGTTTGTTTATAGGCTTAATTAATTGTGTTATAGATTTAAAGAGCCAACTCCTTCCTCCTTACTTGAGGACAAAACAAACAAAAAAACCTCTTACAATTAAAATGCAGAGATCATTAACATATACAAGGTAGTTCAGTCCAGAAACAAACATTTTCAATTCATTGATTTGAAGTAAATTACTGATCTTTGGCAGGGAAAACATTGAGAAAACTTAAAAGTCAGATAGCCAGGTTTTCAAAAGAAATGCATGAAAACATTCAAGGTAATCCAGAACACAAAATAAATGAAAATATGCTTTGTTGCATAAACCAGGTTTCACCATTTTCTTTAATATACTTTAATACTCAAACTATTCCTCATTAAATTATAGTCTCTGATTATGACCCATTTGATAGGATCTCTCTCCTTTACATCAAAAGAGAAAGTAACTCTGAAAGGAAAAAAAGGACTAAATCAAGGGTTAAGAGGAGAAAGAAAAAAATACAAAGACTGAAAAAAAGTAGAAAGAGCAGGACAGTTACAGATGAGTTTAAAAACACAAGGTCATCTTTCAAACTTCCAAAAAATTGCTACTTCTAGAATTATTCATCAGATGTTGTTGCATAGTGATTTTTTACCAGTACTTTATGGAAAGAACATTCTGTAGAAGATCCTCCTATTTCTTTTGAAACTTCTCAGTGGTCTCGCTGCAGTGCAAGCCCAGATGGATTGGTCCTTACTGATTTGCAGTGCAGCACTACCAGCTTTCTGAACTTCTCTTTCAGGTTTTGTTAAAATTAGATGCTAGGGCACTAAGAAACAGAGGGCTCATTTTTAGCTGTCGCAGATGCCCATGCACTGCACAGAAGACACTCACGTTGCTTTATTCGTATTGGAAAGGTGCACTTAATTTCTTGGTCAAATTTATTTACCTGTTATGCTGAGTTCACTTCTACGATGCAACTTCCAATCAGAAGCATGAAATTAAAATCAGCTAACTCCATTCTAGCTTACAATGCAGTGCAATAAACAGTAGAATTAAAGTCAGCTGGGTTACCACTGCTTAGAAAATCAGTGAAAACCTCAGATTCACAAATCAACAGGATTTATATATGCAGTGAACCCTTAGGAAATTTCCTGTTTTTTAATACTAAAATAAATACATTTGAGCACTAATACTCAAACTACTGCTCATTTAAATTACAGAGATGAGAACAGGAATAATTTACTGGCCTATTTGCACATTAGCACCCATGGAAGGCTTTAATGACTATCCTTCTCTTCCAGCAAGCTATCTAAACCTGACTCATTAATGGGGTTTCCTCAGCCTTTGGATGTAGAAAATAAATTTTTAAGTGTATAGTACAAGAAGATGTTGCCTTGGATTTTTTTGGAGAGAAATATTACGTTAAAACAAAACCACAAGTGTAAGATGAGAACTATCAGTTTACAGTTATCCTTCAGAGCAGAGACAATGTTCACTTAACATTTTAGGACTTAGTAATAAAGAAAATTAATTTTGTGATCTCTAGTCATGTCTTGAAATTAAAACCTGGGCTCCACTGGAGGTCTAGAGATGTGAATAACTGAGCCCTTCTAGAACAGTTTGGAAAAGAAGCCCCAGCAGAACTGAGCAAGGTTTACAATATCCACCTTCCAGGGTATGCAAGCACATCTCCAAAGAAATCTAGAGGGACACCATTTTTGCAGGCTAGAAAACAAACAATAGTTAAAAGACAAAATGAACTCTTCCACTCCTCCCTAAAATGTGGTTCCTATTCCAATCGCAGCCAAATAGCCTTATACTGGCTTAGAAGGAGATAGAATTTGGAGGTGCTCACATATCTCTACTGAGTCCCCCCAACCCAACCCCACGCAGAGTAATGAGATTATGGTGTCCTCTGACATGACACTTTGTCTTTGTAAGAACATATTCCCTGAGTTGTCCCTCATATTGCTTCATCAAAAAAAAAAAAAGCAAACTCGCTTTATTTACTTATTCTATAAATATGGTTTTCATTACAATTCCAACTGCATTCACCCTTTTGTAAAATTACACATGAATGAGCATGTTTGTTTTCTTGTTTGTCATAAAAGACATTTAAAAATATTTAGAAGAAAAGTAAGTCCTTGTACTTAAGTACTGTTAAAAGACAAATACATCATAGTGTGCAAATAAATGGAGACTCTAAAATGACACATGTATATCACCATAATTCATAAATATTATACTTGAGAAGTCATATAAAGTAATATTGAAGTATTGGTAGAATTTTAAGTTCCTCCCTATCAGTTCTATAATTAGAAGCTAACTCATCAATCATTTCCACTGAACAGCATTTCTGGTATAGTTTATTATAGTAACGCCATTACATAATCAGTATGTAGACCAGTATGTGGCAATGCTTTGTATGTCTTTTTACCCATCACAATTAAAGACATTATTATAAAACACCACTTTGATTCTTTATCTTGACTACAAATAAATAAATGGATTTAATGAGACTTCATGGCCTAATCTTGGTGAACTTAATCCACCACTATGACAATGTATAAATAGCTCTAGCTTAATACATTACAAGTTAGTTATATTAATTTTTGTACCCAATAGACAAACTAAATAACTGATAATCTAGCAGTTTTCCTTTAAGAAAAAAATCTAATTTATTACTTTATCCAGGAGATGACAGAGTTCATCATCTTCACCAATAACTTCTATGTTCACTCTTCCCCTCTGGACACACATCTGCTAAACCTCTTTGATGTCTGCAGGACATCAAGGCAATCATTTCCCCCCAAATCCACCCCATTCTCATGGATGCTACCACTCTGGACTACTAAGGGGATCCAGGCATGCCTCATGCCTAAGATTACACAAATTAGTTAATAATTAACTGATCTTACAGAAGGTAGAGCCTAAACCTTGAGAGAAAAAACTCTGAATTTGAATTGGCATTTGGGGCTGGGAAGATGCAATTAAAGGACACAAGTTCATTATATGGGGTATGTTGAAAAAAGGACAAATCATGTCTGTACTCCAAGAGAGGCACTACCCTCTCCTCTGCCTCATGAAAATTTTAGTTCTTAGGTAGGAAAAAGATTCCCAACTACAGTAACATTTGCAGTAAATACAATTTGACCATTTTCCCTGTAGTTGGCCCTTTGACCATAGAACTTTCTGGGAAAACCTATAATTGATAATATCCTATTAAATGCCCCTTAACTTGGAGGCTTATTACTAAGTTATCTCTCCTAAAGAAAAATGAAGCAGAGATTACATGAATCATGTAATGAAACCTAACCAGCTGAATTAGAAGCTTTCATAGAAGCATAAGCTCAGCCATCCCCAGTGGTTTCTTCAGGAGCAGGTTGTGTCATAAGCACAAATAGATCTTTTAATGTGGTTGAAGCCTCTAGAGAAGTTACTATAACACGCTACAATTGACTAATGTCAACATTTTATACACAAATATTCCCAGTTGATTGTCTGATTTTTTTTAGGCACCAAATGACTGACACTGATTCTTTTGACTAATATTCATCAAGTCAATTGCTAAACTGGCATTATTATTAGAAAGCATTTTAAAGTTCAATTTGATAGCTATTTAATTCCTCTTAATCACCTCAAAGACCAGGTTAGAATATTTGGCAGATAGATTTCCAAGGCAAATCCAAGAACTAAACCAGATAAACTCATGAGCTGGGTACACATCAAACCATTAAAACTTTTCTTTTTAAGATGGAAGGCCGGGCGCAGTGGCTCACGCCTGTAATCCCAGCACTTTGGGAGGCCGAAGTGGGCGGATCACGAGGTCAGGAGATCGAGACCATCCTGGTTAACAGGGTGAAACCCCATCTCTACTAAAAATACAAAAAATTAGCCGGGCATGGTGGCGGGCGCCTGTAGTCCCAGCTACTCGGGAGGCTGAGAGGCAGGAGAATGCCGTGAACCTGAAAGGCGGAGCTTGCAGTGAGCCGGTGATCACTCTGCTGTACTCCAGCCAGGGCAACAGAGCAAGGCTCCATCTCAAAAAAATAAAAATAAAAAATGGAAAGACACCATAGGCAGATACAGTAAGTAACAGTAAGTAATCTTCACTGTCTTCACCTTGTAGGAAGGATGGAAGGAAGGAAAGAAGCAAGGAAGGAAGGAACAGTAAGGATTCTTCACTGTCTTCACCTTGTAAAAAGGAAGGAAGGAAGGAAGGAGGGAGGGAGGGAGGGAGGGAGGGGAGGAAGCAAGGAAGGAAGCAAGGAAGGAAGGAAATTATATTAGAATCCTGCATCTAAATAGATGTTTTCCTACCTTAACTCGTATCTGCCTTAATTAGACCTCAGATCAGACTCTCCCCTTGTGCTTCCAGAAGTTCCCTGTGACCACAAGCTCCCCAGTAGAACTAATCTTCCTCCTACGAATCTGTTGCTGATTGATCAGTTTAGTATTGTGCTCCTTCTCTATGACCTACCACGCTTACTTTTCTGTGAAATTTCCCTGCATGTATAAGACATTGGATTCTCAGATACAACAAGGATCCCCCCTTGTTTTTCCTGCCTGAATTTCTTAATCATCACATTCCCTGGAGGGCCTTCCTCTGAGATGCTAGAATCCCAGGATTGATCAGTAACACTAGGCACCATTAACAGCCCAACTGCACACACACTGTTTCTTCTCACCTGTTGGAACATAGAGACCACTGGTGTCACTCCAAATTTCAGGTCTAAGCAACACTTTAGGGTATGTTACCAGCAGAAGATGAAGCTAAGAAGCAGTTCAGGAGTTGGAAAAAGGTAATTGGTGGAGATTCAATAAAAATGATCATAAGAAGTGAATTTTGAGAGAAATGGAAACCATTAAAAAGGACGGTATGAAAAGCTGTATTAGGATTCTCTGGAGAAATAGAATTTTATATATATATATATATATATATCCTATACTTATGGGAATTGACCCACAAGATTATGGAGGCTAAGTACTATGATATGCTGTCTGCAAGCTGGAGAACAGGAAGGCCAGTGGTGTAATTCTCTCCACGTGCTAAGGCTTGACAACCAGGGAGATGACTAGTGTAAGTCCCAGAGTCCCAAAGCCCAAGACCCAGGAGCTCTGATATCTGAGGGCAGGTTAAGATGGGTAGCCCAGCTCAAGAAGCAAGAGAATTCACTATTTCTCCAATTTTTTGTTCTATCTGAGCCCTCAATGGTTTGAATGATGTCTGCCCACATTGGTGAGGGTGGATCTTTGTCTACTGATTCAAATGCTAATCTCTTCCAGAAACACTTCCATAGACACACAGAAAAATGATGCTTTATCAGCTATCTGGGCATCCCTTAGCCCTGTCAATTTAACACATAATCAACCATCACAAAAGCATAAGAAAAAAAAACTTTAAAAATTAAAAGAGATGTGTTGTCTTGAATTATATTTTTTTAAGTTTTTGAAAGATGCAGCCCACCCAATTCACTGGGGATGCTATCAGCAGTGGAACTAGTGACTGTACTACATCATACATGCTTTAGAAAAGGGATTCAGGATTGGAATTCAAATCTGTCCAAGTCTTAATACAGCTCTTTTCTATTATACAATCCTACCTCTAGCTCTGGCTACCTATGTTGAAACTAGGATGGCAAGTTTCTTTATTATTTAAAATTTCTGTTTGAGAAGTTTGTTCTAAATCAAATTAATATTATCCTATTTTATTATTCATATTCATTCAACAAATATTTTTAGAGAATCAGTTATATGCAGAAGCTGCACTAGTTAACTAGCACATCAAAAATATAACTAGAAATTTTGTTGAAAGGACGAATATTTTCTTGGCTTCTTCATTGTCCTCCTCATAGGACCTGAGATGCCTTCCATTTCTTTCATCCATCTTGCCCTAGAATTTACAATTTTTCTATATTAAATCAATAATCTCTTACAATTCTTGGCCTCAATTTAGTCACCATTCCTGACAGATTATTCAGTAAGCCTTTTAATGTATACACATCTTATTCACATAAGCTTCATTTCCCACTTTCTTACACTCTAATATTCACCTCAATTTCCTATTTCCTGCCTGTACTGCTGCCTTGGGGACACTGGGAAAAACCCTTTAATTTATAAATGTTATCCTCAACTAATTTGTTCCAATTGTATCACTATCTCCATAGAAAATTCCAGTGGCATTGTATTTTTATATTAATGGTATTTCTTCTCTCTCCTTGTAAGAACCCTGTATAATAGATACCCAGGTGACCACTAGAATAGTATTGTGAAAGATGTTTTGGTTACCTATTTTTTACTATCTGAATTGAAGTTTTTAAAAAATAGTGAAGAAATGAAGACTAGGGTGTGAAGCTACTATATACCCAACTGAAGAAAAGTAAAGACAGTGATCTCATCCTAATTTAAACATATGTTTAATTTAGAAAGCCCCTGATTCAGTGACAGATAGTATTAATAAAAATGAAATAATACCTGGATGTATGCTTCATGTTTCTTCACTAAATACTGGATTATCAATAAGCAAAAAAGTTGAATTCACTTGTAATTAAAAATAGTTTAATAAAGAATTCATATAACAATCCAGTATTTGTTTTAGCTTGAAATAATTGTCCTGAGATGCTTTTTAAGAAGAAAATGTCATGGCTCACTAAGGATACTTTACCTTGGTGTGTCAATGTCTCACTCACTGTAAAGTATTAGGCTAAGCCACATAGAATTACTGATATTTGACTTTTTGATCTATGAAAATGGGAATTTCACACAGTTCAAAGTATATCAAAAGGCTTTGCTTATTTTTAACTATTTGCAACCTACAAAACATCAACTTCTTATGGTTCAACCTAATACTTAAATAAAAGCCAAGTCTCATTAAGCATTTGCAATATGCCATTTCCTAGACTAAACATTCTTTATAGACAATTGCATTTAATTTTCACAATTGTTCTAAAATGTGATTGTTATCCTCATGCTACAGACAAGAACATTAACTTTAGAAAATGCATTTGTTTCATGGAACTATGGATGTTAAAGGTGCTTCTGGTGAGCCTTTAAAAGGAAATAATGGACATGTTTTCGACACTGGAGGAAAGGTGATCGTTGTTATAAAGTGGCAGAAAACATGGGTGAACTATGTTCTAATGTTGAAATATTAGGGTGGAAGAGAGAATAAACTGTTGTGGATTGAATTGTGTACCTAAAAAGAAATGTTGAAGCCCCAACCCCCAGTATCTATGGATGTGACCTTTTTTGGAAATAGGGCCTCTAAAGATATAATTGGTTAAGATGAGGTCATATTGAATTAAGCGGACCTTAAACCCAGTATAACTGGCATCCTGATGAGAAAAGAGGACAGAGACAGAGGAGACATAGGGAAGAATACCCTGTAAAGATGGAGACAGAGATTGCTGTTACACTGTCTCATGCTAAGGAACCCAAGGATTGCTGGTCACCACCAGAGCTAGGAGGAAAACATGGAACAGATTCTTTCTCAGAGCCCCCTGAGAGGCAACCAGCATTGCCGACACATTGATTTTTGACTTCTGGCTTCCAGAACTATCAGAGAGTACTTTTCTGTTGCTTTAAGCTATCCAGTTTTGGTAATTTGTTACGGCAGCCCTAGGAAACTAATTCAGAGAGACAAGTATAAGGTCACCTGTCTAATAGGTAGTAGAGACAGGATTCGACCCAAACAGACTGATTCCAGAGCTCATGCTATAAATTACAATGAAGTACTGTCTCCATAATCACATCCATTATCTTATTTTTATCACATTCTATTAGTCAGGCATTAAGGGTTGTATTTTATAGATGGGGAAACTGAATCTCAGGAAATGAGACAACTTGTTAGCCAGTGGCAATACAAGCATTTGAACCCAAATAAAGTAATTTCCATAAACGTTCCACTAAAAACCCAACCACATTTGGTAATCATCCCCCACGTATCTGTATTTATAACAAGAGTATTTCAGTAGAGTGTTGATTTCTCTAGTAGTTTCTGGATTCATATGCATGTACTGCATTCCTGGGGAAGATTTGAGAACTAAATCAAAGGCTTAACTATTATCCACCACCTCTGTATACCTTAGTAGCTGAGATTTATGAGACCTCTTCTAGTATTCTTTCATGGGAATGAATCCCAAGGGCTGGTGTTCTGCAGAACTATTAACTCTGCAACTACTGCCACATTAGAAGCTTACTCTTTACGTTTCAGAACTCCTTAGACATCTATAGTAGTAGATGGCCCCAAATAACTGAAGGAAGTTTGCGATTATCAGATGCAGCTAGGAAAAGTCTGCTCCTTTCAATTGTTCCACAGAGCACAATTCAATCAAAATCGGAAGAGACTTGAACAAGTTTTGAGAATAGAAATGTAGATGATTAGGTTATTGTTCAGTACACAGGCACATACATACACACACACACCTCACTTCTTTTGTTCGTTTGTTTTGAGACGGAGTCTCTCTGTCGCCCAGGCTGGAGTGCAGTGGCGCGATCTCGGCTCACTGCCAGCTCCGCCTCTCCCGGGTTCACGCCATTCTCCTACCTCAGCCTCCCAAGTAGCTGGGACTACAGGTGCCTGCCACCAGGCCCAGCTAATTTTTTTTTTTTTTTTTGTATTTTTAGTAGAGATGGGTTTTCACCATGTTAGCCAGGATGGTCTCGATCTCCTGACCTCGTGATCTGCCCGCCTCGGCCTCCCAAAGTGCTGGGATTACAGGCGTGAGCCACTGAGCCCGGCCTCCCACCCTATTGATGTTGGGTTTGACCATGTGACTTGCTTTGGCCAATGAGACTTTTAATAGGCATGTCACAAGCAGAGGTCTAGATTGCGGTCTGAACTGGGGCTTGCTGCCTTGTTTCTTTGTTACTGCCAAGGAAAGAATAGCCCAGTAGTTCCAAAGAAAGGACAATGAGTCCTTTTTGACAAATAAATGACAAAGAAAGGCTGAGCTCAGCTATGCCAGCCAAGACTGTCTGAGCCCACACCAACCCGCAGGTGCATAATGGATAAATGTTTGTTATCATGTGCCAGTAATATTTTTGTGGTTGATAATTACCATAGCACTGTTGCAGTAATAGCAGCCTGATATAATACATAAATGTTTTAATATTATTATTCTTTAGGGAGCTATATCCTAATTAAAAAAAATACCTAGCCTTCTAAATGATTATTTTTTCCCTGCCTCTGAATAACCTTGAACAACTGAGCCTGTCTTTCATTGCTGCATGCTTTTGTTTTATTTGGTCTCCATTTTCTGAAAGGCAGCATGACGAGATAAATCCATTGGGAAGAATAAAATGAATCCATTCCATAAACAGCTGCAAAATCCCAGAAGAATCACTGTGTAACCCTGCATGGTCACTTTGGTTATAAGAGGAGCCTCCCCTAAGGTAAGATTCAAGCCCTGGATACACTGACTAGGGTGCCAGTCTTTTCTGATTACTGGACTTTCTGTAAAGCACTATTCTCTTAATTGCTCAGTATTTGTTAAATTTGTGAAATATTATGCAAGTTTGCATGCTTCAGGATTACTTTTCATTTATTAAACAGTTATAGAAAAATACAATTGCTTATTTCATGTAACCTGAAATATTTCTCAGGACTTCCAGTGTGATGTTCAGAGAAATTAAATTATAAAAGATTGCTGCCACATGCTGTCTCTGGGGAAATCTCTCATATTAATGAATTCCACTTGTATGCTTAAAAGTTAGCTAAACAGGCTGGGCGCGGTGGCTCATGCCTGTAATCCCAGCACTTTGGGAGGCCGAGGCGGGTGGATCACCTGAGGTCGGGAGTTCGAGACCAGCCTGACCAACATTGAGAAACCCTGTCTCTACTAAAAATACAAAATTAGCCAGGCATGGTGGCGCATGCCTGTAATCCCAGCTATTCGCGAGGCTGAGGCAGGAGAATTGCTTGAACCCAGGAGGCGGAGGTTGCAGTGAGCTGAGATCATGCCATTGCACTCCAGCCTTGGCAACAAGAGCGAAACTCCATCTCCCCGCCCAAAAAAAAAGTTAGCTAAACAGACCATGATTGTACTGCTAGAATTGTCTCTATCTGGATGTTTTACTAAAATAATCTAAAATCCAAAAATTTTACACTATTCCTCAGGAGTCTTTCATATAAAACTAAACTTTTATAAAATAGCAATTCTTCAGTTGGAAATTCTAAGTTCTCACGTCTTTGGGATTTTTTTCAAATTTGCAAACATGGGTAAACAATGGTCAATAACAATAAATTCCAATGAGTTAAGCATAAATTCACACAATATTTGTATAAAACAAACAGATTACCAAGAACAAAAGGAGTATTTTATGAGAATGAGTGTGCATTTATTGTAGAATACTCACTCTAAAAAAACACTTAATAAATTAGAGGAGAGATTTTCCTAGTCCACCCAATTATTCAAAGGAATGGGAAGAGTGCTGTATTTGAAGTACAATTAATATAACAAGAACAGTTACAACAAAAGCCACTTTACCTGACCCCAGATCAGAATACCCCTGGCAAAATAAATAATGTGCAAATATACTTGACAATACAATTCTTTTGAAACTACTTCTATAAAATGCATGTTGTGAGTGTAACCAAAAGACAGTACCTTTGCCTCTAACTAATTGAGAATAAAACAGTAGAAATGTGTACAGAAGAGGGAATAATTGAACTCTGTCCTTTGACAAGGTATACTACATTACTCTGTTCTTTCTTCCCCTGGACATTTAGGTTCAGTAGCCCACTTCTCTTATCAGTAAAACAAGTTCGTATACAGGAAGAGCCTGACACTCAGCCTGGTGGAGAGGGGAGAGCCTGGAACAGGCACTCATAGACCTCAGTTCTGAAATGGCCCTGCCCCTGGCCAGTGGTGAGTGCTTCGGAAGAGTCATTTCACCCCTGAAGGCTAGGTGAAATGTGTTCCCCACTTTCAGATAGTAGAAGCACTTGGCATGTGGAAGTTCTCCATCGTTTCAAACACAGATCTAGTTTAAAGAATGTTCCTTCCAAAAAGGATCATGACTCAGTATATCTAATATTCCTGTGGTCTATGGTGCTTTGTTCCCTAAAATACTGCAAGAAAGAACTGGCCAGAACTCAAGACAGTGAGTTCCACATCAGTTTTCTTTTAAAATTGATTTGTTTCACTCCTCAGCCTTTTAGTTAAGATCCAGTGTAGAATCTGTTATTTTCAGTTTGAAATTGATTTGTTTCTTTCATATCCCCTACCCCCCACCAAAGAAAAGTCTGCAACAGTGATTCTCAAGCTTTAGTGAACATCATTCCTGCTATACTTATTAAAAACACATATCCCTGAGACTCATATTACAGGAATTATGATTCTGCAGGATTTGAGAGGAAACCAAGAAGGTGCATTTTGAAAAATTACCCGTAGTAACTTGGAGGCAGATGATAGTCTGTGAACCACCCTTTGCTTCTCACCCCATATGCCACCCTCCAGCCTGGAGAGATAAATAATGAAATCATTAAATGGGTTACCACTGGATGGTAAATCATGGATCATTTTCCTTATCTATATTTTTGACATTGATATGTATTATTTGAGCAATCAAATAATCAATCACAAAGGATTTTGAAAAGAAAATTGTTTTAAGAATTCATATGGTAGATCCCATCCTGTAAACAAGAGAACACTCTTGTATGTAATACCGTAGCAGACAGTAGCTGAGAGTTTAGTCATGTAATTCAAGACAGCCGAATTCAGTCCTGGCCTTAGAGTTTTCAAAGAAAGGAATTTTGCAATGAAAAGGGAGATTGTGAACTAAAAAAGGAGGAGGAGGCAGTAGTTGAAGATTAGTAAGAAAAATGTCAGTATTGTTGTCACTAAATGAAATTTCAATTTTTCTCTAATTTCACTTTTTCTTTAAAAGTATCTTTTCATACTTTAAAGTCTTCACTTCTTGAAAAAATATATTTGCCTACTCTTCATTACCTCACTATTCCACTTTATTCTTACATATTCCTCTCAGACACCAGTTAAGCAGTCTCAGAAACCTGCATCCAAAGTGAAAAATTATAGCTTACAGCCACTTCAAAAAGAAACTCTATTTTTGTTCCACTGCTCTCAATTCAACTTTCCCAGATCAGCTACTTTTTAACTGTGCAACAGACAATTTGCCTCCTAAGGAAAGAATTGTGCTACATTTACTTGTTCTCCAGAAAAGCACAAAAACTGGTATAGAATGGTTGTGTGTGGTGCTCTTTCTCATTCACTGCTACGTACTCTGTGGCACACCCTAACAGAAACAAACCATGTTCAGGCATGATACAGAATGGAACACTCACCTTTTCTAGGCACAGCCTTCATGATCTTCCTTTCACTTGAGGCCCATTGATTCAATTCTATAACCCTAAAAAAATATGGAAGGTTTAACTTGCAGCTTTGGAAAATAAGAGGCATCTGAGAAGAAATAAAACAATACTTTGGGATGAATTATGCATGTTTTATTAAACAATGACATTCAAAATTAAATGTGTCTATAGCAAAAAATATACACAGTTGGTGAGTCTGATGTCTTCTGTTGCCACAATATCTCACAAGGACATTGGCAAAAGTCTACATCTTTGGCAGCCTTAAAAAAGTAAAGCGGCTGAGGCTTCTTTTTCTGTCATCATTCAAATTGTATGCAATACATAATTGTCTTCTGTATTCAGATGCTGTCCTCATACAATTCCACATCAGTCCATTCTAGATTGGTCTGTGCCTTAGACCAGGACTAATACACACACTGTAAAAATCTGCAGCCTCTGCTCACATTATTCAAAGTTCAGACTTCAAAGACAGAGCTTTTATCAATTTGAGAAAATACAGGTTAATACAAAACCTGTAAGTGCAATTCATGCCCACTTTTACAAATAGGTCTGTTGTAACTGCTTGTAAATAGCCTGTGTTTCACTTCCACAAAATATTTTCTAAGCTCTTAGAGGATTTTGAGAGACTGCCATGGCTCCTGTTATGAAAGCATAACTCTTAGGCTGAATGCTACTTGAAAAACTATTTTCTTGTACTCTGAAATCATTTCGCATGTTATATCATAAACTTTTCTACACCATCATTGCAGTGACTATAATTAGGGTAAAAATGAGTATTAATTCTTCTCCTGACTTTTGGCTATGTGTCTTAGCTTGGGTTCCAAAAGGAAGCAGAGCTTAAGACTAGAGCTTGCAAGCAAAGAGTTTATTTTGGGAAATGATCCCAAGGAATAGAAGTTGGGACTAGGAATTTGGGAAAGAAGGAAAGTCAACCCAAAGGTGGCTTAGCAGTTTAGTCACTGCTGTCATTAATGGGGATTCTATCTCACTGGAGACCCCTTGAGGACCTATGTAAAATAAGCTTTAGAACTTTCCAGTCAAAGGACAAAAGAGAATATTTATCTGCTAGTTTCCTTCTGTTATTAGTCAAGGGTTTCTTCTTTGAAGTAGAAAAGATTCTGAGAATAGGAACATACTAAGCTTTTAAGATACCAATGACAATGACAATTGTGGTGATGGTGATGATCATGATCATGATAATAATATCCAACATTACCTATTATTGACTCTGTTTCAGGAATTGTACAAATAATTTTATTCACATTTTCTCATTAGGTTCTTGTGATGGTTAATTTTATGTGTCAATTTGACTGGACCCCCAGTTATCTGGACATTTGGCCAAACCTGATACTGAGTGTTTCTGTGAGGGTACTTCTAGATGAGATTCACATTTGAGGCCTGCTCCCATGTGGGTGAGCCTCATCCAATCACTTGAAGACTGAATCAATCAAAAAGACTGAGAGGGAACTCCTCTTGAACAGGGACATCAGAACTACCTGGCCTTCAGACTTGAAATGAAACATTGGTTCTTCTTGAGTCTTGAGCCTTTTGGGGAACTTTATACCATTGGCTTTCCTGATTAGATACGGATTCAGAAAGAAAGGGACTGTACATTTTCTCTCCAGGGTCTCCAGCTTACCAAAGCCAATTGCAGATCTCAGAACTTCTCAGCCTTCATAAATATGTGAACCAATTCCTTATAATAAATGTATGTGTGCATTTTATTGGTTCTATTTCTCTGAAGAACCCTAACTAATACAGTCCTTATGTTAACCCCATGAAGTCAGTAGAATAGGTAATCTCCATTTTACATGAGAGAACACTGAGGCACAGAAGTATTAAGCATATCAAATAGCACAGCAAGTAGGTGGCAAAGCTGTCTGTATGACTTCAAAACTACCCCTACTATAAATATAAAAATCATTTCCTTACAATTATTTCACACAATGCTGTTGCACATAGTGTTAATAGGAGGTAGAGTGAAAAAATATGTGCTCAAATGTTTCATAAATGTTAGACTGGAAAAAATTAAGCAGGTCTCTTTAAGATTTCCTGGACTGTTTAATATTTTATATGGTAAATTTCCAAAAAAGAGTGATATGTATTATTTTTCTAACATGTTTAATCTCATAAAACTCTTTAGTAGTATATGTTAATATCTTATAATACTAGAATTCTTTAGATCAAAAATTGAAAAGTGTTTGATAGTTACTGTTTTTTTTTTGAGTAGCATCTTAAGTTACACATTAGTAGGAAAATCCATCCAACTGAGGAAGTGAAAAGTGTTAGGCTTTAGTAGTAAAAACCAGAATGCAAAAGATGATAAGTTCATGGGATAATTTGGGAAACAGAGGCAAGAAAAGGAAAAAATAGAAGACAGTTTATATTCTTTCATCCACTATAGTGGGATGAACAGATCTGAAGTTCGACTAAATAGAATGGTCTACTGAGATTATACTCCATGACTGGTGCTCCCAGTTGACCCAGTTTGGGGAGCATCTACCAGTTAGATGAATGGCATCTACCTAATTCTATTCATATTATAATAAGAAAAAATGCTAAAAAAGAACTAAACAGTAAATAGGGACATGATAACACATTGCCTAGATCTACCTTGAGAAAAACTGCGGAAAGAAAAAAGTTTGAGACAAGTTTGCCCACGAAGGATGGAACCCCAGGGTGGCCCTGAGTTACAAATCAAGGTGATTTTACTCAGCCTATGATGTCATGCACTTGTTGAGGTAGTACAGCTCTACAGACTTTCCCCATGACATAATCATAGTCAATATAAATAAACAAGCATAATCATAAATCCTCAACCTATCTTACTAACGACCATGTGGCGTGGGGAAAACTCCCAGTCTGGGAGACGATACAGCTTTTCTTCCTGAAGATTTTGTATATTTCTTTGGATTTTAATGTTGGATGCTTTTGTGCACTTTACTTTCCTGGCCCTTTGCTGGCATCATCCTTGGTCAAACCCAGCGAAGGGGTTAGAGGAAAGAGTAGAAGTCAACATCATCAGCAAAACTAGTTCCAACTATGAAAGTTGCCATGGATAGGCCAAGAGTTCCATCTTTTGAGGAAAATGACAGGAATTAAAATTAACTGGTGTTCAGACAAGAAGACTTAGTCTGTCAATTAAAATAATTTGATTACAGAAAGCACTATAATGACCTGACATATTAGAAATGTTAGACCATACTGAGCATGGCACTTATTCTAAGAAACCATCATTACATTGATTCTGAGAGAGATATAAATTATATAAATAAAACATTTTATAAATTTAATAAGAAATTATCAATGGCATGTCTTCATTAGTAAGAAATTTTAAAAGGCACAATTACGTAGCATGCTTAAGAAGGTTGGGATTTTAGAAAGAGGCTTCTGTTCTAGGATTTACCATGGTCAGCAATAGAATCTCATAGTGTCTGGTTGAAAAAGTATGCTTGATAAAACCATCCAAATGATTTCTGTGGAACTCACCAAATTCTGTATTTCAGACATCAGTCTGCTTGATTTATAGTATGGCTTAGTAAAAAATTCTTGTTTGTCATCACATATAACCAAAGTAAGGAAAGAGAAAAAGTACATGTAGGGAGAGGCTTCCAGTCATACCCTTTTCAATTATTTCCTAGATCAAACAGTTGAAACCAGGAAGACATTCTCCATGAAAGATAAGCAACATAATGGCCACAATCAAAGATAAGGTTTGATTTAAAAAGTTATTAAGCCAAATAACTCATAAATGTCTATATTAATGGGGGACACAGGGGAAGAAAGCTGGCATCCAAATAGATTATGAGAAAGAGAGAGAGATGTTCCAGTCACAAAGAGGGAAGAAAGGGAGAGAGGAAATTAAACTGATAGCATTTTTCTCCAGATTCCATTTGACAGCCTAAATTTCTAAAGCAGTATATATTTCTTCTAGGCCTGTGACCTCATTTTGAGGCTTTCCAGAGGCATCTTAATATAAGAACTTTTTAATTTTCTAAATATCTCAATTCCCAGGTAAGCAGAAATGTTTTCATTAGCAGAGGATTGAATAAGAAGGGACCTCAATTTAGCTATCTAATCACATGATCAGAGATCTCTGCTTCTGACCTGGGGTGCCTATAACAGAAGGAAGAATTCAATCCTAAGGATTCCCAGGTCAAATCCATTATTTAAATGTTGAGTCTCCTAATATTAGTGCACAAATGGGAAAAGGATTATATTTTACTTCTCAAAAGAATAGCTGGCGACATGGAAATGCTGAAACAAGAGCCTTAAGCTTCACTCAAATTTCTCCTCAGTTTTGTCCAAACGGATGAGAAGTATTTAAATTATCCCAAAACTATGGTTTAGCTTAACAGAGCTGTAAATAATTTGAATCACATCAAAAAATCCCTGTGCCATATACCACCAGCCAATACCCACTGAAGCACCTGAAATTTCTTTAATTGGGGTCATTACACAAGGTCAAGGCATTTTTATATTCATTCTTAAATAAATATATTATCTGGAAATGATAAAAATGTACACCCTAGTTTGCATTCTATTATAATAATGTGTTCCATACTGAATTCGTTACAAAAGTTTATTTCTGAAAGATTTCTCCAAGCTTTTAATATAAAATGAGCATTGTGATAGGAATAGTGTGCAAGATTTCATAAACATTTTGCCAAGGAGCATGCCCCCCTCTCCGCCCCCCCACCCCACCACCACTATTAAATCTGGAGGAACGCTCCATTACATCCATTAAAATCCCAGTATAGGTTGGGAAATTATGGGTCATCAGAAACTCTCATCTAACAGAAAACAGGGTCCTAGGATCATTGGGACCCAGCCAGGAGCAGACCCAAGAGGAGTACAGGTGTGACATTTTGGGAATCCAGGCATGAGTCAGACTATGCCAGAAGTAGGACTAAGGAAGGGGGAAGTGTGGAAAAAGTCTGGGCACAGGGGAAGGAGGCAAAAGAGAGTAAAAAAACCCAAAACTTTTCACTTTGTCTACTGCACAATTTTGCATAGGCAGGTGCTATTCATCTAGGAGGCAAAGCTCACCATGAACAAATAACTTTGAGTGGCCTTATTAGTTCAGCGCTCTTAATCAGTGAAGCAAAGCCTCTCATCTGACCACACTGGCTGTATCAGGAACACAAGTAATATAAAAGGTTATATATTTTTTATCTCATAGCTTGTTTACAGGATATTAAGCCTGTCTTTGTTAGATAAGGAATTGAGCAAGAGTGTCCCTGGACTGTTTTCAGAAAGACTAAAGAGTCAGGCCCCTTCCCACAGTCTTTGTCATGCCCCTGCAAGTGCTGCTACTCTCTCTCTTCAAATGTCCAGTGTCCTGTGTCCTGGTATTTTCCATGACTTCTAAACCTGTTAAAATATTTTCTTATGAAAATAACTGCTGAACTGATTTATATTCTGACTTAAAATCCTGCTAAGGATTAACATTTCACCCTTCTGAGGGCGAGTTGCATATTCATGATTTATACGTATGTTCAGAAACAGGCGTCCTTTCCTCAGGCTCCATAATGACAAGGGGGTGATTTCCCTCCCGAGACAGACAGTGAGGATTCCTTCTATTCTCTGAGGATTCCTTCTCATTGTTTTTAGGGGGGAAATATCCCATTGCTCTCTTTCTATAACTGTTTAATCTTTCTTATGATTTACCAAAATTTTATTTTCCTTTTCAGCATCATCCAGTTGATAGTAGTAGCTGTATCTATTATTGTATTAGCTCTTTGGAGCTCTAGTAGTCTAAAACTCAGTTAAATTACTGCTTCTGGAAATAGCATTTTTCCACTATAGTAACAAATCACCTTTCTAAAAAAAATTAGTTTTCCATGAAGTACTTGATTTTTACAGTAAAAAACAGGCCAATGAGCTGTGAAAGAAGAAATCTTTCTTGGGAGAAAAGTAAAGGATTATCAGAGTGATTTTAATCATAGAGTTGTTTCCATGTGCTTACTTAAATAATGTAACAAATAACAGATAACATCAAGTAATATTTTCCAGTAAAGAAAACCAAAAAGAATAAAGAATCTAAACTTTTCATGTTGGAACTACAATGCAGAATTCAGAACTGACAACAAAAGCCTCAGTTTCTTAGCCTGAAGTGAGATCCTTGTAATGTAAAATAATAAATAAATAAATAAATAAATAAATAAATAAATATAATGAAAAGTCACCATCATCTTCCCCAATGTGATCAACAGGACAGTTGTGGTACTTTAGATGAGGTTACATATCTATCTCTGCCACTGACCAGCTATGTAAGTTTAAGTTAATTAAACAAGAAAGTTTAGCCTCAGCTTCCTTGTAAGAAAAATGAGAACACTAATACTTTCTTCAAAGATTTCTTAGGAGGATGAAATGAGATCTGATGTATAAAGAGCTCTTTGTATGTTGTAAAGCACCACTCAAATGCTAGTTATAGCGAGGATTGTTTCCATTAAATATAACTCAAGCATCCACCAAGCCTCTTTGACCCCAGAAATGTTATTCAACTTTGTCTGCAACCCGTTTCCAAGTCAAAAGCCCTCTCCACGCTTAATCCACATTTCAACCTTCCTTCTTCAAAAATGTCTCTGCTTTGTCATCCTATCAGCTGTACAGAATTTTCAGACTTTCTCCAGTTCCCTCAGGGAATCCAATCACAGTCAGAATATTATGAAATAAGTAACTCTACTGAAGATTTCAGGATAACACCAGAGAGGTAACTTATCATGTGCTCATTGGCTTCTGCCATCTCCCCAGCTGGGCAGCTGACATGTGAGGCTCCCTGCTGAGAGCGGCCCCGTGGCAAGTGGAGCCCATTCTCCCATTACAAATGCTTTCTCAGTGTACAGTGGTCCCAGGTGCCAGGAAATATAGCTATCACCAGCTCATCCTATGCATACAATGATTAGAAAAATGAGGATGGAACATGATTGAAAATTATAATAACAAGACTATCCTGTGATCATACCCACTTTTGCAAATTACTAAAAAATGTGCTCTGTTTAATTTCTGTGCTCAGAAAAATGGAGTAATCCTGCAGCACAGATTGGAAAGGCAGGAGAGGGGTGCAGTACACCCAAGAGGATGTGTGGCTGCTTTGTCAGACCTACCTTCTCCTCTGAAAAAAGGAGAGGGCAGGAGAGAGCAGTTCCTTATGGTTACGTCCTTGGCTGTCCTCACTAGACACTATAAGTGCTCCAGCATCCTTACATTCCATCTGCAAAAGACAAACTTGACTCAGCAACTACCCAGCATCAGAGATCTGGAACCTCTGGGCAACCTCAGTGGATTTGGCCGAACAAGTAATATTTTGGAATTAAGTTTTCAGGGATAACAAAACATGCAGAAAATTGGCCGTCCTTTTCAAAAATACAGATGAAATGTATTTGACTCTCCTGGAGCTCTAAAGAGCTACATTAAAACATATCCATGCTTAATAAAAGATCAGAAGCCTCACAAAATTTGAAAAAAAAAGAAAAATTTGCATACAAAAAATATATATTTGTTCTCCATACCTTCCTAAAAATGTCTTTTTTCTTTATTATATTTTTAAATTCTAGGGTACTTGTGCACAACGTGCAGGTTTGTTACGCAGGCATACATGTGCCATGTTAGTTTGCTGCACCCATCAACTCGTCATTTACATTAGGTATTTCTCCTAATGCTATCCCCTCCCCCAGCCTACCACCACACCAAAAGGCCCTGGTGTGTAATGTTCCTGCCCGCCCCGCAACGTGTCCATGTGTTCTCATTGTTCAACTCCCACTTATGAGTGAGAACATGTGGTGTTTGGTTTAATCTTCTTGTGTTACTTTGCTGAGAATAATAGTTTCCAGTTTCATCTGTGTTCCTGGAAAGAAAAGGAACTCATCTTTTTTTATGGCTGCATAGGAATCTTTCATATCCCTTTTAAGTTGGACTCCTAGATATTTTATTCTCTTTGTAGCAATGGTGAATGGGAGTTCACTCATGATTTGGCCGTTTGTTATTGGTGTATAGGAATGCTTGTGATTTTTGCACATTGATTTTGTATCCCGAGACTTTGCTGAAGTTGCTTATCAGCTTAAGGAGATTTTGGGCTGAGATGATGGGATTTTCTAAATATACAATCATGTCATCTGCAAACAGGGACAATTTGACTTCCTCTTTTCCTAATTGAATACCCTTTATTTCTTTTTCTTGCCTGATTACCCTGGCCAGAACTTCCAACACTACGTTAAATAGGAGTGGTGAGAGAGGGCATCCCTGTCTTGTGCCAGTTTTCAAAGGGAAAGCTTCCAGTTTTTGCCCATTCAGTATGATATTGATTGTGGGTTTGTCATAAATAGCTTTTATTATTTTGAGATATGTTCCATCAATACCTAGTTTATTGTAAGTTTTTAGCATGAAGGGCTGTTGAATTTTGTCGAAGGCCTTTTCTGCATCTATTGAGATAATCATGTGGTTTTTGTCATTGGTTCTGTTTATATTATGGTTTACATTTATTTATTTGCATATGTTGAACCAGCCTTGCATCCCAGGGACGAAGCCAACTTGATCTTGGTGGAAAAGCTTTTTGATGTGCTGCTGGATTCAGTTTGCCAGTATTTTATTGAGGATTTTTGCATCGATGTTCATCAGGGATATTGACTTAAAAATTTTCTTTTTTTGTTGTGTCTCTGCTAGGTTTTTGTATCAGGGTGATGCTGGCCTCATAAAATGAATTAGGGAGGATTCCCTCTTTTTCTATTGATTGGAATAGTTTCAGAAGGAATGGTACCAGCTCCTCTTTGTACCTCTGGTAGAATTTGGCTGTGAATCCATCTGGTCCTGGACTTTTTTTGGTTGGTAGGCTATTAATTATTGCCTCAATTTCAGAACCTGTTATTAATCTATTCAGAGATTCACCTTCTTCCTGGTTTAGTTTTGGGAGGATGTATGTGTCCAGGAAATTATCCATTTCTTCTAGATTTTTCTAGTTTATTTGTGTAGAGATGTTTATAGTATTCTCTGATGGTAGTTTGTATTTCTATGGGATCTGTGGTGATATCCCCTTTATCATTTTTCATTGTGTCTATTTGATTCTTCTCTCTTTTCTTCTTTATTAGTCTGGCTAGTGGTCTATTTTATTGATCTTTTCAAAAACCAGCTCCTGGATTCACTGACTTTTTGAAGGGTTATTTTGTGTCTCTGTCTCCTTCAGTTCTGCTCTGATCTTTGTTATTTCTTGCCTTCTGCTAGCTTTTGAATTTGTTTGCTCTTGCTTCTCTAGTTCTTTTCATTGTGATGTTAGGGTGTTGAATTTAGATCTTTTCTGCTTTCTCTTGTGGGCATTCAGTGCTTTAAATTTCCCTCTATACACTGCTTTAAATGTGTCCCAGAGATTCTGGTACATTATGTCTTTGTTCTTATTGGCTTCAAGGAACATATTGATTTCTGCCTTCATTTCGTTATTTACCCAGTAGTCAGTCAGGAGCAGTTTGTTCAGTTTCCATGTAGTTGTGTGGCTTTGAGTGACTTTCTTAATCCTGAGTTCTAATTTGATTGCACTGTGGTCTGAGAGACAGTTTTTTTGTGATGTCTATTCTTCTACACTTGCTGAGGAGTGTTTTACTACCAATTATGTGGTCAATTTTAGAATAAGTGCAATCTGGTGCTGAGAAGAATGTATATTCTGTTGATTTGGGGTGGAGAGTTTTGTAGATGTCTATTAGGTCTGCTTGGTGCAGAGCTGTGTTCAAGTACTGGATATTCTTGTTAATTTTGTCTCATTGATCTGTCTAATATTGGCAGTGGGGTGTTAAAGTCTCCCACTATTAATGTGTGGGAGTCTAAGTCCCTTTGTAGGTCTCTAACAACTTGCTTTATGAATCTGGGTGCTCCTGTATTAGGTGCGTATATATTTAGGATACTTAGTTCTTCTTATTGCATTAATCCCTTTATCATTATGTAATGCCCTTGTGTCTTTTCATCTTTTTTGATTTAAAGTCTGTTTTATCAGAGACTAGGATTGCAACCCCTGCTTTTTGTTTTGTTTTGTTTTCCATTTGCTTGGTAGATCTTCCTCCATCCCTTTATTTTGAGCCTATGTGTGTCTCTGCACATGAGATAGGTCTCCTGAATACAGCACACTGATGGGTCTTGACTCTATCCAATTTGCTAGTCTGTGTCTTTTAATTGGGGCATTTAGCCCATTTACATTTAAGGTTAATATTGTTATGTGTAAATTTGATCCTGTCATTATGATGCTAGTTGGTTATTTTGCCTATTAGTTGATGTAGTTTCTTCATAGCATCAGTGATCTTTACAATTTGGCATGTTTCTGCAGTGGCTGGTACTGGTTGTTCCTTTCCATGTTTAGTGCTTCCTTCAGGAGCTCTTGTAAGGCAGGCCTGGTGGTGACAGCATCTCTCAGCATTTGCTTGTCTGTAAAGGATTTTATTTCTCCTTCACTTATGAAGCATAGTTTGGCTGGATATGAAATTCTAGGTTGAGAATTCTTTTTTTTAAGAATGTTGAATATTGGCCCCCACACTCTTCTGGCTTATAGGGTTTCTGCAGAGAGGTCTGCTGTCAGTCTGATGGTCTTCCCTTTGTGGGTAACCCGACCTTTTTCTCTGGCTGCCTTTAATAATTTTTCCTTCATTTCAACCTTGGTGAATCTGATGATTATGTGTCTTGGGGTTGCTCTTCTCAAGGAATATCTTTGAGGTGTTCTCTGTATTTCCTGAATTTGAACGTTGGCCTGCCTTGCTAGGTTGGGGAAGTTGTCCTGGATAATATCCTGAAGAGTGTTTTCCAGCTTGGTTCCATTCTCCCCATCACTTTCAGGTACACCAATCAAACATAGGTTTGTTTGATAGAAGCATGTTTACACATACTCCCATATTTTTGGAGGCTTTGTTTCTTTTTACTCTTTTTTCTCTACTCTTGTCTTCTCACCTTATTTCATTAATTTGATCTTCAATCACTGATATTCTTTCTTCCACTTGATTGATTCGTCTATTGAAGCTTGTGTATGCTTCACGAAGTTCTTGTGCTGTGTTTTTCAGCTCCAACAGGTCATTTATGTTCTTCTGTACACTGATTCTTCTAGTTAGCCATTCGTCTAGCCTTTTTTCAAGGTTCTTAGCTTCCTTGCATTGGGTTAGAACATGCCACTTTAACTCAGAGGAGTTTGTTATTACCCACTTTCTAAAGCTTACTTCTGTCAATTTGTCAAACTCATTCTCCGTCCAGCTTTGTTCCCTTGCTGGCAAGGAGTTGTGATCCTTTGGAGGAGAAGAGGCCTTCTGGTTCTTGAATTTTCAGCCTTTCTGCGCTGGTTTCTCCCCATCTTTGTGGTTTTATCTACCTTTGGTCTTTGACGTTAGTGACCTATGGATGGGGTTCTTTTGTGGATGTCCTTTTTGTTGATGTTGATGCTATTCCTTTCTGTTTGTCAGTTTTCCTTCTAACAGTCAGGCCCCCCAGCTGCAGGTCTGTTGGTGTTTGCTGGAAGTCCACTCCAGACCCTGTTTGCTTGGGTATCACCAGCAAAGGCTGCAGAACAACAGATATTGCTGCCTCATCATTCCTCTGGAAGCTTCATCCTAGAGGGGCACCTGCCAGATGCCAGCCAGAGTTCTCCTGTATGAGGTGTCTGTTGGCCCCTACTGAGAGGTGTCTCCCAGTCAGGCTACATGGGGGTCAGGGACCCACTTGAGGAGGCAGTCTGTCCGTTATCAGAGTTCAAACACTGTGCAGGGAGAACCACTGCTCTCTTCAGGTCTGTAAGGCATGGACGTTTAAGTCTGCTGAAGCTGCGCCGACAGCCGCCCCTTCCCCCAGGTGCTCTGTCCCAGCGAGATGGGGGTTTTATCTATAAGTCCCTGACTGGGGCTGCTGCCTTTTGTTCAGAGATGCCCTGTCCACAGAGGTGGAATCTAGAGAGGAAGTAGGCCTTGCTGAGCTGCGGTGGGCTCCGCCCAGTTTGAACTTCCCAGCAGCTTTGTTTACACTGTGAGCATAGAACCACCTACTCAAGCCTCAGCAATGGCTGATATCCCTCCCCCAACCAAGCTCCAGCATCCTAGGTTGATCTCAGACTGCTGCACTAGCAGCAAGAATTTTAAGCTAATGAATTTTAGCTTGCTGGGCTCCATGGGCATGGGACCCGCCGAGCCAGGCACCAGAGGGAATCTCCTGGTCTGCTGGTTGTGAAGACCATGGAAAAAGCACAGTATCTGGGCAGGAGTGTACCATTCCTCCCAGTGCAGTCTCTCATGGCTTTTCTTGGCTAGGAAAGTGAAATCCCCCAACCCCTTGCGCTTCTCAGGTGAGGGACGCTTCGCTCTGCTTCGGCTCGCCCTCTGTGGGCTGCAACCATTGTCCAAGCAGTCTCAATGAGATGAACCAGGTACCTCAGTTTGAAATGCAGAAATCACCTGTCTTCTGCATTGATCTTGCTGGGACCTGCAGACCAGAGCTGTTCCTATTCAGCCATCTTGCTGGAAATCCTCCTTTTTTCTTCTAATAGTCTGAGTTTTTAAGAGTCATTTATTTCCCACCATTTTTTTACTCACAGACATTATTCAAAAGAACATAGCTATAATAATGATTATTTTATTTATGTTAATTCTTCTCCATAAAAATTCTGTTTTGGTATTCCCAGCAACCATGTATGGTTGGCAAATATTACTGCTATGGTTGTTTCAATTTTGTAATGAGGAAACTGAATCTCAAAGCAGTTAGTAGACTTTCCTAAGACTACACAACTAATAATTGGAAGAGCCAGGACTCAAACAGGTCTTCTGACTCCTTGGCCCATGATCCCATGCCTCAGTGAAACAAATTTGAAGAATTGTATGCAGGAAACCAATGCAAGAACAAAATCTTAAATGTGCATGTCTGTAAACAACATTTTGCAGCTAGAGCAAGTCTTCACATATCTAAAACATTTTCCTCATGAGCATTTTAGTTTCAAAAGAACACTGTGATAGGGAGCATATATCAATGGGTCACAGAAAAATATTATAAACATTGATAATCCTGACTCTTAGATTTTTCTAAGAATTATTGTTACAGCTCACATTCATGCCTGTGGCTTTTCTCTCTTTCAATGTGCCTTCAAATATGGAGAGTAGAAGCAAGATAGACTTTGTTGTTGTTAGTTACAGCCAACATACCTGCACAGCTGGTATAAGCAAAGAATTTTTTAGTAAGAGACAGAGGGGGCCCCCAAAATCTTTGGAAGGGCTGAAGAGGCAAACACTGGGCTGAGCTTCTAGGGGGAACTCCCAGAGCCACTTCTCAAAACCAGCCTGTCAAGTAAACTGCTGACACAGCCATCCTCAAGTCAGGATGCTGCTCTCACCATGGCCAGTAACAGAGCCCTTGTCTCTCTGTCTCAGTATCTGCTACACGATAAAAACTCAGCACCATGCCTCTTTCCCCCATGTAACAATTCAGAATGAAGTTCTTACAGGTGCATCTGATGGGTAGAATCTAAATCACTTATTCTTACCCAGAAACAGAGGAAGTTTTCCTTGTTGGTTTCCTCATTGGGACAGTTAAAACTTACATTATGTGGAATTATTACAATATTTTAAAAATATTTTATGTAACCAGATATGGCAAAAGTTCATTACAGTAATTGTTTAAATGAAAATAATAGAAACTACCATATGGTGTTGTCATATGAATTAAGTGAAATAAAATTTGTAAATGACTTAATACAACTGGTACAAAGGAAGTGATTAATAAATAGTGTGTATTATACTGTAGGAGATTGTTAAGTAGAACCTTTCCTACTGTTCTGGAATTGGCAACTGGGTCTCAAAACTTAGGACACAGGATTATCTAATACCTCACATCCTAAATAAGGTGCAAATAACTTGGAAAACAGACGGCCCCTCCAAGATTTAGTAAGAGGTAACTGTTGCTTACAAACATCCCTCAGAACACTCTCTCATATCTTAAACAGGAGACTAGAGAGGGGGAAAAGGAGGTAGGAGATGTAGATCCTCTGAATCCCATGTGACTGATACTGAGTCTAGTTGGGGCACTGAAGCTCCACCTCACTGAATGAAGAAGGAAGGTGAATGTTCACCCATAAAGTCCAGTGGGGGGTCCTCTAAAGGATCACTTGTAGGAATTGAAGATGTCTGCAAGAAGGTGAGACGTGACATCTCATTCCCCAGTGTGACGTGCTACTCTGCCCTCAGGCCCTATCTGAATAGAGAAGAGAATTGAACACAGATGGAAAGGAGGTAATGAAGGTGAAACCATGCAGAGACACAAGGATGTGTGAGTTTCTCATAGGTAAAGAGAATGCTGTGGTAGGAAGCAGGACTTGAACTATGTAGCTAGCCCCCTAATCAAGAGGGCTGTCTATTGCTTCAGAAATCAGCAGGAGCTTGTGACTATGTGATGTCCTGATGGTGAGGAAGCTGGAATCCAAGAGAAGAGTTTGGAAGAGTTGAAGCTGGAGACAGATCTTCCATGAGAGGAACTATGAATCAGGAGTCTCTTCCACAGGGCCACCTAAGGAGATTACGTGTGTGTCCAAACATCCATTTCCATCTTCCCCTTCTCTTCCCAGCTCCCTCTTCCCTAGCCCAACACACCAAAGAAGGCCAAAAAAAAAAAAAAAAAAAAAGGAAAATGGAATCTGACAGCAAGTTCCCTGTCTCTCACTTCAGGCCCCCTCTGGGCATTAATAAACCCTGAGTTAGGAGACAGGGCAGATACGACTGGAGTTTTAGATTAGACTGACCTGGACTTAATTGCTGGAGGTGGTTTGAAAGCAGATTCAACAGAATGAGGTCAAAGGCACTGGCTGAAAAGAAACAAGACCCTTGCATGTTTGTATCCCACTAGGATAAACCTTCAACAAACCAGTGGTGATGGCATTTTCTTATTATTTCTATTCACTCCCTATTCCTCTATCAGTATCTGGTTAACCTTTTGAAAGACAAGATAACTAGGACCAAGTGGCTTCAGCCAGTGTCATGAGAGTGTCTCCCCATCCTTTGACCTTTTCTTCACCCAATATTGGCCTGAACGTTCATACCCTGTGGCCAAGGTAAATGCTGACAACAGCCTATGTGTCCTCTTCTTTGGGACTTTTCTCTGCAGACTTGTCTATAACCAACACATATCTTAACTGGAGCAGCATCTAAGCTCATGTATCTTCACACACTCTGTTAGAGCATGATCTGCTTCCCCAGAACCCCTGAGTTACAATGTCGGAATGTTGTAGAGCAGCTTCTGGAACTTTAATGAGCATGTAACTCACCCAGGAATCTTGTTCAAGTGCAAATTCTAATTTAGTGGGTCTAGGAAGATACCTGAGATACTGCACTTCTAACACACTTTCAGGATTCTAGACCACACATTGTATAGCAAGGCTCTAGAGCAGAGACCATTCTAATTCTACCATATTACATCAGAACCAAAATAAAGAAGCAAAGCTTTCCAGGAAAAGACATCATCAAGAGAGGGCAGAAATTACATTTATTTCACTATTACAGCATTTTCCAGATTACACTCTGTATGCTTTAGGGCTAGATTTTCCATGTACAAATTGGTCTCTTTTTATGTTAACATTTATCACCTGAGAGTAGCCATATTTTTTCTTCTAGTATTGATGATTTTCTTAGGATATTTATAATTTCTCACCTCAGAAAACCAACTGTAGTTAATGTTTAAAAAATTGCTTGTGTCAGGAGGACTCAACCTATAAATTCACTCAAAAGGAGACAGAAAACTTGAACCGCAGAATTCCTAATGATTTAATTATGTTCAATTCCATGTATGTGCTAAATTTCAACTTGTCCTTCATCTTATACAGAATTATTCTTTTTCATTCTTTTTTTCCTGTTCCCTTTATATCATTGTTTTTATTTAATAATTCAAGTATCAGATGTTTTAGGACAATTATAGATTCAAATATTCTGATAGTAGACAAACTATTTGGTTCTCAATTTTGCTTTTTATGAGGGTGTGGCCCAGCGATCTGTTTTAATGAACCCTCTAGTTGATGGTGATGCACAAAGAACTTTGGGAACCCTGGCTGTCAAATTGTGGCTTTCAAATTAGGGTCTCAAGCCTGCCCCTGCCACACCCAACTCTGATTGGATTGTTTCAGAAGTGGGCCTGTCCATCAGTATTTTTTCAAAACTCCCCCCAGTGAATCTAGTGTTCTCATATGCAAACAAACAGAAACTACTGCTCTAAGGAGTGCTAATCAGTGCAGGTCACACAGCTAGTAGGTGGCAGAGCTGGGATCTGAATCCGTGTGCTTTGATTCCAGAACCCAAACTTTTTAACACTATGCTGACATCTTAGCTCCCCTTTCCCCTGCTCTGGGTCCACAGAATTATGTCTATGATGACTCTAACTTTATGACTGATTATCCATTATTTCTCTAAAATTGGTTCTATAATATTTCTCATCATTGTGCCCTTCATCCTTCAATCCCATTTCTTAGGTCATATATCTATTGAAGCCACATCCCACTCCCATTCCTAACCCCGGCCCTCCCACCATGCTCTTTTGCTATCTCCCCAACACCATCATGACACAATCACTTGGAGATAACATTGTGCCACTGTTAATATTTGAAAGTCCAGGCTGTTAAAACTGAAAGGATCTCTGAGATCTGCAAGTCCAGGCCCTTTCTATTGCTAATAAGTATAATTGCCCTAGATTTTCCACATGCAATCTTTCTATCATATACATTTCATGAAAGGGATACTGGGTGTAGCACAAAGCAAGGGCTCTGACATGCAGCATGCACAAAGACATTTTCACTCATTGGAAAAAAGAAGGTTAGAATTGCCAAAGTCATCTGTATAAATCTCTATCTTTCTTTTCCTGTAGTGCTCTGACCCATATGTTCTGAAATTCAAATACAGGGCTCAAGTGGAGAAAAACCAGATGTTCAGTGTTTTCTACAGCGTGAAAACAGGCAGAAAGGGGCTGGGAGGGAATTAGTCTATTTAATGGTCTGTTCTTTGTCTCGAAGAACAAGACCATAATTGTGCCTCAAATTGAACATATAGATGGAAAAAAATGTCATTAGTAAGACTGGGTAACTTGTAAGTGGAAAGTATTATCTTCAATTACTAGCCGTTTTTTAGAACCTAGATATGAATGGGGTATGCTCTCCTAAAATTATTTGTCATATTTGAGATTAAATCCAAGTATTTAATTAAAATGAAAATTAAAGCCTAGTTATGAACTAATAAGCCAGAGTGCCAGTGCTTCCCTGTTAATAACAATTCTCTGCCTCAGATTTCTCATTCATAAAACAGGAATAAAGCACTTTTCTTATGAACTTTATTACATTGGCCCAAGGATTACATAATCTACCATGTGTAAAAGAAATCTGGAAAACAAAGCAAGAAGTCTTATCTTCCTCTTATTATCCTATAGCCAATAGGATAAAAAAATATTTTCCCAATAACTGATAGGTTTAGTTTTTCCTATGGGCAAAAGTGGCAGCTGCTCTGGGTCATTGCTTTGTGAGGAGAACCATTAAAAGATTAAAAGTGGCCGAGCGCAGTGGCTCATGCCTGTAATCTCAGCAGTTTGGGAGGCCAAGGCGGGCGGATCACAAGGTCAGGAGATCGAGACCATCCTGGCTAACATGGTGAAACCCTGTCTCTACTAAAAATACAAAAAAAAAAAAAAAAAAAAAAAAAAAAAATTAGCCGGGCGTGGTGGCAGGTGCCTGTAGTCCCAGCTACTTGAGAGGCTGAGGCAGGAGAATGGTGTGAACCCGGGAGGTGGAGCTTGCAGTGAGCCAAGATGGCGCCACTGCACTCCAGCCTAGGCAACGGAACGAGACTCCGTCTCCAAAAAAAAAAAAAGATTAAAAGAATGTCTTAAGAACAAAAACAAAAAAATGACATCTACAGCAGCTGTCAAATTCTGTCAGCTACCGATATGTTCAAATGATCAAATCCCACACAGGCAAACAGCTTGACAAGAATGCAAGCCCTTGCCCTCGCCCTTGCCCTCTCCCTCGCCCTCTCCCTCTCCCTCTCCCTCTCCCTCTCCCTCTCTTTCCACGTCTCCCTCTGATGCCGAGCCGAAGCTGGACGGTACTGCTGCCATCTCGGCTCACTGCAACCTCCCTGCCTGATTCTCCTGCCTCAGCCTGCCGAGTGACTGCGATTGCAGGCGCGTGCCGCCACGCCTGACTGGTTTTCATATTTTTTTGGTGGAGACGGGGTTTCGCTGTGTTGGCCGTGCTGGTCTCCAGCTCCTAACCGCGAGTGATCCGCCAGCCTCGGCCTCCCGAGGTGCCGGGATTGCAGACGGAGTTTCGTTCACTCAGTGCTCAATGGTGCCCAGGCTGGAGTGCAGTGGTGTGATCTCGGCTCACTACAACCTCCACCTCCCAGCCACCTGCCTTGGCCTCCCAAAGTGCCGAGATTGCACCCTCTGCCCGGCCGCCACCCCGTCTGGGAAGTGAGGAGCGTCTCTGCCTGGCCGCCCATCGTCTGGGATGTGAGGAACCCCTCTGCCTGGCTGCCCAGTCTGGAAAGTGAGGAGCATCTCTGCCCGGCTGCCATCCCATCTAGGAAGTGAGGAGCGCCTCTTCCTGGCCGCCATCCCATCTAGGAAGTGAGGAATGTCTCTGCCTGGCCACCCATAGTCTGAGATGTGGGGAGCGCCTCTGCCCCGCCGCCCCGTCTGAGAAGTGAGGAGACCCTCCGCCCGGCAGCTGCCCCGTCTGAGAAGTGAGGAGCCCCTCCGCCTGGCAGCCACCCCGTCTGGGAAATGAGGAGTGTCTCCGCCCAGCAGCCACCCCGTCCGGGAGGGAGGTGGGGGTCAGCCCCCGCCCGGCCAGCCACCCCATCTGGGAGGTGAGGGGCACCTCTGCCCGGCCGCCCCTACTGGGAAGTGAGGAGCCCCTCTGCCCGGCCACCACCCCGTCTGGGAGGTGTACCCAACAGCTCATTGAGAACGGGCCATGATGACAATGGCGGTTTTGTGGAATAGAAAAGGGGGAAAGGTGGGGAAAAGATAGAGAAATCAGATGGTTGCTGTGTCTGTGTAGAAAGAAGTAGACATGGGAGACTTTTCATTTTGTTCTGTACTAAGAAAAATTCTTCTGCCTTGGGATCCTGTTGATCTATGACCTTACCCCCAACCCTGTGCTCTCTGAAACATGTGCTGTGTCCACTCAGGGTTAAATGGATTAAGGGCGGTGCAAGATGTGCTTTGTTAAACAGATGCTTGAAGGCAGCATGCTCGTTAAGAGTCATCACCACTCCCTAATCTCAAGTACCCAGGGACACAAACACTGCGGAAGGCCGCAGGGTCCTCTGCCTAGGAAAACCAGAGACCTTTGTTCACTTGTTTATCTGCTGACCTTCCCTCCACTATTGTCCTATGACCCTGCCAAATCCCCCTCTGTGAGAAACACCCAAGAATGATCAATTAAAAAAAAAAAAAATTTATGAGTACTAATAACCATATTGGAGCTTAAACGATGGCCCTAAGAATAAGCATTCTTTACTTGATTTCAAGACAAATTGGGACACAGAGGTAGTAGTTGGTGAGAGGGAAATCAAAAGACCCCCCTTTGGTAGTTGATAAATAGGTTGGAAGAAATGTAATTTAGATTGTTCGTCAAAAAGACTTGTGACTAATGCACCCCAAATTAAACTCGGCACACACAGACCTGGACATCGTCAGGCCTCCCTAACAAGGTCCAGCTCCTGAAAAGTTATGCATGGAGTAGAACAACAGATGAGCACACGTGCTCCTCTGCAGAGAGGGGGAGGAACTGAAGCATCTTCCACCTCCTTCCCTGAAGCTTGCCAATGAGGCCAGACTGTAAGCTGCCTGCCTCCAGTTCTCAGGTTGAAGCTTCCACTTGCAGTAAGTGTTCCCTCCACTTTCCAAAGCGTGTGTCTCAAAGCTTCAGTCACCTCATCCTACTAAGATTATTTTCAAGGGTTCTCATCCTTTTTTTTTCTCTGATTTATCTTTCTGAAAATGAAAATGATGGCTTATATAAAATATCTTTTATGAAAATTAAAAAAAAAGAATGCAAGCAAGACTTACTGGCACAAAAACTTCTTTAAAGCCATTACTCACACTGTGCATCACAGGCAGTTCTGATCATTGATCCTTTTTTTAAAATGAAGCTGGCTAAAAACCTGTTCCAGAGAAAGATGACCCAAATCACCCTACAAGCCTCACCACAGTGAAGGTTGAAATAGGCACGTTTGGCTTTTTTGACAGTATATTCACAATAGGAAAACTTATAAGAAAACTCAAAGGTATTGGTATTTTAAAAGTTCATTAGTATATGTCATCTCTGTTTTAACCTGAGAGCGAGGTAGGAACATAAAAAAGATTGAAGTACAGAAAATATACCCATAGTCCTAGGAATAATTTTAATACCATAATTGATAATAAAGATTCTTCCCATATTGCCAAACCAGGACTGTGTGGCCATTGTATACTTTCTAGCCTTTGTATATTGCTACAAGAAAGCATTGATTTAGATTTAAAAATACACAACACATATAAGTCATACTTGGTGAAAAGTAATCCAGTGCTAAAAATAATGAGCAATATTTGAAAGGTGTTAGATGACTTATGTGTGGAATCACTGCTGGTTTTCATAAGAATACCTTGCTTGTGCCTTCCTTTGAACTATGTTTGTTTCATTATCTCAGTTCAGATACCCTATAGTAATATAAAAGTTCAAAACGTAATTGGCTTCCTTCAGTTTCCTATACATAGAATCATAGAATGTTAAGAGCTAGAGGACACTTCTGACATGGCTAATTCTGGACATCTATGCACCCTTCCTTCTTACTTCAGCTCATGATGGCCATCACCAGACCACCATGATCCCCTTTTATGATAAACAGAGACATAACTTAAGAGTTCTTTTTCTCAGTGATAGTTTGTTAAATATACCAGTCAGGATGCTAGCAGGAAACAGATGACATGGCCAAAGTAAGAGACTTGAAAAAGGGTTTAATTAAAAAACTATTTATCAAGGATGACTCAGCTTGTAAGGTTTGGAGGGACTGATGAGGTAAGAGAAAGGGGACAGCAGGATGAGTCACATAAGGATGGTCTTCCTGACAATAGTTACAACTCTTGGTTGAGACTCAGCCCAGGTGATCCCACAGAAGGAGGTCTGGGGTAATAATACTCTAAGCTCACCATTATCCCTTCTTCAGGGCTCCTATTGGGACCCAGCATTTAACAAACTTAACAGGAAACCAGAAGGCTAAGAACCCTCAAATGTAGTCCATAAAGGTGATCACCTGGGACAGAGAATGGGTTAAGGAAGGATGGTGGGGGATGTAGATGGGCAAAATAAGGTTATCCAGCCCCTTAGGTGAAGTTATCATCCTTTAGGTGATTTGCCCTATAGCACACAGCTAGTAAATGGCAGAAGTAGGAGAGAAAGAGGCTTTTTTCCTTATTCTTATTACCAGGCCTTTTCTTTGCATGCCATTGATGGGGAGGGGAGGTTCACATATGCTCCCACACAGCCATGAGTATATATGTGTGCACCTTAACAACAGGCAGTTGGCCACTGGGAAAATTCATCTACCACTCTAGGATTAACTAAAACGCCTCAATTGGTCCTTTAGTTCTGTGTTCAGCCCAGACACTGTCCAGATCAAGCAGTCTATAAGCTCTGGATCCAACCAACCTGACCTACAGTGCTACAGCTTAAACCAGATGAACTTTAGGGCCCTTCTAATGCAGTGTTCCAATGTGATTCTAGGGATCATTTCTTTCCTTTTACTGTGTAAATCATAAAGCTGCTTTCTGGATTTACATGAGCCCAAATTAGCTTACCTTTCTGACCCATGACATTACTGAAAATGTCAACCTATCTTCAACTCAGTGTTATTGTGGAAAGTCCTGTACCCATAATTAACTCAAGATCATGTCCCAGCTTCTTGTGGTATTTGGTGAAAGTAAACAAAGAGGGTTTTTCAATGAGTGGGTCATTTAAGATTGTTTAAAGTGGCACAAATTTTTCAGTCACCATTGTTATCTAAAAAGCTTCCTTAAGTTTAGAGCATGAAAATATTTTGTGGAAAGCACAGATTTGGGTTGGGATGGCTCTTTATGTGCTAAATCTTAAAGAGGACCATATTTCTAGACATTTGGTAAAAACATGTTTTGATATGATACTATAATATAGGATGTTTAGTAAAATACTTCAGTCTCACATTCTTTTTTATTTAATGGACAGGATTTTAAATTTCCTTATATATTACTAGTGTTTATTTATGTTGGTGATATGGTTTGGCTGTGTCCCCACCAAAATCTCATCTTGAACTGTAGTTCTCACAATCCTCATGTGTTGTGGGAGGGACCAAGTGGAGATAATTGAATCATGAGGGTGGTTCCCCCATCCTGTTCCCATGATACTGAGTTAGTTCTCATGAGATCTGATGGTTTTATAAGGGGCTTCCCACTTTGCTCAGTTCTTGTTCTCCTTCCTGCCACCATGTGAAGAAGGATGTGTCTTCTTCCCCTTCCACCATGATTTTAAGTTTCCTGAGACCTCCCCAGCCCTGTGGAACTGTGAGTCAATTAAATCTCTTTCCTTTATAGATTACCCAGTCTTAGGTATTTCTTCATAGCAGCATGATAATGAACCAGTACAGTTGTTATGACAACATCAAATCCCAACCAAAGTAATCAACTGGAAAACAAACATTTCCTTATTTTTACATACAGTCCACATCAGTGATAGACGTTACAGTGTACCAAGAGTGAAGCTATTTGCTGAACAAACTCAGCAGCAGATAACACACAAATAATTCTGAAACATTGTCCTGCTTCAAGCTACTCTGTCATTGACAGCACTACAAGTGTCATTAGTAAATATGAACAATACAAGCAAATAGTTGCATTAGTCCATTCTAACATTGCTATAAAGAACTACCTGAGACTGGGTACTTTTTAAAGAAAAGAGGTTGAATTGACTCACAGTTCCACAGGCTATTACAGGAAGCATGGCTGGGAGGCCTCAGGAAACTTACAATCATGGTGGAAGACAAAGAGGAAGGATTGACATCTTACATGGTCAGAGAAGTAGGAAGAGAAAAAAGCAGGAGGTACTACAGACTTTTAAACAACCAGATCTCATGGGAACTCACTCACTATCATGAGAAGAGCAAGGGGGAAATCCGACCCTGTGATCCAATCACCTCCCACCAGGCCCTTCCTCCAACATTGGGGATTACAGTTCACCATAAGATTTGGGTGGGGACACAAATTCAGACATTGCCATCCCACCTGGACCCTCACAAATCTCATGTCCTTCTCAGATTGCAAAATCAATCATCCCTTCTCAACAGCCCCCCAAGGTTTAACTCATTTCAGCATTAACTCAAAAGCCTACAGTGAAAAGTCTCATCATTCTGTCTCTTCTGAGCACTCCAAACTGTTCCAACCTCTGCTAATTACTCAGTTCCAAATCTGCTTCCACATTTTCAGGTACCTTTATAGCAACTGCCCCACTTCCCAGTACCAATTTTCTGTATTGTGTTCTTATACTGCTACCTGAGACCGGGTAATTTATAAAGAAAAGAGGTTTAATTGGCTCACAGTTTTACAGGCTATACAGGAAGCATGGCTGGGGAGGACTCAGGAAACTTACAATCATGGCAGAAGGTAAAGAGGGAGTCGTCATGTCTTACATGGCCAGAGCAGGAGGAAGAGAACAAAGCACGAGGTGCTACACACTTTTAATCAAACAGATCTTGTGAGAACACACTCACTATCATGAGAAGAACAAGAGGGGAATATTCCCCCATGATCCAATCACCTCCCACCAGGCCCCTCCTACTACATCAGAGATTACAATTTGACATGAAATTTGGGTAGGGACACAAATCCAAACCATATCCATAGTCATGATTTTTTAAATGATATATTTCATGTGAAATACTTTTCATTAAGAATAACAGTCCTATAACAAAGTCACTAATAGAAATTCCACTTTTGCATTAGCAACAGGTCAAAAAAACCAATAACACAAATAATGATGCCCACATAATCATGTTGGTATACCACTCTTATGTTTATAAAACCCTTTCATATTGAATGAGTTAGGAATATGCAGCTCAAAAAATGTTCTTCTGGCATATTGACAGTTTTGAATTAAAGACACTTTTTAAAAAAGCAGTACAAAAAGTTTATTTTGACCTTTTATCCTGCTTCTTAAAAGCAGGAAATGAAATTCCCACATGAAAGATACCCTTCCTATACCAAAAGGAATATTATTATCCTCAAGAATGAGAAGTTTAGACTGAAAGAATTCTGTACACACCTTGTTAAAATAACTCATCTTTTAAGCCACTTCACAATATTTTGTTGCCTTTTCACAACTTACTATTCTTGGTCTGATTCAGTATGTAAGTGCTGAATCAAACTGCTCCTTCGGGTCATCATTTCCTTATGAGGGCTCACAGGCTACATAAATCTTGTAGTAAATAAATTTGCTTGTTTTTCTCCTGTTGATCTATCTTATGTCAATTTAATTCTTGGACTCAACCAGAACCCAAAGGGATGGAAATGGGGTTTTGTCTCCCCTCACTATCCACTTGAACCTCTGGTGACAGTTGAGGCTTAGTGGTGTCAACAGTTGGAAAGTAATGATGTTGACAAAGAAATGTGAGGGGTGAGGAAGTATGTTAACAACGCCCTTCACCATACCACATCTACCTGACCATATTTCTTTATCAGAGAAAAAAAGGTTCCTTGCCCAGTTTCCCAACCAGTCAGTAACAGGACCGGAACCTAGGTTTTCTGATTCCTGGTCTCATGCTGTTTCCATTGCATTGCTTCTGATGAGTCTTCTATAATTGGATTGAATTCACAGCCCCCACCATTTCTAAGCAGAGCCCTTCAAATAAATGAATATTTACTTTAGTTAAAACACAATAATCTGTGTTAGAAATCAGAAGCAATTAAGAATCACATACCATTTATTTGTCTGAGGTAATCTTGCTCCAACAATTATTGGCTCAACTAATAGTGATACCTCTAGGTTATAATCTCCCAGGTGGCAGGTCATTTTCATATAGAAATTTTTTTGGAATAAAATAACTGCCATTTGAAGATCTCAAACTGTGTCCAAAGCTACACTCAAAATACCATGAAAATGATGATAGGCCTTCACGGCAGTCCAAACACACACAATCAGCGAGTGGGCAAATAAAAATGCAACTAAAAATTAACAATGACAACAGTCAATGCTAGTCTCTTTTAGGACATTTTTTCCACCTATGTATGGCTTTTCTTCCCCTTGCCCCTACCAACATGATAATTCTGGCTCATACTGTTTCACATTTAAATTGTAATGTTGTCCCTGTTTCTAAGGGTATACCTTTAGTTCTTCCTATCTGTCCTAGATACAAAGTAAAAACAGGGAGCAAGTGGGAGATAGTTTCAGTAAAAAAACTAACAATTATTAAGCCCAGACTAGGGTCCAGGCTTAGTACAAAGGACTTTACATATGCATTTTCTTCTTATAATATGCAGCCTTTGAGGTGGGTAATCATCTTCCCATTTTAGATGAGGAAACTGGGACTCAAAGAGGTTAAGCAACTTGCCCAAGATCATATAGCTAGCAAATGGTAGAACCTGAAAAAAAATAAATAAATTCACATCTACTCCATATCTAATCACAAATCATAATCTAATCCCTATCTAAACCAGAGCCCATGCCTAAGAGTATGTTGCCATACACATTTTAGCATCACAATCAGCAAAAATGATTCTCTTAGAATCTAAAACAAAGTGGATCCCTTTGACAAAGTGATACTCAGGTTCATGATCCTTTCCCTGACTTGCTCACCCTGCTTTCTTCACTCAGAATTGTGCAGCCAGTCCTGCAAGACACAGCTTTGATTGTGTTTCATTTTTTGCTGGAAACCTTTCTCATTTCAGCACCCTTCCTCTGCTTTGCCATGTCCTGAAGCATATCTCTGTAACAGCATATATCACACCACCATCTGATCCACCATTTGTCTGTCCCCTCAAAAGGCAGTCAGCTCCTTGAGAACTGGGGCTATAGTTTATTCTTCATTGTTTAGCACCAAACTCACTTTTACCATTGTGAGCATGATGCAGGTAGAGTTGAAGGAAGGAAAATACGTAACACTAAGTTTAGAGTTTTAATCTTGTATTAGGCTGCAAACTCTACTGAATTGAGATGGAGTTTGTGACTTAAGTGACTAAGAGAATGTCTATTACTCAAGAGTGAACAGAACATCCATGAGAGCTGATGAGTTCCTGTCTGGTGGCTGAGAAAGTGGAAAGGAGCAGAGGGAAAAAAGGATGATTTTGTGTTTTAGTTGTGGCAGGTTTGTTCAACAAACCGATCACTTTGAATTCCCAATACCTAGAACAGTGAAGAAATAAATAAATGATTTTCCTTTTCCTAACTATGAAGACTTCCTCAGTACTTTCCTAGGAATCCAAGACACACTTCTAAATGAGCAAGTTTTCTAGATACCAGAGTCCTCATCTTTAGAGAACCCAGATTTCATCTTTAGATTTCCCAAGGAAAACTAACTCTGCCTTGGGAAATTCTGGTCATAGTAATTAACACTTATGTATTTACTGTATGCAAGGAAGAGATACTGAGGCCTGCTTGTGAAGGGCATTGCATGACATAAGAAGTTTCACATATATTTTATCATTTAACCCTTATACCAACCTTATGAGGCAGGTATCATTATTCCTCTTCCAATTTTATGGACATAGAAATCAAGAGAAGAGAAGTGACTTGCCCAAGATCACATTGCAAGTCAATGGAGGATTCCAACCCAGCCTATATGTCTCCATAGCCCATATTCCTAACCAATATCCAAGACCATCATTCATTTAGAGACAGTTCAAGGAGGATGCTGGAAGGAGGAATAGAGGCACTCCAAGCAGAAGGCACTTTACATACAAGGGAGTTGAAATTAGGGTAGCCTATCTTATTGCGACAAGGTTAAGACTTCCAAGGAGCTGGACTTTTGGAAGAGTGAGTAGTTGTGACAGGAGAGGTGTGTTGGGACCTAGCTGTTAGTAACCTCAATGGCGTGACAAGGAGTGTGAGCATCACCTGTGGCCTGCAGAGTAAGGGACTGCTGCAGCAGCATATGGAAGATGGAGAGGAATTCAGAAGGATGGAGAAGTACAGACCTGCTAGATTCTATTGCTGAGGCAGTGGGAAGGGAAGTAGAGGGGAGAGGCTTGAATTCAAAAGACAGTTCTGAAATAGAAGCATCAGGATTCAACGAACAACCAAATATGAGGAATAAATGGAAGGGGGGGAAGAATGAATGGGAGATTTGCTAGGTGGTGATGGCCATGAGGAACAGGTTTTCAAGGGAAAGTGATGGATCCAGGTTGGGGGATGCTGAGTGCGAGGGACGAGAGTATCCACACAAGATGTCTAGAGGCAGTTGAATGTGAGAAGCTCAGGTGAAGGATCTTTAGTAGAATGTTATCTGGTAAAGGATGGCTACAGCTCCTTTTCTAGTTCACATGTACACCCAGTTATCTGTATTACAACGCTGGCAGTGAATGAAATTATCTGGGGAGGATATAAAGTGAGTAAAAGCAGACTTTTTTCCTTATTTTCAATTTTTAGGTTTTATTCATGTTCTTGTGATTCAAATGCCCTTTTATTATTCTTCCAAATATGAATTCTGGCCTGGACAACACATTTTTTTAAATCTCTAGGATTACTTTTCATTCTTTATTTACATTTTATTTATATATTCCACAGCATATTTATTCTGTAATAAATACCATTACACACACAGTTTCCTTTAGTTTTCTTTCTAAAGCATAAATCAGATGGCTCCAGGACATCTGGGGGTATGCCTGATCTGAAAAGACACCAAGTCTCACCTTCCAGGGACTTTTATCTCAATAGGTCACTTTGTCATCATCAAATTGTACTTATTAAGCATTAGTTCACACATTTTTGTAAATCCACTGGTAATACCTAGATCCCTTTTTGGCAAACTATCAGGTAATGCGCAGCTGGAGTTTTCTTTGTCTTAGTGATATTACCTCAGGCTATACTAGACCCCATTGGCTTAATAAACATAATAGGAAATGCATTATTTATATTGGTCTTCATTAATACTTAATAAAATTATAAGTGTGTGATGTTTCCAAGCTTCCTGCCCTACATCGATGAAACTGGTACACGAGTGCCTTCTCCCAAAAGATCACAGTTAAACGATTGCTGCTGAACGTATGTTTATGTTTTTAATTAATTTATATGACCTTCTAATGCCAAAACTGGAAAATAATAAGCTAAATTTTAAAACAGACAATATTACCACCTGTGAATTTTAGGTCTTATGGTGTTGAAATTGCACTATACTTATTTTTCAACTTCCTATGGATACCTTAAAAATTATTATTATTAAATTATTCTAAAGTTCCAGGAAAGAAAGTGAGAAGCAGAAGAAAGTCATTATAGCAATAAGGGACTTGGCTTTCAAATCCAACATTTATTTTGCTCACTTTGTCTGTTGTTCACTCACCACTATCTTTCTCTCTCTTGTTTACACACATCTTCTTTTCGTTCAGTTACTAGCAACAAATAGTTAATGGTCATAGATTGAACTGCACTGGGTAATTAATAACACTAATTTATCAGATTTATAATGCGCCCTTAAAACATTTTAAATGCTTCCAAAAATATTTTATTTCCACCATATATGTAGTCTCTGCAGAGATACAAAGATGATTGGGACTCTGTACTTGGAATGCTTAAAGTCTAATAGTAAACATAAAATACATAGCACAAATGATCAACTACGAATAAGAAAACAGGAAGCTCAAGTTCTTTCCCTGTTCTCTGACTCAGAGCTCCTGGAAGGCAGGGTCCTGTGCCTTATTCCTCTCAAAATTCCCGATATCTAACATCACAGCTGGCTAAGAGCTTGAGAACTGAATAAACAGCCCCCCAATAAAAGTGTCATTCTTTCCACCCTGTGCATCACTAACTGTGCTGGCAGCCCAAAATAAGGCAGTCAAGACAACAGACAAGGTCCCTGCCCTTGTGTCACTGCTAAGGTAATGGGAGAAATAGACAACTCACATGAAGGCAAACAAATAAACATAAAACTGTAACAGATTCAATAAATCCTATGAAGGAAGTAATGGAGACATGTAATAGAAAGTGATGGGAGGTGAGCAGGAAGGGAGGGAGGCTTTAGATTAGGAGATCAGAAGGCTGCTTTGAGAAGGAGGCGTTTAAAGTGAGATCTCCAGAATAAGAAGGAGCCAGCCATGGGAAGATGCAGGTAAGGAGCATTTAAGGCAGAGGGAAGAGTAGCTGCAAAAGGCTAAGGCCTGCGAAAGGAACTATAAGAGGACAGGAGCGAAGCAGAGAGACCAAGTGGAACCTGCTGGAATCTCAATAAGAGATGAGGGCACTTTGATCTAGAACTGTGGCAGTGGAAGTGGAAAGATATGGGTAGGTTTGAGATTTATCCTGGGACATGATTTTCTCTGCTCTTCTCTTGCAATCTGATCTCAATTCTATCTTCTAGAAATTCTTCAAATTTTCTTATTTTCCAATGGGCTTTATGATTTTTTTTCAGTCTTTTGAGGGGGAATGGAAATATAGGTTGAGTATCCCTTATTCAAAATGCTTGGAACCAGAAATGCTTCAGATTTCAGACGTTTTTAAATTGGGGAATATTTGCAAAATTCTTGCCAGTTGAGCATCCCAAATCCAAAAATCTGAAATCTGAAGTGCTCCAAAGAATATTTCCTTTGAGCATTATGTCAGTACTCAAAAAGTTTTGGAGCAGCTCGGATTTCAGATTTTTTAATTTGGGGTGTCTAATCTGTACCAAATATTTTCTGATATTTCAAAGAATGGGGGGTAGAAGTGGAGATAGATTGCTTCTCAGCCTTATGGATAAAATAAAATGTAGAAGTAGAGACAGATCCTTACCCAATGTACATAAAACAGTTTGTATTAGTCCGTTCTCACACTGCTGTAAAGAACTGCCCGAGACTGGGTAATTTATAAGGAAAGAGGTTTAATTGACTCACTGTTCAGCATGGCTGGGGAGGCCTCAGGAAACTCCAATCATGGAGGAAGGCGAAGGGGAAGCAAGACACCTTCTTCACAAGGCAGCAAGAAGGAGAATGAACACAGGAGGAACTACCCAACACTTATAAAACCATCAGATCTCGTGAGAACTCACTTACTATCACAAGAACAGCATGGGAGAAACCACCCCCATGATTCAATTTCCTCCACCTGTTCTCTCCCTTAACCCTTGACACATGGAGATTATGGAGATTATGGGGATTACAATTTAAGATAACATTTTGGGTGGGAACACAAACTACATCACAGTTTCAAATAAGCGAAGTTTGAGTTTATAGTATTCTTATTTTCCTAATGTTCTCCTCTCTTTCGGTGACTATTTTAGCCGGCATTCTCTAGAAAATAGAAACAAAGACTTTAAGTCCTTTTCAGGGAATATAATCCAAGGAGCAGGAATGAGTAGTAGTGAAATGGGATGAAAAAGCTGGAAGAAACAACAGAAAGATGCATTATGAAGATGGCTACTGCTGGAGCAATTGGTTGTTGCTCCATTTCACAGAACCTCTTAAGGGTTCCTATGAAATGCATGTCAGGACCACCTGACGGTAGGAGGGAATAAAGAGGAAGTATTTATTCACATCTGCCAAAGATTCACCTTCTAAAACTTGAATTCCCTGCACGTCTGAGTTGTGCATCTGAACCTAGAGGCAGTTTCCACAATGTCTGCCACCCCCCTACCACACCTCCCACTCCCAATGTAGCATCAGCAGATAAATCACAGGAGGGGAAGTGAGCGGCAGACGCCAGCCCGAGATGAAGTGCAATCAGGTTGTGTCCAGGTGAAGCTCATGAGATCTTGCACAGAATTTGTTCTACGGCAGTGACTGGCAATAAAATCAACTGGTGCTGAAAGAATCTGATACAGTAACTAAAAGCACTTGACCTCTTATATTTTCAGAGTCCTCCATGATAAATACAATTAGAGTTCCAAATCATAAGGCTGAAAAGGGCAACAATGGATATTTTATACAGTGCCAGTTTTTAAATACACCCTTCAAATCATCCCTCTTGTTAGCATCCTGTGCCACCCATTCATGTGTGTGTGTGCATGTGTGTGTGTGCATGTGTGTGTGTATTTGTATAAATAATGTTTTTCCCTTTCCAAGATGGCCCTGATGCTTTTTGCATGTGCGAAACACAAGGTAGACAGCAGTCTAGCTCTTAACTTTTACAATGCGTGTCTTTTTGAGGGCTCATAATGGAAATACTAAGTCGTGTTGATGTTCTAAATTTTTCCAAATGTTAGCAAAATGAAATTATTTTAAGAAAATATTATTTCCCACAACATTATTTCTATAGCAGCTATTTACTATGTTAGTACTAAGCTGGTGATATTTCAGGCCACTGCAAAATAACCTTGCCTAGCCAATGTGAATGACTGTGTTCAGGTGGGGGTGGATATAGACTAAAACTTTCACGTCCCAATTTCTGTGTCAGTAATCTTCCCACAGATAGAGTTAATTCCATTATCACAATAACTAGGGCTGTATTAAAGATTAGACAAGTTGACAGCCTCCAGGACTCCACTCCATAAGAGTTGCTAAAATATGGTGGGAATCATTTTAACTCAAGTTTACAAACCAAAACAACACTACATAGTGGAAAATGTAAATTTGTCCCACCCCTATTCAGACCATGTAAGAAATTGCTTGTTATTAATTTTACTATGGAAATTTGTGGCCAGGCATGGTGGCGCACACCTGTCATCTCAGCACTTTGGGAGGCCGAGGTGGGTGGATCATTTGAGGTCAGGAGTTTGAGACCAGCCTGGCCAACATGGGGAAACCCCATCTCTACTAAAAATACAAAAGTCATCTGGGTGTGGTGTCACACCTGTAGTCCCACCTACTCAAGAGGCTCAGGCAGGAGAATCGCTTGAACCTGGGAGGCAGATGTTGCAGTGAGCAGAGATCATACCACTGCACTCCAGTCTGGGTAACAGAGAGAGACTCCATCTCCAAAAAAGAAAAAAGGAATTGTTCATAGTAAACTCGTCAGGTTTAATTTCCCATCCTAAGGAAAGCAAATTTTGGTTTCTGGAGGAATTTCTATTTGTTAAACAGAAGTAAAACCTTTGTCCTTAATACAATGGTCTTTGACGTTACTGTAGGCAGGTTTAATGAATAAGGAGTATTGAAGTTTGGATGTAGAACCATTAATAGCACTAAATTGTCCTGAGTAAGAAAGGTAAAGAGGGATTGAGAATCCCAGAGATTTAGAACATGTGAAGTAGGAGCAAAAAGGCAGAGAATGGATGAAGGAAGAAACAGGGCGGAAACCTGGTGGCTCTGAGGATGAAAAGAGGGATTTAGAAGACGAAGCAGGGCTCACTGAGCTTTGTGGGCAATCAGTGAAACCGCAGTCACTTGTGATGCAAATGCCCTTCTCTTGCCCCCTATAAAATCCCTTAATACTTTACTGTTTCCTACCACTTTCATGGATGTAAATTTTTACTTGAGGGAAACTAAAATAGGAAAAGAAAATTAAATAAAAAAGAGAAATGTATCATTTTTATTATTATGAAATTGGTTTCTCTCACTAAATGTTGAACAAATATTTTTAAAATATGGGTTGAAGCAGTACAGTTTTTTCTTTAATTCTGCAGGGAACCACATGAATCTGTCTATCCCTGACGTTAACCTGATTCTATAATTCAAAGTAAAAAAGAAATTAAGTTTTCCAGTAACATGAGGCAAGACATAACTGATGAGGGTCTTCTCCACCATAGAAGCTGGTACTAATGCTTAAATATTTGGGTACCTTCCCTGTAAAGTTTGTCATGATCACTGAGAGATACAAAGGCAAATGAGACATAGATCCTTCTCTAAAGGTTTGTAGTATACAAAAAAGAACACAAAGAGCTTTCTCTGATCTCTTCCACCATTTCATCCTGTCAAAGACAAGACTTTGGCAACTATCCTCTGAAAAATTAATTAGAAATGATGATACTAGTTTTGTAGAATCTAATGCCTTAACTTGATCTATAAAGAAAAAAGTGCCATTCCTCCCACATTCTAATAATTTGTCATGGCATTTGGCTCACACTACAAAAAGTGGAGCAGTGGACATATTGTCATTGTGCCATTGGATGAACATCAGCTCACCTATTCCAACCAAATAGAAATAGGCTTTGGATAAAACATTTCCATTACAATTTAAAGTACCCAGCAACATTTCCTGCATTAATATCTATTTGTACTCAGCACACTTCCTTATCAGTCTAATTACTGTGACAGATAGTTTGCGAAGTGGCCACAATTATTCCCTTCCCTGTATCCATACCCATGTGTAATGCATCCTCCCAGCTGGACCGAATTTGTGACTAAGTTTGATCTATATAATGCAGCTGAAGTGATGTGGACCAACTCTAAGCCTGAGCTGCAAGAGACCTTTCATGCTTTCTATATTGGTTTGCTGGGGCTGCTGTAACAAAATATCATAGACTGGGTAGCTTAAAAAACAGAAACATATGTCCTCATGTTTCTGAAGCCTGGGAGTCCAAGATCAAGTTGTCAGCAGGTTCAATTTGTTCTGAGGCTTCTCTCTTCTTGTCTTGCAGATGGCTGCCTTCCTGCTGTGTCCTCACATGGTCTTTTCTGTGTGTTTGCATGCCCCGGGTGTCTCTCTGTGTGCTCAGATTTCTTCTTCTTATACTCTGACACTAGTCAGATTGGACTAGGGCCCACCCTAATTCTCTCATTTTATCTTAATCACCCTTTTAAAGACCCTATCTCCAAATATAGTCACATGATAAGGAAGTTAGGGTTTCAACATATAAATTTTAGGGGGACACAAATCAGTCCACAACACGTCCCTCATTCTCTCTCTCTCTTTTTTTTTTTTTTTTTTTTGCAAGGGAGTCTTGCTCTGTTGCCCAGGCTGGAGTGCAATGATGCAATCTCAGCTCACTGGAACCTCCACCTCTCAGGTTCAAGCAATTCTGCCTCAGCCCCCTGAGTAGCCATAACTACAGGTGCACACCACCACGCCCAGCTAATTTTTGTATTTTTAGTAGAGAGGGGTTTTTGCCATGTTGGTCAGGCTGGTCTCGAACTCCTGACCTCAGGTGATCCATCTGCCTCAGCCTCTCAAAGTGCTGGGATTACAATCATAAGCCACCGCACCCAGCCCCACATTCTCTTGATGCTCTTCTATCACCATATGAAAAAGCCCAGGCTAACTTCCCAGATAGCCCATCAACTCCCAGAAGCAGAGCTGCCCAGATGACCTGCACCTCAGCATAGAAACATAGGAGACTCCAGTTGACACCAGAAGAACTATCCAGCTAAACCCAGCTTAACCTGCAGAGCTGCACAATTGTGAGATAAAGAAAATGTTTGTTGTTTTAAGCCATTAAGTTTAGAGGTGGTTTCTTATACAGCAAGAGAAAATTGAGACAATAACCAAATAATTAAAGTGGACTGAGAACTTACTAACCTTATTCATAGCCATATAGTCAGGGTTCTTTCGTTGTAATCAACAGAAACCACCTCTGGTTAACTTAACTAAATAGAAATTCATCGGAAAGATAGCACGCTTAGAAATAGACAGAAACATAAGTAGTTCTGAAGTCCAGGGAGCAAGAACTCTTCTATATTTTGTCAGAATGCTATGCTGCCTGTGGAATTTTTTTAAGTACATTTAGAACACATGCCACCGATCTAAGATTCAACGTCCCAAGAGAAAGTTCATTCTCAGCCTAAGTCACACATTGCAAGTCCTGGGGAGTGGGTTTCAGTTCCAAATGTCAATCAAATGCGTAAGATACAATAGGCTTACCTATCACTAAGTTTACTTAACCTTAAGAAAGGAGAAAGAACAGGGACAGCAGCATTCTACATCAGCAGCATGGAGGTCTTGGACACCACAGACACAGTATCCAATGTCCCAGTCACCATATGAGATGTAATTTAGTCTAGGGACAAGCACTGGTGTGAGTGTGGATCACGTAAGCGAAAGAAAACCACAGGGGCTACAGCCCCTCAGCTTAAATACCTTACTATTATAATTACCTATCTCTGGGGGACTGAAAGGGAGAGGGATCCTAGCTTCCTTTTGTGTAGCTACAAAGCAAAAATTACAGTTTATATAATAAATTATCCTGACAACCAAGTGCAGTATGAAAGAATATTTACAGATCAGTAATGTATTCATAGCAACCCCAGAAAGACCCTCATTTATTTGCAATGAATAAATTTCTTAAGCCGGTGTTTTAAGGAAGTTGAAAATGGTCTATCTTACCTCAATTAATTATGATGCTAAGGACAGCTGCAATCTAGCTATTAACCTATTCCTTCCACAGCTCCCCTCCCCCAAACTTGGCTAAGAGAGGGTAGGGCAACTTTCTCTTATACACAGTTCTTCACTAAATGGAGGTGAGATAATTTCCCAGAAGGAATACGGAATGTTATTACCAAGAGAAGCAGAAGAAATGGAAACAAGAAGAGCCAAAATTAACAAATGTTCACAAAAAAAAGGACTACATCAGGTCGTAGGTTTGAAAAAAAGAGTAACAAAATATACAAGAAGTAGTTTCTGTCCTTAAGGAGTTTAAAATATGTTCCAAAAAATAAAATGCATACATAAATAGGCACTCAGCTAAGCCTATGGGTTCTATTTCCAAGTGACAATGGAGTGGTAGAGAAATAAAGACTGTGGAGGATCAGTAAAAAAAATTACTGAGAGGAAAGGAAAAATTGTAGAGAGGAATTTTTCCTTTAGAGTCTAAGGATGGACTTCAGGGAGCAGTGGCTCTAAAATGTAGACAAAATTCTATGCGTGTGTGGATGCACAATATGTGTCATTTTAATGTGGTTCCCTCCTTATGGACTGCCCCATTCATTTATGCAACAAGTATATTGGACACATCCCAAGTACAAGGCACTGTTCTAGGCTTTATGTAGCACGAACGAAAGAGACCCAATTATCTGCCCTCAGAGAAATTCTTCCAGTGAGACAAAACTTGGTAGCACTATTACCACACATTGGTAAGTAAGATGAGCAATGAGTCCATAGAAGTAACCAGAAGAAAAAGATTCTGAATTCCTGGCTTTTGAGTTTTATTTTATTATTATTATTATTATTATTATTATTATTATTATTATACTTTAAGTTTTAGGATACATGTGCACAACGTGCAGGTTTGTATACATGTACCACGTTGGTGTGCTGCACCCACTAACTCGTCATTTAGCATTAGGCATATCTCCTAATGCTATCCCTCCCCCCTCCCCCACCCCACAACAGTCCCCGGTGATAACTAATAGAAGGAGTAGGAGTATGCTTATATATATTTTTTCTTTTTTTTTTTTGAGACGGAGTCTCAGTCTGTCGCCCAGGCCGGAGTGCAGTGGCGCATTCTCGGCTCACTGAAAGCTCCGCCTCCCGGGTTCACGCCATTCTCCTGCCTCAGCCTCCTGAGTAATTGGGACTACAGTCACCTGCCACCACGCCAGGCTAACTTTTTGTATTTTTAGTAGAGATGGGGTTTCACCGTGTTAACCAGCATGGTCTCCATCTCCTTACTTCGTGATCCGCCCGCCTCGGCCTCCCAAAGTGCTGGGATTACAGGCGTGAGCCACCGCGCCCAGCTTATTTTTAAATATTTTTTTTAATTTATAAGAGCAGAATTGATGTTGTGGAGTGCTAGAAAAGTTGAGAGGTGTTATTTAATCTACAGACACAGCTGGGTGCTCAAGTGCATTTGCAGTCCTGACTTTCTGTGATAGGTTCTGAAGCCAGCAGGTCCCGCAAGTGGCTTACCATGGATTTAATGACAAGTATGACAGATGTGTAGCTGGAGTGGCTGAGTACCACTCCGTCCCTGCCACTCACTGGTGCTTATGTCTATGTTTAAAGCATTCACCTTTTTTCTGTGCAAAACAACATTATCCAGGTCTCGATTAATTCATAGTGTGAAGTTCCCTTTTTTAATTAATTTGTTATCTAGAAAACTTTCAAACCTGTAAAAAAGTTGAAAAAATTACAGAGAACACTTGCATACCCCTCCCCAAGAACCACCCACTGTTCATGTCCAACCTCACTCCTTCCAACCATCTCCCAACCTGCCTGCCTCCCTAGGCTCATGGACCTGAAAAACTGTGGCTCTTTCTGTTCCATTTCCTGGGACGTGGGGCAGGTGCAGGACTTCTGACACCTCTAACACCTCTCCCTAGCTCTCTTCTTCCAATTTCCTTTCTCCTTGACAGCTTGGAGACTTTGAGTGAAACAGGATAAATAGCTTGGTCATAAAGTATTGTCCTTCTGGAGATATAACAATAGGTATATGTATTTTCTTATTTTAGAAAGCGTAAATGAAAAAGTAATGAAAATGACTTACAATAGGGGATAGATGGGGATGGAGAAGAAGGGATGGGGAAGTGAGTGAGACAGAAGAGTAGACATAGTAAACAGTTGGGGCTTTTAAAACATATTAACAATTTATATGTTCAAAAATCTAAAATTAAATGAAAAGAGTGAAAAAAACTCAAGCTCTAAAATTGTTTACTAACAGAAACGAACAATCTTAACTGCATATAAAACTGATAACTATAGAGAAGATAATTGGAGCATATTTGAACACACGTAGGTTTAGTGGGATATAATTTAAGATAATAAAAGAATTGCAAATAAATTTTACCATATTTAGTAGTTTTCTCTTGGTGTTGGTATTGTTGTAATTCTAAAACTATTTTGTGTGTATTTTAAGATTTTATAATGAATTAATGGATTGATATTGTTGGTAACCAGCATTTTCACTGGGGGAAGGGAGTTACACATATGTTACATGAAGAATTTCATGGTATTAAATTTACTTTGAAGTAACTAAGGTAAATTTATAATTTTCAAATGTCTATATATATACATACACATATATATTTTTTCATGATTTTTAAATATCTGTATATGTATATATTGATCACTAGTTTGCAAAATGTAACTTGCCTTACTTATCTATAACTGAATTTAATCTCTATCTCAAGCCTGCATTCTGATACTAGAACCTAATCTAGCTACTACCAATAAACCATCTCAAATAAACACAGATATTTGAAAATAATATATATAAACTATTTAAAATATTATATTTTACATATACACATATGTTATACATATATATAATTTTTACATATAAAATATATATATAGCAGGAAGGAATCCAGTAGTCAGGACTAAAGGACTCAGCATCAAATGCAGCAGGGGTCCTGTAACTGGAGCAAGATGGGGACACATCTGTCTTGGTGAGGAAAGCAAGTACGGATGGGCACCAATGAGCAGAAGCCCCAACATGCCACTGTACATCTCAGCAGATACCAGCTCTGAGCAGATCAAGCTCAAGCAGAACCCCAGACTTTAGAAGTAACCCCCAGAAGGAGAAAGAGGAGAGAAAATACCATTATTTGTTATTTTAAATCCTGAATCATAGAGAAGTCACTAAAGGATTTGTTATTTTAAATCCCAAATCGTAGAGAAGTCACTAAAGGGATAGTTTTTTAGCAGTAGCTGGATAAGGTCCTACTATCAGCCAGAATGCAGGCTTGCAATAGAGATTAAATTCAGTTACAGGTAAATGGGAAAGTTACCTTTGCACACCGGTTAGTGGTCCTTAAAGACATTATGCCAACGGGCTTTTTTCTGGGAGAAAGTCTATAATTTTAACTAGATTTTCAAAAGGCCTCTCAACAAAAACAGTTTAAGAACCATTATGTTTGTTTAACAGAGATGATGTAAGGGCAAGAAAAAGCTATACCAAGGAGCTCATTTCACTACAACAGCTGCATTTTACATTCTTTTTTTTTTTTTAATATGTACTTTAAGTTCTGGGATACATGTGCAGAATGTGCAGATTTGTTACATAGGTAAACACATGCCATGGTGGTTTGCTGCACCCATCACCCATCATCTGCATTCTACATGGTCACTGGGCCCTTAAGCTCTCCTCACCTTCCTAATGGATGTTTTCGTCCTTACTCACTAGAATTTCATTCACTCTCCTGTAACTGTCACATGAATTTCTTTTCTTTTTTCCAGTCCCATCTATTTTCTCCTGGTGTCTTTCATGTTTTCAGTTGTATGATAAATGATATTTCTTCTATTCATCATTGTTAATATTCAACTTATGTTTATTTCAGTTAACATGTTCCTTTTCTATTCGCAGTCAAGATAGGGTGGTTAAAATTTGAATTATATATTTTCTATGTATACATTTTCGCTAAAGTAGAGCTCTGTATTAACATATAAAGTATTTGTGCTCATTGTGAATGATTTTTAAGAGGGAAGTAATGTACCACAGGAAAAAGAGGGATTGGGTGGCATTCGATGATCCATTTTCTAATCCTCACTCTGCTAAGCGTTTAGCTGTGTGACCCTGCAGATCTCTGGCTGTTATTGCCTCCGGTGTAAAATCAGTTTGTGAGATTACCACAGGCGGCTATGAGGCAGGGTTCTGGGCCACGTTACTGAGAGAACAAATAGAGACAGATATAGTTTGATTATTTTTTGTACATGGCTCACCCTCTTGCTTTCACACAGATTCTTCTAATGTCTTTATATCATGGCCTTAACATGTAATACACATGTCATTGTGTATTTTAAAATGTGTTGAGTATATACAAAATTGGGAGAATGTGGACTACAAACTGTTATTCTTAATGCCCATTTAACTTTGCTTCTGGCCAGTCTAGCACTTGTCAATTTTCAAACAAAAAAGAAATATATAATAGATAACACTGCTGGCCCCTTTCCCCATTAAGAATTTTCAATCACATTGACAGTTAATATAGAATAATATATCTGGGGATGAAGAAGAGGGAGTTTTGAACAATTTGTTTAAATATAATAGCTTTTACATTTTATGAACAATTTTTAAAATCTCTCAAATATGAAGATCATTGAATTTGGAGATTTTGTGGCTGACTCCCATACCCCATCCCTTACATTCTCCTTGTGGAGTGGTGAAGAAACATTGATTATTCACAATATTTTAGGCTCAGAACTACATGATCAATTGTAAACTTTTCTGTTATCCCATATCAGTAGGTTTTGAAATGTCCACAAACCATTTTCCTAATGAAATCTCACCTGAAACCCAACATATAAGGGAGAAAAAAGCTGAGCTGTCCTCTTTATACAAGAAAGGAATGGGCATCAATCCTGTCTCCTTGGTCTGTTCCATACCTACAGAGACCTCCACAATCCTTACATGCCACCAAAGTGGACATCACTGGTGTGGTGTTCTCAAAGATCTGGGGCCATGGATTTATGGCTACCACCAGTCAGTCCACACTTATTTATCCAATATATATTACTGAACGCCTACTATGTGTCGCGCACTATTTTAGATGCTGGAGATACAGCAGTGAATAAAGCAACCTAAAATCGCTGCTCTCTTGGGGTTCACCTTATACTAGTGAAGACACTCAATACATAAAAATAAATAATTATCTACGTAAAATAGTGGTGAATTCTAAAGAGAAAACAATAAAGCAGAGAATTTAGTTTCACAAAAAGTGTTTTGCCAGGATAAGGGATGGAAATTTTAGACTGGATAGTGAAGGAAGACCTCTTGAAGAAGGTAATGTTTCCATAAAACTTCTGAAGTGAGGATGGGAGTGGATATCTAAAAGAAGGCCAGTCAAGATAGAAACAACAATAGTTCAAAGGCCCTGAGGCAAGAACATTCCCGGGTGAAGCACAGCAAACAGAACAGTGTAGCTGAGAAAGGGGAGTAGTGAGGGATGGGCTCCATCTCCCAATGGTGTTGGTTGGATCACATAAAATAGCTGATATTTGACAGTTTTTCACCTACCAGACAGCATTGCAATATGGCTCAACCTAAAACTTGCAAGGAATGACTTAGAACAATATGAGTGGGTTATTTACAGTATGTGAGAGCAGGGACTAGGGACACTTGACAAACAATTCCTTCCCAACAGCTAGCCTACTCTTAAAATCTCTAGAACAGCTTCTCTGCCCACATTCAATCAAAACATGTGAAGTGGCCTCAAGAATGCAGAAGACATAGAGTTCTGGACTAAGTTGCCTGAGTTCTATCCTGATGCAGTCATACCATATAGATTCTGACCTACAGCTTATGCAGCTGTAGGTTGGCAATGATATGTACTTCCCCATCTCATCAAGTTTTGGAAAATAACTCAAGATAGTGGATTTATTCAGTCATTTCTCTAGTGACATTTGATTAGAATTCTTCTCCCTCAACTGCCACCTAGCCCTACTAGAAGTTCATGAATAATGTCTTACCTTGGGATGCCATAACCAAACACTACAGACTGAGTGGCTTAAACAACAGATGTTTATTTTCTCATAATTCTGGAGACTGGAAGTCCAAGGTCAGGGTGCCAACATGGTGGGTTCTTGTGAGGATCCTCTTCCAGGAAGGCTGCAGAGGATCCTCTTCCAGGGAGGCTGCAGACAGCTGCCATCCCACTGTGTGCTCACTTGGCTTTTCCTTGGTGCATGTCCCTGGGGAGAAAGAGAACAAGCTCTCTGTTGTCTCTTCTTAGGAGGGCACTAATTCCAACAAAAAGACCCTGTAACTGAAAAGCAGGTTAGTTGCTCACCACTTGCAGAGTCCAATTAACAAGAGCGAGGTCTGGTCCAAAAATCCAAAAATAAAGTGAATTTATTCAAAAGCTAGCTTGGGGAAAGGGGCACAAATCGTCCTGCCTTTAAATGTGCCACTTCACTTCTGGAGCAGAAAGCGGGCACTTCTATGGGGTAGGGAAGGGAGTAAGCAAGGATGGGGGTCTTCCTGCTAGCTTGGTGCCTTATCTACCAAGCAGTTGAGTTGGCACCTTCCTGGGCAGAAGTAAGTTGTAAAAGTGGTCAAGTTGGCATGCTTTTGACATGGCCTCCTGGCAGGTGTGAGTTCCGAGGAGATCACCCCCCACTCCCATTGGAGGGTGAAAGTTCACAGGCAGTCCCCTGGAGGTGAGAGTTCCATGGGGCATACTTTGGTCTGCAAACCAAGTGTCAGCTCTCCAGGAGCACATAGTTAAATCTTGGAGCACATAGTTAAATGAACTTGCCCTGTAGGGAATGTCTGATGAGGGGGAGGTGAAAGTTATATTTACATTTCTAAAGGGCTAAGTAGAAAGAAGGGGGTAGGGAGAAGAGGGGAAAAGAAGAAAAGAGAAAAGAAGAGAAAATAATTTAAAAAATTAAACTACCTCCTAGAAAAACGGGGATACTCGGTTACAACCCCACCCTTGTGACCTCATTTCTAAATCTAATTATCTCCCAAAGGCTCTATCTTCAAATTTCATCAGTTTGGTGGATAGAGTTTCATCATGTGAATTTGGGGGGACACAATTCAGTCCATAACAAGCAAGATATATGCAAAGAAAACAAGGGAGGCAAAAGCTCATTTTTGGTTGTTATATGGATTTGTCTGAAGTTCCATCAAGAACCTCTAGCCCTGATAAACAAGACTGGATTATGTGATGGTCAAGAGACTCTTTTGGTGCCTCTAGCCCAAAGCCTGCACTAAAATCAACCAAAGAAGCCTCCTCAGCCCCTTTCCACAGCCCTCTCCAAGGAAGGTGTGCCACTCCATAGACATGAGAAGAGCAGAGAGCAAACTGAAGTTGATCCAGAGAAAGTCAACTCAAACAGAGACATCACGAGCATATCAGTTAGTTGGGGCTTACATCACATGCACGAGAACATACTCTGACTAGCATAACCACAACAGGAAGCAAATGAAGTGCTTCACAGAATCCTAAGGAAAGGCAAGAACTAGAACAGCTCTGAGGGTATGGGGAGCAGCATCCCAGGGAGGGTCTCTTTATGAGGCCTCTGGCCTCAAAATGGCTCAGCTCCAACAATTTTCTACCTTGGAATCACCCTTTCTGAATTTTAAAAAATCTATTTAATAACACTTCTCAATAAGTGGGTCCATAGTCATTGAAACCGTGTATGTCTTAGTGATGAAGGAAAAGGAGTACAAGTCTTCTAAAATCAAACTCCCAGGAAGGACTCTGTTGGTCTTGCTTGAGTCCCTACCCATCATTGTAGAGAGGACTGGGGCATCTTCAGTGATTGTTTCATCCAGACCACACAGAAAGAACAGTAATCTACGGACAACTAGGATCTTATTGCAAAAGAAGGCAGGCAAAAAATACTATGACATGTCAGGCAGAAACCCAAGTCTTGACCATTTTACTCAGTTCCTTGCCAAAAACTCTACCTTCTACATGTCCTTATTTATAATTTTGACACATCCGTGGAAAAAAAGTATGAAAGGGGAGCATTAAGGCTAATAATGCACCACATTTTGTTCTTTTTCCTGTAAGCCCCAGTGTTTGTGTAGGGGGATGGGGGGATGGTCAATCAAAAAGCTATGCCTGATTTTTCTAAATCTTGACACTGATACTGTGTATCTGCTCGAATCAATGAAATAAAGTAGAACTCCTCTTGGTTTAAAAATATGTTTTCGTATTGTCTTAGAAGCCTATCGAATGAGTCAGGACTAAACTTTAATTATATTTATCCAAAAGCCATACTGTACACAGTCTGAGACATGACTCTATCCCATTTCCACATGTAAAAGGGTTAATTGATAAGGACCAGGCATGAAGATGATTCAGAAAATACAACCTCAATAATATAAATGTTCAAATTTTATATTTTCCAAAATGCCTGAAATTTTAATAACATGAAATTCTTCACATTATCAGTTTAATTTTTTTCTAAAGTAAACTTCTCCTCTATTGATCCACAGGAAATGAAAATCTTAAAATATATATGAAAGCAAATATCTTCCCCCAGGTCCTTGTACTTCTTATTCTGCTCCATTCCATCCAGAAACATTTAGCCTATGTACCTAACTAAAAAACGGAATCTACCTTCAGCAGATAAAGGCAAAAACATCTGCCAGAAATGATATGCTCCTTCAGCTTTCCAAGAACTGTGACTTTTCTAACCCCAAATCTTCCATGACCCATTTCCTCAAGTTCTAGAGAGTCAACAGAAAATATAAGTTTATCACAGCAGCAGCCCTACTCCTGTGAAGCTTAATAAACCCAAGCAAATGCCTACAACTAGGCTATATGTGAAGGCTAGAAAAATGTACAATTCAAGAATCAACTCACGTGCAAAATCTTTCCTCAAACAAAAGCACATATTACAATGTACTTTCACATTGGTGTTAAAAGCCATAGGCCATGAGGAAGTAAATATAGTATTATCTATAGGCAGATGGTAGCACAAAAAAAAAATAGAAAAAAAGAAAATGCACTATGGTTTCAGTTTATCAGTGTGCAGCCTAGATTCTAACATATGCCAACTTCAAATTCAGTTGGGACTTCTTGGCCTCTATAATCACATTAGTCAATTCCTATTTTTTAGATATACACACACACACATATATACACACACATATTACATATTACATACACATTACATATTGCATATAGAATATACATAATGCATATTATATGTGAATATTTATAAGTGTTTATATATTAATTATATTTGTATATACATATATACATATAATATACATACTGTATATGATAGTAATATATTAATACATGTATATTAAATACACACAAAATATACATAATATATGTGTATATATGTATATATAACATGTTTGTACATATACATACACACACATTACATATTACATATGTATATTACATATGTGTATTTATATATTACTATATGTATATATGTATATTACACATGCATTATATATGTACACACACATTACACATATGTTACATATATATTACATATTACATAATTTCCTATGGATCGTATTTCTCTGAAGAGCTCTGACTAATACACTTCCAGTACAGTACATCACAATGCATAGAAGAAAGAGAAAGTTTACATCTTGTTTTCAGGATATCCTTTGAAGATGCCCTATATTTTGTTTGACCTTTCAGTCTCAGCAGCATGTTGAATGGTTAGATATGCTCAGAGAAACTTTTATAATGATTTCTATGTCCTTTCTCACCAGAGCACTGCCTCTAAAATCGTTAATGACTTTACAGAATTCAGAGCCTTTCAAAATTGAGGAGAGGCAATAGTGGCAATAATGCCGGCAATAGTGCCTGCTTGGGACAGAAACACTGCTGAGTTAATTTATATAAACCCAAATGGGCAGAATAAAGTCAAAAGACTCTAGTAATGAAGAAAAATATAATGTAGACTTGATTTTCTATTTTGGAGTGTATGCAGAGGGGGCAGGAAGGAGGGTTATTCATAACACTTTTGGCATTTCAAGGATTTGTTAAACGTAATATAAAATGAAAAGGCAAAAATCAAATATTATTTGTTGAATTGTGGAATATGGATCTAAATTCAGACATCTGGAAGCAAAGTGAAGACAATTGATTCAGTGACAAAAGAAAGCTTTTGAATGTTAAAACCCAATATTTTGTTTAGGCCACTCTACTCATTTAAGTCACTCCAATTTTAAAGAGTTAAATGTCTTTAAGGGTATGGGAAAAACATTCAAGGCCTTCGCCTCCTTACCCCTTTCTAACTACTTTGCATAAATATTCACTGTAAACTTTAGAACTCAGAATAGAAGAGGTGCTAAAAATTGCTTATTAAATTGAATACTCTTCTACATTGCCAGGTCATAAATGTGGTTGTTAAAATGTTAATTGTGTTTGCCTCTAATTGCTAACAAGATAAGTGATTTTTTTTTTTACTGCTTCTTCATGCTTTTCTGTATATTCCAAAATTTTTTATGTTGAGCATTACAAGGAAAAAGAGGTAAATATGTAACAAAAAAATGCATACAACACAGTAAATTTTAGTTAAAGCTTTAAGATTCCTCTCATATTATTCTGAATAATCTTTGGTTGTATTTTCAAAAGTAATATCAAAAAAATAAATGTAGACTCAGGTAAAGAGACACTTAATTCAAAAGACTGCAACCTCTCATACCCATTAGGATGACTATTATCAAAATAAATAATTAAATAAATAACAAGAGTTGGCAAGGCTGTGACAAAATTGGAATATTTCTGCACTATTGATAGGAATGTTAAGTGGTACAGCCACTATGCAAAACATAGTTTCTCAAAAAATTAAAAGTAAAATTATCATATAATCCAGCAATTCCACTTCTGGGTATATATCAAAAAGAATTGAAAGCGGAGTCTTAAAGAGATATTTACACATTTCTGTTTATAGTAGCATTATTCACAATAGCCAAAAGGTGAAAGCAACACAAGTGCCCATCATCTGATGAATGGATAAACAAAATCTGATATATTCATACAATGAAATATTATTTAGACTTTAAAAGGAAGCAAATTCTGGCACATGCTATAACATGATTGAACTTTGAGGACATTATGCTAAGTGAAATAAGTCAGTCACAGAAAGACAAATACTGTATGATTCCATTTATATGAGATACATAGAGTAGTCAAAATCATAGAGACAGAAAGTAAAATGGCAGTCACCAGGGGCTGGGATAGGGGAGGAAATGGGGAATTATTGTTTAATCGAGCTTCAGTTTTGCAAGATAAAAAAGTTCTGGATTGCAAGACAATGTAAATATAAATACTACTGAACTGCATACTTCAAAATTATTAAGATGGTAAATATTATGTTTATTTTACCACACTCAAAAATGAAATTTGTTTAAAAAAGGACTATTGCAATGGGGGAAGAAAACTACTGCAACAGGGAGAAAGCTCCAACTAAAGATTTGCAAAAGTCTCAAAGGTTAGGCAGAAAAGGGGGAATTTTCTTTTGTAGGGAGGAGTAAACAAAGCTAGAAAGAACTCAGCACAGGAGAATGGGATAGGCAGGCTTTGTGATCAGACAGTTGACAGAATCTTGCAATCCGCAGGTTTTCAGAAGAGGTTATTCAGGAGGGGTTGGTCCACATTCCAAGGCTGGCTGCAGCTGAAGGTGGATCAAAGGTCAGGGACTGTAGGAAGAGAAGAAGCCAGATTAAAGTTTGGTGAAGTCACTTTAGCTGGCATCTTATCCAGATTGGTCAGTGAAAACAAACAGGTCAGCTAATCATTTATGAAGTAAAGAATGAGCATTTGGAGGGTGTATGTATGGCCTTGTTGCAGATAAACAAGGGGATTATGAGGAGTCTTATCTAAGTTACATGTTTGCAGTAAGATGTTTCCCAGAGCACAAACGAGTGGGTGGGAGGATTTCTTAATTGTTCCTGTTTTCTAGGAGCACAGGGCTCAGGTAAGGTCCAATGTGGTCAGTGACGTGTTGTAAAAAGACAGAAGCACAGCTAGAGTGGGGTCAGGCAGACCAATGCCGGAACTCCAAGACCTTCCTCAAATGCTAGTTCTGTGCCTCAGTTTACCCTTACCTAAAATCAGTTATATCTATCAAGTGAGTGAAGATGCTGGCATGACTCAAACAGAGGTCTATGAAAGTTCTTAAAAAGAGGTCTGTGAAATGTCTTTAAAATAATAAAACACTATAATGGCATTAGGTATTATTATGAAATGTAAGCCTACTGCCTGATAGAAATGAGAGAGGGTTGAAAAAGCTTATCTTTTACATATTTAAGGGACAAAAAGTAGTATTGAAATTATAGGGAAATACCTGACAATGTATACTTGACAGCCAAATTGCATGCTAGAAAGTATAAATCCTACAAAAATCCAAGTTATATGAGGACAGAATAGAAAGAAAATGTTCCTGAGAAAAGAAGTACTTACTTGGGCCTAGATGAAAGGTAATATTTGCTTGAGTGGAGGCAAGCATGGAAAAAATATTGGTAATATCCACAGTTCATAGAATGGCTGGCTATCTGCTAGGGACCTATATTACTTTGCTAGTGCTGCTATACAAAATACCACAGACTGGGTGGCTTAAACAACAGAAATTTTTCTCACAGTTCTGTAAGCTGAAGCCCAAGACCCAGGTCCCAACAGTGTTGTTTACTGGTAAGGACTTTCTTTCCAGCTTGCAGATGGCTGCCTTCCTGCTGAGTCCTCACGTGGCCTCTCCTCTGTGCATGCATACTTCTGGCGTCTCTTTCTCTTCTTGTAAGGACACCAGTCCTGTTAAATTTGGGCCCCACCCTTATGACCTCATTTAACCTTAATTACCTGTTTAAAGACCCTATCTCCAAATACTGCTACATTGGGGCTTAGGGCTTCAACATGAGTTTGGCAGGGATACAACTCAGCTCATTACAGGATCCCTAGGAAATAAGGTTAATAAGTAGGGATGAAGCCAATATGGGAATGGCATAAAAATGAGGTTTCTGGGAAATGACGTTGGTATACTCATCACAACTGTCCATTTAAGACATCTCGACTTGGAATGCCCTATTCTACATAATCAGTTCATTAGGCCCATATGCCTATACCCCTTTAAGGAGTGAGTAAAGAGGGGAAAACAAATACAGTACCCTTGAAAATCAAGGTCCACTTCCCAAACAGTTTTGTCCTTTCCATTTGGGAAAGGCTGAAGGAATCTATCCATGTGGTAATTCTGAATGTGCTGCTGAAACTCTAGAGAAGATAGAAAGGGAAAGTTTTCTGCACTTTGAAATGCCTACCAGGGGAAGATGAATATATACCAAAGACAGCCATTTGACCTAGATGTAGCAACAATCTACAGTTGAATTCATCGTTGTGCACCAGCCATTTACCATCTTGACTGGAGGAAAAACTAGCTGTTCAGAGAGGGGAAATAGCAAAGTCTTGCTATTTTTCTGACTTGTTATTCTCACTCAGGAGAAAAAATGTTTTTCAAATATATTGATTATTCTGAGACTTGACTTTAGAAATATCCAAAAAAGGAACTTTAAAAATATAAAATGAAGAGCTTGCCTATAGTTTTCGGAAGGAAACAATAGTATGCTACAAAATGCCTCTCATGTCCCAGGAAAGATAGTAACTGCTTGTGTAAAACATATGATTATTGATCTCTTTTTGGAATCCTTCATTCCCCAAGATTCTTGTACTCATTAAGACAGTGGTTCTTTACCACGGGCAATTTGGACACCCAGGGATATTCGGCAAGTATCTTGGAATTTTGGCTATGTCTGGGGACTGGGGTTGCTCTTGGCATGCAGTGGGTAGAGATTAGGGATAAAGCTGAACATCTCCCAATGCACAGAGCAACCCTCCACAACAAAGAATTGTCTAACCCAAAATGTCAACACTGCCAAGGTTGAGAAACCCTGGAATTTGAAAACAGAAAAAAAAATTTAGGGAAAAAAGGACTGACACAGAAAACGTGCCAGCTGGACAGTGCCTTTGCAGGGCAGCTGGTGAGCCTCTCACCACTTCCTGGTTCCCTTGGAAGGTCTAAGTAAAGAATTGAGCAAGCCAGATAAAGTACAGTTTCATTATACAAAGTACAAAGCTCTGTAAAGCTGGTTTGGACAATGCTATGACGCACTGAGGCCAAATACGAGCTTCCTTGTCCTTTCCCCTCACTGGGAGGCAGCTGCCACACACAGCAGGGCCAACCTAGCTTACCTTCTGGGGAGCTGGAACAGCCGCCTGCCATACTTAAGTACTACTTCAATACTGCTAACTTGTGGGAAGTAGAGCTGTTTCCACTCTATGGAAATGCAGTATATGGGTGAAAAAGTATTGCCCCCAATCATTAAATTCCATAAACGTCAGAAGCCTTGTTTGCACAGGAATAGCATGGCAGCTGAATATGTTCAGTGGTGCAAGGAAGGTGTTTGTGGTTCTCCCAATTCATAATACAACTGTTTCTTTAACTCTATTTCCTACCATTCTCTCTCTCACTCAAACTCCTGCCACATTGGTCCACTTGCTATTCTTCCAACATGTCAAGCATGCTTCAAGCACATCAGCAAACACTTTGGCACTTAGATGTCCTCTGTTAAAATGTTCTTCACCCAGAAATCCCTTACTTCATTCAGGTCTCTGCTTAAAAGACCCTCACTGACCACCCACTGTAGCACCTCCCACCCCCACAATTCACTAGGCTTTTTCCCTTCCTTTTCTTCATGGCACTCCCCATCCCCGGCTGTTTCACATACCTGTCTGCTTCTCATCTCTCTCCCTCCCCACACTAGAATAGAGGCTCCATCACAGGGGGGACCTTGTCTAATTTCAATGCCTAGACTATTATCTGAATATCATAGGCACTCATTAGAAGTTTGTTAAATAAATTTTTTAAATGCCTTTTTATTTTCTTGCTCTCTCTGTTTTCCTCCCATTAGTTTTTCCTAAACTCTGAAACCTGCTATTTTCTGATTTTACATTATCCATATTTATTTCTTTGTCTAAATATTAAACCAGTTACTGTTACTAACCACTTTGTTAGCCCTTGGAGCTAATAAAAAGTTTGCTGAATTTGCAATATACAAGTACTGAACAGCTTCTATAAGTCACAGTTTTGGGTGACATGGGTAACAACAAAACAAATGGAAGGCAGCATGGGCTTGCCCTGTGGAAGAAAAGCCAGAGAGAGCAAGCATTCATACCAACATTTTAATGGCAGGACCCATGAGATCTGCACCATGATCAAGAACAGTGTTGTGTGAGGTCCCAGAGAGGCCGATGATTCTGCCTCTGGAGATGGTGAAAAGCTTCCTGGAAGAACTGATGTTTGAAAAAAAAAAAAAAAAAAAAACTTAGAAAACAGGCAGAAACTGGGAGAAAAACAGCCCAGGTAGAATTATAAGAAAATCAATGGCAGATGTATTAGCCTGAAAGGGTCCTATGACAGGGTAGATAGGGGGATGAAATGGATTAACCAGCCTCTCAGTGAATCAACTGTAATATGATAAGATGATAACTCCAAGCCTTCATGACAGTACAACTGTGCTAATAGTGATTGCAGTGATGTCATTAACAAAAATCACATTAACAATAGTAATTGCAGCAATGTCATTAACAAAGTCACCTTTAGGGTGAGAAATGATGAGTTTGATCTCTGTCATTTTATGTTTGAGATTCCAGAACAGGCCCCGTGGTGTGGTGGAATTTTGTTCCTGGCTGTGGAGCTTCGTGGCTTGGCTCTGGAGCCCTCCTAGAGATGCTGTAAGCCAAACAATACCATTTGTCACATTATTTCTCCTCATAAAGTAGCAGAGTGGATTATGTGGTTTACCAGTAGACTCCTGACCAATATGAAGGCCATCAAACAAAAGTCTTTCCACTTTATTTCTTATACACTTCAACTAATTTTATTAAGTTGGACCATATAACATGGCCATTTTACAGGTCAAAAATAGTTAAATACAGGCAATTTTATGTCAGTGCTGTTGTGATAAGCCCATGCTCTGGAATCAAAGAAACCTGGGTTTAATACTGGCTCAGAATTTATCAAGTAAGTAATTTAAATCTCCAAACCCCAGTTTCCTACGCTATGAAATAGCAACAATGATATGAGTGTTTTATAGATGTTGTGAGGACTAAACGAAAGACACATGTGAAGCACTTGGCACAATGCCAGGCACTTCTCATCTTCCCTCCTATTACAGAGAACAGCATTTCCCTACCCATCTTTGAGGTTACTTTTGTCTTTCCATCCTTCTTTCATGATCATTATTTCCCTGGTATTCCCTTCCTCCCACACTGTCAACCACTTCTCCCCACTCTCTGCAATCACACTCAGGTCTTCAATATCAGGACAAAACTTGACTCCACTGGCCCCTCCTGCCACACTGCTGTTTTCTGAGTGTACAATTTATAATCTGCTTCTGCTTCCTCAAGGTCCACCCATCTATAATTCCTTGAAGTAGAATAACTGTCCCTGTAATTCTACTGAAATGGCCACTCAAATATTACCAAAGACTTCTAAATGAACAAATTTAGTGATCCTTTCTCAGTTGTAGTCCCTTTGGATTTCTTTGAATCATTTAAACTGGTTCCCACCTACTCTGTCATAAAATCCCTCCAAGGCGTTAAAACTTGAAATTATCTTCAATGGCTCTTCCATGCCTACATCAGGGCAATCACCAACTCACATTGCTCTTCCTTCCCAATGTCTCTCATATCTTAGTATCCATATTTCTACCACACTTTTTCCATTTAAATATGTGAATCAGACTTTACATATTTCTAAAATTTGTCATCAAGGGAAGAGCATATATAAGTAAATAATTTTTTTTCAGTTTTCAATTAAATGAGTGGATAGAGAAGGGAAATTCCTAACTCAATGACAACAGGAATTGTTCAGACCAGCAGGGTTGGAGTTCTTGGAAACTAGTTATATTGAGGAAACTGTTGCATTTAATTAAAAGTAGGCAAAGCTAATCTATCTAATTCAGGATCCATGGCTGTGAATCTTTCTCTGGGCATTTCCCTAACCACCAGAAATTGCAGTGAGAGCATAAGGAAGGAGGGAAACTTTCAAGAAAAGGAGGGAAACTTTCAAGAAAAGGAGAAGAACAAAAAACTCATGATTTACTGGCTTCCTCTGCTGAAGCCTTATCAGTGCCATGCACAAGGCCCCAATATCTCCATGGAGCACATACTGAAAAATCAGTCCATGGGGCCTTATACAAGACTGAGAGTGGCCATTACCTTTTCTCTTTAAACTTACACTCACTAATGATCTCCTGTAAGTCTTACAATATAAGACACAGTTTGTCTGAAAACATGGTTTCCACGAAATCCTTAAACTAGATAGTCTTGTTATTAAATAAATTCCTTATCCTGAGTTTAAATTTGAACCTGTCTTTAAATGAAGCTGACATTATCACCAAAGTAGTCTATTTCTCTATTTGTAAGATAACACAGTTCTCAAGTGTTACTTATTTTCAATGTTTCCATTAAAAACGTCTAGAAAAATTTCAGCTTTATTTTCCTTGAACAAACCTGATAAATGTTATTACTACAAGTTGGCTTAGGGACATCTGTTTTAAAATCTGTGGTATTTTAATTTGAAGATAATGTATTCAGACATGCTTTTGGTGACAATGGTTCTAATTAGGACGTCTTTTATCTTCCACCGGGGACTGTTGTGGGGTGGGAGGAGCGGGGAGGGATAGCATTAGGAGATATACCTAATGCTAAATGACGAGTTAATGGGTGCAGCACACCAACATGGCACATGTATACATATGTAACAAACCTGCACGTTGTGCACATGTACCCTAAAACTCAAAGTATAATAATAATAATAATTTAAAAAAAGAAAAACTATATAAATGATCTCTCTTCATTCTATGGTCTTTCCATTTTTCCTAATATAGCAGCAAAAAATATTTTCTTCAATCTGCAAGATGGAAAGTTTTGTGAAGTCCTACACTTTCCTTCTTCCAGATAAAGTAGAATGTTTCATTCTCTTGAAAGAAAATGAAATAAGAGCCAAGAGAACATGAGGGTAAAATCACCTTGTCAGGAATGACTGAAGGCTACAGAGAAAATGAAGAAAGAAAAACAGAAATAAACATTCAAATGAAAATAAATGGATCAAGCAAGACTGCAAAGAGAAGCAAATATGTCTCTAAGGACAACAGCAAGGGAGCAATTGTTTAGAAAGTACACAAAACCCTCTGCTCAGCTGTTCTTACTTCAGCACACTTCTCACCATGTTCTTGGTAACTTACAGACTTCTTTTACTTATTTCATTAACATACACTTTTCCTTATCACTAGAGCTCCATTCTATCTTCCCTAGAAGACAAGTAAAATTGATAAATATTTGAGATGTCCCACTCAGGGTGGGAAAGGGGTGGAAGCTGGGAGGAGGCCTGAAGAGTACACTAAGCCAGGAATAGGGAGGCCCATGTTTGGGTGTCAGGTGTCAGGCCTACTTCTTATTGTCTGTAGGATGCAAGTGTTTAGTTCTAAAAACTTAAGAGAAACAACACATGGTTATTATTCCCCACATGGCAATATGGAACAAATTAAGTGATAATAGCAAGTGATGGATGCTAAGACGATGTCAGCATGGTGAGCGGGGTTCAGAGGTCTGGACATGAGTGTCCAAAAGATGTTAAACCAAACTCAAGACCCAGCATGTGATAAGTGTTCTCTAAATATTTGTTGAATGAGCAAATGAAGGAATGAATGAATCTCTTGGTAGACAATGCCAGCCTAGCCAGTGGAATTCAGAAACAGAGGCTTGGCCAGGCATGGTGGCTCACGCCTGTAATCCCAGCATTTTGAGAGGCTGAGGTGGGCAGATCACCTGAGGTCAGGAGTTCGAGACCAGCCTGGCCAACATGGTGAAACCTCGTCTCTACTAAAAATACAAAAATTAGTTGGGCATGGTGGCACATGCCTGTACTCCCAGCTACTCAGGAAGCTCAGGCAGGAGAATCACTCGAGGCCGGGAGGTAGAGGTTGCAGTGAGCCAAGGTCATGCCATTGCACTCCAGCCTAAGTGACAAAAGCGAAACTGTGTCTCAAAAAGAAAAAGAAAGAAAGAAAGAAAGAAAGAGAGAGAGAGAGAGAGAGAGAAAGAAAGAAAGAAAGAAAGAAAGAAAGAAAGAAAGAAAGAAAGAAAGAAAGAAAGCAGGCAGGCAGGCAGGAAGGCAGGCAGGGAGGGAGGGAGGGAGGGAGGGAGGGAGGGAGGGAGGGAAGGTGGGAAGGCAGGAAGGCAGGCAGGCTTGAACTCTTTGTTATAAAATATTTTGAACAAAAGTCAGACCCTTCAACATGACAGCATCTCTTAGAAATATCTGTTAAATGAAGGAATTGACCCATCCAATTGAGGTAGTTACATAATTTGTGGGACTCAGTGCAAAATGAAAATGCAGAGCCTTTTGCTCAAAAAAGCAAGAGAAAAGGTGGACTTTTAAGGGTACTATTAAGTACCTTTAAAGGATACTAAACTATAAAGTTTTCTATTTAGGGTACTAAAATAAAAAGTTTTTTCTTTTTCTACAGTCTCCCTCATTCTCAACTCGTTATGGTGGTTTTTATTTGCTACTTAATGTCATTCTAAGTAAGTAAAACTTAAAATTTTACATTTTCAGCATGACTTTTACCACTCATCTTTATATTTGAGAATGCCAGTTTTAAATGCAAGTACAGGAGCATTTAACTAGTATGTAGAATCATCGTACATAATCATACAGACATATGTATTTCACCCGCACTAGACTAGTGGAAACATTGCACAAAACCAACAATTTGTTCTTTTTTTTTCACTTCTTGATATGTGCCCATTCTATAAACCCTCCTTACCTTTAGTTTACTGATAAATGAAGGAAAATGAAAGATCCAGTGCAACGTCATGAGTAATGTAATGCTGAAAGGATATTTTCACAGTGAAGTCCTGACTATCATACAAACATACTTTGAACATAGGTCAAAGATTTTATTTAACTCATTAAGCAATAGGAATCCAATAAGATATATAACATCAGTTCAAAGGAGAATCTAAAGAACAGACATATATATAGGCAATCAAGAATGCTAAAATAAATTTACTAATAGATCCAAAACTGATCAATATCCACATGACAAGTATCAATTACATCTCCACTGGACAAAATTTATTTACATCTTTATGAACAAGAATCATTTGCATTACTGTCCATTTTCTACACCTCACAATGTTATAAAGTAGCTCAAAGACCATGAAAGATGCAGACGTCATGGATTGAGATGATCCCAGGAAGAATACAGCAGGTCCTCAAATAATGTTGTTTCATTCAACGTTGTTTTTTTAATAACGTTAATGAGAAAAAAAATTAATTCCTGGCTGGGGCCACTGTCTGCATAGAGTTTGCATATTCAATCCATGTCTGCGTGGCTTTTCTCTGGTTACCCCAGTTTCTTTCCACATCCTAAAGATGTGCATGTCAGGTACATTGGCATGTCTAAATGGCCCTAGTCTGAGTGAGTGTGGGTGTGCGTGTGAGTGGCCCTGCAATGGGATGGCGTCCTGTCCAGGGCTAGTTCCTGCCTTGCGCCTGAGTTGCCAGGAGAGGCTCTGGCCACCCATGACCTTAAACTGGAATAAGCAACATTGGAAGATGAATGAATACAAATTACTGTCAAACAAAAATTCATAAGATAGAAGACAATTATATAAGTGCACAACAATATATGATGTGGTCTAAAAGTGTTCAGCAAGCCTGTCAAATTTGTGATTGTGTTTGAACTGTGTAGTGGCAGGACAGTTTTCATTTGGCAAACATTTTTATTTAACCCACCACTGCTATGTCTGCCATCACTTACTGATTCACTACAAATTGGGTAAATCATTAGTTTACTTGTTTTTATTAATATTTTTTCAATGTATGTACAGCTCACATTTATTTTAATGTTTAATATTAGAAATGTTTGGGGTCTTTATTTAGAAGTTTGGCGATGTTTTCATGACCAGAAATATGCCATAGGAGCTTTACTCTTATTTATATCGATTAGCCTGTGGTAAAATTGGTTTCATGATACATCATTTCACTCAAATTCACAGTTTGCAAGAACCTCTTTGAAAATGTTGTGTGAGAACTTACTGTACTCTAGATATCTTCTACTTTTCCATTGAAAAGACACCCCAGGGGAAATCTTCTTGCCCATTTCATTCCTATTTCACAGATTTTCCTGAGAAGTAGATAATTATTCTCTGCTTATTTGTCTTTTTATTGAACTCTTCTGGAAAAACCCCAGCCCCTCACAGGCCCAAATATCAACTTTCCCCTTGTCTATACCTGAAGAAATCTCATAATAATGAAGACCATAAATTCATAATGACTACCACCAATTGAACCCTCCATACAGCCTTCAGGGATCCTAGGGCATTTCTGTGCTGATTTCACTGTCCTGTTCTATACAACAACAATGTGAAACATTTTCATGTCTCATAAAATCTCTGATCACAATAACCTTCAAAACACTTAGCTCCAAGAAAGGTACGGGTACCCATTGATCAGAACAGGAACTCCATGTACCTTTGCTGTTCAACAGTGCTAGACTCTAGATGCTGGATCATAGGAGGCTACAGGGGTCCTGGGCAAGGGGAGGGGGCACAGAAATAAGGGTATATGGGAACTCATAGTATGGCTTAGTAGTATTTCAATATTTTGACTACCACTATGACGAGACTTCTCCATGCATCCAATTCACCCACTTCCCCAATCTCAACAGATGACCTCACCTCCTATTCCACAGAAGAAACAAAGCCATCAACTTTTAACTAACAAATGAATCCTCCTACTTCATCCTCATCTCATTCTAGAACGTAGAAAAGAGTCTGTATGGCACATGGAGAGTGTATCTCATGTCAGTTACAAATAGGATAATGGAAAAAGAGGCAAAATCAGGCTTAATAAATGCAGTTATATGGAAGAAGGGAAGGGAACATTGAAGGGAAGTAGATACTATTGGTTAGTCCATTTTATGTTTCATCAAAATTACAGAGTAGGATGACCAAGAATTATCAAATATACATAGGTTCTATAAGAGGATCTCTTCAAGGAAAATTAGTTGTGAATCACTTCAAAAGGTTGAGAGTTGCTTCCTAGCAAGAGTGTATTAGGGAGCCTGATTATAAATTCAGCTGAAATGAACCCAAGGGACATTTGCCATATATCAAATCCCTAAAAATAAGAATTTTATGTGTGCTTCAGATGAGCAGAGAAATTGAATTTATTTTGAAGACATCACAAAGATGTAAAGGACCAGAAATGCTAGGAAAACTTTTTATACTTTATCTTATCAGACAAGGATAAAAATTATAGATTCATGTATTTGAAGTGAGTATAGATGACATTGTGAAAGAAGCAGACCTACAAGAAGTTATGGACTAAGTACTATGCTTAGCATCCTCTAATAGGGCCTCTAATAGGGCCTCAAGAAATGTGATATGGAACACTGAAAGTAGGTGTCCTCAAACACTGTATATATATATATATAATATTTTGTTATAGAATTATACACACACACACACACACACACACACACACACACACACATATATATATATATTTTGGAGATGGAGTCCTGTTCTGTCACCCAGGCTGGGGTACAGTGGTGCAATCTCAGTTCACTGCAACCTCTGCCTCCCAGGTTCAAGCGATTCTCCTGCCTCAGCCTCCCAAGTACTGGGATTATAGGAGTGCACCACCATGCCCGGCTATTTTTTGTATTTTTAGTAGAGACGGGGTTTCACCATGTTGGCCAGGCTGGTCTCGAATTCCTGACCTCAGGTGACCCACCCACCTCAGCCTCCCAAAGTACTGGGATTACAGGCGTGTGCCACCATGCCCGGCCCAGTTTTTATATTTTCAACCAGTAATTCCTAAACTTGAGCTTGCATCAGAGTTTTCTGGAGGACTTGATAAAACACAAATTGCTGGACCCTATTACCAGAGTTCCTAATGCAATCGGTCTGGGATACAACCGAGGAATTTGCATTTCCAACAAGTTTCCATATAATACTGATGCAGCATTAAGAACCATTGGTTTAAACTATGTCTAAAAATAAAATAAACCAATAGAAAAATACTTATTTGAGTGAATGGAGGGTAAATAAATTAATAGCAAGTTAAAAAAGAAAAACTACTTCTGAAGAAATAATACTAGGAGCTTTTGACCACATGTAATGCTAATTAACTCAAAATATGACAGTTGAAGAAAATAAACGGTCCTTTCTCAAAGTCCTTTTGCCATATTTTCCAGACATTGCATCATCTGTTTTATAGTCTGTTCCCCATTCGTTTAGCTTTGATGGTGTTTGCCATTTCCCTAGGATTTCTCTTTCTCTTACACCATTGTCTTTCAATTGACTGACACTTGTTTTAGCCTTCTTTTTCCTGGATTCTTGGAGTTCCTCTTTTCCACAGAGCATGCTGCTCAGACTGGCATCAGAAAGCTGCTGATTCCCCAGGATTTTTTGCATTCTTTTGATTTCACCCCAACTGATTTCAACTCACTGGAGATCAAGCGAACTAAAAGTGAACATTCTAAATTAAAATTGGACAACTGAAGCAACACAGACAAGATAGTCTCAGCTCAGAATATGCCCAGTCTTATTCTTGTAGGGTCAACAAAGTCCACCCACATGGCATGAAAGGATTATTTACTTGGCTGGCTCTGCTGCTGGCCTGAGAAAACCTGAAGGATGAAAATTCCAGCTCTTTATACAAAGCAGCAATGGATGCGGTTGGATGGCAACTACGTAGAAGCCTATCCGGGAAACTAAAGTTGCAAAAAACAGGAAGACATTGTAGCTGCTGTTATCATAAAGAAGAGAAGTTAACAAAAGAACAGAGGTGGGTGGGAATATGATTTTTTAAAAATGTGTGGGAAAACACAGCTAGTTAGAAGCTTGCACAACCAAAAATTAATGGATGCCTCTGTCACCTGATTCAGAATAAAGTAAATTGTTTTGGGAGAGGGGACGCTGGGAGAAAGAAGGATAGTGAATTAATATAGAATAAATACATTTCACATAGTAAAACTCACCAGTTATTTTTAAAATTCAAATAATACACTTTGGGAGGCCGAGGTGGGCAGATCATGAGGTCAGGAGATCGAGACCATCCTGGCTAACAAGGTGAAACCCCATCTCTACTAAAAATACAAAAAAATTAGCCAGGTGTGGTGGCGGGTGCCTGTAGTCCCAGCTACTCAGGAGGCTGAGGCAGGAGAATGGCATGAACCTGGGAGGCGACCTTGCAGTGAGCCGAGATCGTGCCACTGCCCTCCAGCCTGGGCGACAGAGCGAGACTCCGTCTCATTAAATAAATTTTTTTTAAAAAATCAAATAATAAAAGTGAAGTATTCATAAAAAAATTTCTACCCACACGAAATTACTTTCTCAAAAATTGTATTTCTATATCATATAACCCTCCTAAAACAAACAAAACTTATTTCTAAGAGCTTTGAGAATTGCTTTCTGTGATAGTCAGTTTTGTGTCAACTTGACTAGGTTACAGTCCCCAGTTACTCTATCAAACACTAGTCTAGGTGTTGCTGAAGATATTTTGTTGATGCAATTAAAGTAAAAATGAGTTCACTTTAAGGATGGAGATTATTTTAGATAACCTACATGATCTTGATTCAGTCAGCTGATAGGCCTTAGCAGAACTGATGCTTCCCTGAAGAAGATATTCTGCCTATAGACCACAGCATCAGCTTGGCCCAAGAGTTTCAGCTTCAGTGACCTTCCGACAGCTTGCCCTGTGGACATTAGACTTGTCTTGCCACCCTCACAATCACACAAACCAATTTATTATGATAAATAACTTTTTTTTTCAAGACAGAGTTTTGCTCTTGTTGCCCAGGCTGGAGTGTAATGACGTGACATCAGCTCACGGTAACCTCTGACTCCTGGGTTCAAGTGATTCTCCTGCCTCAGCCTCCCAAGTAGCAGAGATTACAGGCACGCACCACCACGTCTGGCTAATTTTTTGTATTTAGTAGAAACGAGGTTTCACCATGTTGGTCAGGCTGGTCTTGAACGCCTGACCTCCAGTGATCCACACGCCTCAGCCTCCCAAAGTGCTGGGATTACAGGAGTGAGCCACGACGCCCAGCTATAAATCTCTTAATATATATCTCCTACTGGCTCTGTTTCTCTGGTTGAACCCTGACTGGTAACATTTTCCTTTTATAACTTTTCATTATATCACATAGTTATGCCTTCTGCTAATTCCCACAGGCCAGTTTCTTAAATATTCCACATCAATCCTCTACCATCTAATACATGAATATGCCAGAAAGGCAGAACTGGTAACCATTAAGAGTTAATAGAGAATTTCTGTTTAAGGGAGCAATAATAGCCCAATTTCCCAACTAAGTGAGCAAAGAAATTTTTTAAGAGGAAAAGCATTGGGTACTGCTCATAAATTAGAATTTTTTTAAAATTTATGCAACCTATGGTGTAGGTAGAACTGTACCAGAGAAAAGATTCACTGTAATAATGGAATTGACTGTCAAGACAGTGAGTAGACAAGATCCTCAGCCACCACCAAAAAAAAAAAACAAAAGAGAGTAATAATAAATGTAACTAATATTGGAGCACTTATAATGTGCTAGGCGCTGTTCAAAGTGCTCTATAAATAGGAACTCACTTAAGCCCCAAAACATCCAAATAAAGTAGATACTAGAATTATCCCCATTTTACAGATGGGAAAATTGGGGCAAGAATGACTAAGCAATTCACCCCAAAATACTCTGACAGTAAGTGGCAGGACCAAAGCCCAAATCCAGTTTGACTCTAGAATCTGCACTCTCAATCCCATATTATCTCATAAATCCTGGGAGCAGAAATAGGCAGTGGGATGATTCATAGGCACACTTAACGTCTACCATCCATTACCTTCCCTAACTAAAATGCCAGCATGAAGAGAGGGGTCCATTCTTAGTCTCACCTGGAGTAGATTGTGTGCTCAGTGAGCAATGTAGCAGATACAGAAGGGGCAGCCAGATAACTCTAGGCTATTGCAACATATAAAGAAGTGAAATCCTTCTTTCTCATTCCCACAGTGAATCAGTCATCCATTTCTCCTCATAATACTGACCAACCTAAATATTTCTGAAATATTAATATGTCCCCTTCATTCCATATCCATTACAACAGCATGGTCCAAGCCACAGTCATGTCCTTCTTGTATGAATGGCCTCAAGAGCATTCTACAGTGATCTCCCCATATCCACTTGGCCCTCACAACCTGTCCTAATAATTAAACCTAGAGTGGGCCTTTAAAAAATTTAAATATTCCATTTAATCACTTCCTATTTGTCAATGGCTTTCCATTGCTTTTGGATTATGCTCAGTATCCTTAATGCGGCTTGCAGGGCCCCGCCCCATCTGGCCACTCCCACCTCCCTCAACTTTTCTCCCTGTGCCCACTGCACTGTGAATGATGCTTTCTTGTCATCCCTCCAATTCGCCAGGAGCCCAGCAAGTTTTTATAACCTTTACCACTACTGGTAATTAGGTAGACTTTTGTGTAATTATTTGATATATGAATTCTTTAAGAGTTTGTAAACCGTGTAAGAGCAGGAATCGAGACTGTCATATTCATCATTATATCTCCAGTGCCCAGCCATATCTGACTCAGAGGTGGCCTTCATATTTGTTGAGTAGATGAATTTTTTGCTGCAATGATGAAGTTTCCAGACACATAAGTACTCTGTCCCTCACTCTGAAATGGACAAAATGTAACCACTGGAAAAATGCAAACCTCTGCTTTCCCCTTTATTTGAAACTAAAGGGGCTAAAGAAATAGTCTCTGACAGACCACACACAGTTCAACTTCAAATCCTAGACACATAAAAAGTACCCACCTGTAAGGATGACAAAAATTACTAGACAATAGAAACATTTTAGTGGGTTTTTAAAAAGTGAACAATTTGGGGAATCATAACAAATACCTAAAATGTACTATGACAAATTCTGTAAAGTTTGTAAAGTATTCATAATCTCAATTGTATTTGCATGTATGAAAAAGGATCAATATGAGTTAGGAAAGATGGTTTACAGATGAAAATCAAGAGAGATGGATTTTACCCAGGCAGTAAAGTTATATTAATTAGAAAACATCAAAAACAAACAAATGCATTAGAAGACATGTTTAACAAACTCTCCCAGAATTCAGTGGAAATTTTCAAAGAAAGACAAATACACTGAACAAAACACTGGCAACATGGGAATTATCCATAATATCCCAGTATGAAGTACTTTAAGAGATGAGAAGGGCCAGAGGAAAAGCAATCACCAAATAAATAATGGGGAAATGATTTGAAAGCAAAAAGAAAAGGAAATAAGGCTTTTAGATAGAAAAGGTCTATTTAGTAGCCTTATAAATTTAACTATTTTAAAAAAATTTCAGAAGTCACAACTGTATAGATCCTGATAAAAGTTTTAAATTTTAAAAAGATAGGTCTCTTAAGGACAGCAAAATAGGTTCACTCCAAAGAAAAAAGGGAATATAATCAGTGAAATGATAGGTTCTGCTTAAAAAGTTGTACCAAGATTACTGTGAAATTTAATACAAATACAAATAACTCTGAAAAGATAAATTTATACCTAAAAAAGAAAATAATAATGAAATTCTAGATTCAATGTTAGTTGAAATAAAAGGTGATGGTGGAGAAGACAGACACAAAAGTATTTTAAACTAGGAAGATGATAGAGTTCAGTGAATAAAAGAAGCCACAGAGGCCTGGGTTCAAATTCTGGCCTTGCCAATTAACTAGCTTCGTGCTATAAAATAAGCAATTAACTCCATGGAACCTATTTTCTCATGAGTAAATTAGGATAATAATCTATACAGCACTATTGCAAATATTAAATAATATATATAAAGATCTAACTGGAACAGAGTAGTGACTCAAGCTGCTATAAAATGCCATATTTTTAACATAGAAAGGAGATTTTTGAGGTGAAATAACCACTAGAAGAACAAAAATGTCAGGTAAAAGTAACAAATTGTAAAGAAAACCTAAACAATAGGAAAATAAAAAGGAAGCATTTTTAAAAATCAGAAGGCTGTATAAAATAGGACATATGTAAAACCAAATTATTAGAAAAACAATAATAAATTATAAATTCATATAACCACAATTACAGTAGAAAATTATATATACTTCTCTCAGTTTTTGACAGAGAAATTAATGCAATGTAAAATTAATAGCTATATACTAAAGTTTGTACCTGCAGAGCATATACATTACTTTTGAATGGGGAGTGTTTACAAAACGTGGTTATATTCCAGGCTACTAATACATTTTCAATAATTTTCCCAGAATGTTTAGAAATCACTGGGGCAAAGAGACAACCCAGGTAGAGACCTGAATTGGGAAGCCCTTTGCCAGAGGACTCAGCGCAGCATAGAAGCACATGGTTATTTTTGTTCTGTGTTGGTTCTCAAAACAGAAGCCTGTCTCCATTGATGAGTCAGCTCTTGTTCAGATGACAAGTAGACCCTTAACAGGATCAGCAGTGCTTGCTGATCAATAGGTTGACATTTCATACATCAAGGCTTTTCTTCGGTTTTTGAATTTCCCTCCAGTTACATCTCCAAAAGCATGTTGGGAGAAAAATCCAGCAGCAGCCACCATTTTATTTGTCAAGGAGTCTCTAATAAATGCAACAACTTTTCAAACACTACCAGATTAAGGAGAAGTTTTCAACCTTGGTGTCCCACTCTAAAAAAGAAAAGGGGAAGGGCTGACATAAAAATCCTTATGATACCCTTGCAACTATGATGGCTCCCCTCACATACCACATATCAAATTAATTGATCTTTCATATAATTCGGATATATTTGGAAGTAACTTGCCTTTTAAAGGAGATGACTTTGATCAGATGCTCTCCAAGGGTGAGTGAATTTGAAGAAAATTTCTGTGCCATACTGAACATTATACTCATGCTGTTATCCTCATCTTTATATTTTAAATACTTTCTCTCTCTATTTGCAGTCTTTTTCAAGTTACTTTAAATCTATGATTCTGCTAGGTGATTTTATTACTTGCTGTTACCTGATTTCTGCGGTAATAATAATTCACTTATGTTTTAGATTTTTACAATGAAAAAAATTTTAAATATGCCATATTAGTGGGATAATTTATACCAAAAAAAAATTTTTATTTGAAGCTGAAGAACTGAGGATTAATTGACTTAAAAATAACCTAATTTGGGCTTTTAGCGTCTATATATTTAAGATTTTTGAAATTTTTGGAATATTAGAAATTCCCACATAACACAAGAATTTAACAAGTATATATATTGCATTCATTAAATATGTCATGCTTAAAACAAATGCTAATCTAAAGACTGTGAGATTCAAGCGACTTTACATCAAATCAGCAGAACAATCAATACAAAGGCAAAATGCTATATGCAGAATTTTTTAAAAAATTGAATGAATCCTTCATTTGAAGAATTATACTAAAACCTATTTAAGCAAAGTAATTCTTTTTAAGCAGGCCATGAGAAAAGGCTAAAATGAGAAAAGTGTGTCAGCACAATCAAAATAATAATTGATGGCTTATAAGAGAAATTCAAAGACCATTTTGTAGGGTTCAGATAATATTTGGTTGTCTCATTCCAGTGTCTTCACTCTTTTCAGCTCCTTACAATGGATGGCACCGAAAAGTATGTAAACAACAACAACAACAAAAACTGAAAATATTAGCATGTTTGGTTTTGCACGGCCCAAAGGCTGTGATATTTCAAAATACCTCTCTAGCATCAGAAACTTCAGGAGTTGATGGTGTGCCTGGATCTCAGAAAGGAGTCTAGCACCATTGTTTTTCTCACCTTCTCACAAATAATTATTCCTTTTAATCTAACATTTCACTGTCTTCAAAGAGAAACTGGACTATGCCTTCTCTACTAAATAAAACCAGGTATTAAGAAATTGGGACAACTATATAAAAAGCTTAGCTCCTTTGCATTACCATTACATGAGCTTCTAAGTCCTTCTAAAATGAGTTCAGAGAATGTGGCCTATAAGAAACTGTTTTTGGAATTTGTGCACACATGTTTTATGGCCTACGATAAGTTCATCTTTTGTAAGTATTCCATGACCTAGGAAACAAAATTCATACATTTTTTTACTCAAGTTATTGGGAGCAGTCATTGTTCAAAAGATAGTCACTGGATCAAGATGGTTGATTGTAGTCTTCAAATCTTTTATATCATTATTGATTTTTGTCTGCTTGATTTATCAGTTACTGAGAGAGGCAAATTAAATTCTCCCATTATGTTGTTGATTTGGCAATTTCTGCTTATATTTCAGTTCAACTTTTGCTGTATATATTTTGAAGCTGTTATTAAGTACATTTACATTAGAAATTATTGTCAATATCTTCCTGAAAACCCAAATCTTTAATTAACATACAATAAACTCTTTTATTTCTGGTAATGCTTTCTACATTAAAGTCCACTCTTTCCAGTTAATATACCTACATTAATTTTCTTCATTGTTTTATACTTCCTGTTTTATCTTTTTCATCGTTCTACTTTGAATTTTTCTGGATCCCTATAAACAGCCCAAGACACTATCTTTTCTAAAGTGAAAATTGTGGAAATTTTAAAAATCCACTCTGAAAAGATTTGCATTTTAACTAGGGAATTTACCACATTGACATTTATATAATTACTAATATAAATGGATTATTGTCTACTATCTTATCTTGTGCTTCCTCTTTGCTCCAATTTTTCCTTTGTTCTTTCTTATTTTTCTTCTTTAGTTATTTAGAATTAATTAATATTTGTTTCTTATTTTTTTCCTTTATTTTATTTTACCAATCCTAGGTTAGAAGACATAAACTCTATTTCCATTCTTTGGTGATTACCTGGAAAATTTTAATATGCATATTTAATTTACTAAAGTCTAAAATAAGCCAATATTTTTACAATCTTCTCAAAAACACAAGGATCTTAGAATGGTTTTCCCTCATCACACTCCTTCCTGACTAAATCGTTGTCCAGTGAAATTAGTTTTTTTTTTTGACACGGAGTCTCACTCTGTCGCCCAGGCTGGAGTGCAGTGGCACCATCACGGCTCGCTGCAAGCTCCGCCTCCCGAGTTCACGCCATTCTCCTTGCCTCAGCCTCCTAAGTAGCTGGGACTACAGGCACCCGCCACCACTCCCAACAAATTTTTTGTATTTTTAGTAGAGATGGGGTTTCACCATGTTAGCCAGGATGGTCTCAATCTCCTGCCCTTGTGATCCGCCCGCCTCGGCCTCCCAAAGTGCTGGGATTATAGGCGTGAGCCACCATGCCTGGCCCTCTTTATTCTTAATCTAACAAATTAGACGTTATTACTGAAATTCCAATGTGTGTTAAATTTCCCTGTAATATTTTCCATCCTTTTGTTTTCCTATGCTACATTCTGAGCAATTTCTTAAGAGATACCAGTGTACTAAGTGGTTTTCTTTCTTCAAGTATGTCTAATCTGCTGCTTAACTTGTATAGAGTTTCTAATTTTAGTTGTTATATTTTTTATTTCTAAAAATTTAATTTTTGTTCCTTTTCAAATATCTCCAACTATTGTCAATAAAAATATGTTCCTTCATTACACTTTTTCTGTCTCCTTTTATTTCATTAGAGCATTTTATAACATGATTCTTTATATTTGATGTCTGAACATTCCAAAATCTGTATTTTTTTAAAGTTTTGAAACTTTTGAAAATTTAATTCTGTAGTTTATTTTTCCTGCTGGTTTTGTTTATGATGGCTTGTTTTTCATATGTTTTATAATTGTTTTTAAATTGTGCATTCATATTCTTCAAAAACAGAGTAGGAATTCTTTGAAGTCTTGTTTTAAAATGTTTCCCTCCAGAGAGATTCATGTTTCTTTCTGCCAAGTATCTGGAGGTACAGCTGACCCAGGGACACTACAAATTTTCTACTCAGGTCTATTTTTTTCAGGTGCCACAGGAAATGTGATTTCCATCCCCAAATTCATGTGACTGGAGGATTGGAGTTAGGAATTTTCTGGAGGGTTGTGTTTCCCTACTCCACCCAGAGCCAAGGCACAAACAGGTAGTATCTCTGTGGGGTAGACTTTTTTCTGGTACACTACAGGAGGTGAACCAGCTTTATTCAAGGATCTTTTATCTAACTCTATGATGCTCAGAACCAGGCTTTATCCTCACATAAACGTGACCTATTAAAGTGTCACCCACCATGACAGACGCCTCCAGGCAAAGGCCAGCTCCAACACTCATTCACCCATCTGTATCCATGCTTTCTCATTTTTTCTGGCCTATTATAACTTCCTTTATTTTATTGACAGCTCTGCCTTTACAAATATATTTTAACAAACTTTTTTTATATTCTTTGACAGGATATATTCTTCAGATAATGGGTCCCTCATATAATTGAAAATCAAAGACAGCCCGTTTAACTGCAGTTCTGCTAGAATTTTGGATTGGCTCTTAGCCACTCCACTGAAAAATAAATGTACACCAGTGATTTTGAACAATTTGCCTGTTTTGACAGGAAAATTCTAGAACTCCAGTTTCTGTTCTTTCAGACATTGACTAGATGAACCTTGGGAATCCACTGGGTTTGTGTTGCTGCCTCATCTATGAAAGACAATAACTAGATGCTTCACTTTCCATAAAGCTATGTAAGGTAGGCATTACTTGCCCTATTTGCAAATATGAATAACTGAAATAGCAGGATGCACAGGTCATTATGAGCAACTTGAGGTAGGATTCATAACTGGATACTGGGGGCAAGGACTCTGCTCATTTCTTTCACATCCTTTGCTCCTTCTATGCAGTCTTCAGTTTTCCCCAGGCAAACTGGAACTGGTTAACTTGGGAATAAAATCTGCCCTCAAAAATATCTTAAGTTTATCAGATAAGTGACTAGTAAAAATTGTAGTAGAAGTTCTTGACAAATATTTTACAGATAAATGTGAAGGGGAACATTCCTTCTTAAAGAGAAAAAAAGAGGACATTTGTTAAGGATGATGCAAGTAAGAAGGTTAAGAAAAATCTGTTTTCAACACTTCCACCAATGCTCCTGAATTATGAGCAACAATATACCAGCTACTTCAGAACTCTCTGTCTTGAAGTTGTTTCAGATCCATTATAATCTGTACTGCACCACCATCATAATATCTTCTAAATTATTCATCTGTCTTGACGAAAGAACAAATAATCTAGTGGTTGAAAAAGGGCATGTTTTAATCAAAGTTGAATACTCATATTTTAAGATAATAGTAGGAAGGACAGTGTACGTTTCTGCTGGACATCCCAGGAATTTATCAAACTGCCACTATCATTCTCATACATTTTGTTCCCAAAGTATTCCCAGCCCAGTTCCCAGTGACTACCCTGAGGGCTGCCTTGGGAAAGGCAACCAAATTGGGAAGGGGCTTGTATTTGTCAATTTTCACACGGCTATAAAGAACTATTGTACCTAAGACTGGGTAATTTACACAGGAAAGAGGTTTCATTGACTCACAGTTCTGCATGGCTGGGGAGGCCTCAGGAAACTTACAGTCATAGCAGAAAGCAAAGTGGAAGCAATGCACGTCTTACATGGTGGCAGGAGAGAGAGTGAGAGAGGGGAGAAATGCCACACTTTTAAACCATCATATCTCATGAGAACTCACTCATTATCACAAGAACAGCCTGGGGGAAGCTGCCCCCATGATCCAATCACCTCCCACCAGGTCCCTCCCTCAACACGTGGGGATTACAATTCGGGATGAGATTTGGGTGGGGACACAGAGTCAAACCATATCATTCTGCTCTTGGCCTCTTTCAAATCTCATGTCTTTCTCAAATTTCCAAACACAATCATGCCTTCCCAACAGTCCCGAAAATCTTAACTCATTTCAGCATTAACCCAAAAGTCCAAGTCCAAAGTCTTATCAGAGACAAAGCAAGTTCCTTCCACTTATGAGCCTGTAAAATCAAAAACATGTTAGTTACCTTGAAGAAACAATGGGGGTACAGGCATTGGGTAAATGTTCTAGTTCCAAGTAGGAGAAATTGGCCAAAACAAAGGGGCTACAGGCACTATGCAAGTTCAAGACCCAGCAGGGCAGTAATTAAATCTTAAAGCTTCAAAATGATCTCCTGTGACTCCATGTCTCATATCCAGGGCATACTAATGCAAGGGGTAGGCTCCTCAGGCCTTGGGAAGCTCTGCCCCTGTGGCTGTGCTGGGTACAGACCCTGTGGCTGCTTTCATGGGCTGGCATTTAGTGCCAGAATGGTAGATCCACTGAGAGCTTGCACCACACTCCAAGTGCATGGTGCAAGGTCTCAATGGATCTATCATTCTGGAGTCTGGAGGACAGCAGCCCTCTTCTCACAGCTCCATTAGGCAGTGCCCCAGTGGGGACTCTGTGTGGGAGCTGCAACCCTACATTTTCCCTCTGCATTGCCCTAGTGGAGGTTCTCCATGAGGGCTCCACTTCTGCAGTAGACTTCTGCCTGGACATCCAGACATTTCCATACACCCTCTGAAAGGCTCCCAAAGTTCAACTCTTGTCTTCTGCACAATTGCCAGTGAAAAACATGGAAGCAGCCAAGGCCTGGGGCTTGCACCCTCTGAAGCAATGGCTTGAGCTGTACCTTGGCCACTTTTCGCCCTGGCTGAAGCTGGAGTGGCTGTGACGCAGGGCACCATGTCCTGAGGCTGCACAGAGCAGCTGGGCCCTGAGCTAGCCCATGAAACCATTTTTTCCTCCTAGGCCTCCAGGCCTGTGATGGGAGGGGCTGCTGTGAAGCATGTTGGTCAAAACCATTAAACAAGTCTCTAGGAAGTTCAAAATTTTCCCACCTTTTCCCAACTTCTTCTGAGCCCTCCAAACTGTTCCAACCTCTACCCATTACCTAGTTCCAAAGTTGCTTCCACATTTTCAGGTATCTTATAGTAGTGCCCCACTTCTCTCAGTACCAATTTTCTGTATCAGTCCATTTTCTCACTGCTATAATGCACTACCAGAGACTGGGTAATTTATGAAGGCAAGAGGTTTAATTGACTCACAGTTCCACATGGATGGGGAGGCCTCAGGAAACTTACAATCATGATGGAAGGGGGTGGGGAAGCAAAGCACATCTTAAGTGGTAGCATAACAGAGAGTGAGCAGGGAAGTGCCACACTTTCAAACCATCAGATCTCACTCACTCATTATAATGAGAACAGAATGGGGAAAACTGCCCCCATGATCCAATCACCCCTTACCAGGTCCCTCCCTTAACATGTGGGGATTACAATTTGAGATGAGATCTGGGCAGGGACAGAGCCAAACCGTATCATGACTTGTGAGTCAGCTTCATAAGTTCTTCAGCAAAGCAGCAAGAAAGAGCTCTTCCCTATAACTCCCTATCACATCTCCCTATAACTCTGTCCCCTGAATCCATCTAGGGGAAGCTACTCTTTCTCGACATTACACATTTTAACCAGAGCACCAAACATACAGAAGAGGCTATGGGTCCAGCTTCGTATCAAAAAGGTCAAAATCTTACTAGCAGCTATCAGACACAAGATGTAAGTAATAAGGTTAAAGTTAAATACATAACTCTACTTTTCTCAAGTTGCGTATTAGTTGATACAAAACCAATGCCAAGTCAGCCTGGATATCCCTCTCACCAAGTTTTTGGTCCCAGAGCCTTTGTCCTCGCGCTGCCTCTGTCGTAATACTTGCACTCCTGGCTCTATGGCTCTACCCATGGATTTTTTGAAAGTGGCATCTACAAAAAATACAAACCTCTCTCTTGCTTAATAGATTGCCTCATCTTGCACAACATTGATATGTTATTACACTGAATGATTCCCATCCCCAACGTGAGTAAGAACATGGAGGATCAAATGGGATGAGGGAAATAAAAAGCATTTTTCTCCAACAGCACACCAATGAGTTATGGCACCCTTGGACAGGATGCTATATATCATAATATAGCTGGACATAGCACAATGGCTCCTTAAGGTAAGAGATGGCTCAGGCCAATCATCAAACTAGATCTGTAGGGACAAAATTGTAAGTGAGATTTTATTTAGTCACTTAATCCAAATAAAAATATAAAGTCATGGATATATACACATTGCCAACCAAGTCTTACTCATTTGCTCACTTGAAAAGCCTGAAGTGTAAGAGTATCTCTAGGAATTCCTTTAAGGCCTTGGGTTCTCACTACCCCTGGAGTTCCAGGGAATGAGCAAGTGGGGAAGCATTCAGGAAGGAAAGGGATATAAAGGCAGTGTGAGGCTCCCCTCCTCATAGTCTCTTGAAGTTTACCTGCCCTACTACACTGTCTCTCTAGAGATCAGCTATGACCCCAACATTATCCATTTGGGAAAGAGTCCAGCTTTTAAAATGAATTAAAATGTCCCAGCTGCTCTTGCTCTGCATCCTGCTGGGTAACAACAGCCCACAGAGATTTGTGCTAATTGCTGTTAAACTTCTGCATCACTTTCCTACATCCTGTCATTCCACCAGACATTTGAGAGTGGGAAGCACAGCTTGGATATTTGCAAATGCCTAGGCCGATTTGGCAAAACACACCAATAAGCATCTGATAATGTCCACACAGAGGATTCTGTGGGTCTCATGCTGCACAGTCTGAGTCTGCTGAAATGAGCTTCTCTCCAGAAAAGACTCCATCTGACAAGCTAAACGCAGATTCAGCAGCTTGGTAACTGGCTGTAAAGACTTCATTGATGGAGGGAAGAAGGCAGAGAAATAGAAGAAAGAGCAGCTGTCTTCTGAAAGACATTTTTCCCAATCAACTTTTTTTAATTTTAAGAACTATATGACCACTTTCAGAACATTTGAAAAAGAGAGAAAACCATCATCTGTAATATCAGAGCTTAACAAAATATTCTTGCTGAATTATAACTTTCAGGATTTTGTTCCTACAGGTCTGTTTTTTCACTTAGTGGTTATCACAGGTACAAACACTGTGCCTAAGTCTTACTGTTACTTCTTTGTCGTCCTGTGCATGATCCTAATTTTTGCTAACCCATTGTCTCCTAAAACTTTTTCTCTGAGCTATTTTCTTCAGAAACAGTATGCACCTCAGCACTTGTTTCATAGCCTGGGCTTCCTTTGAACTGAAGTTATTCAATTCAAAGGGCTCTTGACAAACTGCCAAACGTGTGCTACTGCCACTTTTGTTACAAGTGCCCCTCTGCCTCTTACTGCCTCTAAACCTTCCCACCCTTACTACAATTTATTACTCCTGGACGGGGAAAATAATAATTCTCCCTCCCTGGTAAGAGAAATAACTATTTTTTTCAGCTATTGTATGTTCTTCAATTAGCCTCCAGATGTGCTTTGAAAAGACTTCCCTCTCCATTTTGCCCTTACTGTTTTCCCATTTCAAATACCTTGTAGCAATTGTACAAGAGGACTTTCTGCCTCTAAGGTTATGGCTTCACCTGTTAGAAGTATCAACATTGTAATTACTCAGATGTTCCTTACCAGTACATATGGGTTACACTTGTTACATAGACAAGTTTTTAAGGAAATAAGAATTCAGTCTTTAGGTATATCATATGATACTTGTTTTGAATCACAGTGAATCAAAGTAAAAAAGTAAGCATGCATATATGATGTATATATGAGTCATAATATGTTGCACAAAACATCACTTTATTTTCTTTAATAAAATTATATCTGGCTCTAAGTGCCTGTCATTAGAATGATAAGATCTCTGATGATAGTATCTCTGATGATAGTATTTTGGAGGGTTTTGGGGTTTGGGTTTGGACTTTTGGTGGGGATGGGAACTCCTCTTTCCCCTAGGGCAAATGTAAACTTAACCTCTGGGAACCTGAAAAATGAGGGAAGAGTCTGACTATTAGTCCATTGTGGCAACTGTATTAATTTCCTACTGCTACAAACATAGTGACTTATAACAACACAAATTTATTATCTCACATTTCTGGAGCCAGAAGTCTGCAGTGGATTGCATGGGGCTAAAATCAAGGTATTGGCAAGTCTATATTCCTTCTGGAGACTCCAGGGAAGAATCCATTTCCTTGTCTTTCACAGAATCTAGAGATTTCTCACATTCCTTGGCTCATGGCCCTCTTCTATCTTCAAAGCCAGCAGCCGTATCACTCCAACCTTTGCTTCCATCCTCATATCTTCTCCTCTGACCCTTCTGCCTCCCTCTTTCTTTTACTAGGATTGTTATGATTACATTAGGCCCACCCAGATAATCTGAGTTAATCTCCCCAACTCAAGATTCTTAATCAAATCACATCTGCCAAGTCCCTATGCCATATAAGGTAACATATTTACAAGTTTCTGGGATTGGGACATGGACATTTTTGACAAGCCATATTCTGATTCCCACAGCCACAACTGTCATTTTCCACTGTGATGCCACCGTCAGCCCCTACTCTCTACCATCTCTCAGACGCTGCTACTCTGGATGCCCTCAGAGGCCACCATCATGCTTTCCTCTACTGAAAACAGGCTCAGCCACAGAACCTGCTACAGTCTTCAATGGCCTACCTTGGGGACTATAGCCGCCCTTCAGCCATCAGCCCAGTGGGACCATGTGGCACACAGGGTCTAGATCTATGCCACTTATGAAAACCCTCCAAACCCTTGTCTCCTTCCTAGTCTCAGATACCGTCTCCATATCTCTCCCTCTCTCTTCTCCTCCACAACCTTAAATAGTAGCTACATTGCCTTCTTTCTCAAAGGCCCTTCATTTCTCCCAAAATTCTAAATGTGAGATTATCCTGAAGTGCTTGACAACTTCTGATTTTGTAAAGCAGAAGCTTTTTTTGTTTTTTGTTTTTTTGGTTTTTTTGAGATGTAGTTTTGCACTGTCGCCCAGGCTGGAGTGCACTCACCTGATCTTGGCTCACTGCAACCTCTGCCTCCTGGGTTCCAGCAATTCTCCTGCCTCAGCCTCCCAAGTAGCTGGGACTACAGGGGTGCACCACCACGCCCGGCTAATCTGTGTATTTTTTAGTAGAGATGGGGTTTCACCCTATTGGCCAAGCTGGTCTCGAACTCCTGACCTCATGATTCACCTGCCTCGGCTTCCCAAAGTGCTGGGATTACAGGTGTGAGCCACTGCGCCCGGCCAAGCAGAAGTTTTTAATAAATCTTTAAGACAAGGAACACAGACAGACCCACCAAGGTTTTACCCCTTCTTGAAAAGGGTAAAAAAATTAATTTCTTTTGCATTAAATTTCCTATAAAAATAAGAAAACAAGATATATAACTATTTTAATAAAATTGTATCCCATCTATAACAAAGTTCCTAAAATTAAGGTGAACAAGGGCAAAATATTAGAAATGTGTTGCTAAAAAGAATATATATCATATATAACAGATTTAGCAGAATTTAATTCAGTCTTATTTCTGGAGAAATACAGAGCACTTCATTATAACACTGATATCAGAGATAGGCAGAAGCAATCTAGAACATGTAAGAATTTATTTTTAATATTTAATTGTAATTCCAGAGTCATATTTTAGCCAATAGTAGTTCTTAATTTATAGGATTAACTTTTTTTTTTAATGTTGGGATTCTACTCCTGTTGAAAACACTATAAAAAAGGAGCAAGAACAAAGAACTTGGAAAAAGAAAAGCAAGTAATTGAACAGAAAAAAATATATATATATTTTGTAAACCAGCCTTAGGGAATACAAAATTGAGTCAAAACACATCATATCTTTGGAACTGTACTTCTTTTAGGAATGTAGAAACTGAAATATGCATGAAAAGAAAAGGGCTGATGGAGCTTGGGGAAAGTGTGTTATGGTATTCAGCTGTGCTTTGTCATGAAACTCTCCAGGACAGAAATAAAACTCTAACCCAGACCCCTTTTTTATTAATGGGAATTGAGTAATAGAATAAAGAGAGGCATGAATTAGAGAAGTCCTCTGGTATACACAGATATTTGCCTCTAAAGCTAAATTAAAAATATTAATGAAAGCGTTGTTTTTTCCACTGAAAACATCTGAACTTCTCTGCACTTGCATAGTCATTATAATTTTAAGAGATGAGAGTTAAAAATTTATTTATGAAGTCATTCAGCTTAGTGACTGAAAAAATAAAGCCAAATAAATAATATAGGCCTATACATCAATCAGTAATTGGAAAACAGTGGCACAGGGGGAAAAAGGTATATTTATTTGTCTCTTCATTATAGTTTTCAATAGTACCCAGCAATAAACTCAAGAAAAAAATGTTATTTTTATTACCATGATAAGTCACAACAGCTAAGTAAATATATACATTGGTAAAGCAAACATGTATTTTAATTTTATCCACATTCAGAGAGTAGATTTTCAAACTATTTGAGCACCTTAAAAATGTTAGTAATAGTTTTAATGTGCATAACCTAAAAAATATATGGAAATTATTGAGATTATACAAAATCCAGTTCCAAGTTAAGTTTTCAGTGAGTAACAACTTACTTGGTTATTCCACTCCTTTGCTAAAAATAATATTATAGAGAACAAATATTTTACATCCTAGAAATAACTTTCTACTCTGAAAAGACCTCCCTAGATTTCTAAGGAAAAGAAAGCATAAAAATATGTGACCATAGACTCAAGTAGCATACCTCCTGAAGGAAAAACAGAAAAAAAAGAAAAAAATCTATGGCCCCCATTATGTTGCCAGTTCTGAAGTGCTATTCCTATATTAATTGGAGAAAGGCAGAAAGTTACAAGTCAAATGCTTCTGCCCAGAAGCTCCACAATGCCCAGGGTAGCAAAGAATTTGCAAAACAGAAATCTTACATTTTCCTAAAGGAAGTAAAGCAAAACTACTGAGGTAGAGATATTGAAATAAGATAGAATGTATATCACTACTTTCTACAGAGGAGTTAGATGCAAAAAAGTTCTTTTGCCCAGGCTCTCTCCCAAGACTCTTCATTTATACTTTCTATTGTGTTTTCCTCTTGTATTGTACCAGTTCTTATTACCTGGCACAAAAAACTTCCTGGAAGAGGTAATTATGCCAACATCAAAATAATTTATAGCCTGATATTCCTAAGGTTACCATAAATCCAAGAAACACAGCTTTTACAACTTCAACCTCATGAGCCCTTCCTCAGCTTTTCCTTTTCCTTTTAGTCCACAGCATCTTCTTTTTCATCTTTTCCTGGCTTTATGATGCCATCATCTTTATTAAGTCTTCTTTTATTTGAGCCTTATTGATCTTTCCTGGAGCCCTGTAATAGTTATTATTTATACCATTTAACTTATTCAATTGACTCCAGTATTACAGTTCTCTTTGTAAATCCATCTGTTCTATGCTCTAATGAAATCGTATGCTGCTTAAGGAACAAGACCATAGTTTACATTTACATTTGTTTTTTGGTTTTGATTTTGGTTTTGGTTTGTTTTTGGTTTCGGTTTTGCTTGGTTTGGTTTGTTTGCATTTGAAATAACTATAACGGTTCTCTGCTCACTGTAACCTTACTATAAAATTTGATGAGGAAAATGATAATGAAGAAAGTGAAGAAGGAATAGAGAGAGTTGTGTGATTAGTCATAACTAGAATTATATAAAGGCTCCAAAATAGAATCTGTTCCAATCATTCATTCTTGAAGAGAATGCATTATTTCTATCAAAATGCAAAGAACCAAGCAATGACAAGTGACCTATGTTAGTTACTCATCAAAAGAAGATGTCTCAGCACATTCCTTGTACTTATCTATATGACTCAATTCCATTTAATTAACCATACTATTTTCTCCAAAATAATTTGAATTAACCATCACATAAATTCTTAGGCAATAAATCTGACAATGGAATGATGTTTTAAGCTTTTTTAAGTATCAATTGGATAGCCCCTGGCTTCTTGTGAAAATTGCTGTCAAAAAATTGCTTTAAAAGCTGTCTTAACTTCAAAAATGAAGTCATAGCTAACTTGACATCTTATACATGTCAAGATTATTAGATTCAACTTATCCAGTGAACTCTCAAGTAAATTATCCTAGGATGACAAATACGATGCAATAACTTGGTCTTTGAGTTCTCTGATATGTTTTCTCAACTTAACAACCAAAACAGGACAAGGGGAACTTAGTGTTCAAAGGAGAGTCACAAAGATAATGAAAGGAGTGGAAAATAAGATTTCTAAGAGGGAAACAGAGATTATTTAACCAGAAAGAAGAAGGCAGAGACTCAACTTTTAAAGGAGCTTCTAAGCCAAGAGAGTAGTTAACCTCAAAAGTGAGATTAGTTATTCCTTTCCAGAAGGGGTAGAATACAAAAAAAATTGAATTAAGTTTCCATGGTGAATGTATAAGTTAGAAATTGTATTAAGGTTCTCTGGAGAAACAGAACACACATGCACATATCTAGCTAGCTAGCTAGCTATATAGATAGATAGATAGATAGATAGATAGATAGATAGATAGATAGATAGATAGATAGATAAATACATACACTGTCATACATCACTTAATAACAGGTATGCCTTCTGAGAAATGCATCATTAGGTGATTTCGTTGTTGTGTGAGCATCATAGCATTTACTTACACAAGCCTAGATGATATAGCCTACTATGCACCTAGGCTATATGGTATAGCCTATTGCTTCTAGGTTACAGACCTGTACAGCATGTTACCATACTGAATACTGTAGGCAATTGTAACACAATGGTAATTATTTATATATCTAAACATAGAAAAGGTAATGTGTTGCATTAAGATGTTACAACAGCTATGTTACCCAGTGATATGAATTTTTCAGCTCCATTATAATCTTCTGGGACCACCATTATATATGTAGTTCATCATTGACTGGAATGTCACTATGTGGTATAGGACTCTGTGTGTGCACATGTATGCATATACATATATATATAAGTTAGAAGTATATATGGCAGGGAACAGATTTATGTTAAGGAAATGGCTCATGTGATTATGGGGTCTAGCAAACCAATAGCCTGGAGATTCAGGTAGTAGAACTGCATGTTGCAGCTTTGAGTCCCAAGGCTTTTCCAGGCATGGTTTCCACGTTGCTGTCTGGAAGCAGAATTCCTTCCTTGGGAAACCTCAGTCTTTTCTCTTAGGGCCTTCAACAGATTGGAGAGGCCCACCCATATCTGAAGGAAAATCTACTTTAGTTAAAGTCAACTGATTGAAACTGTTAAACATATCTAAACAATATATTTACAGCAACATATAACTAGTGTTTGACCAAACAACTGGGTACTATAGTCCAGCCAAGATGACACAAAATTAACCATCACAGAAATCAAGTAAAATTTCCTGAAAAGGGAAGTCACCAAATTTCTGACTTGTCTTTGGTTGTTTAGTTCAGAAGCAATCCCTTCAAAAGGCGAGACAAGAAATGTTGGTGAGGGTAGAAGTGATATCAGTGGTGAAAATGTATGTTTTCATGACAATTCTGGAAAGCATATGAATCCAATGTCTTATATCCAGGAATTAATCCTAAGAAACATAAAGACAATTGTGCAAATATGTTCGTATCCAATAATGTTAAGTCATTTTTATAATGGTAAAATGGATGGAAAATAAACATCCATAAATATAAGGTAATTAAATAATCTATGTTGAATCTAAACAATGGAATATTATAATTTAAAATATTTATGTAGGTATTGGGTGGGAAAGGGGCTTTAATCTTACCTTGTCTTTCTCTCTGTACCTGGGTCAGGTAAAATGACTCTGCCTAAAATCTGTTGATGTCAGGATTGATATTGTGTTAGTCCTACACAGGATGTCAATTTTGGATTGAGTATCTTGGTTCTTGCTTTTTATTCTTTGCTCATTTTTCTTTTTGTACAGAACCATACAGAATGAAAATTCCTTCAGATTCTTTGTATTCTTTTATATCCATATATGCTGGGCTGTTGTAAACAAATTCCAGGCTGCAGAAATTCATAACTGAGGCAATTGTGATTGGACTTCATTCCTTACTGGTTGCCATAAAAGTACTTCTGTTAGAATCATATTGATAATCAGAGCAGCTTGTTTCACAGTGTCTGCAGTCATTGCACTAGCTATGTCTCAAAAGATACATTGACTATTTTGTTCAATGGCTACTAGTTTTTAAGAAAGTCCTAGAAGAGTTTGTGACCTGTAAGCAATAGTAACACAATGGTAAGTATTTATGTATCTAAACACCTAAACATAGAAAAGGTAATGTGTTGTACTAAGGTGTTAAAACAGGTATGTCACTATGCAATACGAATTTTTCAGCTCCGTTGTATAATACCTAACAAAACTCTACAGAAAGCAGCTGCAAGTGCTGCCTCAAGTACAACAACTAGTGCAGCACAGAATGCTTTGGGGAATAAAGAAATTTGGAGAATCTCCTAACTACACCACTACTACCTTTTGGCTATGTTTATTGTGATATACAAGAGCCAGCTCATATCTATTCAGAAGAGCTGATTTTAAATTTTTCAGGAATCTTACAAGCTAGTTGATATCAAATTGGTAGCTTGAAATAGGCCACAGTGGGAATATTTATACCATGGAAGTCAGCAAAGGTGACAAATTAGGGGCTTTTTTCAAAGAGGTCATAGTTAAATATTTACCAGCATCCTACTGAATATATGCTGAAATATTAATAATGGTTTTCCCCTGGTGGTAGAATGGCAAGTAGATAGGAAGAAAACAAGAAGAGTATAAAGGCCAAGAAAAGAGAGGCTTTTGAGTGCTCAACTGTGTCAAATGAGGTTGAGACATATCTTTTGGTGTTGAGTATTTACCTAGGCATGACATTGCTGGTTCTTAGAATATGCGTATTTTCAGTTCTAGTAGATATGTATTGCTAAGACATCTCCAATGTAGTTGCACCAATTTGCACTTAAAGTAAAAGAATCTTTTCCTCATAGGTTTGCATGAGTTATTTTTATATTCTAGATATGAGTTCTTTTTCAGATCTATTACTGCAAAAATTTCCCCAATCTGTGATTTGCCTTTTACTACGGCAATGGTGTCTTTGAGGAACAAAATTTTTTAATTTTAATAAGTCTAAATAATCAATCTCTTTTATGATTCGTGCATTTTATGTCCTACCTAAGAGATGTTTGCCTGTTCTAAGTCATAAAGATATTTTTTCATGTTTCTCAAAGCTTTATTGTTTAATGTTTCATGATCCATCTGGAATTGATTACAAGTATGGCATGAGTTAGAGGTCAAGGTTTAACTTTTGGCTATCCAAATGTTCTGGTTCTATTATAGCAGTTTTATTCACAGTGCCAAAAACTGGAAACAACCCACATAAGTCACCCACAATGCAAAAATAAATTGTGGGATTTTCATACAATTTAATATTATTCCACAATGAAAATGAAAACAAAACTACTGCCCCCTGCAAAAACATGGATGGCTCCCCTGAACGTGTTGAACCAAAGAAGCTAGACTGAGGAGTGCATACAGTTAAGGTTCTATTTTTTAAAATAAGCAAAGTTTATATGTGGTAAGAGAAGTCAAAACAGTGGTTACCTCTAGAAAATGACTGGTAGTAGGCAAGGAGAAGACTTCCAGGCCACAGGAAATATTCTATAGATTTTTCTGAGCGGTGGCCATGCTGGTGTATTCAGTTTGTAAAACTTTTTTGAGCAATATAAACTCTGCTTCTTAAAAAGCACTTAAAATCTGTGCTTTTTAAACTATGTGTGCTATATGTGTAAACTTAAAAATATGTTTGCAACAAAAGGTGCTGAGAGGGCAAGTGTAAAGTGTTCACTAGATTTAGCAAAAATAAAATTTTCTTCAAGGGTAGCAGTTTATTGGAGCAGTTTTAGGTCAGAGAGGATGAAGGTAAGAGTGGGCAAAGGAGTGAATGAGAGACAAGAGTGAAAAAACACTCCCAAAAGTTTGTGAATAAGAGGATCGAGGCAGTAAATGTATAAAAATATGATTTTCTTAGAAAGTGATGAGAGCATGTTATGCTAGTGAGAAAAAATTTAATAGAGAAAAAGACATTGAAGATACAATAGAAAGAGGTGTGAGGAATACCATTAAAATACAGGCAACCCTCACTTTGTTACACTTCAATTTATTGTGTTTTGCAGAGATTGTGGGGTATTTTTGTTTGTTTTTCTCTTGTTGTTGTTTTTACAAATAGAAGTTTTGTGGCATCCCTGCATCGAGCAAGTCTATGAGAGCCATTTTTCTAACAATATGTGCTTGCTTTGTGTCTCTGTGTCACATTTTCATAATTCTTGAAATATTTCAAACTTTTTCATTATTATCATATCTGTTGTGGTGACCTGTGATCAGTGATTTAGATTTTAGTATTGTAATTATTTGGGGGCACCATGAACTATGCCATATAAGATAGCAAACTTAATCAATATGAATGTTTTGCATGTTCTGAGTGCTCCAACAACCAGTAATTCTCTTGTCTCTCTCCCTTTCCTTGAATCTCCCTATTTCCTGAGACACGACAATTTGATATTAGGCATACTAATAGCCCTACAATGACCTTTATGTGTTCAAGTGAAAGGAAGAGTCACATATCTCTCACTTGAAATCAAAAGCTAGAAATGATTAATCTGGGAGAGGTGAGGGAGCTGCAGAAGAGAAGTTTGAAACTAGCAGAGCTTTGTTCATGAGATTTAAGAAAAAGAAGCCATCTTTGTAACACAAAAGTGCAAGGTGAAGCAGCAAGTGCTGATATAGAAACTGCAGCAAGTGGCCAGGTGCAGTGGCTCATGCCTGTAATCCCAGCACTTTGGGAGGCTGCGGCAGGCAGATCACCTGAGGCCAGGAGTTCGAGACCAGCCTGGCCAACATGGTGAAACCCCATCTCTACTAATAATACAAAAATTAGCCAGGCATGGTGGCAGGCACCTGTAGTCCCAGCTACTCAGGAGGCTGAGGCAGGAGAATGGCGTGAACCCGGGAGGCAGAGCTTGCAGTAAGCAGAGATTGTGCCACTGCACTCCAGCCTGGGCAACGAGTGAGACTCTGTCTCAAAAAAAAAAAAAAAGAAAAAAAGAAAGAAAGAAACTGCAGCAAGTTATCCAGAAGATCTAGCTAAGATCAATGATGAAGGTAGCTACACTAAATAACAGATTTCAAATGGAGACAAAACAGCCTTGTGTTATATTTAAGAAGATGTCATCTAGGACTTTCATAGCTAGAGAGGAGAAGTCAATGCCTGGCTTCAAAGTTTCAAAGAATTGGCATCTCATGCTACAGAAAAATTTTTCATGAAAGAGTCCATTGATGTGGCAAACTTCATTGTTGTCTTATTTTCAGAAATTACAATAACCACCTTATCCTTCAATTCTACCACCACATTGTCAGTCAGCAGCCATCAACACTACTAAGAAAAGACCCTCTACCAGCAAAATGATTGCAACTCACTGAAGGCTCAAATGATCATTAGCATTTTTTAGCAATAAGTATTTTTAAATTGAGATATGTACATTGTTTTTAGACCAATGCTATTGCATACTTAATAGGCAACAATATACTGTAAACATAACTTTTATATGTACTGGGAAACCAAAAAGTTTGTGTGACTTTTTAACATAATGGTGGTCTGGAACCAAACCTACAACATCTCTGACATTTGCCTGTACCTCATACCATGGGAAGGGATGAGATCCAAAGGATAGATGAAGAATTTAGTGTGTAATAACAAAGACACCACCTCCGCTGAAGCAGGAGAACAGGGTAAAACAACATGGGAGAATATACTGATACATTGATGTTTTTCTTATTTGTTTTATTTCTATGGATCATTTTTAGTTTGGGTTTTGTTATTTCAAATATTTTAAATAGTACCCAACTGATGGCTTCTCTTTTCTCTATGAGAGTTAGATATTCATTGAATGGGTAAAAGGTGGAGGCATTCCTCTTGAAAACTGGAATAAGATGCGAATGCCCTCTCTCATCACTCCTATTCCAACAGAGGAAGTCCTGACCAGAGTAATCAGGCAAGAGAAAGAAATAAAAGGCATCCAAATACGAAGAGAGGAAGTCAGACTATCCCTACTTGCAGATGAAATGATTCCATACCTAGAAAACCCTATAGACTCTATCCCCAAAGCTTCTTGATCTGATAAATAATTTCAGCAAAGTTTCAAGATACAAAATCAATGTACAAAAATAAGTAGCATTCCTATACACCAACAACATCTAAGCTGAGGGCCAAATCAAGAATGCAACCCTATTCACAATAACCACAAAAATAATAAAATACTTAGGAATACAGCTAACCAGAGAGGCGAAAGATCTCTACAATGAGAATACAAAACACTGCTCAAATAAATTAGAGATGACACAAATGAATGTAAACACATTTCATGCTCATGGATAGGAAGAATTAATATTATTTAAATTGCCATATTGCTCAAAGCAGTTTACAGATTCAATGCTATTCCTACCAAACTACCAAGGACATTCTTCACAGAATTAGAAAAAATAATTTTAAAATTCATATGGAACCAAAAAAGAGCCCAAATAGCCAAAGCAATTCTAAGAAAAAAGAACAAAGCTGGAGGCATCACATTATCTGACTTCAAACTATGTTACAAGACTACAGTAACCAAAACAGCATGGTCCTGGTACAAAAACAGACACGTAGACCAATGGAACAGAATAGAGAGCCAGAAATAAAGCCACACACCTACAACCATCTGACCTTTGATGAAGTCAACAAAAGTGAGCAATAGCAAGAGAACTCCCTATTCAATAAACAAGGCTGGGATAACTGGCTAGCCATATGCAGAAGTTTAAAAATGAACCCCTTCCTTGCACCATACACAAAAATCAACGCAAGATAGATTAAATACTTAAATGTCAAACCTAAATTTATAAAATCCCTGGAAAGTAACCTAGAAAATACCATTCTGGACATAGGAACTGGCAAAGACATGATGAAGATACCAAAAGCAACTGCAGCAACAACAAAAAAATTGCCAAGTTGAATCTAATTAAACTAAAGAACTTTTGCACAGCAAAAGAAACTATGGATAGAGCAAACATACAAGCTACAGAATCAAAGAAAATATTTGCAAACTATGCACCCAACAAAAGTCTAATATACATAACCTATAAGAAGCTTGAACAAATTTGCAAGCAAAAAACAAACAACCCCATTAAAAAGTGGGCAAATGACATGAATAGATACTTTTCAAAAGAAAACACACACAACCAATAAGCATATGAAAAAATGCCCAAGGTTGCTAATCATGACATAAATGCAAATCAAAACCACGATGAGATACCATCTATCACCAGTCAGAATGGCTATTATTAAAAAGTCAAAAAATAAGAGATTCTGGCAAGGCTGTGGAGAAAAGGGAATACTTACACACTGCTGGTGGGAATATAAATTAATTCAGCCATTGTGGAAATCAGTGTGGTGATTCCTCAAAGAACTTAAAACAGAATTACCATTTGATCCAGCAATCTCATTACTGGGTATATACCCAAAGGAATTTAAATCATTCTGCCATAAAGACATATGCACGCATATGTTCATTGCAGCACTATTCATAACAGCAAAGACATGGGATACACCTAAAAGCTCATCAATGGTAGATTGCATAAAGAAAATGTAGTACATATACACCATGCAATACTACGCTGCCATAAAAAAGAATGAGATAATGTCCTTTACAGCAACATGGATGGAGCTGGAAACCATTATTTTAAGCAAACTAATGCAGGAACAAAAAAACAAATACAGCATGTTCTCACTTATAAGTGGGAGCTAAACAATGAGAGCACATAGACACAGAGAGAGGAACAGACACCGGGGATTACATGAAGATGGAGGGTGGGAGAAGGGACAAATTCAAAAAACTACCTATCAGATACTATGCTTATTACCTGGGTAACAAAATAATCTGTACACCAAACTCTCAAGATACGCAGTTTACCTATATAACAAAACTGCACATGTACCCCTAAACCTGAAAAAAAAGTTAAAAAAAAAAAGAGAGAGAGTTAGATCTTCCTTTGAGTAATGGAAAGAAATATTTGGAGATTTTGATAGACTAGAGGAAGACTTGAGTCACTACAGAGGGTAAAGCAAGCTGGTAAGATAAATATAGTAAAATTTGCCAGGCTATGTTAAGGGCTTAATGCGATGTTATAAGGGTATAAAATCTCCTTCTGAATTTTCTCAGTTTTGATATACCTAGCATGTAACTTATTATATGATATAAAGTAGAATATAAGTATTTCTTCTGTCTTCTTACTAATGGTTAGCCATGTTTCCCAACACATATATCTAACAATTCATCCTTTGCCCATTGATCTTAAATGACATACTAGGCATTTATACACTTATAACTGCCTCTTTCTATTCTAATCCTTTGATCTGTCTATTTACGCTCTAATATATTGTTCAGAGGTTTATAATATTTTAATATCTAGCAAAACAACTTTTTCTTAATGATTCCCTTTTTGCAATGTTTTTCAAATTTAAGGTATAAAAAGGTACCCACACATTTACTTTCTAATGCTAATAAAGTATTTTCCCTTGGTTTTTTATTTGATTATTTCAGTGGGAATTTGATAAAAATTAGTGTTAAACACATGACTGCTTGATGTCGAGTTCAGGTATTTGATTCTGAACTCACTGTTTAACACTATTTTGCTTGTTTGTAATTTACATCAATATTTTTAACTTCCGAATGATCTGTTCCAGTTGGTAATCTCTTGCCTTCCAATTTTCAGTTGAACCTAATCACTTAATTAAATAGTTTCTGTTTGATCTTCATAAAATATTGAAATTTATAACATTATAGTCATTTTTTCTATCTCTTTGCTAGTCTCATTGGCTTGATTATTTCATATAAACTACAGAATAATTCTGCCAAGTTCCACTAACTTCAGGTGAAATTTTATTGCATTCAGTATATAAATTAATGTGGGAATCATGAGAATTTTGTTATATTGACCTTCCCATTCATGAATATGGTATATCTTTTTATCTTCCTCCTACAACAAGCCTGCTTGTTAGGGGTTCAAACGTGATACCCCAAAGACTGGCACTTTGTTATGCTGAAAAGTCTTAGAATCTGCCCCAGAATTGAGGTCTCTCTAACCTTGTCAGGCCCTCACCCACACCCCCAAGTCCAGGAAGGTGCTTTCTTTGGAATTCTCTTATTTGACTAAGAAGAAATTTCTCCAAAAGAAATGCAATTGTCTTATATCCCCTCTCCAAGAATCCCATCAAATAACCAGGAAAGATCCACCACCAGAAAAGAAACTGGGAGTCATCATCACACCCATATAGGCTTTTCATTTATTCTTCTGAGGGAACTCAGAGAGATTACATGAGGTAACTTTTTCTGCATAATAAGACAACATTTGTTCCCATGCAGTTCTTCCTCTCACTTCCCTGTAACTTGTCCCATCCAGCACCCAAAGAGAAACATATAGTAATCATTGTCTTAGCATTGAGCCTATTCATTCTCCCATTTTTCTCTTCCTTATGAAGAGGGCATTTAAGCCTGAATGATCTGGTCCCTCTTTGAGTTCATATTTTGTATGATTCTCATACACATGTGTCCACATAATAAATTTGTTATGCTTTCCTCTTGTTAACCTGTTTTGTGTTGTAGGGGTGTCAGCCATGATGCTTCACAATAAAGAGGAAAGGGATCACCTCCTTTCTGCCCCTACACTGCCCATACTATATTTAGTTTAATAAAATTTTACAGTTTTGTTTTGTTGTGATTTATTTTCATTTATTTAATTTTTTTTTCTTTGGAGATGAAGTTTCACTCTTATCACCCAGGCTGGAGTGCAATGTCATGATCTGGGCTCACTGCAACCTCCGCCTCCCGAGTTCAAGGAATTCTCCTGCCTCAGCCTCCCAAGTAACTGGGATTATAGGCATGCACCACCACGCCCAGCTAATTTGTGTATTATTAGTAGAGACAGGGTTTCACCATGTTGGCCAGGCTGGTCTCAAACTCCTGACCTCAGGTGATATACCTGCCTTGGCCTCCCAAACTGCTGGGATTACAGGCATGAGTCACCACGCCCGGCCTGTGATTTATATTTTAACCAACTAGTTCTCAAACCTGTAAATCATAATTTGCTGTGGAATTCCTCAAAGGCCAAAATTGATAGAAGCCCCACCTCTATAGATTCTAATTTAATAAATGTAGACTGAGCCATAACCATATTAATTTTCTTATAAGCAATTTTGATGCACAGTCAGGATTGAGAATATTTGGAATATCAAGAATGTAGAAACTAAGTTTAATAACGTAGTATTTTCTTTTTGGCTCTTCTCTACCTTTTAAAAATAGTATTGTATGTAATTTTTATTTATGTATTTTGACCTTAATATGAGTTCTTAGTGTTAAATTTCTGTTAAGCATCATTTTATTGCCTGCAAAATATCCCATCTTGTGAATAAATGTAGCATAATTTACTTAAGTATTCTCTCTAATTTCCCTGATTTTCTGTCATGAGCAGAAACAATAATATTTCTATTTGGGGCAATAAAGAAAACAAAAGTAAATAGCCCAAAATCTAAATGTTTTATTATTTTCCACTACAGTGTTCTGGAATAGCTACCTTTATTGAATTCATACTTTACTATGTAGTATATAAATGAAACTCATCTATATATTTAGTTTTACTTCCTAAATATCATACCAGTGTAGATACATTTCATGAGATAGTCTTTGTTTCTAAATGAAGCAGAAACTCTATGTTTAAATACTTAAGAAACACTATAGATAGGTCATTTGTTACAAAACTTCAAAAAGGAAATGTTTTACTCCTGTTAACATGAATAGAATATGTTCCCCTGTAACAATTTGTAGTGAAATCATGTAAGTATTATAAATGCATGCTATGAAATATAATCTAAAGATGAACCTATATATTCATTACTAGACTAAAATGAATTTGTAAATCATGGGATATTCATACAATGTATAAAATGTGAAATTGCACTTACAATAAACTTGAAGCACATACAGCAACATAAATATTTATTAATAAAAGATGATCAGGTGATTAAAAGCAGTTTGCAAAATGATACATACTGTAAGACTTTTCAATACAAGAACAGTGCTATTTATTATATGTAAGCTAATATATATGAGTTAGAAGTATAAAAGAATATCTGATATTATTAAAACCCAATTCAGAAATGATTACCTCTGGGAAAGGAAGAAGGGGAATGCCAGCATGAAAGAGTACAAGCGGAACTTCAACTGTATTAGAAATATGTATTCTTTCAAACAAAAAGAAAAATATTACCCAAACTTGCAAAATATTAATAAAAAGATACCGAGTGACAGTTTTATGAATATTTGTTAAGACAATTTCTTTACTTTGATATTTTTAAACATTTTGAAAAATAATCTGAATAACAATTCAAATCACTGAATTTTAATGTTAATTTTACTGTCCCAGTTTGATCTGGAACACATTGCTTATCTTCTCTGTTCTCCAATTCTTTTGTCAGTAAAATTAAGATGTTAATATTTCTCCCTTTATCCAGATGGCAACTGGCTAAAAGCAACAATAACTATAAACCACATCAAGTTCTACGTATAATTAAAATACTTAAATCAAGAAAAAGAACTTTGTTCCCTCCAGTAAAGAACCTATGATCTACAAGAACAGAAGAAAAAAATCAAAGGCCACATAAGTTAAAAGTAATTCAATTTAGCTCTTTTTGTTCTCTTTGTTAAAAAGTGAAACAAATATTCTACTTACTGATTTTTTTTAATTAACAAGAAACATAAAGTGATATCTAATAAATAAAATAAAATAATAAACTTTCATTTTTCATTTTTTCTAAGTAAGAGAAACAGAGTAAAAGGAGAAAGCAACACCTACGGGTGTTGCTTAGTGGCATGAAGAGAGGCCCATAGTTATGAAGGATGAAAAAATGACATCATAGAAAAAATTGTTCGTAGCTTCCACATGCCTCACATAAAAACATCTCCATTTCTCATTCAGTTTTTATTGCTATGCTTTAATACAAGTAACCAGTCATGTTGGCTCCACCATTACCATGTCTTTAATCCATTGAGATTCTGTCCTTCCTAATGATGCATTTTATTTTTTAAGAACATGATTCTCCCTTTGACGCTTCCTCTTGAGCCCATATTATAACAAGTCTGATTGAATGGTCACTCTATGTGACCAGCTGGTTGCATCCTCAACAGGAAGATCTTGTTATATGGTTCTCTACTTGCACTAGGTGACCTCCTGTGCTCTGAGGCTAAATGGTATTACTGACTATGCTTCATGGTCCAGTGAGACCACAAGCTGAAATCTGTCATCAGATGAGGCTGCTATATAAAGGTTCCAAGTTGCTACTTCTTGAATGTGTGAATGTTTTCTTTCATATCTCATAACACAGGTGGCCACGGCTGGAAAGACCAGAACCTAGAATCAGACTACACAGTAATTCAGGCAACAATCCCAGTTCAAGAAGTGGATGAAACAATTAGTTTGGCAAGCTAACTCTGGCATCCAGATGGTATCAGCAATAGCATTTCCCAAGTAAGACAACAATATAAACCGTTATTAAGTCCTAACAGGTGAACAGAAAGCAGAAATTAGCAACTCAGATGAGTGATAATTGGCAACAAAAACAGAGTTAACCATGTCTTTAATCTATCGAGATTCTGCCTTTCCTAATAGCCCAATTTATTTTTTAACAACATGATTCTCCTTTGACACTTCTTCTTGAGCCCATATTATGATAACCTACCCGTTTTTTATTTTATTCATCAGAACATGGAGCACAGACAGCAATACCATTCAACCTCAGAGCACAGGAAGTTACCCAACCCAACTAGAGCACCCAACAGCAAGGTCTGCCTATTGAGGTTGCAACCAGCCAGTCACATAGAGTGACCATTCAACCTGATTTGTCTAAGACTGTCCGAGGTTAATTATTAAGAGTGCTCCCTTTCACTCTTGGAAGTGTCATGGTTTGGACAATTAATTATATTTTCACCCTCAAGCTGTTGCCATTAAGGACTTCTACATTCATGTTTCATTTTTACAGCTATAGTTGTTAGTGTGATATCAATTTGCAACCATATATAAATAGCAGATTAAGTTAACCAATTCAAATGCTTAGTGTGACCATTTATGAAAGATTTATTGCCCTAGTTTAAAAATAGTATAAGAAAATGAAGGCTACTAATACAACAAAAGAAATAGAAATTACTGCAATTAGAAGTAAGAACTTCTAGATACAAAAATGAGTAGAGAAAAAGAAACAACAGAAAGTGATGTCAGCAAGATAGTAAAATAGGAGTTCACAAGCTTCACTCCCCACCCACAGAAATCTAGCTAGCAATTATCCACAGGGAAGAAGACCATTATAAATGCACCAGAACTCAGAAGTAAGGCTAAGAGACACCCCCTTGGACCACAGAATTGAGAAAAGTCATAATCAGACAGTGAGAAGAATAGTTTTTATTGACTGTGCTGCCCACGCACACCCCCATATGAGCATGGTGCTATACACAAAGGTTTACCTTAGGCTCATGGTTTCTGCAGTGGGAGAGGTGAGTTGGGGAAAGAATTCTGCTTTCTCACTATTCTGGGACCCCTTGTAGGCGGCTTTCTTCTGCCTCACCCCATGCGAAATGTTCAGGAGTGCCATCAGGCTAGACAACTGGGGGTATGTTGGAGACAAAGAAAAGAGGTTCATACCAACGAGTGCATGAATCATGGTAGTTGCTCTGCGTTCCAGCCAACAGAGGTATCACATCAGAGAAACTAACCATCAGTATCAATAGAAAACACTGCACAGAGGCAAAACAACAGTACTTCCCAGCCAGGGAAGACAACCTGCAACTCTACCCAATCAGAGATGGTTACAGAGCCCAGCTAGAAGCCTCACCTAATAACAGAGCCCAGCCAGTGGTCTCACTGGACCACAGAGCACAGCCAGCAACACTGTTTGATATCAGAGCACAGGAAGTGACTCAGCCCAACTAGAAAACCCAACTAAGATCTGCCTGTCCAGGGTTGCAACCAGCCAGTCCAACCATAAGGCCAATCTAGACTAAATAGTAAAGGTCTATCACCACCAAAGAACACATGCAAAGGACAGGAAATGTGGCCATCTCCTTAAAAGCACACTTATCAACGTAAGAACACAAGGATTATTTAAAATTCAGGGACATACGACACCACTGAAAAAAATAAAAATAAATAAAAGGGTCAATAACAGACCCATAAGAAAAGATCTATGAAATGACTGACAAATAATTTAAAATAATGCTTTTAAAGAAATTCAGGGAGCTGCAAGAAATATGGATAGAAAATTAAATAAAATTTGGAAATCAATTCATGAACAAAATGGGAAGTTTGACAAAGAAATAGAAACAATAAAAATTATAAATCCTAGAGATAACACAATAACTCTACTGAAAATTTCAGTAGAAAGCTTCAACAGCAGATTTGATCAAGAAGAAGCATCAGTGAGCTTAAAGACACAACATTGGAATTATTCAATCAGAAAAGCCAAAAGTAAAAAGCATGAAAAAATGAAGCAGGCTTCTGGGATCTATGGGATAACATGGAAAGGATTTATGGGATAACATGAAAATGTTCAAGTCATTAGAGTTAAAGAGGAAGTAGAGAAAGAAGGACAGAAAGCTTACTTAAAGAATAATAGCAGAACACTTTGGGAGGCCGAGGCGGGCAGATCATGAGGTCAGGAGATCGAGACCATCCTGGCTAACACAGTGAAACCCTGTCTCTATTTAAAAATACAAAAAAGTAACCAGGTGTGGTGGCACGTGCCTGTAGTCCCAGCTACTCGGGAGGCTGAGGCAGGAGAATGGTGTGAACCTGAGAGGTGGAGTTTGCAGTGAGCCAAGATTGCACCACTATACTCCAGCCTGGGCAACAGAGTGAGACTGTGTCTCAAAAAAAAGAACAATAACAGAAAACCTTTCAAGCATGGAGAGAAATATAAATATCCCTATATAGGAACATCAAAGGACATTAATCAGATCCAATCCAAATAAGACATCCCCAAGACATATTATCATCAAACTGTCAAAAATTAAAGACAAAAACAGGTTCCTGAAAGTAGCAAAAGAAAAGAAACAAATAATACAAAAAGGACTTCCAATACATCTAGAAGCAAGATTTTTGCCAGAAATCTTATAGGCCAGGAGGGAGTGGGATGACATATACAAAGTGCTAATAAAAAAAAAAAAGGAAAAGAAAACTGTCAACTAAGAATACTGTATCCTGCAAACCTGTCATTCAAAAATGAAGGAGAGATAAAAGATTATCAGACAAACAAAAGCTGAAAGAGTTCATCACTACCAGACCTGTATTACAGGAAATGCTGAGGGAGTTCTTCTAGCTAAAATAAAAGGATAGTAATGAGTAACACTATTTATTTTTATATTTATCTCAAAATACAAAACTCATTGGTAAAAGTACAGAATCAAATTTAGAATACTCTAACACTGTAAAGATATTGTGTAAAATGCTTATATCTTCAATATCAAGTTTGAAAGACAACTATTTTTAAATTATTACAATAATTTGTTAAAGAATATGAAGTATAAAAAGTAAATTGTGACATCAAAAAATCATAATAGGAGATAGTGGAGTAAAATGTACAGGATTTTTTTCTATCACAGTTAAATTGCTATCAGCTTAAAATAGGATGTTTTTGGTAAGCTTCATGTTAACTACAAAACTAAAACCTGTTATAGATGCACAAGAAATAGAAAGCAAGGCATCAAAACATATTATTAGAGAAGAATTTTGTCTGGAATTGGTGGGTTCTTAGTCTCGCTGACTTCAAGAATGAAGCCACGGACCCTCACAGTGAGTGTTACAGTTCTTAAAGATGGTGTGTCCAGAGTTTGTTCCTTCAGATGTTCAGATGTGTCTGGAGTTTCTTCCTTCTGGTGGGTTCGTGGTCTTGCTGACTTCAGGAGTGAAGCTGCAGACCTTTGTGGTGAGTGTTACAGCTCTTAAAGGCAGTGTGTCTGGAGTTGTTCTTTCCTTCTGATGGGTTCATGGTCTCACTGGCCTCAGGAGTGAAGCTATAGACCTTCACTGTGAGTGTTACAGTTCATAAAGGTGGTGCGTCTGGAGTTGTTCGTCCCTCCCATCCAGAGTTGTTCGTCCCTCCCAGTCGGTTTGTGGTCTCACTGGCCTCAAGAATAAAGGGGCAGACCTTCGAGAAGGTGGCGTGTACTCAAAGAGTGAGCAGCAGCAAGATTTATTGTGAAGAGCAAAAGAACAAAACTTCCACAGTGTGCAAGGGGACCCCACCAGGTTGCCACTGCTAGCTCTGGTGACCTGCTTTTATTGCCTTATCTGGCCCCACCCACATCCTGCTGATTGGTCCATTTTATAGAGAGCTGATTGGTCGATTTTACAGAGAGCTGATTGGTCCCTTTTACAGAGAGCTGATTGCTACGTTTTGACAGAGCACTGATTGGTGCATTTACAAACTTTAGCTAGACACAGAGTGCTGATTGGTGCATTTATAATCCTTTAGCTAGACAGAAAAGTTCTCCAAGTCCCCACCAGCTTAGCTAGACAGAGAGCCCTGATTGGTGTGTTTATAAACCTTTAGCTAGACACAGAGTGCTGATTGGTGTGTTTACAAACCTCTAGCTAGACACAGAGTGCTGATTGGTGCGTTTACAATCCTTTAGCTAGACAGAAAAGTTCTCCAAGTCCCCACCCAACCCAGAAGCCCAGCTGGCTTCACCTCTCAATGGCACTCACCAGGGGACTTTGCAGCACCTAGCCCAGGCACTCCAGCAGCCCAGAGGGAGCTCGTCCCCCCATCAAGCCCCGCAGGCGCCGGCCAGCCACAGGGAGTGTGGGGCCTGCGGAGCCCACCACCACCCGGAAGCCACGCTGGCCTACAAGTGCCTCAAGCAGCCCTGGCTTGCACCCACGCCTCCCCCTCCACCCCTGCGGGTGAGCAGAGGCAGCCGGCTCCGGCCTCAGCCAGTCCCAGAGAGGGTCCCCGACAGCGCAGCTGCAGGCTGAAGGGTTCCTCCAGCGGGCCAGAGCGGACGCGGAGGCCAAGGGGGCACCGAGAGCCAGCGAGGGCAGCTAGCATGTTGTCACCTCTCAGAATCACTTAACTGCAAAGAAAGACAGTAAGAAAGGATGAAAGGAAGAAAGAATCTACAAAAATAAAACCTAAAAAATAATCAGCAAGATTAGGCAGATTTCCCTCATGCTGTTCTCCTGATAGTGAGTGAGTTCTCAAAAGATCTGATGGTTTCTAAGTGTGGCACTTCCCCCGATGCTCTCACTCTCCTGCCACTGTGTAAGATATGCCTTGCTTCCCCATCACCTTCTGCCACGATTGTAAGTTTCCTGGGGCCTCCCTAGCCATGCAGAACTGTGAGTCAATTAAACCTCTTTTCTTTATAAATTACCCAGTCTCATGTAGTTTTTTTTGTTTGTTTGTTTTTGATACAGTCTTGCTCTGTCTCCTAGGCTGGAGTGCAGTGGTGTAATCTTGGCTCACGGCAACCTCCACCTCCTGAGTTCAAGGGATTCTCCTGCCTCAGCCTCCTGAGTAGCTGAGACTACAGGCATACGCCACCACACCCAGCTAACATTTGTATTTTTGGTAGAGACAAGGTTTCACCATGTTGGCCAGGCTTGTCTCAAACTCCTGGCCTCAAGTGATCTTCCCACCTCAGCATCCCAAAGTGCAGGGGTTACAGGCATGAGCCACTGTGTCCAGCCAGTCTCAGGTAGTTCTTTATAGCAGTGTGAAGACAGACTAATACAAATACACATAGACTGAAAGTGAAGGAATGGAAAAAGATATTTATTACAAATGGATACCAAAATAGAGCAGAAGTAGCTATATTTATGTCAGATAAAGTTTAAGTTAAAAACTATAAAAAGCAACAAAGAAGGCCACTATGTAAAAACAAAAGGGTCAATTCAGCAAGAGGACATAACAGTTATAAATATATATGTACCCAACATGGAACACCTAAATGTATAAGGAAATTTTAATAGATCTGAAGGGAGAAATAGACTACAATATAATATTGGTAGAGAATTTTTACACCCCACTTTCAGCAATAGACAGATCATCCAGGCAGAAAATCAACAAGGAAACATCAGACTTAAACTGTACTCTAGATCAAATGGACCCAGCAGACAGCTACAGCTGAAGAATATACATCCTTCTCAGTTTAATATGTTTCTCAGTTTCACATGGCATATACTCCAGTATAGATTATACATTAGGTCACAAGACAAGTCTTAACAAATATAAAAGGAATAAAATTATATCAAGTATCTTTTCTCACCACAATAATATAAAACTAGAAATCAATAGCAGGAGGAACTTCAGAAAATTCATAAATACATCAAAATTAAACAACATGCTTTGAACAATCAATGGGTCAATAAAGAAATTAAAATGGAAATTTAAAACTTTCTTGAGACAAATGAAAATGGAAATAAAATATACCAAAACCTATGGGATACAGCAAAAGCAATTATAAGAAAAAAGGATTATTATAATTACTATAATAATTATACTATTAAATATCTACATCAAAAAAGGAAAGTACTCAAACATCCTAATGTTACACCTGCAGGAACTAGACAAACAAAAACAAAGCCCAAAATTAGTAGAAGGAAGAAAATGATAATGGTAAAAACAGAAATAAATGAAACAGAGACTAGAAAAACAACATAAAATATTAATGAAATGAAGAGATGATTTTTTAAAAAGATAAAACTGACAAACCTTTAGCTAAACTAAGTAAAAAAAAAGAGAGAAGGCTCAAATAAAATCAGAGGCTTAAAAAAAAGGAGGCATTACAACTAATACCACAGAAATGCAAAGAACCATAATAAACTATTATGAACAATTATATGCCAACAAATACAAAGTAAAACCTAGAAGAAACAGATAAATTCCTGGACACATGTAAGCTAACAAGATTGAAGTTTGAAGAAATAGAAAATCTGAAAACATCAATAATGAGTAAGGAGATTTATTAAATCAGTAATAAATATTCCCCCATCAAGGAGAAGCCCAGGACCTGATGGTGTAATGGTTCAATTCTACCAAACATTTAAAGAAATAATACTAATTATCCTCTAGCTCTTTGAAAAATTAGATTACTTCCAAATTCATTTTACAAGGCCAGCATTACCCTGATGCCAAAACCAGACAAAGACTCAACAAAAAAAGAAAACTACCACCCAACGTCCCTGATGAACATGGATGCAAAAATCTTCAACATACTAGCAAATCAAATTCAACAATACATTAAAAAGATCATTCAGCATTATCAAGTAGGATTTATTCTAAGGATGAAAGGATGTTTCAACATATGCAAATCAATAAATGTGATACATCACATTAACAGAGTCAAGAACAAAAACAATATGAGCATCTCAACTGATGCAGAAAAGGCATTTGACAAAATTTAACATCCCTTTATGATAAAACTCTCAACAAATTAAGTATAGAAGGAATGTGCCTCAACACAATAAGGGCCGTATATGACAAACCCACAAGTAACATCATACTGAACAGGAAATAGTTGAAAACATTTCCTTTAAAACATAGAGTAAGATAAGGTTGCCCCTCTCACCACTTTTATTCAATACAGTATTGGAAGTTCTACCCAGAGTAATTAGGCAGGAGAAATAAATCAAAGATATTCAAATTGGAAAGGAAGAACTTAAATTGTCCCTGTTTGTAGATAACATGATCTTACACACAGAAAACCCTAAAGACTCTACCAGAAAAACTGTTAGAACTAATAAATGAATAAGTAAAGTTGGAGAATACAAAATCAACACATAAAAATCATTAGTATTTCTATATACTAAGAGCAATCAATCTGAAAAAAGAAATCAAGAAAATCTCATTTAAAATACCTACAAATAATAAGATATTTGGTAATAAATTTAACCAAGGATATGTTGAAAACTATAAAACACTGATGAAAGAAACTGAAGAAGACACCAGTAAGTGGAAGGCTATCTTGTGTTCGTGGATTGAAATTAATCTTTTCAAAATGTCTATACTATCCAAAGCTATCTATAGATTCAATGCAATTCACATCAAAATATCAATGATATTCTTCACAGAAATGTAAAAAAAAATCCTAAAATTTATATGAAACCATAAAAGACCCAAAATAGCCAAAGCAATCTTATGTAAAAAGAACAAACCTGGAGGCATCATACTCCTTTACTTTGAAATATATTACAAAGCAATTGTAAACAAAACAGCATGTTACTGGCATAAAAACAGACACTTAAACCAGTAGAATAGAACAGGCAGCCCAGAAATAAATCCATTAATTTACAGCCAGTTGATATTTTACAAAGATGCCAAGTACACACAATGTAGAAAGGACAGGCTTTTCAATAAATGGTGTTGGGAAAACTGGATATCCACATGCAGAAGAATGAAATTAGACCCTTATCTCATACCACATACAAAATCAAATCAAAATGGATTAAATACCTAAATATAAGACCTGAAACAGTAAAACTGTAGAAGAAAACATAAGCAAAAAGCTCCATGACATTAGTGTGTATGATGGTAAATATTGAACGTCGACTTGATTGCATTGAAGGATGCGAAGTATTGTTCTTGGGTATGTCTGTGAGGGTGTTGCCAAAGAAGATTAACATTTGAGTCAGTGGACTTAGAAAGGCAGACCCACCTTCAATCTGGGTGGGCACAATCTAATCAGCTGCCAGCACAACTACAATAAAGCAGACATAATGCTTCCTGCCCTCAAACATCAGACTCCAAGTTCTTCAGCTTTGGACTCTTGGACTTACACCAGTGGTTTGCCAGGGGCTCTCCAGCCTTCAGCCACAGACTTAAGGCTGCATCGTTGGCTTCTCTAATTTTGAGGGGTTAGGACTCAAACTGACTTTCCTGATCCTCAGCTTGCAGATAGCCTACTGTGGGACTTCACCCTGTGATTGTGTGGGTCAGTACTCCTTAATAAAAATGTGGCACATATACACCATGGAATACTATGCAGCCATAAAAAATGATGAGGTCATGTCCTTTGTAGGGACATGGTTCAAACTGGAAACCATCATTCTCAGCAAACAATCGCAAGGACAAAAAACCAAACACCGCATGTTCTCACTCATAGGTGGGAATTGAACAGTGAGAACACATGGACACAGGAAGGGGAACATCACACACCAGGGGCTGTTGTGGGGTGGGGGTAGGGGGGAGAGGTAGCATTAGGAGATATACCTAATGCTAAATGATGAGTTAATGGGTGCAGCACACCAACATGGCACATGTATACATATGTAACAAACCTGCATGTTGTGCACATGTACCCTAAAACTTAAAGTATAATAATAATAAAATTAAAAAAATAAACAAATAAATAAATAAACTCCCCTTCATATATACATCTATCCTATTAGTGCTGTCCCTCTAGAGAACCCTAATATAGTGTGGGTGAAGATTTTTTTAAAATATGACCCTTACAACACAGGCAACAAAAGCAAAAATAGACAAATAGGATTACATCAAAGTAAAAATCTATTGCACAGCCAAGGAAACAGTCAACAGAATGAAGAAACAACATGCAGAATCGGATAAGATATTTGGAATCTATCCATCTGACAAGAAATTGACAACCAGAATAGAAAAGGAGTTCAAACCACTAAACAGCAAAAAATAATAATTACTATTATTATAATCCAATTTTAAAATGGCCAAAATATCTCAATATAAAATTCTCAAAAGGCAACATACAAATGGCCAACAGGTATATTTAAAAATACTCAATTTCACTAATCATCAGGAAATGCAAATTAAAATTAAAATCTATCACCTAAAACCTATTAGAATGGCTGTTATCAAAATGATAGAAGATAACAAGCATTGGCAAGGATGTCAAGAAAAGAGAGCCCATGTACACTGCTAGTGGGAATGTAGATTAGCACAGCTATTATGTAAAAAAGTATAGAGATTCTTCAAAAAATTAAAAATAGAACTACCATATGATCCAACAATCCCACTACTGGGTATATATTCAAATGATATGAAATCAGTATATCAAAGAGATATCTGTACTCCCATATTTATTGCAACACTATCGACAATAGCCAAGATATGGTGTCAACTTAAGTGTCCATCAATGAATGAATAGATAAAATGTGGTATTTATACATAATGGAATACCATTCAGCCATAATAAAGAAGGAAACCATAATAATTGTGACAGCATGGATGAATCTAGAGAGCATTATGTTAAGTGAAACAAGCCAGATACAGAAAGACAAATATCACATGATCTCACTCATATGTGGAATATAAAAAAGCTGATCTTATAGAAGAAGAGAGTAGAATGCTGGTTATGAACAGCTAGGCTTGGCTGGGGGGAGGGGAAGGTGCAGAAATGTTGGTCAAAGAATACGTATTTATAGTCAGATAAAAAGAATAAGTGCCAGAGATCTATTGCACAGCATGGTGACTATCATTACTGATGATATATTGTATTTTTCAAAAATGTTAAGAAGGTAGATGTTGTGTTCTCACCCACAAAAATGATAACTATGTGAGGTAATACATTCATTAATTAGCTAGATTTAACCATTCTATAATGTATATATACTTCAAAACATCATGCATACACAGATAAATACATATTATTTTATATGTTAATTTTACAAATAAATAAATCTGGGGGAAATAAAACAATAGAAATAAGATGAAAGTTAGAATCCAGATATACTCATTTAACAAAGATTCAGCCATGCTTATTTAATTGGTTAGACCTTTCTTAGCATCTTGCTCATAACACATGAGTTCCAGATCTCAGCAAAATCTCACTTACTTAGGTATTCTGGGAAAACTTCTGTGGTATCTCATATGAGTTCATAATCAGTTCTATCCGCTATCAAATGGTGTCTGCCTTGATCTGCTCCAGACCTCTTGGAGATGGCCTCCTCACCACTGCCAATCATGTGGTACACACTTGATGACATTTATATTCCACTCAGAAACACTATCTCCTAATGCTTCAATGCTGCAAACACTATCTCTACAAGCGTTTCTATTTCCTCAAGATTCCTCGTGCACCCATGCCACATTTTTGAGCAAATAAATTTGGGGAAAATATTCCTTTTTATCACACTTCTTTTCACAAATATTTATTATAATGGCACTGTTCTGGCCACTAGGGCAACAGTGGTTTGAAAATAGGGTCATGGTAACTGCTCATAACGCATTTACAGCTTAGTAAGGAAGCACATCTGACACATATTAATGTTTATAGTATACCAGGAACTATGCTAAATACTTTATCTGCATTTTCTCCTTTATCATCACAAGGCTACAAGGTAGGCATTGTTATTATCACCATTATATTGGATGTTGTAGTAGGCTGAATAACAGCCATTCAAAGATATCAGGTATCAGGTCTTAATTTCAAAAACTGTGACCAAAACACAAGGGATTCAGTCTAGGTCCTGGGGTTCACCACACAGAAAGTCAATGACTGAGATGACAATTATTGCCAAGAAAGAAGGCTTTAATTGGGTGCTGTGGTCAAGGAGATAGGAGCTCAGTCTCAAATCCACCTCCCTGACTAAAACTAGGGGTTTATATAGCAGAAAAGAAATGCAACAGTGTACAAGAAACAAGAATTAGGGAGGGGAAAAGAAGCAATCACGATGAATGAGGGGTCTGGCATCTCATTGTCTGGATGTGATGATCTGGTGAGTTTCAGTTCTTTGACACTTTGAGAGGCCTGAAGGTTTCCTGAGGAAGGAACTCAGTTAAAACAAATGTAAGTTTCAACCTTTAAGACCAGAAGGGTCAACCTCTAATATTTATCAAAAAAAAAAAAAAAAAAACTATCTATGGGACTATTCGGGTCAGCTTCAAAACCTGTAAATATTATCTTCATAAAGAAAAAGAATATTTGTACATGTGATTAAGCCAAGGATCTTAACTTCATGGGAAGATTATCCTAGATTATTTGTGTAGGTCCTAAATCAAATCACAGATATCTCTTTTTTAAGAGAGAGGCAGAGGGAAATTTCACAGAGAGAAAGAGAGAGGGAGCAAAGAATGTGAAGACAAAGGAAAAGATTGGAGTGATGCAGTCACAAGCCAAGGACCTCCAATCAGCAGTCACCCCAGAAGCTAGAAAAGGCAAGAAACAAATTCTCACTCAGAGCCTCCAAAGGGAGCATGGCCCTGCTGACATCTTGATATTAGAATTCTGGAGGCCAGAATTATGAAACAATAAATTTCTGTTATTTAAACCACCAAGTTTGTGGTGATTTGTTATGGCAGCTAAAGAACTAATACAGATGGGAAACTGAAGCTTGGAAAGTAATTTGTCCATAGTCACAAAGCTAGAAATGTGCAGATCTGGGATTTAAACTCAAGGAAGATGTCTCCAGAGCTTTCTCTTAGACACCTAGCTAAGGCATTTTACCAAAAATATCTTCTGGGCACCAAATCCATGATGTCTGTTCCCAAATCTCAAAGAATGTTTCATAAAAAGAGTTGCTTCCAGCAGCACTTTTCTTCCTATAGTTCAGGTAGAAATCCTTGGAGTTGACTAATGAATAGAGACAGCTGTCTTCAACATTATTCATGTTTCTTCATTTCTGCAGCCTCTGTGCCTCGCTGCTTCATCTGTCCTCTTCTCTTTCCATCAAAAAAAAAAAAGTTTATGAACCTAGACTTTTGCAGATCAACTCCTAGCGGAACCACCAATAGTCCTATAATTAGGTAGAAGAATAAGTTCAAAGAATAATGCCCTAAATTTATATTACATGTCAAAAAATCTCTAAAATAATGAAAAAAATCCATAGGTAGTTAAATTTGAATTAACAAGAGAAATGGAAGATAGGTAACGGAAAATTTCTCAAAGGAAACTAAGCTACTCTCTGGATTCTTTACTCAATTTATTTTACATGTTTATGCAGTTCCAAAATATGCAAGATCTCACTTGTGATGCAATTATTCTGCCACTTCCATCTGCACTTTCCAATTGAGTAAACTGACCATTTCTTTTCAAAAGCATTGCTGAAATATGCATTATATAGAAATATTTCTGAGAAAATGTTAGACAACTGAGAATCACTTTTGTGTTGTTGGTAACATAGAACTGATGTGAGGTATCTCTAGAGAGTAACAGATTCAATTTTGTGAAACATTAGGTAAACAAGAAATGGTTCAGTGTTTCAGAAAGTGAAGAGAATAATTTCATTTTACTTCATCTTGGGCCTTGAGCTCAGTAGACCTGTCCGATTGCTTTCGAATGCAACGTTGCAGCAAATAACAGATACTTTTTTATTTCATACATCATTTATAAATTCTACTGCAATTCTACAGAGCCAATACATATTATTCTTCCAAACCAAAGAAGTGGTATCCTGACTTTGTTACCCCTACTGGTCACTGGAACTTCTGCTTAAGCACAAATAACTTACATTTTTAGCACTTTAAATCACTATCAGGCAGTTATATCTTCCCTTGGATGCTCTTTTTACTGCATCCCTATGACTAAATCACTATCAGGCAGTTATATTTTCCTTTGGATGCTCTTTTTACTGCATCCCTATGACCTTTATTCTCCTCCCCTCTAAATTCTGGTGTTTCCTCAAGTTTAATCTATTTTTCTTGCCTTCTCTATCTATACACTTGCTCTTCCTTGTAACCACAATGACACTGATAACCTCAAGTATCATCTGTGCTAAAAAAAAAAAATCACTTCTACTTAAATTTTTTAAAACATTAACAAGAAGAATTCAAGCTATCTTTAACAGAATATATATATATAATATATATAATATATATATGTTGAGCATCCTTAATCTGAACATTCAAAATCCAAAATACTTAAAATCCAAAACTTTTTGAGCATCAACATAATGCCACAAGTGGAAATTTTCACACCTGATACCTTTGCTTTCTCACAGTTCAATGTTTACAAACTTGGTTCCATGCACAAAATTATTTTCAATAGTATACAAAATTAACTGTAGCCTATGTGTATAGGGTATATATAAAACATAAATGAATCTTATGTTTAGACTTGGGTCCTATCCCCCAACGTATCCCATCATGTATATGCAAATATCCAAAATCCAAAATTCAAAACAAATCTGATCCCAAGCATTTTAGATAAGGAATACTATTATATATCCATCATGTTGCAAAACTCAGAAGCCACTATTGCCATTGTATTCTGGTTGTACACTGTGATGACCCAGTGGTGACCCAGCATGACTGTATATCTGGAAAACCAAGAGAATCCACCAAAAAATTATTTACAATAATAAAATAATGTAGCAAAATGACTGAATGAAATTAATACAAAGAAAACATAGCTTCTATGTAACACTAATTGGCATATGAAATGATGGAAAAGATCCAATTTAAAATTGCAATTTTGAAGTATTAAATACCTAGAATTAAACTAATATTAAAGGGTAATATGAGACTTCTAGCTTCCAGTTCAGTATGTAAGGAAATTGGAAGTTGTTGCTCCATTCTGACAACAAATGAAAAGCTAAGCAAACAGAAAATCAATAATTATTCTTAGATTCATCATACAAGTGAGATCACAGAACAAATGGCTTTTACAAAAATTGGACAGAGAGACAGGGAGAATTACAATATACTGGAGCAGAAACCCACAAGCAGAAACTTCCCCTAGGGACAAGTAACGGTAGAAAAACCTACACTGTCACTGACAAATTGGTGGAGGCTTAGTATGAACATATCTGAGAGATTAAAAACTACAAGGAGGCCTAGACATTGTAGGTGCCCACACTTTTGTGAGTTTCCCTCCAGGAGCTTGATCAGGTTCTCGTGGTAAATATCAGAGAAAAATCCCCTTATGCTTTCACTGGCAGGAGAGGAATAAAAAGTATTTTGAAAGACACCAAAGCATTCTGTCTGTAACAAGAACTGCCTTCAAGAGAAACTATTTTACTAAAGCCTAACCTCTTGTGTTTTATCAAAGCCTAATTGACCAGGGTAAAGAAAAATACCCAATTCTAGCCCATTCTAGTTATCCTTTCTTATTTAAAGGGGTCGGAGGAGGATTAAGAAGCACTGATGGAGTTGACAGCACAGGGGCATAGGCTTACTAAGAAAGTGAGACCTAATTATAAGACTATAAAATGCCTTTCTTCACACCTTACCATAGCCACTGAAGGCCTATTTACTGGAGTACAATTTATGTAATACATTCTGTCTGGCTTTCAACAAAAATTATAAAGCATACTAAAAGGCAAAAGGCACAGATTAAAGAGATAGAGCAAGCACCAGAACTAGACTCACATATGGCAGAGATGTTGGGGTTAGCAGGAATTTAAAACAACTATGATTAATATGCTAACAGAAAAAGTAAATAACATATAAGAACAGATGGGTAATATAAGTAAAGAGATAGAGATTCTAAGACATAATCAAAAAGAAATGCTAGCGACTAAGGCACTCTAATGGAAATGAAGAATGTCTTTGATGAGCTCATTTGTAGATTGAACATAGTTGCAAAAAGAATCTCTGAGCTTTGAAAATATATTAATAAAAGCTTCCAAAACTGAAAAGTAAAGAAAAAAAAGGAATGGGAAAAAGAGATCAGAATATCCAAGAATTGTGAAACAACTACAAAAGGTGTAACATAAATGTAAAGGGAATACCAGCAGAAGAAAGATTAAAGGGAACAAAAGAAATATTTGAGAAAAAAACAACCGAAAATTTCCCCCAAATTAACGGCATGACCAAATCACCAATCTAGGAAACTCGAAGAACACCCAGCCAAGATAAATGCCAAAAAACTAAACCCAGACATATCATATACAAACTGTAGAAAATTAAAGAAAAATTCTTGAAAGAAGCCAGAGGGGAAAAACACCTTACCTATAATATAAAAGCAAAGATAAAAATTCAGTTCAACCTCTCAGAAAGCATGTGCAATGGGTTGAATGTTTATGTTCCTTCAAAATTCATGTTGACATAGTAACCCGTTAAGTAATGTTACCAGGAGGTGGGGCCTCTGGGAGATGATTAGGTCACAAGGGCAGAAGTCTTGTGAAGGTGAATAGTGCCCTTATTTAAAATAAATAAATAAACAAACAAACAAACAAACAAACAGAGAGATCTCTCACCTCATCTGCCATGTGAAGTAACAGTGAGAAGATGGCTGTCTAAGAGGGAAATAGGCCTTCACCTAACTCCATATCCACCAGTGCCTTGATGTTGGACCTTCCAGCCTTCAAAATTGTCAGGAATAAATGTCTGTTGTTTGTAAACCACACAGTCTGTGGTAGTTTGTTATAGAAGCTCAAACAGATTAAGATAGCATGCAAATGAGAAGAGGATGCAGTGTAACGTTTAAAGCTTTGAGATAAAAAAAACACCAACCTAAAATTCTGTACCCTGAAAAATAACATTTCAAAAATGAAGGAGAAATAAAGACTTCCTCAAACAAAATTTAAACAGAGGAAATTTTTGTAGTTCTTCTGCCTTGCAACAAATGTTTTAAAAAGTTCTTCAGAGAGAAGGAAAATAATATAAGCCAAAAACCTAGATCCAAGTAAAGAAAAAAAGTAGATTGGAGAAGAAATAAGTGAAGGCAAAATGAAAACTTTTATTTTTCTTATTCTTAATTGATCTAAGAGACAACAGTTTGTTCAAAATAATGATAGCAGCAATGTATTTGATTATGTGTAGCATATATATATACTTATGTATGAAATAAATTACAGCAATAAGAGAGAGAAGGGAGGAACTAGAATTATTTTGTTAATATTATGATGAACTTGCGCTACTGTGAAGATATATAGTGTTATTTGAAAGTGGACTTGGATTAGTTGTAAATATATATTACAAACTCAATGAATAGCAAACAGTAACAAATATAGTATTTATGAATCCAAATATATAAATAATCACTTTAAATGTGACAGGCCTAAATGTACCATTTAAGAGACCAAGATTGGACTAGAGCAGATCAAAATGCGAGATCCATTTATATGTTGTTTATAAGAAACGTACTTCAAATACAAAGAAACATATACTTTAAAAGTAAAGGGATGAAGAAACATATATCTTGGTAAAACTAATCGAAAGAAAATGGGAAGCAGAAATTTTGCATGTTACTGAAATTACGCTGCTATAAATTCAAATTACAGTGTTACACAAAATAAAATGAGAAAATAAACATGTTACTACAAAAAGAAAAAAGAAAACCTACAAAACTGCAGCTAAACACAAAAGAAGACAATAATTTCAGACAGAGAAGACTTCAGAGCAAGAATTATCAACAATAAACATTGACATTACATAATTAAAAAGGGTTCAATTCTCCAAGACAACACAACAATCTTTAATGTTTATGAACTCAACAACAAAACATCAAAATATGCGAGGCAAAAACTGACCGAATAATAAAGAGAGATATATGAATCCACTATTATAGCAGGATACTTCAGTGCCCCCTATCAGAAATAGATACTTCCAGCAGGCAGAAAAATTAGTGAGGAAATAGTTGAACTCAACAGCACCATAAATCAACTAGATATAATCAACATCTATAGACTATGTCATCCAACAACAGCAGATTACACATTATTCTCAAACTCAAGTGAAACATTCATAAAGCTAGAGGAAACTCTGAACTGTAAAGCACACACATTAACAAATTTAAAGGAATAGAAATTATACAATATCTGTTATCAGAGCACAATAGAATTAACCTGGAAATAAATAACAGAAAGATAGCCAAAAACTTCCAAAATCTTTGGATATTAAATTACTCACTTCTACATGACATATTTGCTATAGTTTGGATGTCTGTCCTCCCCTAAACCTCATGGTGAAATTTGATCCCTGATATGGTTTTGTTGTCTCCCCACCCAAATCTCATCTTGAATTGTAACTCCCACAATTCCCACATGTCATGGGAGGAACCCAGTGGGAAGTGATTGAAATATGGGGGCAGATCTTTCCTGCACTGTTCGTATGATAGTGAATGAGTCTCATGAGATCTGATGGTTTTAAAAATGGGAATTTCCCTGCACAAGGTCCTCTCTTGTCTGCTGCCATGTAAGACATGATTTGTTCCTCCTTGCCTTCTGCCATGATTGTGAGGCCTCCCAGCCATGTGGAAATGTAAGTCCATTAAGCCTCTTTCTTTTGTAAATTGCCCAGTCTCGGATATGTCTTTATCAGCAGTGTGAGAACAGACTAATACAGTAAATTGGTACCAGGAGTAGGGTGCTGCAGTAGATACCTGAAAATGTGGAAGCAACTTTGGAACTGGTTAACAGGCAAAGGTTGGAACAGTTTGGAGGGCTCAGAAGAAGATAGAAAAATGTGGGAAAGTTTGGAACTCCCTAGAGACTTGTTGAATGGCTTTGACAAAAATGCTGATAGCAACATGGATAATAAGGTCCAGGCTAAGGTGGTCTCAGATGAAAATGAGGAACTTGTTGGGAACTGAAACAAAGGTGAGTCTTGTTATGTTTTAGAAAAGAGGCTGGTGATATTTTGCCCCTGACTTAGAGACTTGTGGAACTTTGAACTTGAGAGAGATAAGTTAGGGTATCTGGTGGAAGAAATTTCTAAGCAGCAAAGCATTCAAGAGATGACTTGAGTGCTGTTAAAGGCACTCAGTTTTGAAAGGAAAACAGAGTAAAAAAGTTTGAGAAATTTGCAGCCTGACAATGTGATAGAAAAGAAAATCCCAGTTTCTGAGGAGAAATTCAAGCTGGCTGCAGAGATTTGCATAAGTAACAGGAGCCAAATGTTAATCCCCCACACAATGGGGAAAATGTCTCCAGGGCATGTCAGAGGTCTTCACATCAGCCCCTCCCATCACAGACCCAGAGGTCTAGGAGGAAAAAATGGTTTTGTTGGCCAGGCTCAGAATCCCTCTGCTGTGGGCAGTCTAGGGACTTGGTGCCCTGCATCTCAGCTGCTCCAGCCATGACTAAAAGGGACCAAGGTACGGCTTGGGCTATTGCTTCAGATGGGGGAAGTGCCAAGCCTGGCAGCTTCCACATGGTGTTGAGCCTGAAGGTACATAAAAGTCAAGAATTGAGATTTGGGAACCTCCCCCTAGATTTCAGAAGATGTATGCAAATGCCTGGATGCCTCAACAAAGGTTTGCTGCAGGGGCAGGGCCCTCATGGAGAACCTCTACTAGGGGACTGCAGAAGGGAAATGTAGGGTTGGAGCCCTCACACAGAGTTCCTACTGGGGCACCACCTAGGGGAGCTGTGAGAAGAGGGCCACTGTCCTCCAAACCCCAGAATTATAGATCCACCAACACCTTGCACCATGCTCCTGGAAAAGCTGCAGACACTCAGTGTCAACCCATGAAAGCATCCAGGAGGGAGCCTGTACCCTCCAAAGCCACAGAGGTGGAGCTGCCCAAGATGATGGGAGCCCACCTCTTGCATCAGTGTGACCCAGATGCAAGACATGGAGTCAAAGGAGATCATTTTGGAGCTTTAAGATTTGACTGCCCTGGCATATTTCAGACTGTAGCCCTTTTGTTTTTGGCCAATTTCTCCCATTTGGGATGGCTGTATTTACCCAATTCCTGTACCCCCCATTGCATCTAGGAAGTAACTAACTTGCTTTTGATTCTACAGACTCATAGGCAGAAGAAACCTGCCTTGTCTCAGATAAGATGTTGGACTGTGGATTTTTGAGTTAACGCTGAAGTGAGTTAAGACTTTGAGGGGCTGTTGGGAATGCATGATTGGTTTTGAAACGTGAGGACATGAGATTTGGGAGGAACCAGGGATGAAATGGTATGGTTTGGCTGTGTCCACACCCAAATCTCATCTTGAATTCTAACTTCCACAATTCCCACATGTCATGGGAGGAACACAGTGGGAGGTGATTGAATTATGGGGGTAGATCTTTCCTATGCTGTTATCATGATAGTGAATGAGTCTCACGAGATATGATGGTTTCAAAAACAGGAGTTTTCCTGCATAAGCTCTTCTCTTCTCTGCCACCATGTAAGATGTGACTTGTTCCTCCTTGCCTTCTGCCACAATTTGAGGCTTCCCCAGCCACATGAAACTATAAGTCTATTAAGCCTCTCTCTGTTGTAAATTGCCCAGTCTCAGGTATGTCTTTATTAGTAGCATGAAAACAGATTAATAAATTCCCAACGTTAGAAGTGGGACTTAAGGGAGGATATTTGGTCATGGGGGCAGATCCCTCATGAATAGATTAATACAATCCATTGAGAGTGAGTGAGTTCTCACTCTAATAGTTCCTACAAGAGCTTGGCATTAAAAAAGAGCCTGGCACATCCCCCCATCCTTTTCTTCCTCTCCTGCCATGTAATCTCTACACACACTGGCTCTCTTTCACCTCCTATCATGAGTTGAAACAGCTTGAAGCCCTCACCAGAATCCAATAGATATGAACGCTATACTTCTTGTACAGCCTGAAGAAACATGAACTAAATAAATGTCTTTTCTTCATAAATTACCCATCCTCTTTATTTATAGCAACACAAAATGGACTAAGACATCATAGATCAAAAAATAAATCTCAAGGAAAACTTCAAAACATTTTGAACTAAATGAAAATAAACATATAATTATCAAACTTTGTGGATGCAGCAAATCAGTGCTTTGAAAATTTTCTAACATTAAAATGTATATGTTAGAAAATAATAAATATTTCAAATCAATAATCTAAGCTTCTACCATAGGAAACCAGAAAACAAGGCAAATCAATTCCAAAGCAAGCAGATGAAAAAAAATAATAAAAATTACAGCAAAAATTAATAAATTAAAGACAGAAAATCAGTGAAGAAAAATCAATGAAAGCAAATGTTGGTTCTTTGAAAAGATCAGCAAAATCAACAAACCTCCAGCCAGACTAAGAATAAAAAGAGAAGACACAAATAACTAAGATTGGAAATGAAAAAGGAGACATAATCACAGATCTCATGGACACTAAAAAGATAATAAAGGAATATTATTAACAACTCTATGTCCCCCAAAATTGATAATCTAGATGAAATGAACCAATTCCTTAAAATACACAATCTGCCAAAATTCTCACAGGAAAAAACAGACAGCCTGAATGGGCCTTTATCAATTAAAGAAATTGAATCAGTAACTAGTAACCATCCCAAACAGAAAGTCTCTTGCCCAGATGGATTTGTTAGCAAATTCTAACAAACATTTAAGAGAAATTATATCAATTCAATAACTGCCAGAATATAGAAGCAGAGGGAACAATTCCTAACTCATGTTATGAGGTCAGCATTACTCTGATATTAAAACCAAAGATATCACAAAAAAACCACAGACCAATATCCTCATAAAGATGCAAAAATCCTCAAAGTAAATAGCAAATTGAATCCAACAATTTATGAAAAGAATTATATACCATAACCAAGTGGAATTTATTCTAGGAATGCAAGGCTAGTTCAACATTCAATAATTAATTAATGTAATCTATCACATCAATAGCCTCAAGGAGAAAATCACATCATCATTTTAATAAACATATAAATAGCATTTGACAAAATTGAACACTCATTGATGATAAAAACCCTCAGCAAAGTAGGAATAAAGAGAACTTCTTCAATTGGATAAAGAACACCTACAAAAAATGTACAGCTAACATCATATTAATACTTAATGGGGAAAAGGAGAAGTTTTCCCAAAAAGATCAGAAACAACACAGGAAGATTTCCTCTTACTACTCCTTTAAAACATTATACTGGAAGTCCTAGCTAATTCAGTAAGACAAGAAAAGGAAAAAATGTTATGCTAATTGGGAAGGAAAACATAAAACTGTCTCGGTTTACCAGTGACATGATTGTATATGTAGAAAATCCTAAAGAATTCATCAGAAAAAAATCTCCGGGAACTAATAAGCAATTACAGCCAGGTTATGGGATGCAAGGTTAATATACAAAAGTTAATTGCTTTCTAACATATCAGCAATGAACAAGTGGAATTTGAAATTTAAAACATACTATTATTTGCATTGGCATCCCCAAAAGTGAAACACTTAGGCATAAACATAACAAAATATGTACAGAATCTGTATAAAGAAAACTACAAAACTCTAATGGAAGAAATCAAAGAACTAAATAAATAGAGAGATATGTCATGCTCATGGATAGAAAACTCAATATTGTCAAAATGTTCATTCTCCCCAACTTGATCTACAGATTCAATGCAATCCCAATCAAAATTCTAAAAAATTATTTTGTAGATATTGTCAAACTAGTTCTAAAGTTTCTTTTGAGATTCAAAACACCAAAATAACCAAACAAGATTGAAGAAAAAGAACAAAGTCAGAGAACTGTCACAATCTGACTTAAAGACTTACCATAAAGCTACAGTAACCAAAACAGTGCGATATTGGTTAGAGAATAGGTAAATAGATCAAGGAAACAGAATAGGAAACAAAACTAGACCTATATAAATATAGTCAACTGGCCTTTGACAAAGTAGAAAAGGCAATAAATTGAAGAAAAGATAATCTTTTCAACAAATGGTGCTATGATAGAACAGCTGAACATCAATATTAAAAAACAAGAAAAGCAATCCAGACGAAAACCTTATACCCGTCACAAAAATTAACTCAATATACATTACAGACCTAAATGTAAAATGCAAAACTACAAAACTACCATGAGATAATATAAGAGAAAAATCTAGATAACCTTGGGTATGGCAATGACTTTTATTTTTATTTTTTAATTCAATTTATATTTCAGATACAGGGGTTACATTTGCAGGTTTGTTACGTATTGTTAAATATTGCATCCAGGTAGTAAGCATAGTACCCATTAGGCAGTTTTTCAAACCCTCCCCAACCAGTAGTCCACAGTGTACCCAATAGGTAGTTTCCAACCCTCCCCCTTCTAGTAGTCCACAGTGTCTGTTGTTCCCATGTTTGTGTCCATGTGTGTGCTCAATGATTAGCTCCTACTTATAAGTGAGAATCTGTGGTATTTGATTTTCTGTTCCTGTATCAATTCACTTAGGATTATGGCTTCCAGGTTCATCCATGTTGCTGCAAAGGGCATGATTTCATTCGTTTTATGGCTGTGTTGTAGTCCATGCTGTATAAATATCACATTTTCTTTATCTAATCCATCATTTGTGGGTACCTAGGTTGACTTCATATCTTTGCTATTGTGAATAGTGTGGTAATGAACATACAATTGCCTGTGTCTTTTCCGTATAATGATCTATTTTTCTTTGGGTTATGATGTGATTTGAATTTGTGTCCCTGCCCAAATCTCATGTTGAATTGCAATCCTCAATGTTGGAAAAGGGGGCAAACTTCCCCCTTGTTCTCATGACAGTGAGATAGTGAGTGAGCTCTCATGAGATCTGTATTTTTTTAAAGTATGTATCTCCTCCCCCTGTGCTCTCTTCCCCCTTCTCCAGTCATGTAAGACGTACCTCTTTCCTCTTTGCCTCCTGCCATGATTGTAAGTTTCCTGAGGCCTCCTCAGCCATGCTTCCTGTACAGCCTGCAGAACCATGAGCTGATTAAACCTCTTTTGTTTATAAATTACTCAGTCTCAGGTCATTCTTTATAGCAATGTGAGAACAACTCACATTGAAGTTGTTCAATGTGAACAACAGGTTATATACTCAGTAAGGGGATTGTTGGGTCAAATGGTAGTTCTGTTTTAAGTTCTTCAAGAAATCTCCAAACTGCTCTCCGTAAGAGCTGAACTAATTTGCATTTCCACCAAAAGTGAATAAGTGTTCCTTTTTCTCTGCAGCTTCACCAACATTTGTTGTTTTTTGACTTTTTAATAATAGCCATTCTGACTGGTATGAGATAGTATCTCATTGTGGGTTTTGACTTGCATTTCTCTGATGATTGGTGATGATGAGTATTTTTTCATGTTTGCAGGCCACTTGTCTTCTTCAGGAAAGTGTCTTTTCACACACTTTGCCCATTTTTTAATGGGATAATTTGGTTTTTGCTTGTTGATTTGTTTATGTTTCTTATAGATTCTAGATATTACATCTTTGTCAGATGCATAGTTTGTGAATATTTTCTCTCATCCTACAGGTCGTCTGTTTACTCTATTAATAGTTTCTTTTGCTGTGCAGAACTCCTTAATTAGGTTCCACTTGTCAATTTTTGTTTTTGTTGCAATTACTTTTGAGGACTTAGACAAAAATTCTTTGCCAAGGCTTATGCTTAAAAGGGTACACCCCGGGTTCTCTTCTAGGATTTTTAAGGTTTGAGGTCTGACATTTAAATCTTTAATTCATCTTGAGTTAATTTTTGTATATGGTAAAAGGTAAGGGTCCAGTTTCATTCTTCCACACATGGCTAGCCAGTTATCCCAGCACCATTTGTTGAATAGAGAGTCCTTTCCCCATTGATTGCTTTTGTGGGCCTTGTTAAAGAGAAGATGGCTCTAAGTATGCAGCTTTATTTCTGAGTTTTCCATTCTGTTCCACTGGTCTATGTGTCTGTTTTTGTACCAGTACTATGCTGTTTGGGTTACTTTATAGTATAGCTTGAAGTCAGGTGGTGTGATTCCTCTGACTTTATTCTTTTTGCTTAAGATTGTCTTTGTTATTTAGGCTCTTTTTTGGTTCCACATGAATTTTAAAATAGTTTCTTTTTTTTCTAATTCTGTGAAGAATGACATTGGTAGTTTGATAAAGACAGCATTGAATCTGTACATTGTTTTGGGCAGTTCATTGGCCACTGGCAGTAAAATTGGCCATTTTAATGATATTGATTCTTCCTATCCAGGAGCATGGAATTTTTTTTCATTTATTTGTGTTGTCTCTGATTTCTTTCAGCATTGTTTGGTAGTTTTCCTTGTGGATATCTTTCACTGCCTTGGTTAGCTGTATTCATAGGTATTATATTTTCCTCATGACTATTGTAAATATATTGTGTTCTTGATTTGACTCTTAGCCTGGATATTACTGGTGTATAGAAATGCTGCTGGTTTTGTACATTGATTTTGTATCCTTAACCTTACTAAAATTGTTTATCCATTCTAGGAGCCTTTTGGCAAAGTATTTAGGGTTTTCTAGGTATAGAATCATATTTTCAGTGAAAAGAAAGAGTTTGACTTTTTCTTTTCTTATTTGGATGCTTTTATTTCTTTATCTTGCCTGATTGCTCTGGCTAGGGCTCCCAGTACTATGTTGGATAGGAGTAATAAGAGTGGGCAAACTTGTATTATTCCAGTTCTAATGGGGAATGGTTCCAACTTTTGCACATTCAGTATCATGTTGGATGTGGATTTATCATAGATGGCTTTTATTATTTTAAAACGTGTTTATTTGACTCATAGTCTGTTGAAGGTTTTTATCATGAAAAGATGTTGTAATTTATTAAAAGCTTTTTCTGTGTCTATTGAGATGATCATATGGTTTTTTGCTCTTAATTCTTTTATGTAGTAAATCATATTTATGTATTTACATTTGTTAAGCCAGCCTTGCATTCCAGGAATGAAGTCTATTTGATCACGGTGTATTAACTTTGTAAAGTGCTGCTGGCTTCGGTTTGCTAGTATTTTGTAAATGATTTTTGCATCTATGTTTATCATGGATATTGGCCTGAAGTTTTCTGTTTTCATTGTGTCTTTGCCAGATTTTGGCATTAGGCTAATGTTGGCATCATAGAATGAGTTAGGGAGCAGCCCCTGTTCCTTGATATTTTTGAATAGTTTCAGTAGGATTGGTACTATTTCTTCTTTGCACATCTGATAGAATTCAGCTCTGAGTCCATCTGGTCCCAGACTTTTTTTGGTTGGTAGGTTTTTTATTCCTAATTAGTGCTTGATATTGGTCTATTCAGGGTTTCAATATCTTCCTGATCCAGTCCTGGGAGATTGTATGTTTCCAGGAATTTATCCATTTCCTCTAGATTTTCTAATTTGTGTGCATAGGATTTTCATAGTACTCTCTGAGAATCTTTTGTATTTCTGTGGGATTGGTTGTAATGTCATCTTGGTCATTTCTGATTGTATTTATTTGGATCTTCACTTTTATCTTTGTTAATCTAGCTAGAATCATATCAATCTTGTTTACTTTTTTCAAAAAACCAATCCTTGGTTTCATTGCTCTTTTATATGGATTTTTACAATTCAATTTTGTTCAATTCTTCTTTGGTTTTAGTTATTTTTTTTCTGCCACCCTTGGGGTTGGTTTGGGTTTTTCTCTAGTTCCTTTGGGTGCAAAATTAGATTGTTAATTTGATATTATTCTAACTTCTCAATGAAGACATTTAGTGCTATAACCTTTCCTCTAAACATTGGTTTAGCTGCATCCCAAAGGTTTTGGTAAGCTGTGTCCTTATTTTCATTAATTTCAAAAACATTTTTTATTTCTGTTCTAATTTTGGTGTTCACCCAGGAGTTATTCAGGAGCAAATTGTTTAATTTCCATGAATTTGTGTAGTTTTGAGAGATCTTCTTGATATTAATTTGTTTTTATTGCACTATGGTCTGAGAGTGTGCAAGGTCTGGTTTAATTTTTTTAATTGATTGAGATTTGCTTTATAACCAAGATGTGATCAATCTTAGAATATGTTTCATGTGGAGATGAGAAGAATGTATATTCTGTGGTTGCTAGGTGGAGTGTTCTGGAATGTCTGTTATGTTCAATTGATCAAGCATTGAGTTTAAATCCAGAGTTTTTTTGTTAGTATTCTGCCTTGATGATCTGTCTAATGCTGTCAGTGGAGTGTTGAAGTCTCCCACTATTATTGTGTGGTATTTTAAGTCTTTTCATAGGCCAAGAATAACGTGTTTTATTAATCTGGGCCCTCCAGTGTTGCATATGTATATATTTAGGATAGTTAAGTCTTCTTGTTGGGTTGTACCCCCTATTATTATGTAATGCCCTCCTTTGTCCGTCTTAATTTTTACTGGTTTAAAATCTATTTTATCTGATATAAGAATAGTGACTCCTGTTGTTTCTTGTTTTGTGTTTGTATGGTAGATCTTACTCTATCACTTTACTTTTAGCCTGTGGGTGTCATCACTTGTGAGATGGATCTGTTGAAGACAGCAGATGGTTGGATATTCTTTTTATCCAGCTTGCCATTATATGACTCTTAAGTGGGGCATTTAGCCAATTTATATTAAGGATTGGTATTGATATGTGAGATTTTGATCCTATCATCATGTTGTTAGCTAGTTATTATGTAGACTTGATTATATGATTGCTTTATAGCGCCTATGAGCTGTGTGACTAAGCATGTTTTTGTGGTAACTGGTGTCATTTTTTGGTTTCATGTTTAGCATTCCCTAAAGGACTGGTAAGGCTGGCCTAGTTGAGATGAATTCCCTCAGTGTTTGCTTGTCTGAGAAGGATCTTATTTCTCCTTCACTTATAAGCTTAGTTTTGCAAGATATGAAATTCTTGGTTGGAATTTCTTTTCTTTAAAGATGCTGAAAATAGGCCCCAAGTCCTGGTTTTTAAGGTTTCTGCTGAGAGGCCTGCTGATAGCCTGATGGGGTTCCTTCTCTATATGACTTGACCCTTCTCTCTAGTGGCCCTTAAGAATTTTTCTTTTGCATTGATCTTGGTGAATCTAATAACTATGTGCCTTGGGGAAAGTCATATTCTATAGTATCTAGCCAGGGTTTTTGGATTTTCATGTAAACCTTCAACCTTTCTAGCAAGATTAGGGAATTTTTTATGGACTATATCCTCAAATATATTTTTTGAGTTGTTTATTCTCTTTCATTCTCTCTCAGGAATGCCAATGAGTCACAGATTTGGTCTCTTTACATAATTCCATATTTCTCAAAGCTTTTATTCATTTTTAAAATTCTTTTTTCTTTATTTTTGTCTGACTAAGTTGATTCAAAGGACCAGTCTTTGAGCTCAGAAATTCCTTCCTTACCTTTGTCTATTGGGGTGTTAATACTTCTGAGTGTATTATGAAACTCTGGTAGTGAAATTTTAGCTCTAGAAGTTCGGTTTTCTTCTTTCTTGACTATTCCATTTTTCAGCTCTTGGATCATTTTACTGGATTCCTTGAATTGCCTGGATTGGCTTTCAACTTTCTCCTGAAACTTCGTGAGCTTCCTTGTCATCCAGATTCTGAATTCTATATCTGTCATTTCAGTCATTTCTGATTCATTTAACTATTTCTGGTGTACTAGTGGGCTTCTTTGGAAGTAAGAGGACATTCTGGCTTTTTGAAGGCAATGACTTTTTAGATATGACATAAAGGCATATTCCTAGAAAATAATAACTGACACACTGAAATTCATTAAAATTTAACACTTGTGCTCTATAAAAGACTGTGTCAAGAGAATAAGAAGACAAGCAATGGACTTTGGGTGACAATAATGTATCAATATATGTTTATCAATTGTAAAAAATGTACCACTCTGGTATGGGATATTGAGAGTTGGGGAGACGGTGGGGGACAGGCAGGGAAGGGATATGGGGGAACTCTATTTTTCACTCAATTTTACTGTGAACCCAAAACTTCTATCAAACTAAAGTCTATTTTTAAAAACCACTATTATGGAAAACCACATAGGTAAACAAAGGTTTAAAATTCAACTTGAAGCTATAAAGGGCTCAAGGTATATCATGTTCTTAGATAAGAATATTTAGTATCATAAAATTAAATCTCTATAAGTTAAACTACAAATATAACACAATCCCAGTAAAAAATACCAACAGGATTTTTAATTGCACAAACTGTTTTATATATATATAAAACAGAAAGCATTAATAACCAGAAAAAAAATCTATGAAAAAAAGAGTAATAAAAGAGATGGCTGGGCATAGTGGCTCGCACCTATAATCCCAGCACTTTGGGAGGTTGAGGGGGACAGGTCACAAGGTCAGGAGATCGAGACCATCCTGGCTAACACAGTGAAACCCCATCTCTACTAAAAATACAAAAAAATTAGCCGGGCATGGTGGCAGGCACCTGTAGCCCCAGCTACTCGAGAGGCTGAGGAAGGAGAATGGCGTGAACCCAGAAGGTGGAGCTTGCAGTGAGCCGAGATCACACCACTGGGCACTCCAGCCTGGGCAACAGAGCGAGACCCTATCAAAAAAAAAAAGTGGTATTCTACATTCTCTTTATGTATTAATATCAAATCCTCTTTAAGACAAAATAACTAAAGCAGTGTGGTGATTTTGCATGAACAAAATTTCAAACCAATAGAAGAGAATAAAAAGAGTAGAAATAAACTCAAATCTATGTGGTAATTCTGTAAATACTAAAAATGATCTCACATTAGTAAGGTGATGCTAGATTTTTATCTTTCAAAATATGATATTGGGGGAAAATGTAACCACCTGGAAAAATAATAAAGTTGGACATCTACCTAAAATTTTATAACATAATAAATTCAAATTAAATCAAAAATTTAAAATAAAAAGTAAAACTATAAAGGTACTGAATAGAGCCCTGGGAGACATCTTCTCTAATCTTTCAGTGGTATAGGCTTTTTCACCATGACACAAAACCTGGAGACCATAAAGTAAAATAAGGGTAAGTTGTGCTAAAATTTTAAATATTTGTTCATAGCGAACTCCACCACAGAAAAGTCAAAATACATGATTACCAAAAAGGTAGGGAGAAAAATCCACAATCAAAAGCAATTTCACAACACATGCACACACACCCACACACACACACACAAGCATACCTGCTTTTATTATTACATAATAGGCACTAGCCATCAATAAGAAAATATCGGCAACTCTTTAAGACAATATAAAAATTTTTTCATAAGAGAAATGAAATTTAAACTACTGATATATTTTACATATTAGAGTTGCAATGATAAAATGATTGATAATATTTATGCTATCCAGATTATATGTTAGAGGTTACAGGAACACTTGCATCTTGCTAGTTGGTGCACAGATCTATGATGGGTTTCAGCAACATCTATAAAAATTACAAATGTACATGCCCTCTTGCCCCACAATTCCAATTTTAGGAACCTATTTTACATATAAATGCACACATTCTACATATAAATACATACATATTCTACATATACATTTATGCAAAATGACCTACATACAAAGTTATATATTTTAATATTATTTCAGATAGCAATAGATTCAAAACAAACCAAATGTCACTAATAGGGAATTGGTTGAATAAATAAAAGAATATTCTGAAACTGTTAAGAATGCAGTAAAACAATTTTTTATCTACTGAGACAAAACAATCTCAATATAAGTTAAGTGGTAAAACAAGATACAGCATAGTGTGTATAGTATGTTTCCATTGTGTCAACAAGAGAGGAAAGAATATAAATGTTTGATTGTACTCTCCAGAAAGATTCATAAGAACACAATAACACAGGTTACCTGTGGGAAGCTGGAGACGGGTAGAAGGAGACTTTTCACACTCTACTCTTTTGAATATTTTACATTTTGAATTATGTGAATGCATTACCTGTTCCAAAAAATAAGTAAGTAGTTACATTTAACAAAAAATATTGCAAGAAGAGGAGGCTGCTTTCTCATTCCCTAGTTACATGTTACATTTTCTGGTGTGCTCTTTCTGCCTATCTGAGGAAGATGAGGAAAGAAATGGTAAGAGAAGACCCAGCAGGGAGCAGTAGGAGCCTGGTAGGGCTGGGAAGCTTGAGACTCTCAGGGGCCAGTGAACTCGGAAGATGTCTTGAACAAGAGGCAGTAGTTGATGGAAGTCAGAAAGAGGTGGGGTCGGAGGCTGTCTCTGCCTTCAGAAGATTGTGTCAAGGGAGAGCCCAGGCCACCCATGGAGAAGCCTTTGCATACCACAATATCAGCCAATCCGTCTTAGCAGGAGACAAAGACAGCCAAGATAAACTAAATCTGCAGTTAAGTAACAGATGCTTTTCTTTCCATCATCTTCCTCTGCAAGGCAACACTCCAGGAGAAAAAGGGAGCCAGAAGATGGGTGAGAGAAGGAGAGAGAGGACAGATGATGCCCGTCTACACATCCGGTCCCTTAGTCTAGTCCAGAGGGCAAAGAAAGAAGTAGATAAGCAGTAAAGTGGGCATGAGATGGAGATGTGGACCTTTTAATGGACCTTTCACTTATTATCTTTTTCAATACCTTGTTCATCTATGCAATAAGTAAGTAAGATGTTAGTAATAAAGCTTGATAATGTAACAAATATCCATGAGGCCACTATCCAACCCAAGAACAAAAACATTACAATATCATTTTTAATTGTACTAAAATACACACAACATAAAATGTATCATTTTAACCATTTTTGAATGTATAGTTCAGTAGCATTAAGTAAATTCACATTGTTGTGCAACCATCACCACCATCCGTCTCCAGAATTCTTTTCGTCTTGTAAAACTGAAAATTTGTACCCATTAAACAATAATTCCCCATTCCTCCCTCGCCACTGCCCTGGAAACCACAATTCTACTTTCTGTCTCTATAAATTTGATTACTCTAGGTACCTAAAAAAAGTGTAATCCTAAAATATTTTTCTTTTTGTAACTGTCCTTTTTCACTTACTGTAATTCAAGTTTCATCCATATTGCAGCATGACCACAAAGTTTGGAAACCAGCCCAAAATATTACCAAGCCATAGGAAAAGGAGGATCCACAAAATACAGTTGATTTAAAAATGAATGCATTTCATGTTTGTGTCTCAACTAAGTACAGAGTCTTCTCAACAAATCAGTTGCTGCTGATATTTCTCCTGCTGATACATTTAATCCTGTGGAATATCAGCAGCAACTGGTTTGTTGAGCAAACTGGTCTGTCTGCTGAAGTCCAAAATTAACAAATACCCAGTCCTTTACAGAAATATTGCCATGTTCTTCTAGAATTTCTTTCTTTAAAAATAAAGAACCCTTTCTTTCCTAATTTGAAATGTCTATTTATAGTTTGAAAATCAGGCAAATACCTATGCAGATGATAATGTCAGAAACTGTTTTCATCTCTGATAAGCCGAGTTTAAACAACTCTGTCTGAGGGAACATTCTTTGAGCTCAAGTTCCTCCTCCAATTATCTCTAAATAGACCTCAAAGCAAATGAAGATACTCTCACCATAGGTAACTTGCAGAAAATTTACAGATGCAATCTTTTCTCTTTTTTGCTTTCCTCAATCATTGTCCTACTCATAATGAAAATCTTAAGTGAAATAGTTAAGTATCATATTTCAATACTCTCCTAAAGTAAAAACATGGAGATGGTAGAGTCAGCAAAAACTTTTGGAGTCAGCAAAAATTTAATGTGCATGCGCTCTGACATTGTTCATTAGGTATTCTGATTTTATATTTGCAGTAGGGGTAAAATTGCTCAACAATAAATATATAAGATTATGTCTAGAAATTTAGTATGTCCAAAGAGCCAGGCACAGTGGCTCTCACCTGTAATCCCAGCTACTTGGTAGGCTGTGGAGGGAGGATCACTGGAGTCCAGGAGTTTGAAACCAGCCTGGGCAACATAGTGAGACCTTGTGTCTAAAAAAATGGAAAAAAAAAACATTAGGTGAGCATGATGGCACATGCCTATAGTCTAGTGGGGAGGCTAAGGAGGGAGGTTTGCTTGAGTCCAAGAGTTGAAGCCTGTAATGAGCTATGATGGTGCCACTCTACTCCAGCCTGGGTGACTGAGAAAGACCCCATCTCTAAAAAAATTGTGTGTATATACATACATACATATATATATACACACACACACACACACACACACACACATACACACACATATATTTTATATATATTGTATAAATATATATTATTTGGGTGTATATATTATATATAAGAATACTTATATTAATATATATATTCTTTGGATATAAAGAAATACATCCATAATCTCTCTGGTTTCTTTGTGCTATCAGAGATAGAATAAGTAACCATAAACTAGTTATCTACTGCTAAAGAAACAGATATCTTTATTTTGTGAGTCTATAAAGTTCAGAAGGAGAAAGGCCAAAGGCCACTGTCTTTCTAATAATATAATATACAAAACACAAGAACACTTGTAAAAAGGGATTACTCCAGAAAAAAAGATCAAACAGTTCATTAAAATTCATTTTATAAGATATCTTTCACAGATACTATGCTAACTTCTGAGAAATTTAACATCCTGTTGAGATCACAATGATCTGCAAGACAAAAGAGAAAGAAAATTATTTTATACAAAAAAGTACAACTAAATTATGAGACCTTTCAAGATTTGAAATGCAATTTATTTTTTCATATCAGAAAAATGAACTTTTTTGATCTGATGAGCTAATATATAATTCAATCTCTAGGTATAATGTATAGTATTTTTTTCCTCAAGTTGTCCTTTAAGAACCTGATTCAGGCCAGGCATGGTGGCTCATGCCTGTAATCCCAGCACTTTGTGAGGCTGAGGCAGGTGGATCACTTGAGGTCAGGAGTTCAAGACCACCTGGCCAATGTGGCAAAACCCTACCTCTACTAAAAATATAAGAATCAGCTGCACATGGTGGCACGCACCTGTAATAGCAGCAACTCAGGAGGCTGAGGTAGGAGAATCGCTTGAACCCAGGAGGCAGAGGTTGCAGTGAGCTGAGATCACACCACTTGCACTCCAGCCTGGGGGACAGAATGAGACTCCGTCTCAGAGAGGCGGGAAAAAAACCTGATTCAGCAGTTCAGTTGGCTTGTTTTATTTTTCAGTGTCTTTAACACCTTACACGCACAAACTTTCTAACTTTCCCCATTACAAGTGATGAAAAGCATTTTGATGACTTGTGCAGCAGTATCAGCAATACACCATATTTGAAATTGGAAAAAGGAACTTCTTAGAGATAAACTTATTTGGACTTTACTGAAATGCACAGAGAGAGGAAATCTTCCCCACCCTCCTCCCTGAATAAGGTGATTTCGTTATGTTGTTTTTAAACAGACACTTTCCTGGAGACTCCCATCATTAATTAGGCTAATTTTACTGGGTGATGACCCTTCAAACTTGAATGGGAAGGGAAAGTCACAGGCTATTTCCTCATTTTTCCAAAACTCTTTTCCGAGTGTTACGATTTCAGAAATCAGAATGTGATTTGTTCTGAGGTGAAAATTAACTGAGAGTTCCTTGTGCCCATTATCTGCCTAGATGAACAAAGAAAGTCCTTCTCTTCCTTCACCATCACCATCACTACCATTAACTAAATAACAACTTATAGCAGGCATTGCCCTTTTAACATACTGCTTGCACATGTATGATCTAAAGTAAATTGCTCTCAGTTCTAGCTGCACCTTAGAACATCAAGAGCTTGTAAAAATACAGCTGCCCAGGTCTGCTACAGATCAATTGTTTTAGATTTTTTAAGGGTCGGACTTAGATGTCCGTATTTTTTACATTTCCCCAAGAGATTCTGAAGGACAGTGAATACTGAGAGTCCCTGAAAATTCAATTTTCACGAAAATCTTTGGGCAGACATTGTTATTAACCCTGGCCATCATTCAGGCTCAGGTCTGCATTCTTCTAAATATTATATTTTTTAACTATTTTTCTATACTGTTTCCAAATAGCAGCAAGTACTTGGAATGGAAGCTACATTGACTCATGTCATATTCTTTCTAATCAAAACATGTAATATGTCTAAAATTTATAAAGTGCAGGAGAAAATTACCATAATAAAAGGGGTCATTTTCTTAATATTTTTAAAAGAGGAAAAATGGCCAGAGGATAAATAGGCTTTAAATTAATTCATCTGAGAACCAGCGAATAACATTAATAACTACCAGGACTTCAAGCACTTGGCCTTGGACTCCAGCTTTCAGTGTGTTTGTCATTTGTCATAATTAGAGTCACATTCTTAGTCACATCTAGCAGATAAAAAATATTGGCTGCAGGTAGCTAATAGTTGCAGTGAAACCAAGTAACTATTTGGAAGGCTGAGTTTCCGTGCTCCACAACGCAAGGTATTCCTATAAATAAACCTCTCTTCAGTTGCTCCCTTTACCATGAGCCCACCGCTAAAAAAGAATCTGTCACCTATTATTAGTGTCCATGCTCATCAGTAGTGCCTCTGTGATGGCCTATACTTCACACAATTACTTCCATCTGTTTCCCATAGCAATATCTCTTTCCCCAGGGAGAAATCTAATAATTTCACCCACCCTGACATCAAGTTCTCTTTGGCCAAAGTGGCTTCTGAGGAACACAAAACACCACCAGATTCTAAAATAGTATGTCCTGTTTTTTCCTTTCTCTCAACTTAGAAGATGTGAGTGACACATAGCTCATTAGAGACCACGTTATCGGCATTCTGTTAGAAAGTGGAGAGAGGAAACATATTTTCGTATTCTGATTATTTTCAGAGTAATATAGGTTTAGCAACCTGTTTACTGGCAGCACACAGAACCTGGCAGCAGATTTCCTCCATGTGTGAAGTGCACGATGGCACTCGACATGCACTCATTGACAAGTTCCCCACACCAGCACCACATGCCTGCTGAGCACAGGAAGTATGCTGGCTCCCACATACAAAGACACTTTCTGCTTTAAGTAGCTGCTATCCATTCCTTTGGGATTGGTACTTTTAATTTGTTAAGGGTAGAATTGCGGAAATGCTTAGAATTGTTTGGGCTCTCTTTTTCCCACAGGTCCACAATGGCAAAAGTGCTGTACACAAAGGTGGTTTCCCTCAGCAGCTGTATTTCATTTCTAACCAGAACAATAACGAGCTCAATAAGACATAACATATAGATAATTGTATAGTTTTTCCTCCATTGATTTACTGAATGCAAACCTTAATCTATTTCCTTAATTGTATTCATGATTGGTAAGATAAATATTTAGAATAATGGTTTAAAGACCATCATTAGTTAGAGAAATAAGATTTAAATATTTGCCTCCAATTATAGTTGTGTGTGCATTTTCAGCAATCAGTCATTAGTCAAGAACATTTTGAGCACGCAGTAGATCAAAATATAGTGCCTCTGGGAATCTAAAAAGATTTCAGGCATGATCCTCTTCAAGGAATTTACAAGACAGTAAAAGAGATTCCCATCATGAAAGTAATTGTTTTCAGAAATCATTTGTAAGGAAGACAAATTAGCAAGCTGAGCACCCAGTGAAATCTTTCATATGCCTAGGCCCTTTTTCATTATTACTGAAATAAAATATCTGCTAGTGACACATAAAATACCTAAAGCAAAAAAAGTAAATAATTTGTTTTGATATAAATACAAATAGGATTTATGGGATTGGTAAATGAAGAAATGATACCAGGATAACGTTAAAGTTGTATTGATTTATACATGATTATTTTGGCCCAGTAATAATTTGTGCCACCAAGTACTAGCAGTTGAACTCAAAGAACACTAACAAAATTGAATATAGCAATACAGCTGAATACAGCAAGCCATTGCAGATTTGCACCAGTTTGGTCATGTACTCCTGACTCAGTTTGGTCATGTACTCTGTCTTGAAAACAGTTATTTCAGGTTCTTCTAGATGTTGCTACAGTTTGCTCTTGTCTTTCTAACTCAGTAGTTATGCCTGATATCTTTCCCCCCATGCCACTCCCATTATGAAAATACCTTTGTTTTCAATTTTAAAATACATTTACGGCAGTATTTTATTTATTTGGAATTTAGGTCTTTTGAAACTAAAATTTGTATTAGGATTATGTATTAGTCTGTTCTCACACTGCTACAAAGAACTACCTGAGACTGAGTAATTTATAAAGAAAAGAGGTTTAATTGGCTCACAGTTCCACAGGCAGTACAGAGGGTATGGCTGGGGATGCCTCAGGAAACTTACAATTATTGCAGAAGGGCAATAGGGAAGCAAGCCTTTTCTTCATATGGCAAACTAGGAGGAAGTGTCACACACTTTTAAACCATCAGATCTCATGAGAACTCACTCAATACCATGAGAACAGCAAGGGGGAATCCGCCCCCATGATCCAATCACCATCCACCAGGTCCCTCCCCCAACATTAGGAATTACAACTCAACACGAAATTTGGGTGGGGACACAGAGCAAAACCATATCAGATTACTGTTATTCTTGTTAGTGGTCTGGTCACAAAGCTTAGGTTTTGAGTGACCTGCCCCAAGCACATTTTCCTTGTAAGTTCTGATACTTGATTAGTGCACAATTTTGCAGAATACAAGGTTCCCAGGAATGCATATTCAGGCCAAATGTGAACCTAATGAAGGCAAAAATCATGGCAAGTGTTGAAAGATGATTAGGGAAGGCATTACAGCTGCATGCCTCATCCAGATGTTGAAAGAAGGGTAAAACTGAAACAAGCACAGAAGAGGGAAGAGATGGGAAGAGCAGCAGGAGCAAAGAGGGAGAAGTCATCAATGTAAACCATGTGGTTAGAACCATCAGTAGAACAAGATCAAGTAGGAGGAAAGTGTTTTAAATTAGATTTACCATAAATATAAAGGCCTCAGATGCTAAAGTTTCTTCTTTAAAGAGTGGAGAGCTATTGGGACTTTGGGGTAGAGGTGGGAACTGGGGGATTGACAAAGCAATTCCTTTTCAGTGCAGCAAGGACTTCTAGAAAGCTTCTAGTCTATCCCTATTCTTTTATACTTAAAAAACTGAGGTCCAGGTAGGTGACTAATTTATTCACATTCATGTTAATTAGTGGCCTATGTCTCCTGGTTCCCAGTCTCAAGCCCTTATGACTATACCCATGTAGGACAAAAGACATTTAAAAAGTAATATTATGACTATAGCAATTGAGGACCTGGTCTGTACAGGCATTGTTAGATATGGAAAGAAAGAAATTTATTTTTAAGACTTTATGAAGAGAGGATATATATTTATGCATGGTAAATAACTAATGAGGGATAAGTATTTCCTGAAGCTGTAACTTCATATATGTCATCCTGTATATGACAAATTATTTGAGGTAATTCATATGTCTCTTGTGATGATACATAAACTATTATGGTAATATTTGGTAATACCCAGCAGATCATTTCAGGGTTAAAATGTAGAAAAATACATGGCTCATCTCTGAAAATAATAATGAAAAGAAGCAAGAGGAAAAGTTAAGCCATGTATACAGCGGTAGAATTAGTCCATGAAGCTGGACCGAGACTATGTTCTACTCTGCTCTTACCAGGAAATGAGCTATCAAACAAGAAGATTCTCCCCACTCCATGTTATAGCTAGTTAGGAGGAGAGAGACAGTAAAGACTCCCCAGGTGTGTCAAGGAAGCCAATCCTTCCTAGTCGCATGGCCAGCACATGATACCTATGCAGCATTTATAGAGCATGAGATGAAGATGCTCTAGGACAAGCTAGCCCTTTAGTGGACCACATCAGAGAGGCATTTCTTTGGTATAGTACCACTTTTAAAGTCTAAAATTATGATTTTGCCAGGGTACTCAGAGTTCCTCACTTTCTAAGGAACTAACATCATTCTTTCACGTTAACGAAACTCCCAACAGACTGCTGCATCTGCCAAAATTCCAATGAGAAAAAACAGACCACAAGATCCAGGGTCACTCAGTAATGCATGATTTCTCTTTAAAAATCTATTTAGAAACCACAGCATAATCAGAAAATTGTGCTGAGTGCATGGAGGCAAAGGAAAGGGAATTATTTAAATGACTTTAAAACCCTTGTCATGGTGCAATGACAGCCTCAGACATCCAAATTCAAATCAATAGAGATCTACCAGACAGGCGAGAATACACATATTCACTGATTAGGGCTGCAGTGGACTGGTTTTAAGGAAATATTTTTATGAAAAGTCTTGTAAAGAAAAACAACCTTGAGTTACATTTTGAGCAATTATAAGCAATTTTGTAGGAGTTGCAGTTAGAATCTTTACACGATATGTGATTTTAAAATAATTCAAAGCACAATTTTACTTTGCCAAAAGGCTATTCTATGAACTCCTTCCAGATAATTATAGATTAATCTGATAACAGCCACTAATTAGACTATGAAGAAAATTAGTGAATCAATTGTGGTTCTCTTGGAACAACAGTCTTCCAGAAGATTGGGTGGGAGGGAGGCTTGCTTAAAATTTCTTATTTCAGAAACAGTTTAGAGAGTAAAAACAGTAAAATTAAATGAGAAGTCTGGATAGAGGGAAACACATATTACCAGAGCAAAAGCCAAACTCGTTAGAACTGCCTGTAAATGTGACTTATGGAAAAAGAATAGATTACAATAAAAAAAGATATTTCATTCAATTAAATTTATTTAAAGTATATTATTAAAGTTAATGGCACAAAAATATGCATCAAACTAAAATCTTACATAGTCACCGCAAAATTCCCTAATTTTATGTCTGATCAAATCTTTTCATCATTCCTCCAAGCATGGCTTGGGCCTTTCAGATGTTTTCAAATTTTTCCTCTTTCTTACTAAAACAAGCTTCCACTTTACCTAATCTAATACAATGATAAAAATATTAATATAAGGTAATGAGGTCTGCTGTCTGCTAATGTTGCCAGGATACCCACTATGCCACATGACTTAAACTCTACAGAGGAATTCCCAGGGAACAAAGGGGTTACAGGTACACTCAATAAATTCCTAACTTTGCTGCTGTTTCCAAGAGCTTTGGATTTTGCTATGACTTTGACCTTAGAATGTAGCCATTCTCTTATAGATCCTTCTATTCATCTTCATGGTTATTCTTTATAACAGCACTATATTGCCAGGCTGGCCTTTCTGAGCATAGAAAAAAAATGTCTTTATTGCAGGATATATATGTGCATACAACATATATACATATGATTGCATATTGTATCTACACATACACACATACAACCACAAAGGAAGATCCAAGTTGAGCTTTGTTCCCCCTAAATTAGAAAGAATTCTGGCTTGGTACAGTAACCCGCCCTTGTAATTCTAGTATTTGGGGAGGCAAGGCAGGAAGATTGCTTGGAGCCAGGAGTTCAAGACCAGCCTGAGCAACATAGTGAGCCTATCTATACAAAAAATTTACAAATCAGCCTGTCACAGTACTACATACCTTCAGTCCTAGCTGCACAGGAGGGTATGGTGGCAGGACCCCTTGAGCCCAGGAGTCCAAGGCTGCAGTGAGCTATGTTAACACCACTGCACTCCAGCCTGAGCAACAGAGGGAAGCCCTGTCTCTAAAAATTAACAAAAGTAAAAAATAAAGAATTCTGACTGTCAGATGAACTTATCATACCATTTTCCTGTTCTGGAATGCTTCTACTTGGAAGTTAGTAGTTTTTCTTTTTCTTTTGTCTTTCCCAACCCATTTTAGAACCTGTCTTAGGTATTCAAACAATTTTTCTGTCTTTGATCTCCAATTATTATTTTCCCATTTATCCACCCATATGCCATATAAATAGTTCCTAGGCAATAGGATTGTGCTAGGAGTTGGTAACCATATAATGTAAGACATAGTCTCTACTTTCCAAATGCCTACACTCTAAGAAGGAAAACAGGTCCACATTAAAAAAAATAGAGACAGTATTTAAAATAGATTATATTCCATCACTATTAGCTGAATGCAGGAAGTGCCTCGAGAATTCAGAGACTTTAGTCTGAAGATGGATGTGGGCAAAGGAGGACTTATAGCAGTGCGGGATGGAGCAATGAAAACTTGATTTGAGATGATGGACATTTTAACACTGCCAAATTCTCAGAAAAGAATAGACTATGACCCCTTCTATAATAATTAAAAGACCTTAGGCATTGTAAAACAAAGGGTAAGAGCCTGAAGTCTAGGGGCCAGATGACCCAGTTCAAATCTGCTACTCTAAAGCTACAGCAAGTAACATAACTTGTCTATAACTCGGTTTCCTTATCCGTAATATAAAATTGTGCTAAGTATAAGTTAACACATAAAATACTTTTAATATTGTGCTTTACCCAGAGTAAGCTCCATACAAATATTTTTTGGAAATTTTTAGCCATGTTTTATTTAATTATTATTATTTTTAAAATTTTTATTTTTCCATAGGTTATTGGGGTATAGGTGGTATTTGGTTACATGAGTAAGTTCTTAAATGGTGACTTGTGAGATTTAGGTGCACCCATCATCCGAGCAGTATACACTGCACCCTACTTGTAGTCTTTTATCCCTTGGCCCCCTCCCACCCTTCCCCCCAAGTCCCCAAAGTCCATTGTATCATTCTTATGCCTTTGCATCCTCATAGCTTAGCTCCCTCTTATGAGTGAGAACATACTATGTTTGGTTTTCCATTCCTTAGTTATTTCACTTAGAATTATAGTCTCCAGTTTCATCCACATCACTGTGAATGCCATTAATTCATTCCTTTTTATGGTTGAGTAGTATTCCTTCATATATATATATATATATATATATATATATATATATATATATGCCATACTTTCTTCATCTACTCATTGATTGATGGGCATTTGGGTTGGTTCCACACCTTTGCAATTGCAAATTGTATTGCTATACACATGCATGTGCAAGTATCTTTTTATATAATGACTTCTTTTCCATGGGTAGATACCCAGTAGTGGGATTGCTGGATCAAATGGTAGTTCTACTTTTAGTTCTTTAAGGAATCTCCACACTGTTTTCCACAGTGGTTGTACTAGTTCAAATTACCACCAGCAGAGTAGAAGTGTTCCCTGATCACTGCATCCATGCCAATATCTACTGTTTATGATTTTTTATTATGGCCATTCTTGCAGGAGTAAGATGGTATCACACTGTGGTTTTGATTTACATTTCCCTAATCATTAGTGATGTTGAGCATTTTTCCATATGTTTGTTGGACATTTGTATATCTTCTTTTGAGAATTGTCCATTCATGTCCTTAGCCCACTTTTTGATGGGGTTATTTGATTTTTCTGGCTGATTTATTTGAGTTTGTTGTAAATTCTGGATATTAGTCCTTTGTCAGATGTATAGATTGTAAAGATTTTCTCCCATTCCTTGGGTTGTGTGTTTACTCAGCTGACTATTCCTTTTGCTGTGCAAAAGCTCTTTAGTTTCATTAACATCTATTCATCTTTGTTTTTACTGCATTTGATTTGGGGTTCTTGGTCATGAAATCCTTGCCTAAGCCAATGTCTAGAAAGGTTTTTCCAATGTTATCTTCTAGAATTTTTACAGTTTCAGGTCTTTGATTTAAGTCCTTAATCCATCTTGAGTTGATTTTTGTATAAGGTGAGAAATGAGGATCCAGCTTTATTATCCTACATGTAGCTAGACAATTATCCCAGCAACATTTGTTGAAAAGGGTGTCCTTTCCCCACTTAAATTTTTCTTTGCTTTGTCAAAGATCAGTTAGTTGTAAGTATTTGGGTTTATTTCTGGATTCTCTATTGTGTTCCATAGGTCTATGTGCCTATTTTTATTCTTTTTTCATTGTCTTGGTTGGATTGGGTTAATTCAAAGATCTTGTCCTCATGCTCTGAGTTTCTTTCTTCTACTTTTTCAATTCTATTGCTGAGACTTTCCAGATCATATTGCATTTCTATAAGTGTGTCCAATGTTTCCTGAAGTTTTGATTGTTTTTCTTTATGCCATCTATTTCCTTAAATATTTCTCCCTTCACTTCTTGTATCATTTTTTGGATTTCCTTGCAATGGGCTTCACCTTTCTCTGGTGCCTCCCTGATTAGCTTAATAACTAACCTCCTGAATTCTTTTTCAGGTAAATCATGGATTTCTTCTTGTTCTGGATCCATTGCTGGTGAGCTAGTGTGATTTTGGGGGGGTATGAAAGAGCCTTGTTCTGTCATATTACCAGAGTTGGTCTTCTGGTTCCTTCTCATTTGGGTAGGCTCTGTCAGAGGGAAGGTCTGGGGCTGAAGGCTGTTGTTCAGATTCTTTTGTCCATAGGGTATTCCCTTGATGTAATACTCTCCTCCTTTTTCTATGGATGTGGGTTCCTAAGAACCAAGCTGTACTGATTGTTATCACTTTTCTGGATCTAGCCACCCAGCAAGTCTACCAGACACCAGGCTGGTACTGGGGGTTGTCCACACGGAGTCCTGTGATGTGAACCGTCTGTGGGTCTCTCAGCCATGGATACCAGCACCTGTTCTGGTGGAGGTGGCAGGGGGTGAAATGGTCTTTGTGAGAGTTCTTAGCTTTGGTGGTTTAATGCTCTATTTTTGTGCTGATTGGCCTCCTGCCGGGAGGTGGCGCTTTCCAGAGAGCATCAGCTGTGGTAGTATGGAGAGGAAGCAGTGGTGGGCAGGGCCCTAGAACTCCCAAGGGTATATGCCCTTTGTGTTCAGTTACTGAGGTGGGTAGGGAAGGACCATCAGGTGGGGGCAGGGCTTGGCGGTTCTGAGCTCAGACTCTCCTTGGGCGGGTCTTGCTTCGGCTGCTTTAGGGAATGGGGGTGAGGTTTCCAGGTCAATGGAGTTATGTACCTAGGAGGATTATGGCTGCCTCTGCTGAGTCATGGCTGGAGTCTGCATGCAGGATTTGCGCCCTCCCCCCAGTTCTGGCCAGGAGGCTTCTTGACCGGTTCAGATTGTTACAAAGTTCAGCTGGTGGTTTCCTTCTCTCTGTGGCATTTTCCCCATGCCTGTGGCCACCCTGACGAAGAGTCCCTGTGGTGCCAGGCAGGAATGGCCTGCTTGGGGACCCAGCGAGCTCCCAGGGCCTTTCCCACTTCTTCCTCTACCACTGTATTTTGCTCAGCTCTCTAAATTGACTCAGCTCCAGGTAAGGTCAGAATCTTCTCCAGCAAACTAGACCTTCAGTTTCCCCAGCGAGAGTGTGTGTTCCAGGATGGAGGATTTCCCTTTTCTGCTTCCACAGTTTGCGCACTTATGGTATTTGGCGTGTCTCCCAGGTTCTGCAGGAGAAATTTGCTTTATTTAGAGGGACTGTGGGTCCTCTCAGGTTTCCTGATTTATTCCTGCAGTCATTCTGGAGCTAAAATTCATGATGTGAGCCTCCACATGCTGCTCTGTCCATCCAAGTCAGAACTGTAATCTAGTCCTGGCTCCCATTTGCCATGACACCTCAACAGAGAAGTCCTAAAACAGTCCACATTGCTACCATCTCTGTTCAGGCTGCCATAACAAAATACTATGGGCTGCTTGGCTTCCACAACAGAAATGTATTTTCTTACAGCTCTGGAGCCTAGATATCCATGATCAAGGTGCCAGTCAGTTCAGTTTCTGGTGAGGGCTCTCTTCCTGGCTTCCGTATAAATAATTGCTATTATTATTATTAACTGTGATGAGGCCAAAGGCTTCTAAAAGCACATGTAACTTACTAGCAATACTGCTGGCCACAAAGATGTGGACCTGTGATTGAATGCACATAATGCCCTGCTCTTTTCAGTAACTAGATTCAAGCACAGTTATTGAGGTAAAGGGAGTTTTAAAAAGCATAAGTAGGAGTTGAAAAAGAAAAACAGGTGATAGTGATCAGATCTCCTCCAATTTCAGCCCCTACTTTCAAATCAGATCAAACTCTGACCCCTTGAGCTTTAATATCAGAATATCAGAATGTGTTGTTAAAAATTCAAAAATTTTAAAGTAATTTTCCAAAGATTTTTTTGGCCTTCATCTTCTTATTTTGTGTACAATATTAACTTCAAAAGCACAAGCACAGCTTGTTTTTCTAAGCACTTTTTCTATTTTCATGCAAAATTCTTACTTTTCATCCTTGATGAGCATCAATAAGATGTTTTAACTTATCATTATAAGTCCCAGCAAAATGCCATATACTTTGCTTTTGCATGCTTTGACTGGCATTTAGAAGTATTGTTGGTGGCAGCTGGGCAAATGCTTTGTTTGGGGAGTGGGTGAAGATCTTTGATATTTAGCATCATGCCTCAAATTGTGATTTTTATGAAAGCATTTAGAGGGAGAATTTATGAGCTGGGGTGAGCCCATGAGATGGAAAGACAAAACATGCTAGATGTAGACGAAAACTGGAATCAATAGTAAATGCTGATGATGCAGGTGGAGGGAGGCAGCAAGTTGGAAATCAAATCTTTGTTTACTTTAAATATGCATTCTAACTTCATATTTTTGTGTCATTCTCTTTAGGAGACCTAGATACATCAACTAACCTGAAATAAGCTTATGCAACACTGCAGAGGAAAGGGAAGACAAAAGTGAAATTATTATTATCATCATCATCCTTATAATAGAGACGGTGTCTGTGTTGTGTAACAAGTACTTTGAAACAAGTTTCAGATCTTGAGAAAGCTAACATATTTTATAGTCAATCACTTAGAAACTCCTTACATAAAGTTGTATCATACAGAATCAGAAGAGTAGAGTTCACCATAAGAGAGGGTGAAGAGCCACAAAAATGGGAAGAAGCAAATGGGAAAGGCAAGTTAATAAACACATCAGAGACTGAACAGAAAAACACTGTTTTCCTTTGGAGCTGAGTATTCCCAGATCAGAATGAGTTTCTCCTCATTCCTCTCGAAAGCTCACCATTCCTATTCGATTGTTGAAAACAGATTTTAAAAAGTAAGAACGCTAGAAATGTTACCATGGTCTTAAAAATTCTGGGGAAAAAGACAGAATACAAAATTTAAATCCTGGATTTAGTGGATTCTAGGTATGTGTGTGGCTCCAGAAAGGTATAATAGATATAAGTTAAGAGCATTAGAATAACCAAAAGTCCTAGAATTATTCTAAATTTGCTGGATTCTAGGCATGTGTATGGCTCCAGAAAGGTATAATAGATAGAAATTAAGAACATTAGAATGACTGAAAGTTCTGGTATTATTTAGAAGGATAGTAACAATGTTAATTAATATGAGACTAAGTATAAGACATGTATGTTAAAATTGCCAGGATAACTAATAAAAGAATACTGTTAAAAGGAAAACTGCAGCTGAATTTAATTTAAAACTTTAATTGAGCAAAGAACAATTGGTGAATAGGGCAGCCTCCTGAGCAAGAGTAGGCTCAGAGACTCCAGTGCAGCCACGTGGTGGAAGAAGATTTATGGACAGAAATAGGAAAGCGATGTAACAGAAAACAGAAGTGAGGTAGAGAAACAGGTAGATTGGTTACAACTTGGCTTTTGCCTTATTTGAACACAGTTTGAACAGTTGGCCACATTTGATCGGCCAAAACTCAGTGATTGGCACAAGAGTGGGCTACAGTCTGTTTACAATTCCATTCAGGTTATAGTTCACGATTTACCAAGAAATTTTTAGGCTGAATTTAAAATACGTAAGGAGGTAGCTTTAAGCTAAACTTGATTTAACAATACACATGAATTTGAAAGGGTAAAGAGAGAATATACAGAGTGAGAAAAAAGAAAAAACCACAACCCAAAATGTGAAAGGAAAATATCTTGGGCCCCTTCAAGCTGGGAACTGCTCAGGGCAAATCTGCCTCCCATTCTATTCAAAGTCATCCCTCTGCTCACAGAGATAGATGCATATTCTGATTGCCTCCTTCAGAAAGACTTATGAGAAATTCAAAAGAATGCAACCATCTGTGTCTCTGCCTTTCTGGGTGGAACTAACGTACTTCTTACATGTATTGATTGATGTCTCATGTCTCCCTAAAATGTATAAAACCAAACTGTGCCCCGACCACCTTCGGCATGTGTCATCAGGACTTCCTGAGGCTGTGTCATGGGCGCATCCTCAACTTTGACAAAATAAACTTTCTAAATTAACTGAGACCTGTCTCAAATTTTCTGGGTTCACAAAACGAATATAGAAAGGAAGAAAAAAAACATTAAAACACACAACAAATAGAAAACTCATAACAATGTACAAAGCAAATATTAACCAAAAAAGATGTCATTATACCTATGGCATAAAAGTAGACTTTAAAGCAAAGCACAATATCAGAGATGAAAAATGGCTGCTACATAATAAAATGTTCACTTTACTCAGGTATGCCTAATTAAATAGTTACTAAACACACACACAAAATAACTCATTTCCATGTGAATTAAAGAGATTTCAATGTGAAATGTAAAACATTTAAAATTTTTCAAATATAGAGAATATCTTTATAACCTTGTAGTATAGAAGTGTTATTTGCAACAAGATTTATAGTTTCTTACATGAAAGTTACCATAAAAAGAGTTAAAACACAAGCCACACCCAAGCCACATAGATCTTTGTAATTTATGTAACCAAGAAAGGATTAGAATCCCAAACATATAAACAACTCGCATAAGTCAAGAAAACAAAAACTCAATAAGGGCAAAAGTTCCAAACAAGTATTTCACAAAATAGAAAATAGAATATATTACATATTAATATGAAACATTTTAAAATTATCAAAGTCAGTAACTGGGGAAATGCAAATTAAAATCATGAGATATCATTTCACACCACACTGACAAAAATTAAAAGCCAGTAGTGTTACCAGGAGGCAGGCCTCAAGTGTGAGACATCCAGGTTCCTGGCATGTTGAACAAAGAATTGAACAAAATGCACAAATGAAATAACAAAGGAATGAAACAAAGCAACAAAACGGCAAAAGTAGAGATTTGTTGAAGCAAGAAAAGACTCCACAGGGTGGGAGCAGGCTGAGCAAGCAGCTCAAGGGCACAGTTACAAAGTCTTCTCAGGTTTAAGTACCCTCTTTGAGATATTTGTTACCACATATGTGAATGAGAATTGCCATCTTCCTTTGCTGTCACTGCTCTCTAGCTGAGACTGACTTGTCCAGTGACCTTGGTAAAACAAGGTTGGTCCTCCAATAGAGCATATGTGCAAGGACGCCAGCAAAGCTCTCAGGGCCACTCCATCACATAATTCCCTTGAGTGGGAATCTTGGTGATATGGTTTGGCTGTGTCCCCACCCAAATCCCATCTTGAGTTTATATGTGTTCTGGGAGTAACCCAGTGTGAGGTAATTGAATCATGGGGACAAGTATTCCCCAGGCTGTTCTCGTGATACTGAATAAGTCTCATGAAATCTGATGATTTTATAAAGAAAAGTTCCCCTGCACAAGTTCTCTCTCTTTTTGCCTGCTGCCATCCATGTAAGACATGACTTGCTCCTCGTTGCCTTCTGCCATGATTGTGAGGCCTCCCAGCAATGTGGAAATGTAAGCCCCTTAAACCTCTTTCTTTTGTAAATTGCCCAGTCTCAGGTATGTCTTTATCAGCAGTATGAGAACAGACTAATACAGCAAATTGGTACCAAGAGTGGGGTGCTACTGTAGATACCCAAAAACGTGGAAGCAACTTTGGAACTGGGTAACAGGCAGGGGTTGGAACAGTTTAGAGGCTGGCTCAGAAGAAGACAGGAAAATATGGGAAAGTTTGGAACTTCCTAGAAACTTGTTGAATGGCTTTGACAAAAATGCTGCTAATAATATGGACAATAAAGTCCAGGCTGAGGTGGTTTCAGATGTAAATGAGGTATTTGTTGAGAACTGGAGCAAAGGTAACACTTTTTATGTTTTAGCAAAGAGACTGGTAGCATTTTGCCCCTGTCCAAGAGATTGGTGGAACTTTGAACTTGAGAGAGATGATTTAGGGTAACTGGTGGAAGAAATTTCTAAGCAGCAAAGCATTCAAGAGGTGACTTGGTTGTTGTTAAAGTCATTCAGTTTTAAATGGAAAACAGCGCATAAAAGCTCAGGAAATTTGCAGCCTGTCAATGCAATAGAAAAGAAAATCTATTTTCTTTTTTAAATTCAAGCCAGCTTCAGAAATTTGCATAAGTAATGAGGAGCCAAATGTTAATCCCCAAGACAATGAAGAAAAGGTCCCCAGGGCATGTTAGAGGTCTTCAAAGCAGCCCCTCCCATCACAGGCCTGGAGGCCTAGGAGGAAAAAATGCTTCCATGGGCTGGGCTCAGGGTCCATCTGCTGTGTGGAGGTTAGAGACTTGGTGCTGTGCATTCAGGCTGCTCCAACCATGACTAAAAGGGGCCAAGGTACAGCTTGGGATGTTGCTTCAGAGGGAGGAAGCCCCAAGCCTTGGCAGCTTCCACATTGTGCACAGAGCCTGCAGTGCACAGAAGTCAAGAATTGAGGTTTGTGAACCTCTGCCTAGATTTCAGAACATGTATGACAATGCTGGATGCCTAGGCAAAAGTTTGCTGCAGGGGCGAGGCCCTCATGGAGAACCTCTGTTAAGGCAGTGCAGAAAGGAAATGTGGGGTTTGACCTCCCAAACAGAGTTCCTACTGGGGCACCACCTAGGGAAGCTGTGAGAAGAGGGCTGCCATCCTCCAGACCCCAGAATAATAGACCCACCAAGAGCTTTCACGGTGCACATGGAAAATCCACAGACACTCAACATCAGCCCATGAAAGCAGCCAGAAGGGATGCTGTACCCTGCAAAGCCGCAGGGGCAGAGCTGCCCAAGACCATGGGAACCCACATCTTCCATCAGCATGACCCGGATATGAGACATGGAGTCAAAGGAGATCATTTTGGAGCTTTAAGACTTGACTGCCCTGCTGGATTTCAGACTGTAGCCCCTTTGTTTTGGCCAATTTCTCCCATTTGGAAAGGTTGTATTTACCCAGTGCCCATACCTCCCTTGTATCTAGGAAGTAAGTAGCTTGATTTTGTTTCTACAGGCTCATAGGAGGAACAAACTTGCCTCGTGTCAGATAAGACATTGAACTATGGACTTTTGAGTTAATGCTGAAACGAGTTAAGACTTTGGAGGACTGTCGGGAAGACATGATTGGTTTTGAAATGTGAGGACTGTAGATTTGGGAGGGGCTAGGGGCAGAACAATATGGTTTGGCTGTGTGCCCACCCAAATACCACCTTAAATTATAACTCCCACAATTCCCACATGTTGTGGGAGGAACCCCGGGGGAGATGATTGAATTATGGGGGCAGATCTTCCCTGTGCTGTTCTCCTGACAGTGAATGAGTCTCACAAGATATAATGGTTTTAAAAATGGAAGTTTCCCTGCACAAGCTTCACTCTTGTCTGCTGCCATTTGAGACGTGACTTTTTCCTCCTTGTCTTCTGCCATGATTGTGAGGCTTTCCCAGCCACTACAGTGGAACTGTAAGTCCATTAAACCTCTTTCTTTTTTAAATTGCCCAGTCTTGGATATGTCTTTACCAACAGCATGAAAATGGACTAATACAATCCCCAACGTTAGACGTGGGGCCTAATGGAAGATGTTTGGGTCATGAGGGCAGATCCCTTGTGAATAGACAGATATCAACCATTAAGAGTGGGTGGGTTCTCATTCTATTCATTCCTACAAAAGCTGGCCATTAAAAAGAGTCTGGCACATTCCCCCTACCCTTTTCTTCCTCTCCTGCCATGTGACTTCTGCACACACTGGCTTCATGATAGAAGGTGAAAACCTTCTATCATGAGTAGAAGCAGCTTAAAGACCTCACCAGAATCCAATAGATATGAGTACCATACTTCTTGTATTTACCCAACGCCTTTACCCATTTTATCTAGGAGGTAACTAACTTGCTTTTGATTTTACAGGCTCATAGGTAGAAGGGACTTGCCTTGTCTTGGATGAGACTTTGGACTATGGACTTTTGAGTTAATGCTGAAATGAGTTAAGAGTTTGGGGGACTGTTGGCAAGGCATGATTGGTTTTGAAATGTGAGGACATGAGATTTGGGAGGAGCCAGGGGCAGAATGATATGGTTTGGCTCTGTCCCCACCCAAATTTCATCTTGATTTCCCACGTGTTGTGGGAGGGACCAAATGGGAGGTAATTGAATCATGGGGTAGGTCTTTCCCATGCTGTTCTCGTGACAGTAAATAAGTCTCATGAAATTTGATGGTTTTAAAAAGAGGAGCTCCCCTGAGCAAGTTCTCTCTCTTTTTGCCTCCCACCATCCATGTAAGATGAGACTTGCTCCTCCTTGCCTTCCACCATGATTGTGAGGCCTCCCCAACCATGTGGAACTGTAAGTCCATGAAACCTCTTTCTTTTGTAAATTGCCCAGTCTCAGGTATGTCTTTATCAGCAGTATAAGAACAGACTAATACACCTGGCAACCTCTTCCTATTATGTGACACACTCTATTCCTCTTCTGCTCATATCCCAGGTGCCTCTGTTGAAAAAATACAGAAAGGGGATCCCAAGTTCTGCTTTATTCTTGGCTTCCATTTGACTTGGGAACCTCCACATCATTGCTACACCACCAGACGTGCAAACCTCTCCATTGTTGCCCTCCCTCTTAACCATATGATCTTTCTCCAATTCTCAACTTCTCTGTTCAAGAGACTTAAAGAGCAGATGAGCAAGTCCACTGCCAAGCATATACCCAACAGGAAAACAAGGTGCCAACCTGCTCTTTCATGACATCTGATATGCTTTGACACTGGGTCCCCACCCAAATCTTATCTCGGATGGTAATTCTCACATGTCAAGGGAGGGATCTGGTGGAGAGCGACTGGATGATGGGGGTGGTATTGCCCATACTGTTCTCATGATCATGAGTGAGTTCTCACAAGAGCTGATGGTTTTAAAGTAGGGCACTTCCTCTCTCTCTCTCTCTCTCTCTCTCTCTCTCCTGCTGCCATGTAAGACGTGCCTTGCTTCCCCTTCACCTTCCACCATGATTGTAAGTTTCCTGAGGCCTCTCCAGCTATGCAAAACTGTGAGTCAATTAAACCTTTTGTCGTTATAAATTACCCAGTCTCACGTAGTATATTTATAGCAGTGTGAAAATGGACTGATACAGATTTTGGTACCAGGAGTGGTTCCAGAGGAACAGAATTTTAAGGATGGATTTCTTTAGTTGGTTTTGTGGTTTCTGGAGTTAGCTGCTTAACATAATTAGACTCAAAAATGCTAAGGACTCTACTTCTAAGAGTATGGAGAACACTGATAGTCCTTGGCATAAATTGTTTAGAGAGTTACGCAACATAAATAAATTTGATACTCCTCATTCACTGTTCTTGAGAACCAAGGAGTTTAGTGACTCTATACATAATGCCTTAGACCATATGTGGAGAGCCAAGAAGTATAATGAAGTTAATTGGTTGCTCCTAAGTTCGCTCACTGGACAAAGTGATGAAAGAAAAGGATGAGCTCAGGGATTCTAACTCCCAGCTCCAGAAGCACATACTTAGCCTCAAATCTTCTAAGACTGCCCTGAGTGAGAGCCTTATCTCCTGTAGACAAAGGGCTGAAATTGCTAAAAATCAGACACAAACTCTTATCGTGCAAGTGGCTGACCTGCAACAAAAGGTGAATGCTCAGCCTCGCCAGGTGTCTACTGTTAAAGTGTGGGCATTGATCGGAAAAGAATGGGGCCCTGCAACTTGGAGTGTGAATGTGTGGGAGGGCCCTGATTAAGCTGGCTTGCTGAGTTTTTTGTCTTCATCTTTCTCCCATTCTGGATGCTTCCTGTCCTTGAACATCAGACTCCAGGTTCTTCAGCCTTTGGACTCTCGAACTTATACCTGTGGTTTGGCAGGGGCTCCCAGGCCTTTGCCACAGACTGAACACTGCACTGTCGGCTTTCCTGCTTTTGAGGCTTTGTGGCTTTGACTGAGGCATTACTAGCTTCCCTGCTCCTCAGCTTGCAGATGGTCTATTGTGGAACTTCACCTTGTGATCATATGAGTCAATTTTCCTTCATAAACTCCCTGTCATATATGAATATATTCTATTAGTTCTGTCCCTCTGGAGAACCCTGACTAATACAGCATCTCAAATCTTTATAAAATATACTCCTGGGGCTGCTTTTATTCCACAAACACCCTCCCCATGAAGGTACAGGGAAGAGGGAAGAGTCTCTCCCTCCTACTAAGCCAGCCTCAACACTTACTGAATCCTTTCCAGTCCTCTGCTCACTTGGACGTAGAGTGGGAGGAGCAGAAAGCAAGTTTATGGTAAGAGGACTGGTCCTTCCACATTTTGTACTACCCTCACAGCTGTCTGTCCTCCTTCTCCATCAGGCTGAGGAAATCATGGTATCGGCACCTCATTCTCTGTGGGACACAATCTCTGAAAAATAAACCTTTCCATCTGCCTCATGTTCTTTGGACATAAATGTCAAAGCCATATTATAAGATCTGTTCCTGATACTTGACAGAAGATTTCCACTGTAACAGCTCCTGAGATTAAAGACACACTTTCGCTAAGACTCCATCACCTATTAGCAACATGCCAATTTCCCTTGGTAGGTGCTTTTAGGGAATAATTAGGTTAACTATATAGGTAAGTTGCAACCTGGTTACCAATTAGAAAGCCCTGGGGAGTTTTTACAAAGTACTGAGGCCCTGGCCCTACACCACAACAATTGAATCAGCATCTCTGCAGGTGGAGTCCTAAGCACAGGAATTATTTAATACTTCCTTGGTGACATTTATTACATGTAAATCATACATCAATAAAGTTGATCTCTTTTAAACTCCCTGAGTAATTCTAACAGTTCTTCAATAACTTTTGTATTTGTCATCACTGACCATATTTGCATATATGGTAGGCTATACCCACCCCCAAAAAAATTACATGTTCCTATTGTTTATGCTAGAATAATCTTAGGAGAAAAATCGGTATCATCATAAAGAATATTTTAGTGTGCCAGATCTGAAATGAGCATGCCCTCATGCTATGTATGCATGATGCCTCACGGCTTTAGGAGACTGGTTAGTTTACAGTCTGTGTTCATGGGAACAGGGCACTCCATAATCACCAGAATTATTTTGCAGTATGTGGCACCATTTATATATAAAGAGATAATTGCAATTCCCAAAGTATTTTCATATCTATCAAAAAACTTTATTTTTGTCTTATGTCAGCTGTTGAAAACAGGCAGAGACAAGAGTCCTTGATGAAACTAAGATTTTAGTTTTGCTGACTTGCCTGGCTGGTGGGCTAGGTCACTTATGTAGGAACTGTTTCTAAGATACCTAACCATCTGTCGAAAGCTGCAAAATTCAGACCTGATCTGGGCATGTATTAGTCTGTTTTCACACTGCTGATAAAGACAAACCTGAGACTGGGAAATTTACACAAGAAAGAGGTTTAATGGACTTACAGTTCCAAGTGGCTGGGGTGCCTCACAATCATGGCAGAAAGCCAGGAGGAGTCTTCTTACATGGATGGCAGCAGGCAAAGAGAGAGCTTACGCAGGGAAACTCCACCACATAAAGCCATCAGATCTCATGAGACTTATTCACTATCATGACAACAGCACAGAAAAGACCAACCCTCATGATTCAAATACCTCCCACTGGGTCCCTCCCACAACATGTGAGAATTCAAGATGAGATTTGGGTGGGGACACAGCCAAACCATATCAGGGCATCACCTTAAATGAGAAAAGAGCAAAAGTAAGTCCATAGCCACTAGCATATCAATTTGATATTAACATGCAAGATTTAGCAGCACAAACAGCTAATCCTGTTCTTAATCCTCCACTCATAATATTTCTTTCATCTAGATCTTCAACCTATCAGTCCCCTGTAGCTAAACCTCCATAGTGAAATACACTCAATATTAGATATGGCTTCATTTTGTATTATTTCTTGTAAATCACTTGTCAAAGATTTGCTAGAAAACCTAGTAGAAAATAAAAATTATATCCAAACAATTTATTCTAGAGAATGTTCAGGCCAGAAAAAAAGGTAAAATACATTTATCAAAGTAACTCACAAATATGGCCACTGATTTTTAACAAAAGCACAAAATTAATGAGTGTTTTCAACAAATGATACTGAAACAATTGAACATCTATATGCAAAAATAATGAACCATAACATAAACCTCACACCTTATAAAAAATTAACTCAAAATTGATTATAGATCTAAATGTAAAACATAAAATTATAAAACTCTCAGAAGAAACCAGTAATGACCTGTGGTTAGGCAGATTTCTTAGAAATGACTTCAGAAGAAGCATGATCCACAAAAGAAAAGAATTGTCAATTTCATTAAAAATTTAAAACTTTTGCTTTGAAAACGATACTGTTAAGAGAATTAAAAAACAAGCTAAAGACTTGAAATAAATATTTACAAATGAATGACATATCTGGTAAAGAACTCTAATTTAGAATATATAAAGAATTCTCAAAACTCTACTGAAGAAAACAACCCAGCTAATAAATGGCAAAAGATTTGAACAGACAACTCATCAAAGAGGACATACAGATGCCAAGTGCATGCATGAGAAGTTGTCCAACATTATGTAGTAAAATTCCTAGAAATATCTTCCCTCTCCCAAATTTTAACATATTACTATAAAATGATACAAATTGTTTAATTTTTTATTTACTTAAATAAAAGCAGAAATAAATCTTCAGAAACATCCACTTCTACACCTCTACAATCTATTCTCCACAAGGCAATAAGAGCGATGCTTTTAAAATGCAAACTTAATCATATCACGTCTCTGCTCAAAACATCCAGGGCCTTCCCAACAATCTTAAAATAAAATCCACAATCTACAAGGCCTGAGTAATCCTGCCTGTGCTTAGCTCTCTGCTCTCAATCCTGCTCTTTCCCTGGCTCCCTCTACTCCAACCACACTGACCTTGCTATTCCTCAAAGCAGACTCCTACCACAGACCTCAAGGCCACCACTTTCTCTGTTCCCTTTGTCTAGAACTCCTTTCCTCCAGATATCACAGGTCTTGCTGCCTCATTTCAATCAAGCCTCTGTTCAAATGTCACTTCTTTAGAGAGTCCTTCTGTTACCACCCTAAGATAGCAGTCCCCTTATATTGCTTTTTTAAAAAATCATAGTACTTATTATATTTATGTCAAATGACTGATTCCCTCCTCCTCCTCCTTCTTCTCCTCTCCCTCTCTCTTTTCCTCTCTGTCTCTCCCTCCCTCCCTCCCTCTATCCCTCTCTCCTCCCTTTGCATTCTATGAAGAGGTGCGCTTGTTTTTTTCACTGATGAATCCCCAATACCTAGAATAGTGCCTGGTACAAAATAGGCATTCAGATTATTGTTGAAGCAACTTACAGAATATATTTACTTTTCTCGTATCATTCAGAAAATCACAGGTAACTTTCATCATCTCCTTTGTCCTTGTCAGACTTTTATTTGATACTGCCTTGTGAATCAGGTGATCAATATCTATCCAGCCCTTCTCCTAACACCACTGAATTATGAAAAAACTCAACTTCCGTCCCCCCAGAAAAATAAGAGAAGAGGCTTAAATATGTATTTAAAACTTGCTGGAAGTTATTCACTTTCATGTTATTAAAATTACTAAATGTTCTTCCAGATGCCCATTGTTCATTGTCAATGAGGCTTAAATCATTCTCCCAAACTTCCTTTTTGCAATGCTGTTAATTTTATGAAGAGACATCATTTTGGGGTAATATATAGGAGTCACTTCAATATCTGTGTTTTGGGGATAGAAAACGCTTATTCATTTATTTTAGGCAAATTTCACAGAATTCAAGAGAGCTCATTTTAGAAAATCACTGCAGTTTCATCCCATCATATCTTCAGAATTAAATTACTTATGTTTCATTTTATTCTGAAAATAGCTTGTCTTAAGGCAATTCTTTGGGACTTAGTACCTACATCTTGCCTCAAAAAAGAATGAATATAAAGCCATATTTGTTAAATGTGAATCTCTTCAATCGGTGGTTTATTGTTTTTTTTTTCCAGAATTACAGATGAATGTTAAACTTTGAAATGTCATCTCTTCTTTGCCAAATATTCAATCCTTTTCCCCAGGAAATTGCTAGTTCTGAGATCACTGATTGTATCTTTGCAATTGCGCCATAATCCAAATATGAAATTTTAGTGATTGTTAACTTGGCCAGAATGCAATAGAAAAAGTCTCAAATCCAGGCATTTTATAAAGAAGAGATGTTTTATAACTTAATTAAAAATAAAGTCTGTTCACCTTCCATGCTGCAAACATAACACTTCAAAAAATACCTTTTAAATCTAATTTTAAAAGATTTTTAAATACATTTTTAAAAATATTTTGAAAAGGGATGATGTATTTATTATAAAGAAAAACCTGAAATAGTTTATTCATGTTACAACATCTCTCAACAATGGGCAAATTTTAGAACTGTCTTTCTTTAGACCACTGTTTCAAATAAATTTCTTCTCTTATTTTATCCACAGTATTGTATCACTATTTGTGGTTATAATTACACTCATACCCAAAAAATGTTACTGTAAGTGACAATTTAGTTCCTTAAGTTAAAACTACATGAGCAGTTTAAAAGAGAACACAGGAGAAAGCTCCATAACATTGACTTGGAATGATCTTTTGGATATGACAACAAAAGCACAGACAACAAAGGCAAAAATAGACAAATGGAACTACATCAGATTTTAAAACTTTTGTGCATCAAAGGACACAATCAGAGGGAAAAGATAACCTGTGGATTAGGAGAACATATTTGCAAATCACATGTGATAATGGATTAATAGCCAGAATATATGAAGAATTCTTATAACTCAAAAACGAAAAATCTAATATCCTGTCTAAAAAATAGGCAAAGGACATTTCTCCAAAAATGATATAAAAATGGCTGACAAGCATATGAAAAGATGCTTAACTTCACTAATCATCAGAGAATTTAAATTAAAACTGTAATCAGATATCACCCTACACCCATTAGGACAGCTACTCTAAAAAAAAAAAAAATCACCCAGAAAATGGTAAGTGTTGGTGGGATTGTAACATGGTAAAACCACTATGGAAAACACTATGCACATTCTTCTAAAAGTTAAAAATAGAATTAGCATATGGTCCAGCAATCTGACTTTTACTACACATTCCAAATAATTTTTTTCAAAAAAAAGAATTGCAGGATCTTCAAGAGATATTTGCACTACCATGTTCATAGCAGCACTATTCACAACAGTCAAAGGTAGACAAAACCCAAATATCTATCAACAAATGAATGGATACATAAAATATAGTATATGCTACATGCAATGGAATATTATTCTGCCTTATAAAGGAAGAAAATACAAACATATGATGCAACATCAATGAAGCTTGAGGACATTATATTAAGTGAAATAAGTCAGTCACAAAAAAAGATAAATACTACATGATTCCACTTATATGAGGCACTTAAAGTAGGAAAATTCATAGAAACAGAAAGTAGAAAGGTAGTCACCAGGAGCTAGGAGGGGGTGGGCTAAGGGAGTTGTTGCTTAATTGGTACAGTGTTTCAGATCGGAAAGATGAAAAGTTCTGAGATCTTTTTACAAAAATGTACATAAACTTAACACTAGTGAACTTAAAAATGATTAAGATAAGTTTAACATTGTGTATTTTTTACCAAGTTTTGTTTGTTTGTTTGTTTGTTTGTTCTTTGAGATGAACTCTCGCTCTTGTCCCCCAGGCTGGAGTGCAGTGGTGCCATCTCAGCTCACTGCAACCTCTGTCTCCAGGGTTCAGGTGATTCTTCTGCCTCAGCCTCCTGAATAGCTGGGATTACAGGTGCCTGTCACCAAGCCTGGCTAATCTTTGTATTTTTAGTAGAGACAGGGTTTCAACATGTTGGCGAGGCTGGTCTCGAACTCCTGACCTCAGGTGATCCGCCCACCTTGGCCTCCCAAAGTGCTGGGATTACACGCATGAGCAACCACTCCTGGCCAATTTTTTAAAACTATATGAGCAGTTTAGTTGCTCATTTTGTCCTAACAATTGGTATGCTCCTTCACAAGAGTGAGCTCTACACACAGGTCAAAGAAAGTTCTCAGAGAAGGAGGCCATTGCTGACCTGTCAACACTTGGCCCAGAACTAAACTATATGATGCCAAGAAAGTAGAAAAATACACTGGCCAGCTATGCATATTATTTTTTAAAGGTCAGAAATGTTCTGAACAACTCAAAATGTCTCCCTCACAGTGCTTGAAATTCCCTCTTCTGAGTGGGGGCCAATATTCAACATTCTTAAAGAAAAGAATTTTCAACACAGAATTTAATATCCAGCCAAACTAAGCTTCATAAGTGAAGGAGAAATAAAATCCTTTACAGACAAGCAAATGCTGAGAGATTATGTCACCACCAGGCCTGCCCTACAAGAGCTCCTGAAAGAAGCACTAAGCATGGAAAGGAACAACCAGTACCAGCCACTGCAAAAAAATGCCAAATTGTAAAGACCATCGATGCTAGGAAGAAACTGCATCAACTAACAAGCAAAATTACCAGCTAACATCACAATGACAGGATCAAATTCACAAATAACAATATCAACCTTAAATGTAAATGGGGTAAATGCTCCAATTAAAGACACAGACTGGCGAATTGGATAAAGAGTCAAGACCCATCAGTGTGCAGTATTCAGGAGACCCATCTCACATGCAGAGACACACATAGGCTCAAAATAAAGGGATGACGGAAGATCTACCAAGCAAATGGAAAACAAAAAAAGGCAGAGGTTGCAATCCTAGTCTCTGATAAAACAGACTTTAAACCAACAAAGATCAAAAGAAACAAAGAAGGCCATTACACAATGGTAAAGGGATCAATTCAACAAGAAGAGCTAACTATTCTAAATATACATGTACCCAATACAGGAGCACTCAGATTCATAAAGCAAGTCCTTAGAGACCTACAAAGAGACTTAGACTCCCACACAATAATAATGGGAGACTTTAACACCCCACTGTCAACATTAGTCAGATCAACGAGACAGAAAGTTAACGAAGATATCCAGGAATTGAACTCAGCTTTGCACCAAGCAGACCTAGTAGACATTTACAGGACTCTCCACCCCAAATCAACAGAATATACATTCTTCTCAGCACCATGTCACACTTATTCCAAAATTGACCACATAGTTGGAAGTAAAGCACTCCTCAGCAAATGTAAAAGAAAAGAAATTACAACAAACTGTCTCTCAGACTACAGTGCAATCAAACTAGAACTCAGGATTGAGAAACTCACTCCAAACTGCTCAACTACATGGAAACTGAACAACCTACTCCTGAATGACTACTGGGTACATAACGAAATGAAGGCAGAAATAAAGATGTTCTTTGAAAACAACGAGAACAAAGACACAACATACCAGAATCTCTGGGACACATTCAAAGCAGTGTGTAGACGGAAATTTATAGCACTAAATGCCCACAAGAGAAAGCAGGAAAGATCTAAAATTGACGCCCTAAAATCACAATTAAAAGAACTGGAGAAGCAAGAGCAAACATATTCAAAAGCTAGCAGAAGGCAAGAAATAACTAAGATCAGAGCAGAACTGAAGGAGATAGCGACACAAAAACCCTTCAAAAAATCAATGAATCCAGGGGCTGGTTTTTTGAAAAGATCAACAAAATTGATAGACCGCTAGCAAGACTAATAAAGAAGAAAAGAGAGAAGAATCTAATGGACACAATAAAAAATGATAAAGGGGATATCACCACCGATCCCACAGAAATACAAACTACTGTCAGAGAATACTATAAACACCCCTACACAAATAAACTAGAAAAACTAGAAGAAATGGATAAATTCCTCAACACATACACCCTTCCAAGACTAAACCAGGAAGAAGTTGAATCCCTGACTAGACCACTAACAGGCTCTGAAATTGAGGCAATAATTAATAGCTTGCCAACCAAAAAAAGTCCAGGACCAGATGGATTCACAGCTGAATTCTACCAGAGGTACAAGGAGGAGCTGGTACCATTCCTTCTGAAACTATTCCAATCAACAGAAAAACAGGGAATCCTCCCTAACTCATTTTATGAGGCCAGCATCATCCTGATACCAAAGCCTGACAGAGACACAACAAAAAAAGAGAATTTTAGACCAATATCCCAGATGAACATCGATGTGAAAATCCTCAATAAAATACTGGCAAACTGAATCCAGCAGCATATCAAAAAGCTTATCCAGCATGATCAAGTGGGCTTAATCCCTGGGATGCAAGGCTGGTTCAACGTATGCAAATCAATAAACATAATCCAGCATATAAACAGAACCAAAGACAAAAACCACATGATTATCTCAATAGATGCAGAAAAGGCCTCTGACAAAATTCAACAGCCCTTCATGCTAAAAACTCTCAATAAATTAGGTATTGATTGGATGTATATCAAAACAATAAGAGCTATTTATGACAAACCCACAGCCAATATCATACTGAATGGGCAAAAACTGGAAGCATTCCCTTTGAGAAATGGCATAAGACAGGGATACCCTCTCTCACAACTCCTATTCAACATAGTGTTGGAAGTTCTGGCCAGGGCAATCAGGCAGAAGAAGGAAATAAACGGTATTCAGTTAGGAAAAGAGGAAGTCAAATTGTCCCTGTTTGCAGATGACATGATTATATATATAGAAAACCCCATCATCTCAGCCTAAAATCTCCTTAAGCTGATAAACAACTTCAGCAAAGTCTCAGGATACAAAATCAATGTGCAAAAATCACAAGCATTCATATACACCAATAACAGACAAACAGAGAGCCAAATCATGAGTGAACTCCCATTCACAATGGCTTCAAAGAGAATAAAATACCTAGGAATCCAACTTACAAGGGATGTGAAGGACCTCTTCAAGGAGAACTACAAACCACTGCTCAATGAAATAAAAGAGGATACAAACAAATGGAAGAACATTCCATGCTCATGGACAGGAAGAATCAATATCATGAAAATGGCCATACTGCCTAAGGTAATTTACAGATTCAATGCCATCCCCATCAAGCTACCAATGACTTTCTCCACAGAATTGGAAAAAACTACTTTAAAGTTCATATGGAACCAAAAAAGGGCCCGCATTGCCAAGACAATCCTAAGCCAAAAGAAGAAAGCTGGAGGCATCATGCTACCTGACTTCAAACTATACTACAAGGCTACAGCAACCAAAATAGCACAGTACTAGAGCCAAAACAGAGATATAGACCAACTGAACAGAACAGAGCCCTCAGAAATAATACCACACATCTACAACCATCTGATCTTTGACAAACCTGAGAAAAACAAGACATGGGGAAAGGATTCCCTATTTAATAAATGCTGCTGGGAAAACTGGCTAGCCATATGGAGAAAGCTGAAACTGGATCCCTTCCTTACACCTTATACATAAATTAATGCAAGATAGATTAAAGACTTAAATGTTAGACCTAAAACCATAAAAGTCCTAGAAGAAAACCTAGGCAATACCATTCAGGACATAGGCATGGGCAAGGACTTCATGTCTAAAACACCAAAAGCAATGGCAACAAAAGCCAGAATTGACAAGTGGGATCTAATTAAACTAAAGAGCTTCTGCATAGCAAAAGAAACTACCTTCAGAGTGAACAGACAACCTACAGAATGGGAGAAAATTTTTGCAATCTACCCATCTGACAAAGGGCTAATATCCAGAATCTACAATGAACTCAAACAAATTTACAAGAAAAAAACAAACAACCCCATCAAAAAGTGGGCAAAGGATATGAACAGACACTTCTCAAAAGAAGACATTTATGCAGCCAACAGACACATGAAAAAATGCTCATCATCACTGGCCATCAGAGAAATGCAAATCAAAACCACAATGAGATACCATCTCACACCAGTTAGAATGGCGATCATTAAAAAGTCAGGAAACAACAGGTGCTGGAGAGGATGTGGAGAAATAGGAACACTTTTACACTGTTGGTGGGACTGTAAACTAGTTCAACCATTGTGGAAGACAGTGAGGCGATTCCTCAAGAATTTAGAACTAGAAATATCATTTGACCCAGCCATCCCATTACTGGGTATATACCCAAAGGATTATAAATCATGCTGCTATAAAGACACATGCACACATATGTTTACTGTGGCACTATTCACAATAGGAAAGACTTGGAACCAACCCAAATGTCCAACAATGATAGACTGGATTAAGAAAATATGGTACATATACACCATGGAATACTATGCAGCCATAAAAAATGATGAGTTCATGTCCTTTGTAGGGACATGGATGAAGCTGGAAACCATCATTCTCAGCAAACTATTGCAAGGACAAAAAAACCAAACACCGCATGTTCTCACTCATAGGTGGGAATTCAACAATGAGAACGCTTGGACACAAGAAGTGGAACATCACACACTGGGGCCTGTTATGGGGAGGGGGGAGGAGGGAGGGATAGCATTAGGAGATATACCTAATGTAAATGACGAGTTAATCGGTGCAGCACACCAACATGGCACATGTATACATATGTAACAAACCTGTGCGCTGTGCACATGTACCCAAGAATTTAAAGTATAATAATAATAATAAAGAAATTCCCTCTTCTGCCTTCGCATAATGTTTCTAATGCTTTCAGTTAGAAAGTGGTATAAAAGTATCTACTTCCAATGGACAATTAGCAGGAATTAATTTGGTCCTATAGCATTTTTCCTTCGACTAGCAGAGATTTGTCACAAGATGTTATTGAGGAAGAAAGGATAGTAAATTTGGTTTACTGGATACTTTAATGAAGGCCAGCCCAGGTGGATTGCTACAACTCAGTACTAGGAACATCAGGTCAGTACAAAGCACTGCAGAACCTGGAAGAGACTCAGATCAGCTAATGAATTGTTCAGCTGGACATTTGGAAATTCACTGACACTGTTTGGTTCTACGTCCAATAATTGGGGAATTTGAAGTACTGAGTTAGATTCCATTTAAACAACCACAGTTTAAATTACAAAATGGGCTGTGTTTATTGCTTAGCTCTTGTGAAAGAGACATCATTTTTCATAAGGCAAATAAGCTGATGGATTGCTGGGACAACATTCTTAAGGACATGGATATTAAGGTGAGTTATACTATAAAAATAGTGACAATAAAATGTCTACAGACAAAAATTCAGACATATTAATCTAGATAGGTTTTTTAGGGCTGATATTTCGAAATTTTTTTTCTGCTAAATTTGCTATACCACCAAACTCTATAGACCAATAATTTTCTAACTTAAATAGTCATCAGAATGACATGGAGGGCTTGTTAAAAGAGATAGGTGGGCCCAGCTCCAGAGTTTGCTATTCAGTGGGCCTGGGATAAGGCCAGATAACTGGATTTCTAGCATGTTCCCAGGTGACGCTGATGCTGCTGGTGGGAAAACAGAATTTGAGAACCCTTTTATAAAATATTGTTATTTACACACAACAAGCTAAGTAAACACCACAAGAGAAAATTTTGAGTAAAATATATCTCTCACTAAAAAATATTGCCTACCTTAAGTTTATTCTTTGTTTATAGATGGCATGGATGTTTCATTGCCTATGCTTACAGCTCAGTAGATAGTCCATATATCACAGACTTGTTCAGCACAAGGTTATAACGATTTCTAGAATAGCTCTGCTACTCCACGAAGGGCTAGTCTGCAGCACATGGGTATACCGGGTTTTTGTGTTGGCAGTTCTCTATTATGAAGGTATACAGAATCCTGATAGATTCATATGTCAATTCAAAAGTCCATAAATGAATGAAGGATAAAACAGAACTGAAGAGCATTTTGGTTCATTACAGTGAACCAAGACTACACTACTAATAAGTGGTCTGTTCAACGTTGTATGGAAACATACCAAAACAAAAATTTGCATTTACCTGTAAGCTAATATTGAAGTTGTCTGTAGTCTCTTATTTTGTTTAACATCAGGTGGCTTATGGGGAAAAGAGGCCCAAAAAACTGATTTCTTCATAAATAAGATGCAAGGATAACACTAATTAACACTAACTTTCAGCAAGAGAACCAACATATATTCATACTATATCAAGTGTGCATATATAGCACTGTTAAAAAACAGAAACAAAGCTTTAGCCTGTAAGATTTTATTTTTATCTGACACAATTAAAAAGAAATTATCTGAGAATGTACAGCTCACAAATCAACAACACTTCTGTAGGTTATATTTCTCAGCTCTCCCTCTGTTGATAAGGTTAGTAAACTGGCACCTCAGTCAGCTCTGAGATTACTTCCTTCACAGAGCTCTTCCTGACAACCTTCCCGCCTTCTATTCCAAGACAAAACACAGCTTTCATCATGACACATCTCTGTTCAGACTTCTTGACTGGCTTTGCTTTTTGTGTTGTGAATCATTTGAAATGAGGAACTAAAGTCATAAATAATAAGCCTCACATTATGCTAGGTTTTGGGATCAGGTTGCTGAATAAATGGGGTTTCTGCCCTTGTGCATTAGGCTGTGAGAGGTGAAAGCTGGCACTGAGCCTGCAGGGGAAATTCTTCTGCATCTACAGTTGAGCCAATCTGTGGCAGAAAGGGACTTCCATACTGTGCCTAACATGTTCTAGAACATAGTATAGATACCTTTTAAAATATTCATTGATGAATTCAGTTGTTTTGTGATTAGAAGGAAACTTAAAATGTGCCAGACATAGTTGTTTGGAGTCATTCCATCCATAAATATTATATGAATTGCCAAAAAATGTACTCATATGACTTTTATTTCCTTATAAATCTCAAAATTTCCAAGGAAACATTTCAGATGCCAATTTCCCACTTCCCCTCATGATCCAGAATGCATTTTCTCTAATATAAAATGTAAATGTGGTAAAGATATGTGCTATTTTATACCGTTTTAAAAATGTTATTCAACCAGACAACCAGTTTGGCTTATATTTTTCAGAAGTAGAACAAATCAACTGACAACTAACAATTTGACCAAATTGCCCAATAAGTCAATTCGGTTGTAAACCTAATAATTTTTTTTTATTTTAAGTTCTGGGATACATGTGCAGAATGTGCAGGTTTGTTACATAGGTATGCATGTGCCATGATGGTTTGCTGCACGTATCAACCTGTCATCTAAACCCAATAATTTTAAGAGGATGCATTTTTTTCTGTGTAGCTGCAAAATAACCTTCAATATTTAAAACTAAAGACTGCATTTGGTGGAGAAATTTTTGTCCCACTTGATTGATGAGAATACTAAGGTATCAACTGATTTTCAGTATCCATCCCCTCAAAGGAAAGTGAAAACTATAACTGCCGTATACTTCCTGTTTTATCACAAAATGCTGTGAATTTACATGCTTTGAACCGCTCCTCACCACTCCATCATCTTAGATTCATTCATCAATTCATTGATTCAACAAGATTATTGAACAAAACTCTACGCCAAGCTCATAGATAGGTGTTGGGCATACTGGAATGGGAAAGGTTTCCTTGTCCCATCACAGGGCGTGTGACAGGGAGAGTGGCTCACTTCTTTCAGTGCCCCGCTGTTCAAACTTCTAGGGGAACACACAGACAGGCAGGTTGTGGGGCTCCAACCCCATGGCAGCATCTAGGGGTGTATGTTTACAGCTCTTGAAGCCCCAGTGGGCATGTGTTATCGTGTGCTCTTTTAGTTTTACCATCTATAGGTGGCTTGTGTTAACCAGCTCAATTAGACCCTCTGCCTTATTACAACAGAGGGTTTTCTGTATCCTGGGTTCTTGCCTAGATGTACTGGAAAAATTGGATCACATGTGGGCTTGGAGAATGAGCGCAAGGTTTTATTGAGTTTTACTGACTGAAGTAGCTCTCAGCAGATGGGGGAGCCAGAAGGGAGATGAAGTGGGAAGGTGGTTTTTTCCCTGGAGTCAGGCCACCCAGTGGCTGGGCTCCCCTCCGACTGCCCTGGCCAAACTCCACGTCATTCCGCTGGTCGATGGCCTGCCATCGTGTCGGCATCTGCCGGTACTTGTCAGTGTGCTCAACTGATGTGTTCCTCTTGACGTCCAGCTGCTTGTGTCTCTGCCTACTAGGGTGTGAGGGTTTTTATAGGCACAAGATGGGGGCGTGGTGGGCCAGGGTGGTCTTGGAAAATGCAACACTTGGGCACGAAGGCAGAAGTGTCTTTCTTCATCTACGTCCGTGGGCACAGTCCTGGGGATGAAGCCCTAGCCAGGGACCCGCCTTTCTCTACCCAGCACTTCCCTGCCCTCTTCCCATATCAATGCAATGGTGAATGGTAAAAAGGACACAGCCCTGCCCTCATCATAGAGTTGGTTATTAATCAGATTATCACAAAACTCTGTAAAATCGCTATAACAAGTGGTACACAGGAGAGGAGCATGGTCCCATGAGAGCATACAATAGGGAAAATTGGTTTCCTTGAGGAAGACATGTTTAGCTGACATTTAAAGAAGTAATATGAAAATAGGGGTTATCAAGGTTGCAGGGGAAAGGTGACTATTTCCATTACCTATCAGCTGAAAATAAAGCTTAGTGGCTTCAAGTAACTTTTATTATATGTATCACAATTTGGGGGGGGTCATATTTTGACTGAACAAGTTTCCACTCCATGTGGCATCAAGTGGGGTTATTTCACAGTACTCAGCTGGCAGCTTAATTAGTCTGGAGGGTCCAAGGTGGCACCACAAATACAGCTGGCTTCTGGCAGGGATGTCTGGAAAACTGGACTTAACAAGGCCCCTTCTCTCTTTTCATGTAGTCTTGCCACATTATTTTTCCAGACAGATATTCTTCTTCAGTAACAGCTCAAGGTTCTAAGAGACCAAGGTAGAAACTCCCAGTCCAAAAAGTTAGGTCCAAAGCTGGCACAATGTCATTTCTACCCTACTTAATTTGTCAAAGAAATTGTAGTTGAGCCCAGAAGCAACAGAACAAGAATAGACCCCATCTCCCAAAGGGAGGAGTGTCAAGGAATTTGTGGACATGTTTAATCCACCATGGTAGAAGAAAGAGCAACAAGGATAGAGAAGATAGCATGTAAAAAGGCCCCATGATAGGAGGGGTCCTAGCATGCCTGTGGAACAAGGAGGTCAGTGTGGCTTCAGTGCAGAGATGAGACTGGAGAAGTACACAGGAGCCAGCCTTTGAGGGCACTCATAAGTCAGGGTGAGGATGTGCTCTTTGTCTTAAAAGCTGTGAGGAGTCATGGAAGGACTTTAAATAGGGAATGAAAAGACATTTTGCAGTTCAAAGAAATAACTCTAAATGGGGAATTGGACACCTGTTTGAGGGAGACTCGGGTGAATGCATGGGGGCCACTTAGGAAAGTCAGGTAAGAAAAGATGACTATGGTGGTGACATGGTTAGTGAATACGGAGAAACATGATGGCGTCAAGAGCTTTACCAGGTGGAAAAGTTAATAAAATTTTGGTGATGTATTCTACATGGGGAGTAAAAGAAAGAGAGATGTAGCTCTCAAGAATGATTACTAGGTTTCTTCTTTCTATTCACTGTGATAGAAAGTCTAAAAGAGGACTGTGTTTAAGGGAAATCAATAATAAGTTCAAATTATCTTGTATACATGGTCTGGAAATCAAACCAGAAATCAGGGATGGAAATAGAAATCCTGCCCTTGCTTTTAAGAATAATATTTCTTTTTCTCTTTTTTTTTTTGAGAAAAAGTTCTGCTCTGTCACCCAAGGCCGGAGTGCCATGGCACAATCTCGGCTCACTGCAACCTCCACCTCCTGGGTTCAAGTGATTCTCCTGCCTCAGCCTCCTGAGTAGCTGGGATTACAGGCACACACCACCATATCCAGCTAATTTTTGTATTTTTAGTAGAGGCAGGGCTTCACCATGTTGGTCAGGCTGGTCTCCAACTCCTGAACTCAAGCAATCCACCTGCCTTGGCCTCCCAAACTGCTGGGATTACAGGCAAAGAATAATCTTTCTATAGTAAACACATTCATCCCAGCTTAAGAAACTTCAGTGACTTCCATTGCTTTCCAGATCAAATATCTAAAGTTGTTACCAAGCACTAAAGTCTGTCCTTCCCTGCAATGATACCTATATGTCTCTCCTGTAGTTATTCTCTACGTGATTTTTCCATCATATAAGACTTTACTTATTATGTCTCGTTCAGAAGGTCCTCCCACTGATCCATCCATCCACAAGAATATTAATATATCGGTTTAAGAGTCAGCTGACACCTCACCTTTTTTATGAACACTTTTCTGATTAACCCAACTCTCACATACTACATTTGTCATCAGTTTTATTTCATTTGGTGCTGCATCAGGCGCACTCTTTTGTCTTGAAGCTGTTTCATGCACATAAATCTTGTTTGTGCGTATAGCACACAAAATTTTATACAGCAGAAACTGTTGTTTCTTCTTCTTTTTCAATCTTTGTAGCAGTGCTATAAACAGTGCTATGAACATAGCAAGCACATCAAAAATAAATTAAATTGTATTTTAACTATGACTTCTCCAATTATGGTAGCTTCTAAGAAATCTTTCTTGAAAATAAAGAGAGAAACAGAAGTCACTATAAAAAAAAGTAATACAATCTGTCTTGATGCTCTAAAATTAAGCAGCGAAAGCAGGTTTAACACTATCATACACTATTTTAATTTTATTGTTCTTGAATTTGACTAAAAGATAAGGCTAGTGACATACATGAATAAAAATAAATGTATCACTGTATAACTAAATGCAGATTAAAGTCATCATGATAAACACCTAATATTATGTAGACTTCTTTGCTTCCTATGTTTTTATAATTCTTCCATGTAAGTATATGTCACCAAAAGATTGTGCTTAATAAAACCGTAAAATTCTTCAAATCTTTCTAGCCTTTTTCACTAATTGAATGTATTCTCTATGCTGTACTCCTAAGTGTTTTATTTTCTTTGAGCTTGAAAACATTAACTCGAAATGCTATCTGTAAACTTTAAGATATAAATTGAATATCCTAAGTTGTTTCCCCAAGTTTTATATTTTTCAATAAAAATTCCAAATGGGACACATTTTATAGAGCCTAAGCTCCCATCAGAAGCAACTCTCAGAAGAATGACCAGTTGTCTTGAATTATCCCAAGTGCCCAGTTTTATCCCCAGGGAAATTTCAGTCACCAACTTTCACTTCAGTCTATAATGGAGTAATAACTGGATTGATTCTTAAAATAATGCCTTATATAAACTAGAAAACCAGATAAAACAGGAAACCACAGTTTTAAAACATTAGGAAACAAGCAGTAAAGGGCAGTGATCCTGAATATAAGGAAAACAAATGAGATTAGTATTACAAATATCATAGCTTACTACCCAGAGAGAATTCCAGCCCACAGCACAGAGAGAGGTAATCCAAACAGAGCCCAGCAAATTGCCTGAATTGAGGAGAGAGAAATGTAAGATCAAGTAGGCAAAGATATCCAGGAACTGTGGGACAAAACAAAGTAAGAGAAGAAACTGCATAAAAGTTATCTGCAGAGTTCTGCAGGAGACTCCCTGAAGACTTCGTCTGAGTACTATTCTTCTCATGTATAAGAAGAAAGTACCGAAGGCCTAGGGAATAAACGACCTGGAAGAAATAGGCGAAACAATCTCTAGAGTTCACATAGAACTGGGAATAGCTTATGTTCCCATCAGTCTGAGTGGAAATGCCTCCTAATACATAGGGCATCGGGTAGAATCCTCCAAAAGATATGATTTTAATAATAAGACCAAATTAGCCCTTGACTAAGAGCTGATCAGACCTATACTAACAAAGCTTAAAAAGAAGCTTTGGAAAGACCACACTAATTTCAAGTGATTTAACTGTGTCCTAGAACAAAGTTCAACAGTATTTAAAATAACACAACAAAATCAGCATTAACAATGTAAAATTCACAATATTCAGTATATGATCTCAAATAACCAAGCATGCAAAAATCAGGAAAATCTGACCCATAACCAGGAGAAAAACTCATCAAATTATGCACTTAAAATTGAGTTATCATCAGGAAACTTTTTAAAAAATACACTAGCATATGCTGGAATTAATACTAATCCTGAACTTTTAAGTCTTTAAAAATACTCAAAGGGGTTTAAATTCAAAGGACTATTTTCAAATATTATTCCTGGAGCATCCACCCCACCCCCTGCTTCCAAAAATAATTCCAAAAACTGAGATACAGACAGCTTAAATCCTAGGATAAAAAGAAGGAGAAAGTAAATATTTGTAATCAAACAATAAAAGTGTTGTTCTGGAAAGATGTGAAAACAGCCCCCCGTGTATTGGGTCCTCTTCAGTGGAGGAGGAACTTGCTCACTTCCTGAATAACTTGCTCACTTCCTGAAGCATCAGCGAGGGAGCTCCTGAGACATCTTGTTTATTGGGGTATTTATTGTAATCACATTCAAAATGTTGTGGTGGATAACGTTACTCAGAGAACTATGTCTGACTCCACAATTTAAAAATTAAGACACACGGACATTTCTATCTCTCCAATTCAAAACATCATTTAATTAGCACTTCAAGCTCCATCTTGTCAGACTAAAGCACTGGGCAGATTTGATACCAAAGTGCCTGGAAGATGGCCTGTGATTCCCTGGAGACTTGTGGAAAGAGCAAAGATCATGTTTTTGCACCAGCAAGGCACGTAAATTAAACAGACATATTTTCAGGACCTTTCAACCTAGTTCTGAACCCCATGTCATTTGAACAAAGAGTGTCTAAAAAAAAATTCAACTGTTAAAGAAACTTGAAGGAAGAAGCAAAGCTTCAAAAACCAGCAATAGGAGTATACTTTTAATGATATGTCAAGTCTTCAAGTATAAACAAGTCAGATGAAAGAAAAGGTTTAAAAATTCATAACTATGAGCTTCTGACCCAGATGCTGTGTAACAAGGCTAATTATACAGCCAGTAAGGACCAGTATGATTATTAATGTGGACCCAAAGTACTCTAACAGAGGAATCTAAGCCAGGCTCACTGCTTAACACCAGGAATGGAGTTGGCTGCGCTTTCTCTGAAAGGAAGCTGAAATAATAAAAGCTGAGACTGCTACCTGAGGATGTCTGCACACTCAAGAGACAGAAATAAGCAAAAACAGCTTCCTAACCAGGACCTAAGTCCTGTGCCCACAAGCTCAGTGATACTGATTATCAGAGTGAGACAGAAAGTTCAGTATAAAACCTGGAGGTAACCCAAAAATTGCTAGGTAGGAAAGTGTGAACGCAGAGAGAAAGAAAAAAATATAATTCCATTTGAGGCTGCAAACTAAAATTCCAATGTACTAAAAAGGATAGTCCAATCAACAAATAATTGGAAAAATGAATGTAATCCAAGCAGTTAACATTTTTAAAATGGGGCAATCTGAACTTGAAATTAAGTAGAAATAGAGAGAGCTTTCATTTTGGTCATTCTGTGAAATAAATACATAGGTCCATGTATACGAATGTTTACTGCAGCATTGGTTGCAGGAGGAAGAGTAGAAAGTTAGTCAAGCATCCATGAATTTAGAATAAAAAAGTAAAATGTGGTATATGTGTACAGTTAAAAAAAAGATGCAGCAGTCAGAAGTAGAAGATAGCAACATGGATGGAGCTCAGTAATAATTTTGAGTGAAACATAATGAAACTTATGCAGCATTATAATCATAGATAATATCTAATCATGCACATTAAAACACACACACACTAAATTTTTACAAGCATACACAAATATCTAAGTAAATGCAATGTACTGGAGGCTAGTGGGCAAGAATGAATGCATCTGAGGATCAGGACTGAAGGATAAAATTAATCATTTAAAAAAAACTGGGCACATTAGCTCACTCTTGTAATCCCAGCACTTTGAGAGGCTGAGGCAGGTGGATTGTTTGAGTTCAGGAGTTCAAGACCAACCTGGGCAACATGGCAAAACCTTGTCTCCACTAAAAAATAAATAAATAAAAATAAAACTGAAGATGGGTTTGCATGGATTGATAATAGTGCACCATGACCTAAAAAATACAATCAGCTGATCTCATCCACATGGGGCTCTTGAAAAAGAAACAAGAACATCAATTAGTCAATCAAAATTTACCATTATAAATTTTCTCTCCTATAAAATTTCAACTGAGAATAAATTAAACACACACAAAACTTGTGACAACACTTTACTTTGGAAAAAAATCTGATTCAACTACTGAATATAGAATACAATGAAGAAAAAAATAGCTCTCTTCAATATGTGGGATGTTATTGCCACATCACTCATTCGTGAATGGGGATGCATCACTCAACAAAGGTTTAAGACATACCTTGAATGGCTGGAAATCCCAATTAGACCTTGAGAACTAAAGTTTCAAATGTAATAAAAATAGGACAATTGTCTTTATGAAAGGTATTATCTGTCACTTTTTTAAAAGCTCGTTTCTTATCCTGTAAGTGTGAGGGAGCTAACCACATTTACTTTCCACTAAGTTTCTCTCTAGGAAAGTTGATATTCATCCTGTGGGCTTCAAAAAATATTTGTTCACTTAAAAAAAGTTTAAAAATGGTATCCCTAAATAGCTGAGAGTGTCTTATTTCAAAATATCTTTCACAATTATTATGTTCGAAACAATATGCTTCCCAGAACCAAATCCACTGCATATCCCCCCAGTAGCCTAAAATGTGAATCTCCAAACCCCTCAGGAGAGAAAACAGTTCAGTATGGCATTAACATTTGACAAGCCCATCACACTGCCTTTCAGAATTTCTGTTTAGAAATAATCTCACGAATCACTGAAGCAACTTGGTAAGTACATGTCAGTGCAGCTGCCTAGGAACAGCAGAAATTGTGCCTGAATATTCCAGACTACTGGCTATGGAGCTCACCCACTGAAAACTGGAAAAATATTTTCACAGGGAATGATCTCATGGCAATGCTTTTGAATACTGTAGTCCTAGGTTGAACTAGTACAAGTCATTGCTTCCACCAGTTAGACTCAGTTGAACAATTGATTTTATAGCATCCTAATATTGATAACAAAAACAATAGACTATTTTTTAAACAGTGGAGATTCTTTTTGTTTTAGACACAGGGTCTCTCTGTTACCCTGAGGGGAGTGCAGTAGTATGATCATAGCTCACTGTAACCCTGAACTCTTGGACTCAAGTGATCCTTCCATCTCAACCTCCTGAGTTTTTCTTTCTTGTATGTTCACCTGCTTCCTCTTTCTTTATCTATCTGTAGTCAGTGTGGATGGTTTTGTGCATATTTGTATTTAAATTTAAATTTCATAACCCAGCAAGGTAATTTTATAGTTTTTAAAAAAGTTGAAACTTGGAGAGTTTAGCAATCAGCACTAAGTCTTACCACTCAAGATCATATTCAAATCCTCACTGCATGATTCTTAAACTTGCCTTTCAGAATAATAATTAGCACAATAATAAGTTCTATGTCCTCCGATAAAAGGACAGAGTACAATAAGAACTTGAAGGCAAAAGTACCAATTATATTTGGGGCGTGGGAGCAAAGCGAACAGAGAAAGGTAGAGAGGTTTTACCGGAAAAGAGCTTAGTGTAGTAGGCAAAATTCTAAAAATTTCCCCAAAATTCTATATCCTAATCCCTAGAACCTGTAATTTTGATCATCTATAGCTCCCATAATTAAATTATGTTATATGGCACAGCTGCCCTGAGATAGGAAGATTATCCAAAGGAGCCAGATCTAATCAGCAGAGAGCTTTCTCTGGCTTGTGGCAGAAGAGGAAGTCAGAGAAATGCCAAACATGAGAGCAATGCAACATGTCATTGCTGGTTTGAAGATGAAGGGAGCCACATGGGAAGGAATGCGGGAGCCTCTAGGAGCTGAGGGCAGCCCCTGCTGAAAATCAGCAAGCAAATGAGAACGTCAGTCCCATAACCACAAAGAACTGAATTCTACCAATAAACTGAAAGAGCCGGCAACAGATTCTTTCCCAGAGCCTCCAGCTAAAACAGCCTAGACACCTTGATTTCAGCATTTTGATACCCTGAGCATAAAACTCAGCCAAACCTACCCAGACTTCTAACCTACAGAACTGTGAGGTAATAAATGGGCATAGTTTTAAGCCACTAAATTCATCGTAATTTGTCACACAGCAGTAGCAAAATAACATATCAAGGAAGTAACTCCTCCTTCTTTCATAGGGTTATGAAAATCTGTGGGTGTTCCTCAGACCAACAGAAATAAGGAAAGGACATTTACAATCAGGGTGGGTGGAGCAGATGCTGTAGGTACCTACTCACACCTCTTGGACCTTATCACTCAATGACTTCCAATGGCCAGAATCTGACTGTCTTTGCCTAAAGGCTTTCTCAGAAGTCCAGGAAGGCTACTTTGCCTGGGCATGGCAGATCTAAAGGGCCAAGGAATTAACAGTGGCAGGAAACAACCAATGGCTGACAATAGCTGGTATATAAATGCCTCATTTCCTTCACTTTTGGTGAGACAACCCCAGGATGTGATCCCCATGCAATTAAGCTCTGATTGCCCATAGTGGTAGCTGGCTTGAGGGCACAATCTGTATTGGCTGCCTTCCCCTCTCTATTTCCCTTCCCTACTTCCCTACTGTGCTTCCCAAATAAACCACTTGCATTCCGTACTTTGTCTTAGGGCCTGCTTCTGGGACAATCCAAACTAAAATAGTGGGTGATGTGAACAAAGGCAGGGAAGCCCAAGTAGATGGGACTGAGGTGTAGTGTGCTGAAGAAGAGATTAGGCCAGAATACAGAGATTCTCACATAGTCTCTTAGGGACTGAAACCACTTTGGGAGTCAATCAATGTGGTGGAAAGTATCTGACAACTTATTCCTTATCAGTAGAACCCTGGGTTAAAAGTCCATCTGAAAAACTCCATTTCCCAATCTCCTTTGAAGACAGAGATAAGCCTATGAAAAATAAGCAAAAGCTCTTGCTGGAGCTTCTGAGAAAGCTCTTTTTGCCCCTCTGCACTTCGTTTTTCCTGTTAACTGGAAAGCAAATATGATAGCTAAAGGTCCAGCGCCTCTTGATCATGAGGGAATACCAAAAGAATGTAGAGACTTTGGCCAGGACATTCTTGAGCCACTAAACCAAAACCAGTAACTGCCTACTTCAGAGTTCCTGTTACATGAAATGAAAACAACCTTTCCAGCTGCTAAATTCAGGTCTCTATTACTAGCAGCTGAACAAAGTTCATGACTGATAAAGCAAGAGATTTGGAAAAGGATCTTGGATCTTGATTCTTTGCCCATTTCTGTGACACTACCAGGACAGAAAGGCTTACCCCAACTTGCTATGCAATTAGAGAAATACCACCATGAAATCTCAGAACATAGTTTAGAAACAGTAGCAAACCTACCAATAAATCTCAGGACACACTGCAGAAGCATCAGTACAGCCTTCAAAATTTTAATTATGAAACTTCCATGGCAACTTTATATTACCATTTCACATTTACTTAAAAGGAAGCTTTTGAGTGTTTAAAGTCATTTCCAGAAGTGTTAATAAGGCACTAAGTGACAACACTGGGTGGCCTCTGCATTGCTTGATAATGCCAACAACACAAGTGTCATTTCAACATCATTGAAAAACCTTTCTTACCTATCTTACCAAGTTCTAAGCTCTGTAATTACATTGGAAAAAAAACTCCCCAACAAAAACTAAAGCAATATAACTTTACTACTGCTCTGAAAAGTATAAATATAGTTCTTTTTTTTAGTTCATTGCTTTCTAATGCATGGCAAAAATATTTCTATCACAGCATCTTACTACCACCATCATCACATAAAAGAAGAGTTGCAATAAGACATAAATTTTGGCACAAGTTACACAGGATAGACAGATGACAGATAGACAGACAGACAGATACTATTCATTCTGTGGTATATCTTTAATGCAAAAAATGCTACTATTTCACTAACACTCGCTCAAGTAGTTATTTTGCTGCATTAGTATAATCAAATTAAATAAATGGCTCCACATCATGGGTCGTTGTCTCCCTTGGTGTATTAATGCTTGCATTCTGTTACTTGAGAGGGACCTGATAGTAAAAGGAAGAAGGTAAAAATGAAGGGAGGGGCCTTGTGCCACCCAGAGCAGATATCTGGAGCTCCTTAATATTAAAAGATTTTTCTCAAATATATTGCCACTAGGTTTAGAAGCACACCTATGTAAGTATGCTATCTGTTGATTTAAAAGCATTTCTCATGTGTATGAGATCATTTTATAAATGACACTTGGAATGGCATAAACACATTTCCTCTCTGCATCCCGTATTTATTCAATTTAGAAATCTCAACAAGCCTTTATTCTTTTCAACCTTGCAACATTAATATTGATATGGAAAGACATGATGATATTTCTGCTTCATGCTTCAGTCCTAACAAATTGTTCCAGAGTTGTATGAATGTCCCTTATCTTGTTAAATTTGTGACTTTAGATGGCACCAACTAAGGAATGCCAGGCACAATTCAACCTTGTATCTTTTAGAGAGCCAAATTAAGCAAATTCACTGTTTAAAAAAAAGTCATTGTTCTCTAAGGCACAAAGCACTAGTAATCAAATTAAAGAGAGGGAGGAAAAAAGATTCAAAAAGAGATTTGATAAGTGAAATTAAGGCTAAAGGACTTAATTTCTTTGATTCTAAGATAATCTTAAGACACCAATATCAACACAATACCACTTTTTGTGGAGGTGGGAACCACTACATTTAATTGTAAGATACACTCTGTTTTTAGGAGAAAAAAATGTGAGGAAAAAAAAAAGCATAGCTATGAAGAAGTATGTTACTTGTCATACTGTCTTCCCTGGCTGTGCTCAATTTCAGGCACTGATACAGCCAACCTGCTCGCTCAGCTGCTTGCTGCATTTGGTAGCTGTTAGAATCCTGCATCCCTACCCCAAAGCCTGGGGCACCCACTGAGCTGTGCACCCCTTTCTCCCAGCTCATGACTATTCTCTCTGAATTTGCCCTCCAATTCCTCCGTGTGACATAGAGGCCTTCTCTGAGCTCCAGCACAGTTGGCTAAGACCTACTAACAACCTGCTGACCTCTCGCTGCCCTGCACTCCCATGTGGTCTAGGTTGCTGGCCAAGAACCTTGTAAATATGGTCCTAACAAACAGCACCAGCATTCGACAGAAACTTCTTAGAAATGAAAATTCTCACCAAGCCCTCTCAACCCCACACCACAATAAGAAATTCTGAGAATGAGAATTTCCCACAATCTGCTCATAACAAGCCCTCTAGGTGATTCTGATAGAGGCTCATGTTTGAAACCTACCAATCTAAATCATTTCAATATTTCCCAGTTTGGCTATCAAATGGGAAGTTGTCTCTGTGAAATAAAATGAATAGACTGGCATATACTAGCAATAGTAGCTAACATTTATTGAGGGATTACCATAAGCCAGGTGCTGTTTTAAGCTGTTGACAAATTTCAAATTCATTCAGTTCTCACAAGAACCCTGTGAGGTAGATACCACGATTATTATTCCTATTTACACTTTGAACACTGGAATGAAGAGGTTAAGTTGCTCAAGGACACACAGATATTAAATAAAGAAGCAGAATTCAAGCACATATCTGCTTCAGAGACTGGGCTGTCATCTGCTTTGCTGCATGGCCTCTGAATGGCTGCATACCTCACATTCACATCAAAGATTTACGTAAAGAAAGGGGAAGGGGCACTCCAACTGTAAGACATTTTAACATGTGCTAATGGGACCCTCAAGAAAAATATTTGAGGTAGGTAATTTGTTTTGTAGAGTCTTGGGTCTCACTGTGTTGCCCAGGCTGGTCTCAAACTCCTGGGCTCAAGTGATCCTCCTGCCTCGGCCTCCCAAAATGCTGGGATTACAGGAGTGAGCCACTGTGCCCAGCCTTGCGGTAGGTACTAATGGCTCAATTTTCCAAATGAGTTAAACAAGGTAAATCTTATTAATCTGAACTTAGTTGACTCAATTAATAATTTATCTTATATCCAATAATGAATGTGAAGTAATATTTTTGTTTATGAATTTTCAGACTACTACTCACAAGTAAAAGAACCCAACTGAAAAGCCAATTACATTTTCCAAACCCAGGACCCCCAAAATAGATATTCCTTCTATGTGTTTTGATCCTAAAAGAATAAGTAAACCTTGAATTGTATGCTATTCATGCTGAGTCAAACACAGTCAAAAGAAGTCACATTAGAAACAATGATCTATGGGGAAGAGATCAGCAGTACCCATGTGAAGACTTAGCTTCTAGTGAATATGTGTTAGAGACCTGTTGAAGGTGGGGTGGGATGGGAGAGCTGTCTGGGCATAAAAGCTGGCAGCTGTTTTAGTTAAAAATCAGTAAGACAGTGGAAGCAAACTGTGATGACGTCAGTACCAACATGGAACATATTCCTCATTTCTACATGGAACAAAGTGCAGGGCTCCAGGAACACAGCATCAGCCTGGCACCAGTGGGGTACAGCAGCACTGAGCAAGAGGAGCAGTGTTGCCTGGCAGATGTGAACATGCCCAGTGGGAGACAGTGGTACCCAAATGAAGTGGCTCCTCTGTGAGTGCATCCAGGCAGATCAATTAACAGCAGACACCTGAGCAGCAGGCCTCACAGAGCAAGAAGAATTGGGTTTCCAATCATTATGATAGTTATTTTTAAATAATGGTGACTTTTACCTCAGATTCGTGATAAGTTGTTGAATTTTTATTACAACATGTAAAGTATGGCATTACCCTTTAATTTGTCTACTTGTTCACCTGGTTTTATATCAGCATTATAAAATGATCCATTTTTTACTGTTTTAAGTTATAGTTCATAAAAAGGAAAAAGGAAAATTGAGGTGTTTTACAATGACCCATTTGCCTCTCCCCATCATGTTGTGCTATTATTGAGTGTGTTTTGTATGCTTCAGTACCATAACTCTTACTCCTGAAAAGACTGAACCACTTAAAGAAAAGATGATAATTGTTAGTACATTTGACATACAGAGCACTTGAGGAAATTTGAGAATCTTTTTGAAAAGCTGTTTATTTCATAACACACAAAAAAAAGCTTTTAACAGGTGGGAAGAATAAAATTAAATAGTACAAAACACGTTGTATTTTAGCTATTATCTTGTGAGAAAGGGCCACGGAAATTAATTCTAGCATGAAAACTTTTCCTTCACATCCTATGACCAAGCAAGAAGGTTTGAACTCTGTAGTGTTTCAAGTTAATTTGAGTTTCAAGTTAATTTCAAAAATTATATTTTCCATGTCATTTTTAGTTATATAGAAATAATTCCAAAGGGTATTTCCTAAATAAATTTCTGTGTGAGCAGAACTGCTCACACAGAAGCTTCTCTTCTTCAAGGCAGGTTAGACTCTGAAATGTTGTTTTTTAATTAACTCTGTAGGTATGTTAACTTCAAAAGAAGAGAGATTTAAGTTTGCGGTTCCCAGACACATTTCCTCAAAGTAAGAGTACAAATTAATTCTTTGATGCATTAAAGCCAGTCGTGTCTGTCCTCCCCTTGGTGATATATAATCTGTTGTTGTTTTTTTTACTTTTTCCATAAGTGACCAGTTTCATCCGTTGAGGCAGTTTTAGAGGGAACCCCTTGGCACCTAGGAAGGTATACTAATTAACTCCCATTAATTTAAAAATAAATGATGTTTTTAATAATAAGCCTTTATAAGCCTTTTTTGTACAACTTTTTAGCAGCAGCTCTTTCCTGTGCTCAGTTTTCAGTTCTCAGACAGTGTCAGAGCCCCTAGCACTCAGCTGACAGGCAGCAGGCACTATCATTGCCACCTCACATTGGCAGCCCCTTCACACCTACCCAGATTCAGTTGTTTTTTTAAACACTGCCTTGGATTAGTCCTAGCATCTAATTTTCATTTTCTATAATCTAGCCACATATTTTAGGGCTATTTGATCACTTGCCCTTGTCTCTTTTTGAAGGACATCATACATTTTCCATGGTTCATGAGACAGTCTTTGCCTTCTGAATCACTGCCACAATTGAAGAGTTTATCTCACATGCATCTCCAACATGTAACATTTCTTATCCCACTTATGATTCAAATTTTTCTCCACTTTAGTTTCAGTCAGAATCATAACCTTCATACAAGGGCATTTAACACTAACAACTGTTGCACTTATTAAACATGAAGAAGTTAACGCTTCAACTCACCTCAAAATAAAGTTCACACAAAGCAAAAGATCAGGGTCAAAAACAAAATGCAATGACCGTGAACAACTAAAATTGCTATTTGTTGATGACTGGCAGAGCTAGTACACTTTTCCTCTGTACAGTGCTTTATGTCTCTGGAGGTTATTAAGCAGAAAATAATATTAAAAGAGCTAGATGTTTGCTGGGTTGTTACTATGTGATAGGTGTTATGCCATGGACTTTACCTGCATTCTCTCTTTTAAACTCACCGCAGTTCTGAAAAGCAGGCACTTCTATTGTTAACATTCTACATAGTTGGAAATGGAAGCATGAAAAAGTCATCAGCCTTCCTAAGTCACACAGCTAGAAAATGCATTTGATTTGAACCCAGGTACCTGAATCCAGTACCCAAGCTCTAAATCTTTAAAGGCTGATACATCACAAACCTTTAAGGATTTTAATTTTATTGTTTTAATCACTATTTTTGTTCTCGTTGCCAAATAAAACCCCAAATACTCAAAATATATGGTTTTGATATTACAAAATAAATATTTAATACAGCCATTTACATAAAACTTCTCATCTTGCAAGTGAAATCTCTAACATAAAAATCTATTTTTATGTTTTAACTCATGAAAAATAATTGGAGACTATAACCTTAAAGAAAACTTCATAACTTTTTGATAATGTTCACATTAAAGATGAGAATGTATTTATAAAAATATTAGAGTCGATCAGAAAATTCATCGGTCAAATTATTATATATTATATTTTACTAAAGAAATGAGTCAATATAAGGAAAATCTGAAGGCTGAATAAATAAATGAAAATCTATTTCAAGGTAAAACCTTTACATGTAATGTATAAAGCTAAAAATAGTTCAGTCTTTTATGTGCATAAAAAATTTTATGAGAGAGAAAAACCATCTTAAGAACCTTTTAAGAGACAATAATTAAAAACTTAACAAAAAAGTTGTGTGTCAGGCCCTACCTGTTTATCTGACCTACGCTTCAAACCTGTTAAGCAAGTGTGTTTGTACACCTGGGCATGCTCAGAGAGGAACACTTTTCATATGGAGTCAGAAGTGCTGGTCATTTGTTTCTACTACTCCCTATTATACAAATCATCTCTAAAAAATATATTCTACATGTGGACAGCAGGCACTTGCTTAAAAACCAGTGACACAGAAGCCACCATTTTTAAGACAATACCTTTTTTGACTCTTCTAAAAAGTCTAGTAAAAGTTCTGCCTTATATTTAGCTGAACTTTACTTCCCTGAAACATCCACCTATCTGTCCTTGTTCTGCCCTTGGGAGCAGCAGAGTTAGGCTGTTGGGTGGAAAAGAACCACCCCGTGGCGATGAATAGAAATAGATTCTGATGAATAAAAACTCCTCCCCAGCAGGGTAAACCTTATGCAGCATGTGGTGAGGGCAGTATTGCAGACATCATCATTACACAGTTGTCTCTGAATTTCTTCCTCTGGGGGACTGCACCACCCATGTGACTTGGGTGAAAATGTCACAGAATCTTACCTCCCCAACCACAGAAGCAGGAATATGATCTGAGCTGACTAATCAAAATATTCTGACCCCTGGAGTGCAAGTTCTTTTTAGATACACACACTGGGAGGGAAAGAGGGAGCCTGTCCCATCCAGAGATTGGAAGCCGTGTGAAATGATGGCTTGCAGATCCCAGATCTGAATGCAGTGTGACAGGAACCTGACCCCATTATTTGAAACCCTGGATGCCATCAGTTGTACCTGGTATACCTTCCTTTTGACTCTCTGGTTAAATAAACCAATAAATTCCCTTTTAAAGTTAGTTTGGGCCAGGGGTGGTGGCTCACACCCATAATCCCAACACTTTGGGATGCCAAGGTGGGCGGATCACCTGAGGTCGGGAGTTCGAGACCACCCTGGCCAACATGGAGAAACCCTATCTCTACTAAAAATACAAAAATTAGCAGGTGTGGTGGCAGATGCCTGTAATCCTAGCTACTTGGGAGGCTGAGGCACGAGAATCACTTGAACCTGGGAGGTGGAGGTTGCGGTGAGCCAAGATCGTGCCACTGCTACTAGTTTCAATCACCTACAACCAAAATAATTTGTGCGAATACATCCAGAAGGATAGATCTTTCTTCACAAGTTTTCCTGGCACTGACTCTAACTGGAAGAGAAAAGCTGACACGTGTGCTGCTGGGTGGAGTCAGCAAAGCACAGAGGAATCAGAAGTTGAATGATCGGCTCAAGAGAAAATTGAAAAGGTAAGAGATGAAGAACCGTCTCCTAGACCTACCTTAACTTATGTAGAAACTTGCCTACCTGTTTCCCGGAGGATTTCTGGAGTAAGAGGGGCCATTACACCCTACCCCCCAAAATGCTACATTAATAACCCGTGACATTCAATGTCCCTGTGCAAAGAATGGAAGCTTTCATTACAAAATTAGAAATGAGATGTTAATATCTCCAGGAATCTCAGGTAAGAGAAGGGTAGGAATCACAAAACATTAGGGAGGGGACTGTCCTCAAGGTGCCTTGGCATTGGAGGAGACTCCAGTGACAATCACTGTGCACTTACTGATTTACTGAGAATAGGTCCTTGCTGTCACACTCCAACTCTTTAAAGCAGGCAAAGGGGACCTTGATCTCTAGCTTATCTTCACAAGAGGATTTATATCTGGCTAATGCTATAGTGTTAATTTAAAATGCCCATGAAGATTTCTAGACAGGTTTTCAGGACAAAAGCCATGTCCCCAAATATTTCACTTGCTAGTTCCAGAAAATTGCACTATACTATTTAATAAAGATAAACTTGATATATTGACAACAATTAAATCTAAACTACAGGTAACTAAAAATAAGTTGCCCCAAATGCCATGCTCATCTAGCATTATCAGCCTCATTATAGACTTGTTCTTTCCCTGTGCTTCGGCATGCTTTGCTGAATGTGTTTCATCGGAACAGCTAGGGAGTAAGCCAGTGAGCTAGTGCTGGTAACAAACTGTCTTCTACCTCTCAGACACTTCAGTTTCCTTTCTCACTTTCTGTGTTGAAGTCACATCTACAAATCTTCTCCATGAAAGGTAGCAAGGAATTGAAATGGCATTTCACTAGCAGTGAAGCAGCATCTCCTCTCATTGAAAGAGCATAAGTGCTTCAGAAGTCTGACATAAGGGCTGCCATACTGGGGAAATGTAAGACTCTAGGGAATGATGGCAGCCCAAAGGGTGGGAAAGTGGGAAGTACATGACATTCTCTCTTTGCTGACTGACCTGCCACTCAACACTTGAGTGTGTTTTCAAATGGAGAAAATTCCTACACAAGTCTAATACAAATATAATATGGCCTTGCTGATAGTAAGAAAGAATCCTCAGGCATTCAAGAGAATTTCCAGAACTGTCAGCTGAATCTCTATCCTCCTGAACATTCTGTATTAAGGAAGTAGTTTGAGTCAGTCTGTTAGAAAGAATAAAATAAGGAGTAGTTATGTCATAATCTTTGAATGAATGGAGATTATTAAAATGATTATTGAGCACTGCCAGGTTCCAGGCCCCAAGCAGGCATTGGAGACATTGGGGTGGGCAGCTGTGAAGGGGTCCTTCTCCCTACATAGCGTACATGCTTGCAGAGAGTACCTGCAGACATTAAGCAAACTTATCCCTTCCTTACAGGGTGTGTCACATGCATGCATGTGAAGAGAGTTCACCAACAGGCTTTGTGTGAGCAACAAGGCTGTTTATTTCACCTGGGTGCAGGGGGGCTGAGTCCGAAAAAGGAGTCAGCAAAGGGTTGTGGGATTATCATTAGTTCTTATAGGTTTGGGATAGGCATACAAAGCACCTTCTTAAGGGTGGAGAGAATATTACGAAGTACCTTCTTAAGGGTGGGGCAGAATATATCATATCAGTTAGGGTGGGGCAGGAACAAATCACAATGGTGGAATGTCATCAGTTAAGACTATTTTCACTTATTTTGTGGATCTTCAGTTGCTTCAGGCCATCTGGATGTATACATTCAGGTCACAGGGGATATGATGGCTTAGCTTGGGCTCAGAGGCCTGACAGGGTGCTATAGGAACCCATATCTAAAGAGATCAGGAAGGCTTCTTTCAGAAAATAATAGTTGAGATGAATCTTAAAGGACTAGGGATTAACTAGTTGCAGGGAAAAAGGGGATAGGGAGAGCATTCAGGCCAGAGGGGAAAGTTCACCTTTCCTCTGACTTTTTGTTCTACTCGGCCCTCCCTGATTCTACTGAGCCTGCCCACAATGGGTGAAGGTGGATCTTCCCTTCTCAGTTCACTGATTAAATGCCAGCTCCTCTGGAAACAACCTCACAGACACACCCAAAAATCTGGGTATCCATTAATCCAGTCAAATTGACATCTAAAATTAACCATCACAGTATTCAGGGACATATTAAAGATTTTTATTTTTAAAATGACAAAACAAAACTAGCTCAGAGCAGCCTGAATGACATGAAATACGCAAAATGTAGCAGGCCCAGAAAGACATGAGTATGGGACTTCAGTCATGACTCAGGCACCCCCTCCACCGTTTGTTCCCCCACACCCACGAAATTGTTTAAAGGCATTTTGTTCCTGACTAGCTGTCTCAGCCACTATCTTCATGTTCCTGGAATTTGTGATGCAAAAAACAGTGTATGGTCAATCAATAGTTTGTTATTTTATGTAAATTATTGATAACAACTGAGAAAGGGCCTCCTTTTTTTCTTAACCCACTTGTGGATGGGTGTGGTGGCTTACACCTGTAATCCCAGCACTTTGGGAGGCTGAGGCGGGCGGATCACCTGAGGTCAGGAGTTCAAGACCAGCCTGACCAAAATGGAGAAACCCTGTGTCTACTAAAAATACAAAATTAGCTGGGCATGGTGTCGCATGCCTGTAATCCCAGCTACTGGAGAGGCTGAGGCAGGAGAATCGCTTGAGTCTGGGAGGCAGAGATTGCGGTGAGCCGAGATCGCGCCATTGCACTCCAGCATGGGCAACAAGAGTGAAACATTGTCTCAAAACAAACAAACAAACAAACAACAACAATAACCAAAAAAAAAAAAAAAAAAAAAAAACACTTGTAACTGCTGCTAATTGGAGTGTATATACAGGGCAACTTGAATCTATGCTTCCAGGTGGCCATCCTCAAGCTTTAGACTCAGACTCTATACTTAATCATATTTTCTGAATCTCATTATTTTAAGGTTGAAAACATGTCAAAACAACTCTCTTCTAAATCTGTTCTACTGATAGGTTCTCTCATCTCGATAAACGGCAACTCGTTCTAGTTACTTGACATCATCTGTGACTCCTCTCTTTCTTTCATATCCTACATTCAGTTTATCAGTAAAACTTATCAATTCTACCTTCAAAATATATTTTTTACTGAGCCACTTATCATCCTTTTTACCATACCATCCTGATCCAAGCCACCCTCTTCCCTCTCCTAGGTTATTGCAATAATCATATAAATGTTCTTTCTATTTCTACCTTTACCCCCCAAGAATGATTCTTCTAAAACATGAGTCAGACCTTAATGCTGTTCTTCTCAAAAGTGAAAATTAAAGTTCTTAAAATGGCCTACAAGTCCAGATCCTGTCTAGTCTGCTGTTAAATCTCTGACTTCATCTCTCATTACCCTTGTCCTCATTCCACATGCCCCAAACCCAGTATCCTGGCTTCCCTTGAAGGGCAGGCATGCTTCCCTCTCAGAACTTTTGCACTTGCTGTTCCCTCTGCCAATATCCACATGGCTCACACCCTCACCTACTTCAAATCTTTGTTGTCTTCTCACTGAGGCTTTCCCTAACTGTCCTGTTTAAAACTGAGCCTGCTCTTCCCTTTTTCTTTACCGGGTTTATTTCTATCATGATAAATATTTGCACTTATTTACTGCTCCTTTCCAACACACACGCGCGTGCACACACACACACACACACACACACACACACTAGAATGCATGATTCCACGAGGACTGGAATTTCTTTTTTTTTTTTTTTGTTATTTACAAATTTTTTTTAATTTAAGTTCTGGGATACATGTGCAGAACATGCGGGTTCGTTACATAGGTATACATGCGCCATGGTGGTTTGCTGTACCTATCAACCCGTCATCTAGGTTTTAAGTCCCTCAAGCATTAGGCAATTGTCCTAATGCTCTCCCTCTCCTTGCCCCCCACCCCCCGACAGGCCTCAGTGTGTAATTATCCCCTCCCTGTGTCCATATGTTCTCATTGTTCAAATCCCACTTATGATTGAGAACATGTGGTGTTTGTTTTTTTGTTCCTGGGTTAGTTTGCTGAGAATTATGGTTTCCAGCTTCATCCACATCCCTGCAAAGGACACAAACTCATCCTTTTTATGGCTGCATAGTATTCCATGGCGTCTATGTGCCACATTTTCTTTATCCAGTCTATCACTGGTGGGCATTTAGGTTGGTTCCAAGTCTTTGCTCTTGTGAATAGTGCTGCAATAAACATATGTGTGCATGTGTCTTTATAGAATGATTTATAATCCTTTGGGTATATAGACAGTAATGGGATTGCTGGGTCAAATGGTATTTCTTGTTCTAGATCCTTGAGGAATCACCACAATGTCTTCCACAATGGATGAACTAATTTACACTCCCACCAATAGTGTAAAAGCATTCCTATTTCTCCACATCCTCTCCAGCATCTGCTGTTTCCTGACTTTTTAATGATCGCCATTCTAACTGGTGTGAGACGGTATCTCATTGTGGTTTTGATTTGCGTTCTTCTAATGACCAGTGATGATGAGCTTTTTTTCATGTTTTTGGCCGCATGACTGTCTTCTTTTGAGAACTGTCTGTTCATATCCTTCACCCACTTTTTGATGAGGCTGTTTGTTTTTTTCTTGTAAATGTGTTTAAGTTCCTTGTAGATTCTGGATATTAGCCCTTTGTCAGATGGATAGATTGCAAAAATTTTCTCCCATTCTCTAGGTTGCCTGTTCACTCTGATGATAGTTTCTTTTGCTGTGCAGAAGCTCTTTAGTTTAATTAGATCCCATTTGTCAACTTTGGCTTTTGTTGCAATTGCTCTTGTTGTTTTAGCCATGAAGTCTTTTCCCATGCCTATGGAAGACTGGAATTTCTATCAGTTTTAATCACTATGTTATCCCGGAGGCCTGGAATATTGCCTAAACAGACTAAGCACTCAGTAAATATTTGTTGAATAAAGATCTTCATCCTTAGAGCACTAATAAGCCACTGAAAGCTTTAAATGTGAAGAGTCATAGTCATATAGAAGATTTTAAGGTCTCTCTACCTGTCCATGAAAAAGAATGTTGGGGTAGAGTGGGGGTGCAGTGCTATGGATAAGAGTGGATGCCTGGGAGAAAATGAGCTTATTACCAAGAAGAGCTAGTGCCATGAACTGAAGAAATGGGGTGTACTACCCTTGGTAATGACGCAGCCTCCAAAATGCTCCCACCCCCTTCCCCAGTGAGCCACACCACCCAGTATTCACATCCTTATGTGGTCCCCTCCCATGCTGAATGGGGGCTGCCCCTGAGGGACCAACTAGATATGACAGAGCCATGCTGAATGACTTCCCAGACCAGAAGGAAAAAGGCTCTGCCACTCCACTTTGGTGTTCTGGATCACTCACTCTCAGAACCCTGAACTGTTGCATGAGAAGTCTTGCTACCCCAAGACCATGATGCTAGAAGAATCACATGAGGAGGCCATAGGGACAAGCCCGACACTACATAAAGGGAAAGATGCCATACCAGTCCCTAGCTGTACAAGTCTCCATCTATTTAAATCATCCCAGCTGAGACCCCAGGCTCTGGGACCAAAGACATGACTTCCCCATTCTGCCATGTCTGAATTCCCGACCCTCAAAACCAAAAAAAAAATGGTTTAAGCCACTATGTTTGGGGGTAGTATGCCAAGCAACCATAGATAACCAGACACTCAGTGAAGGAGCCTCTTTGGACAGTGGGATTTCACCAACCAGGCACAGGTTTAGAGTCAACCAACTCTGAAGGACAGAATATCTCAAAGTGCCTTTTGTGTTGAAGAGCCTGGTTAGAATGAGCAAATTGCATCACTTTAATAGAAAAATGCAGCTGCTTCCAGGTAGTTCTTAATATAAACTGTCGAAAATTCAACGGTCTGATGTTCTCCAAACAGATTTTTATTGCACCTAAGTCCTTCAGGAAGACAACTATTTGTTTGATTCACTAAGGGAGCTCTGGATTACCATGATACTTTCCTCTTCTAACCGTCTGGAGAAGTTTAATGTAATGTATCCTGTTAGAGAACAAACTGGAATCACCATGATCTTCTCTGAGGAATGATGAGTTAATTGCTTGCTCTAAAGTTTGTCAAATAATTAATTGGAACTGTTATTTCAAGAATATTTGATGCCTGAACCTTTTGTGCTTTTCTATACAAATCAAAGACTAAATTATGATATCAGAGACTTATATTTATAAAAATGGAAATATTAGCCAAATGAAGTCCTCTTTTAAATCATGAACAGGGTATATGCAATAAATAGCTTAAAGTAAATGACCAAAAAACTAGTGAAAGTACATTGAAATGTGAAGACAAGAAGAGGTCAGAGAGTTTTACAAGGGAATATCAACCTCTTACATAGAATCCAAGCATAGCTAGCTATTCTAGGAGTACTAATTAAGATGGCATCTTGGAAAGGCTATATATCTGCTATAAATCCCACCTTCAATAAGCTTCTGTTAGATTACTACTCTGCCCTATGCTCTTGCCCTCTGAAATAAGAAATGTGCCAAAATTCGCAAAAGCTTAATCTTGAGCTACATCCAAACTCAGAAAGAAACACTGATATAAATGCATATATACTCCATACCTTACTTTAAGAACTATGGACTCTCCAAAGACAATCTTAGGCCTTTAACTGCAGAAGGGTACTTGGGTTTCTAGTGAAAGCCCATGACAGATATAGGCTAATATTAAGAGGTCAGCATCCAAAAGGCTCCCCATCACCTACAGGATAAAGTTCTATTTCATTCATTCATTCATTCATTTAGAGACAGGTTCTCACTCTGTCATCCAGACCTAAGTGCAGTGATGCTATATCATGGCTCACTACAACCTCAATTTCCCAGGCTTATGTGATCCTCCCACTTCAGCCTCCTGAGCAGCTGAGACCACAGGCACCCGCCATCATGCTCAGCTAATTTTTGTATTTTTTCTAGGGATGGGATTTCACCATGTTGCCCAGGCTGGTCTTGAGTTCCTGGGTTCAAGCTGCCCACCTGCCTTGGCCTCATAAAGTGCCGGGATTACAGGTGTGAGCCACCATGTCTGGCTCTATTTCTTAATGAGACACACAAAGCCCTTTGTGATCTTACCCTTGTTTACATCTCCATCGTCATTACTTGTTATACCCTCTCTACTCATTGCCATTCCTACTTTGCCTTCACCAACACACATACACGTAGGTGCGCACGTGCACGCACACACACACACACACACACACACACAATCCTTCAGCAGTACTGAATTAGTTGCAATTCCTAAATGTACTTTACTGTTTTAGATCTCCCCATAGCTCTCTCACTTTCTAGCATGTACTTTCCCTTCCTTTAACAATCCATTTAAACATCATCTTTGCTGTGAAATCTTTCCTCACTCCCTCCCTCAGGGCAGGCTCTGGCCATTCTTTCTTTGAGCCCTCAAGAGGCCCCATATATCATTCCTTCATTTGGTCTCCTTACATAAAGATGATGCAGAGAAAGATGTCCTACCAGTCCAGAGATGAGCACTTGGCTAAATTGTTTGGGAGAGCAAACAGCTTTGTTTGATTATTTCTGTCAGAACCCCCTAAAACACAGGGCTGGAAAAGATGAAAAAAACAGAAGGAAGAGAAATTGCCCCTCCAAATTAAAGGAAAAGATTTAAGAATTTAACTTTCAGTGTCTGTGCTATTAACCTTGTTCTTATGCAGAATAAATCATTTTCCATTTCCTCTCATCAACGTCCCTTTTTAAATGAAGCCAATCTAAAGTGGTGACCTGGGTTACCTTCAAATCAACATGACATTTATTAGACAAAATTTTGATGAACAAGTAAATAAAACCATGCCATAGAAGTCTAGGGACCAGAGAAATACCCTATATATTAGTCTAGGGACCAGAGAAATACCCTATCTATTTTATAAAAAACTCTTCCAAAATTGAGAAAGAACAATCTTCAAGAAAGCAAACTAACTGCTGTTCATTACTCTATTCAGCATGCATTCTATAACACAGAATTCTGCTTCCAGATACTCTGCGGGTGTGTGCACAAACATAGTATTTCATTGTGGAAGTGTCCTTGAATTATTATGAAACTTTAAGTTGGTCAGAACGGCTGAAAAGGATTAGAAATAAAAAATGCCAATCTGATGAGTAAAAAGAAAAGGTTCAGTGCACGTTTAGTAAGGGGAAATGGGCAAGAAAGTTATTCACCTCTATCTCTGGGATCAAAACTGAGACTGAAAATGCACAGCACAAGAGAAAGGCAATACTTGTTTAGGACTGGCTTTTAGTCTTCATACATTTTAAGCAATGACTATTATCCCAGCTCCCTAAGGATTCTAAAAATTTGAACATTTATAGAAAATTTGCTCCTGATTAGAAAATGCTATGAAATGCTTAATTCCAAAGAAATTTTCAAAGTAATATTATGGTCAACCAACTGTCAGCTCAACCTTGAAATGTTGAATATGACTCCCACCATGTAAGAACTATTTATAGCCCATATTATGATGTATTCAATTCTTTCAATAAATGCCTTTCTATTCCAATGGATACATGACCTTGAGAAAATGAATGAGGCAAAAATAAAGTTTTAAACTGATAACCATTAGAAGCCTTTGTCATTTTAGGGAGCCCTATCCCATAAAGTCCATATTAAACAGAGACTGAGCAAAAGCAGTATCTGGGAATCATGGAACAGATCTTCAGGAAATAGGCCTATTTCTGCTTGAGAGCTTGGAAAATGAGATGAGTTACTGTCTTATTCTCTTTAATTCTTAATAGCGGGCTGTGGTGCCCTGATGAGAGGAGAGGACAATCAAACAAATGGTGTGATACAAAAGCAATGCTCACCTTTTCAAAAAGCTGTTTGTTCTGGAACTTCTCAAATATATCCAGAAGTAGAAAGAATGGTCAACCTCCATAGATTCATCCTGCAGCTTTAAGAACTAGCAACTTTCTGTTGTTTTTATTTCATCTATCAACTTTCCAAATGTTTTTCTCTTTTCTGGAGCAAATGCCAGACATCATATCATTCTATTCCTAAATACTTTAGAATGCATCTCTAACAGATAAGAACATGTTAAAGTAACCACCATATCATTTTTATAAACAACATGATATATTTCTTTTTTTTAGTTTTGAGAGACAGGGTCTTGCTTTGTTCAGTGATTCAGGTAATATCAGCCTGAACCATCCATAATAAAATACCTCATTAACATTTCACCTAATGATTTTAGCATCTAGATTGCCAGGTCCATTATTTCTTTAGAGGTTGAAAACGGAATTATCCAAATCTTTTATTTCTTTCACTTTTATTTTACTCTATTCTCCTACTGAGAAACAGAAAAGCAGCTCCTAAACTCTGAGGGCTGCAGGCTGGCTTGACACTCACAGCTATACTTCAATGTTCTCTTGTTGGACATAAACAATCTCCCAGAACATCAGGTCAGCTTGTGACTTTGAAGAAGTGAGGTTTAAAAAAACAAGACCATTTCATAATATTGTTTAATCATAAGCAAAAACAAGGTCACTATGCAGACCACAAAAATACCAAACATCCCTCTTTTCCAAATAATATGAGTGACTGCTTCTTCTGTAATAATTACAGCTTCAGCCTTGCTCTAGCCTGCCCTACAAGATTTATTGAATACTCAATCATATATGGCATTCTTAAATAAGATTAAAAATGTCCAATCATAGCATTATCCTCCCTTCCTAATGACACTCAATCCACAGCAAATTCCCTCTTTCTTGAACCATCCCCAATATCATCTAACTGCAACCCAAATTATATATGTTCTTTTTAACACCCTGTTACCGAGATACCCCACAGTTCTCCATGGCATGCATTTTTCCCTCACTGCAACAAGTAGTACACCTGACTTGCTGAGCTACAGGTGTGTTCTTGGAGGTCTATGACTCAAGATGTGGGGATGTGGGAGAAGAACATTTATATCTATTTGGCTATCATGAAATACAGTCTATACAGGAAAAAGAGGATACATACTTAATTCTTTTCCTTTAATCGTTACTCTTCAGAGGAAATGAGTTTGTACTCTAGCAACCTACAAAGAATGTCAGTATGGAACACTCTTTTCCTTTTGAAGTACAATTATGAATGTATAGATTTTTATTATTTCAATCTATGACAGCAATTTTTTTTCTGAGACTAACGTGTTTGGAGAGCAAACTTTTTTTTTTTTTTTTTGAAGCTCAAATATTCCCATCTTTGGCCAGTAGGAGCTCCCAGAAGTTGACTCCTGTGTCCTATTGGTGTGACCCAGGAAGTCTTTGATAGCTACATACATACATATGTATAGATACATACATATATAGAGAAGCATACATATATACACATACAAATATATACATATACACATATGTGTATATATATGTATGTGTATATATATAGATACATATAAAATGCTGTGATTGAGTATATACATTCTTTAAATAAGAACAATATATGTTTCTTTACTTATATTCTTTAAATAGAGCATATGTTTAAAGACCAGGAAAGCTGATATATAGATATAGATATAGATATATAGATATATATACACACATACATACATATATACACACATACATATGCATACACATAGGTGTGGGTATATATACACACACACACACATAAAATGCTATGAATGAGTATATATATTCTGTTTTTTTTCTTTTTTTGAGACAGAGTCTCACTCTGTTGCCCAGACTGGAGTGCAGTGGCAGGATCTTGGCTCACTGCAACCTCTGCCTCACAGATTTAAGCAATTCTCCTGCCTCAGCCTCCTGAATAGCTGGGACTACAGGCATGCACCACCACACTCAGCTAATTTTTGTATTGTTAGTAGAGATGGGACTTCACCATGTTGGCCAGGCTGATCTTAAACTCCTGACCTCAAGTTATCCGCCCACCTTGGCCTCCCAAAGTGCTGGGATTACAGGCGTGAGCCACCGCACTGGCTACATGTTCTTTAAATAAGAACAATATATGTTTTTTTACTTCTATTCTTTAAATAGAACAATATATGTTTAAAGACCCAGGAAAGCTGATGGTAAGGTTCTAGTCTGAGTCCAAGTCTGAAGAAGCAGGAGATGAATGATGTCCCAGTTTCAAGATGGTCAGGCAGAGAAAAAAAATTCTTTGTTAGTCAGCCTTTTCTTCTATTCAGGCTTTCAACAGATTGGATGAGGCCCACCTATATTGTGGAGGGCAATCTGTTTTACTCAGTCTAACATTCAAATATTAATCTCATCCAGAAATATCCTTACAGACACACTCAGAAATAACATTTCACCAAATATCTGGGCATCTTTTGGCCCAGTCAAGTTGACACAAAATTAACCATCACAAGTAAACTATTTCTCCCTGATATTCACTTTAAGCAAAAAATGAGAGTAGTGATATCTAGCCGATAGATAAACTGTATACTATCCTGAGGCCCATTGAGGCCTGTATAAGAACATTATGGGTAGTTTCAGTCACCATACCTTTACAGGAACATAGAGACAAGGCAGAGTTTCAGGGAAGAGCTGTGGAAATGACTAAAGAAATAGAAAATAGGTCCAAAGAGGGAATATTAAGAAATTTGCCTAGAAAAAAAGAAAGCTAAAGAATGATGTAATTATTGTTCTCAAATAAGAAAGGTCTTTCCAAAGGGAGGTGTTGGGCAGTCAGCACTATGCTTTGGAATACTCTGCTGGAGAAAAGAGATTAAAGCAAGGGATATTGGCTATACCTAGAGAATGTCATTTATCACCCAGTCTTCAGTATCTAGAAGCAGCCTGTTCAAGTTTGGAGACTGGTTCTTATTCAGAAATGTACCTAAACACTAAAGCCATATGCCCTCTCAGGATGCTTTTGGGAATGTAATTCTGTCTATTGTTTCAATCAAATAGATCCTCTACACCTGGCACTGTAGAAAGCCAATAAGCTTCTCTCTAATCCATCTCAAAAGGCTCCATTGCATGCTGGTTTATGGCTATCTCTAACCAGAGAGGAGGAAGGCAGCAGATGTTGCCTGTTGCCTCTGCATGGGAGGCAGGCCAGCAAGTCTAGACACCACTCTGAAGGTGCAGATGACCAACAAGCTCTTCTATGGGCTAAAAAGCCGAAGAGGAACCGCCCATACTCTTCCTCCAGAATGCTTATGTCTTCCTTTTTACAATTCCTACAGCCCATTCATGTTCCCATGGGTAAGAACAGGGGCAAAAGAAGTGGATCTAGTCATTGTAGACACTGCTAAATGCTCCACAGACTGCAGAATAAACAAGGCCCCTGTTTAATCTAAAGTCTAATTAGACAAACTAGATGTAAACATGAGGACAGTGCTTCTCAAAGGAAAAAAACTGGGGTTTTTAGTCGTCCCTGAAGACACAGTTATTAACAGAACACTTAGAATAATTCCTCTTTTCTAATTTAGTGCACAGGATCTGGGGGTTGGATGACTGGAGGAAAATACACTGACAAGAACAGCTATCTAAGAGGGAGATTTCACCAAGAAAGGCTGACTGAAGGACAGCAGTGTAACTGCTTTCACAAGCTAAGAGGGCAAAATGAGGGAATTTCACAAAGAACACACAACGTCACAAAGGAAATAACTCTAACAGCCTTAATAAAGCTACAAATATTTTTTCTCATCCTCTTCTAAGCCCAGAAGGTACTTTCTATTTTTATACTTTTTTTCCCTTTTTGATTGACAAGGACAGCAAGGTAACAGCAGATTGCTTCTTTAATAAATTGATTACATCTCATAAAGCCCAGATTAGATGGAAAAATACCTATATAGTCAATTTCTCTTCCACACTTATTTGTTGGTTCCATCCTGTATGTTCAACAGGAAGAACATATAGATGTATGTTCTTGTATAGATGTTCAACAGGAAGAAAACAGGTTTGGTTCAAATGCATCTTTTGGCACGTAACCCAAAGGGTGCCAATTAGTGCTAGCGCTCAGCAGGACTCTTAGTTAATAAATTTAAATTACCACAAATCCTTTTGATGAGATGGTTATTCAGAGAATGATTCAACACAAATTTTGACTTTAATATTTGTATCTTGTCTCCCAATTCTTATCCTTTAGAAATTTATAAAAAGAGGAAAGTCCTGAAAAACAGTTTTAAGTTTTCAAGTAGTTTTCCATAGTGGGTTAGATGGTGGTCCCAAAAAAAGATATGTCTACATCCTAATCCCTAGAACCTATGGTGATTACCTGATATGGCAAAAGAATGAATATTACCATATGTGGTGAAAGATGTTTCCTTGCCTCCAATTGTCTTCCCAACACAATGCAATGAGGACTTTTGTATAAGAGAAACAACTCTTATTATAGTCATAAATGACCGCAAATGTCCTCAGCTTACTTGACCTCTCAGCAGCATTTGATAGAGTTGATATTTCTTCTTGAAATCACTTTTTCACAGTTTTATGACTCCAGGCTTCCTCCTACCTTCTTTAGTTTATCCTTTTATCTCCTTTGCTGGCAGTTTCTTCTAACCACTGTTATGCCTCTGGGATTCTGCCTTTGACTCTCTTCTCATCTCTATATTCTCTTCCTAGATAGTCTCCTCCAATACCTTTGTTTTAAACACTGTAAACACATTCTGACAACTCAATTTTTCATTGCCAGTCTTAATTTGTCCCTGAATGCCACATTCAAATATCCAACTACCTATTCAACATCTTCCCATGGCTCTTTAACAATTACCTCACCTTTACCATGGCCAAAAAAGAATTTTTGATTCCCCACTCCACACCTTCCTAGTCTGCCTCCTTTCAATAAATGGCACAAATATTCACTCAGTCATTCAGGTCAAAAGTCTTACAAGTTATCCTTAATTCTTCTCCTTCCCTGATTATTCCATATCTAACACATCAGCAAGTCCAGCAAGCTCAAATTTCAAAACTTATCCTGAATTTGACTGCCCCTCACCAATTCTTCACCACCACCTCATCATCATCTCCCAGAAAATTTTAGCAACAGCCTTAAAACAATAGTCCATTCTACAAATAGCAGCAAAATTGGCTACTATTATGCTTATCATTCTTTAATGAATTTCCACTGAGTCCAAATTAAAATTAAAATACAAACTCTTAGCAAGGTGTAGAAGGCCCCGCATGATCTGTTCTTGGCTCACTTCCTTGATCTTATCTCTACTCCTCAATTCTCACATTTGAACTCTACCACCCTTATTTTCATCCTGCATACATTTCAAGTTCAGTTTTGTTTGAAGGCAAATGCACTTATTGTTTCTTCCAGTTGGAAGTGTCTTCCCTAGGATCCTTCCCCTGCCTTCCTTTCATAATTCAAATGTCACCTCCTCAGAAAGGCCTTTCCTGACCATCTTAGCCAAAGTAGAACTCCTCCTCCACTACTATCTATCATATTTCCCTATTTTATTTTCTTCACAGCACTTATTAGGATCTGAAAATAATCTATTTATTCATTTGCATGTTTACTGTCTGAATAGCCTATTGCAATGTCGGTACCTTGAGGTAATGACTTTAAGATTTTTGGTCTCGTGTCCCCAAGTACCTGGTCTATAACAGGTACTTAGTAAATTTTTTTACTTACTGACTATAGGGTCCTCTGAGAATGCTTCAGTTTCCATCCCCTAGGCTTGGTAGTATATCATTCCCTATCTTTGAATATATGACACTAATTATTATGTTATTTTAATAATCTCCTTTAAGTTGTGCAAGACTGAATTTCTCATCTTTGTGGCCAACAAGTCTTCATAAAATTGTTGAAATGATGCTATATCCTGAATTTGGACATTAATCAAAGATTCCCAATAATAAAGCTAAGGATGTGAGATACAAAAACAATTTCAGTGCTAGCATCCCCTTTGCATACCCTGACCCTGGTTTTGCTGATGCCGGCTTAACATCTGACTTTCAAATTCTGTCTGAGGAGTTAAAAATGATATTTCCATAAGCTTCCCTGCTTTCCACTGAAAGGATATGTTTTCTCCCCAGGAGAAGAGATGAAACCTAAGAGAGGTATAATCTATTTCAAGACTTGCCAAGGACATTGAACATAAATCAGGTATAAGAGTTTAATTATTAAGTATAAGGCATCATGAAAACAGCACTGGCCTAGAAGACAGAAGTCCCGAATTCCAGGTCTGCCCTATTTAGTTCAATGACCTTGGCAGGGGACTTAGCTTCTCTGAGGCTTTCTCCCCTGTAAAATAACAAGATTGGATCAGTTGACCCCAACCCTCCCTTGCATAGCTAATAATCTATTATTACTATCCAACTTGCATGCCTGTTTCTTTTTTGTTGGACCTATTTTTAAAGCTGCTTTTCTCTCTCACTTTCCTAAGAGAGTACACCTCTGGAAAAGCAGGTGACTAAGTTTCACTTGTAACACACTTCTGATTACACAGAAATGCACACTGCTTCCCAGGCAGAGAAATGTATGATGGTTGATTTGCACCTTACTGATTGGATACATGGAATAGCAAGTGGGAGTTTTAATGGGTTCATGGCATTGAAGATTGCAGGCATTCAATTCCTTTTAGCTCAAGGGTAGTTTTGTTTGCCTGTTTAGTTTGAAGGAAAAAAAACCACTTTTATTTGGGTGCTCAGTTACCAAGTGAAACGTGGCTCCACAGAACTCAATTGCGTGCAGTGAAAATCAAACTGTAAGCCATATACCCCCACACATTTAGACTGAGCAAGCCAAATTCTTACTAAAGATTTTCAAAGATGAGGTAAAATGCAGGTTATCAATGCCAATTTGTGTATATATTCAGCAACATACACATGTTTGAACTGATCTTAACACAACTGCAAGTTAAATTGAAGCCCCCAACAGTGGATTTCTCAGTACCAAATCTCTACTGGGCAGATATCTAAGTCAGTTTCCATTGCCATTGACCCCTTTCTTCAGAGAGAGGATGAAGATAAGGAGGAGATAGCTAGTAGCAGGTCACTCACTGTCTACACTAAGATATACCCTTAGCCAGTGCACAATCTCCAGTGAGTTCAACCGATTGAAGAGAGCAAAATATATCCTTCCAACGAGAAAGATGGAATTGCCTGTCAAGCTGCTTGGCAGCTGACAGTCTATGCCAGTGTTTCTCAAAGTATGATCCTCAGACCAGTAGCAGAAGCATCACTGTTGAACTATTGAGACCTGAAAAGTCTCATGCCCCAGCCCAGACCTACTGAATCAGAAACTTTGAGGGTGGGATCAAGCAATTGTATTTTAACAAACCAGGCAGGTGACACAGGTGACTCTAATACACATTAAAGTTTGAGAACCACTCATCAAACAGCAATACTATCTTCAGAAATGAAAATGTTTCATTGTTCTCTATAAGCTTATGTGCACAATTAATAGACAGTAGACAGAAGGTTCATAAGAATACAAAATAGCTGAGTATTGCTTTTCATTGTTCCACTTAGGTTTTGAAGATACCCTGGAGTTTTTTCCCATCACCGATTAAGCAACTGCTTGCTGAGCCCCTAGTATGTGAGAAGCATGATTCAAGGCACTGGAGATATGTTGATAAAATACTCTTTCCATCCTCAAACGATTTTTAATCTAGTGGGAAAGACAGACGTTACACCCAAAGTTGTACTATTAATTATTTCCATATGGTTCTAAAATGTACAATGAAAAAAAAAGTTGCAATGAAAGAATACATTTCTTAGATCTCCCTAGATCTAATTTGGTCTGAAGGGTTAAAGAAGGCTTCCCTGGCTGGGCACAGTGGCTCACCCCTGTAATCCCAGCACTTTGGGAGGCCGAGGCAGGCGGATCACGAGGTCAGGAGATCGAGACCATGCTGGCTAACACGGTGAAACCCCATCTCTACTAAAAATACAAAAAATTAGCTGGGCGTGGTGGCGGGCGCCCGTAGTCCCAGCTACTCGGGAGGCTGAGGCAGGAGAATGGCGTGAACCCAGGAGGCAGAGTTTGCAGTAAGCGGAGATTGCACCACTGCACTCCAGCCCGGGCAACGAGCGAGACTCTGTCTCAAAAAAAAAAAAAAAAAAAAAGAAGTCTTCCCACCAAAGTAAACCAAGCAAGGCATTAATCAGAGAAAGAAGTAGTCCAGACAGATGAAGCAGCACATAGAAAGGCATTAAGGAAGAAGAGATCTTTTTAGGATGTTTGAGGACTGAAGAGGCACCATAGTTAGATGAGGCTGGAAAAGTAAGCAGAGGGCCCCTTAAGACAGCTGCTAATAAGAAGTTTTCCCTTTGTTCTAAAAGCAACAGAAATCTATGGAAACGTTTTAAACAAAAAAACTGATATAATTAGATTTGCATTTTTAAAAGATCACTGCGTGGTGGAGAATGAAATGGAGGGAGCTCGGAACAGGTGCAGAGAAACATCTGCAGCGTCTAAAAGACATTGCAGAATCTAAAAGAGGAAAAATGTGGCTTGGACTTGGGTCATAGCATAAGAAATGGAGACAAGTGGACAGATTATTTTGGAGGCTGGGTCAACACAATTTGGGAATTGATTAAGTGTGATGTGAGAGAAAATTTATGAGTCTCAGGTTTCAGATGTAGAAAATTGAATCAACACCACATAAACAGAATTAAAAACAAAAACCATATAATCATCTTATCTCAACAGATGCAGAAAAAGCACTCAATAAAATCCAACATCCCTTCATGATAAAAACCCTCAAGAAACTAGGCATGGAAGGAAGACACCTCAAAATATTAAGAACCTTCTATGGCAAACCCACAGCCAACATCATACCGAATAGGGGAAAGTTAAAAGCATTCTTCTTAAGAACTGGAACAAGGCAAGGATGCTGATCCACGCTTGCCACTCCTATTCAACAGAGTACTGTAAGTCCTAGCCAAAGCAATCAGGCATGATAAAGAAATAATAGATATCCAAATAGAAAAAGAGGAAGTCCAATTATCTGTGTTCACTGATGACACAATCCCATACTTAGAAAACCCTAAAGATTCCTCCAAAAGACTCCTAGACCTGGTAGATAATTCAGAAAAGTTTCAGGATACAAAATTCATGCACAAAAATCAGTTGTGTTTCTATACACCAACGTTTAAGCAGAGAATCAAATCAAGAATGCAATGCCATCTATAATAGCCACACACAAAAAATAAAATCTTAGGAATACGTCTAATCAAAGAATTAAAAGTTCTCTACAAAATGAACTACAAAACACTGATGAAAAAATCACAGATGACACTACCATGGAAAAACATCTTACGTTCATGGATAGGAAGAATCAATATTGCTAAAATGACTATATTACCCAAAGCAATCCCAGATTCAACACAATTCCTATCAAATTACCAACATCATTTTTCACAGAATTAGAAAAAACAGTTCTAAAATTCATATGAAACCAGAAACAGAACCTGAATAGCTAAAGCAATCTTAAGTAAAAAGAAAAAAGCCAGAGGCATCACATTGCCTGACTTCAAACTATACTACAAACTATACTACAAGGCTATAGAAACCCAAACAACATTGTACTGATATAGAAATAGACACATAGATCAATGGAACAGAATAAAGAAACCATAAATAAAACCACATACCTACAACCAACTGATCTTTGATGAAGTAGATAAAGATAAACAATGGGGAAAGGACACTCTAGTCAATAAACTGTACTGGGAAAACTGGCTAGCCATGTGCAGAAGAATGAAACTGGACTCTTACCTGTCACCATATAAAAAATTAACTCAAGATGGATTAAAAACTTAAATATAATACTTCAAACTATAATAATTCTAGAAGAAAACCTAAGAAGTATTCTTCTGGATATTGTCTTAGACAAAGAATTTATGACTAATACCTCAAAAACAAATGCAACAAAAACAAAAATAGACAAATGGGACTTAATTAAACTAAAGAGCTTCTGCACAGCAAAATAAATAATCAACAGAACAAAAAGACAACCTACAGAATGGCAGAAAATATTTGCAAACAATGCATTTGAAACTAATATTCAGAATCTATAAGAAACTTAAATCCATGAAAATAATAATAAAAATAATAATAATTCCTTTAAAAAGTGCACAAAAGACACCAACAGATACTTCTCAAAAGAAGACCTAAAGGCAGCCAATAAACATATGAAAAAATGTTCAACATCACTAATCATCAGAGAAATGCAAATCAAAACCACAATGAGATACCATCTCACACTAGTCAGAATGGCTATATTAAAGAGTGAAAAAATATTTAATAGCAGATGTTGGCAAGGATGCAGAGAAAAGGCAATGCTTATACACCATTGATGGGAATGTAAATTAGTTCAACCTCTATGGAAAACAGTATGGAGACTTCTCAAAGAACTAAAAATAGAAGCATCATAATGACTCAGCAGTCCCACCACTGGATATCTACCCAAAGGAAAAAAATCATTCTATCAAAAAGACACTTGCACTTGTGTGTGTATTGCAGCACTATTCACAATAGCAAATTCATGAAATCAGCCTAAGTGTCCATTGATGATGGACTGGATAAAGAAAATTTGGTGTATATATACAGACCATGGAATATTATGCAGCCATAAAAAAGAATAAATTCATTTTCATCACAGCAACATGGATGGAGCTGGAGGTCATTATCCTAAGTGAAATAACTCACTACGGATAGAAATAGAAAATCAAATACCACATGTTCTCACTTACAAGTGGGAGCTAAACAGTGGGTATACATGGACATAAAGAGGGAAATATTAAGCACTGGGGAGTACAAAAGCAGGGAGGTTAGGTGGGGATGAGGGTTGAAAAACTACCTATTGGGTACTATGTTCTCTATTTAAGTCATGGACTCACTAGAAGTCCAAACCTCAGCATTATGCAATATACCCATGTAACAAACCTCTACGTGTACCCACTGAATCTAAAAATAAAATAAGAAAATTGAATCAACTGTATCTCCGTTTACTACAGAAGAAGTAATTTTGGAAGGGAAGAAGGATAAAACAGTGCCTAACACATAACAGGTGCTGAATAAATAAACATGTGTTGAATTATGAACGAATGAATTTAATTCTCCCTGAGCAGAAATTGAAAGACCTGCTTCCTGTATGCCCATTTCAACAATTCAATTCAACCACAAGCATCTATTGATTAAATAGAAACTTCTGTAGCCAAAAGTGGTGGGGGCTAAATGATTAACAGATTTGTGACAGGTATGATACCCCAAAAGGATGGTTTCTGTGATATCATATCCCCCCAAATATGCCTCAAAATCTTGGGAATAGGGCATGGGAATATTGGGGGGATATTATACTACAGAAACAAAAGGTTTATGGCAAAAAGGAATTTGCAGGTATAATTAAGTTAAAGATCTTGAGATAGGGATATTCTCCTGTGCTAGCTAGGTGGACCATATGTAATCACAACAGTATTTATAAGAATGCAAAAGCAATCAGAGTCAGAGGAAAAGGCAATGTAATGACAGAAGCAGAATTTGGAGTGATGGACTTTAAAGATGGAAGAAGGAGCCACAAGCAAAGGAATACAGGTGGGCACTATAAACTGAAAGAGGCAAGGAAATAAATTCTCCCCTAAGACTCCAGAGGGAACTAGCCCTACAAATACCTTGACTTTAGCCCAGTGAAACTGGAAATGTAAAAGAATAAATTAATGCTATTATAAGCCATTAAGTTTGTGGTAAATTGTTACAGCAGCAATAGGAAATGAATACAGATTCCAAATAGAACATTAAAGGTGTTGGTGCAGTTTATTTCCATAAATAGCCCAATATTACTCAATAGTAAATGGGTAAATGAATAACTCTTTGCTAAGCACAATGTGCTCCCATACCATTCAATTAAATGTTTTCTGCCTCAGAGTAACAGCATAGAATTTAGCCTTCAGAATTTTAAAGTAAAAGCAGAGACTACTACACGACCATCCAATATGCATCCCTCCCTCACTTAACTGAACCCTTCATTTATTCAGAGTATCAATGTGTCCAGTTTACAGGTACATTTCCCACATTCCTTTGCAGCCAGTATTAGTCAATGATACTCACATGGAGGATTCTGTGGAATGTCTGTGAAGGCTCCTTAAAGGGAGCTGACTTAGTTGGGAGATACACCTTTTTAGACTTTCCCTCATCCCCCTTCTACTGTCTAGTTGTGGGTGTGATGATGGAGCACTCATACTGACCCTGAAGTGACCTTGAATATGATAACCATATGCTAAGGATCTCAGCAGCTTGAATCCATGAAGATACTAAGGAGCCACCATAGGAGGCTTCAACTGCCTACCTCTGTTACATGAAAGAAAAATAAGCCTCTTTCTTGTTTAAGCTACCATTATTTTAGGTTTTCTATTATATGTAAACAAACCTATTCCTAACTCATACATGGATCACACTTCTTTAGGAAGCTAGTGAAAATTATAGAATACTTACCCAGATGATGCACATAGGCACACAAAATTTTGCATTTGATTTCATGTTTGTAGAAAACTCCTCATTGTCATACAAAATTCGAAACATTAACCTCCTGGAGACCCAGTGAATCCAGGTTAAAAATTCTTGCCCTAGTAGTGAAGAGAATATCCAATCAAGTTATCATAGAACCAAATCAAATAGCTTTGTGCACAGGATAACTCAAAAACAAATGTTGTCAATAGTCTCAATCTGGGAGAAAAAAAAGTATAAAGCTATTATTACACGTACATTCTATTTCCACTTGTCTGTAAGTAATGAGGGTGAATTATTTGACCGTAGAATTTCGAGCTGATAAGTGGCTCAGAGATATTCATCTAATCCTCCCTCTAAAGAGGAAGAAAGGGACCAGAGTCAAGTCACTTTAGGTCATTCACCTAATCTCTGAATCTTTCCGTTTTTATGTTTCATTTTCTGTTATTTTTATTTGCCACATCTACTTTTAGTATATTCCTTACACCTTGTAAGTGCCCAATAAATATTTTTTGTTTGATTTTCATTGGTCTTATTCAAAGGTTGACAACTATGGCCTCATGGACCAAATCCAGCCTGGTTTTTTTTGTAAATAAAATTTGATTAGAAGATAGCAACTTCTATTCATTTACATATTGCCTATGACTGCTTTTGCACTGCAGTGGCAGAGTAGAGACAGAGTTGTCCACAAAACCTAAAATACTTACTATCTCATTCTTTACAGAAAAAAAAATTGCCAACCCTGGTTTTATCCATTATTTGGAGATTGTTTTTCTAAAAGTTGCAGTCTACACTAACATTTTAAAAGAAAAAAAATTATATTTGTTTAAGGAAAAGCAGATTATTTCACTCCTGAATAAAGTTATGAGGCTTCACTATACATCTTCCCTTAAACCATTAAAACCCTGCTGGCAGCATATAGTGCCCAGATCTTGGTTTAAAATATTATTCTCCAATAAAGGGAATTAGAGCTCTTTGGAGAAATGGCTGATTCTAAGACTGAGGCAGGAAACACAGAAGATGAGCCTGGAGCATCTTGTGGTGTCACAAGTAAAAAGTTCTCAAAAAAAAAGTTTTTAACCACAAAAATGTGTTTGTCAAAGAGACACAGGAGCCAAGTGAATGAGTTCCCAATGGCCAAACCTGGAATAATTTGGGCAACAAAATAAATAAAGAAGTATTGATGTATAACCCAAAGTATAAAATAAATATCCATGAGTCCATATTGCTATACATAAATGATTGAATAAATAATTAGAGGAGAATAAATATATCTCTGTAGAAGAATTCCAAATAATTTATATAGATACTCTGCCCTCAAGGTGGTAGAACATAACTCACTACTTCTTAAGTGTGGGCTGCGTATAGTGACTTCTTTCCAAAGAGTATGGGGTGAGGGGTAAAAGAATAACTTTACAGTGAACTTAACAGACACAGTAACTCTGCCAGGTGACCGAAGTTTACATCATCAACGGTGATAGGTCATATTGGTAGTATGCACCTGTGACATGATGGGATGAGAATGGCACTTTATCTCTGTGGCTTTCCTCCCAAAAATTCATAACCTAGTGTAATCATAAGAAAAACATTAGACAAATCCCAGCTAAGGAATATTCTAGAAAATACCTGACTAGTACTCCTCGAAACTGTCAAGGTCATCAGAAACAAAAGAAGTCAGAGAAACTATCACAACCAAGAGGAGCTTAAGGGACATGGACAACTAAATGCTCTGTGGTATCCTGGATGGGATCCTAGAATGAAAAAAAAAAAAGACATCAGGAAAAAACTTAGAAAATCTGAATAAAGCACGGACTTCAGTTAATAATAATGTGTCAGTATTGGTTCACTAATTGTGATAAATGTATATACTAATGTAAGATGTTAACAGTTGAGGAAACTAGGTGTGGATTATATAAGAACTCTGCACTATCTTTGCAATGCTTCCATAAATTTAAAACTACTCTAATACCAAGTGCTTTTTTTAAATGAAACTTGTTGGTTCCAATTCATTTTTTTAAAAAAATGTATAGAATCATTTATTTCTTCTTCAACAATGACTCCCTTTACATCTATTATCCTGGTTACCAAATATGTAAAGTTTACTCTCTGGCCTTTTCCAGCGATTTTTTTTCTCCCACTCTCTACCTTACTATTGTATTTCATAGAAAGAATTTGATTTTTTCTCCCTTAAGCCTTAACATTTCCTCTTCTCTTTTTGTCGAAGTCCAAAAACCACACAATTTGCTTTAGTGTTAATATGATTTCATTTGCAGAATCTGACAGCAAGTATAGATTTGCAAGATCTTCATTTTTCTCTCTCAACATTAATTCTCAGGTGCTGTCACAGACACTTACTCCTCCACTTCAGCTCCTGACTGATTTTCCAGTTTGTTCTCTCCTCTGCTAGTACAGAATCTCTACTGTGGCTCTCCTTAAACACGATGAAGAATTGAAGTCCTTTATTTCTTCAAATTGCCATAAATAAAAAGGTCAGTTCTCAAGAATAAATATAGCTTGTGTAGTTAAAGGATTTCACCTCCTGGGAAGATCAGCTGATAAAACCATCTTCTAGTGAGAATGGTAGTAAGGGAAGACCTGGCATTTGTCTTTTCTTAATCACTAAATCCTTGACATTTAGTATATTTTTTGGAACCTCTGTGGTACTAGCTTAAGATTACCCTCAATTATTTGCTAACTTTGGAGAAGAATGACCATTAAGTTCATACTACAAATTATCAGTGCAAAGTTGCATTTCAGAAATCCCCTCCCCCAACTATACATCTACAAAGGAGAAATTTTCACACATATGTTGTGTAAATATTCATGAGAGTAAGGGAAATAGCTAATAGCTACTGGCAACTGCTAATATAATATGAATTGAGGGTGCATCAAATCCTATTGCTCTTCAAAATCTCCCAACAAGCCAGAGATAATACCGCCTCCTGAAATCTTTCACTAAATCTTCATTTAGTTTAAATGATTTTCCTAATTAGGGTACTAGAGCTTTTTTCTAATATCAAAGGTCTCTTTATATATCCTACATTTGTCTGAAATACACGTGCACATCAAGTTTCTTTTCTTGTGATTTTAGTTGTAGAACTCAGTGTGCTGATACTTACTTCAAGCTAAACAGAAACTCTAATTAATAGGAAAAATATATCGTTGGTTGTGTTTGTTTAGTAGACAAAAATCTTATAAAATTGTGGGAAAAAATTATAAGAGGTCTTTGTGATTGACAGGTTCAGGAACACTGGGATTCAATCCATAAAGATGGAATTTGGCCTTCAGAAAGATCCTAGTAAAATTTACAGAATTTTGGGGAACCTGAAGGAGAGTCTTTCAGCTCTTCTTTAAGCTTCTCCTACGAGTACCAGTTTAGTAGACTGATGAGTTAGTACCTCTAGCAAGGATAGAAGGAATATGGGATCTAGAACAGATACTTTTCCGGTGCAAGCCCAAACATCAGGAAAGCCAATATAGTGGTCCATGCAAACAGATGGAAAGGAAATGGGGAGAAGTAAGACCCCAGGTGGTCAGGGTGAGGACAACATGAGGCAGGATCAGGGCAGTGGGATTCCTAGCACAAATATCTGGAATAGGAGGATTAAAAGAAGGTAGGTGATATGGATTGACTCTGTGTCCCCACCCAATTCTCATCTCGAATTGTAATACCCACAATTCAGGGAAGGGACCAGGTGGGAGGTGATTTGATCATGGCGGGGTGGGGAGAACCCCATGCTGTTCTCATGATAGTGAGGGAGTTCTCACAAGATCTGATAAGTGGCAGTTTTCCTTCTCTCTCTCCTTCCACCACATAAGACATGCCTTCCTTCCCCTTCCACCATGATTATGTTTCCTAAGGCCTCCCACCATGCGAAACTGAGTCAATTAAACCTCTTTTCTTTATAAATTGTCAGTCTTAGGTAGTATTTCTTTATAGCAGTGTGAAAACAGACTAATATACAAGGGAAGATGGTAAGAATTAGGTATATGGTATATTGTTTGAGGAACAGTAAACAACTTTATCATACACACATAAAATTACTTCTAAACACGTTTACATTTTCACCAGCTTCTGTTTCATTCTAAAATGTTAGTGACTTCAGATTTTTTTTTTTTTTTTTAAAAAAGGGTCTTATCATTTTACTTATCTTGCTTTGGAAGAGCTTTAGAATCATGCAACTATACAAAATGCCCTAACCATTTCACAGGGTTGAAATAACAGGCATGAAATCCAAAATTATTACAAAATTCTCAGTGGAAAAGTGAACAATCTTATAAAACATCTTCACTGATACTTTATTCAGCTTTTCAAGCACTGCATGAATGCTACTTTCTTCTTATTCTAACTTTTATTCAATTACTATAATTCATAATCCTCCATAGAAAAACAGTTGTTTACTGTTTACTCCACAACGAAGTAGAACTTATCACATTCTCCTTCTCCTTCCTTGAGTGCCCTCTTCACCCCCTTTTCTACTTATTGAAAGTAGAAAATTTTTATGTCCAATGTGAATCCCACACAGGGAAAGGAAGTACAGCCAACAGGAGAATGGTAGCCTCTGCTGGAAATTTCCTTTTCTTCTCTATAAAGTCCCACAAAATATGTGTACCACTGATTTGAATAAACGAATATTTGTTGAGCCCCTAATATGTGCACAGAAGTGCCAGAAATTTCCTTAGAAAGTCATATTGCACATTCCCAAGAGAGAAGATCTGAGAAGTCATGCTGTGAAGAAACCAGCTTAATTTGGTCTGCCCTAATGTTTTCTAACTTGACTTTGGAATCCTGGGTACCAAACACTTATTAATCTCCCACAAAATCACTTGTCTACCTCGAGTGATTTTTAACTTGACTTTGGAACCCTGGCTACTATATGTGAACTTATATTGATATTCCTCTATTATCTCCATCGTTATAAGATGATAAGTCATATCATCAAGCTTCAAGCCACAGTAAAGATGTGTAATGAAAAGGGCCTCTCTAACCAGACTGAGGTCAGGAACCAGGCCTTGTTCACTGTTGCTATCCCTAGTATCTAGCAAGTGCTAGGCACATAGTAGGAACTCAGTGGGTATGACTGGAGCAAAGAGAAGGACAGCGAAGAAGAAATGTAGGGAAAAAAAATGGGCATTTGTTGAGGATCTGTTTTATGTCATGCACTGAGCACATGATAACCCACAGATTATATAATTTAGTCCTTGCAACAAGTCCATAAAATAAATATTGTTATCTCCACTTTGTAGAAGAATAAATAGAGTAAAAAATGTTAAGAAATTTTTCTAAAATTCACATAATTTATGAGCATGCAAGTCAGGATATTTGTTCTATATATTGGAGCTCCAGGATATTCCATTTGAAAAGTGTTTCTGCTGATTTCAAACAGTTTAAAAACCAGAATCTATTTAGGAAATCTTCTAGTAAAGAGGAAAGAATACTAAAATGTTACTAAATTGATTTCTGATCAACAAAACTTAAAAACATTCTTAACAATTAATAATTATTAAGTTTGGGGGAAAAGACCTCAACAACCACTATTCAATATATCTTTAAATCAAAAACAGGAGGCTGGCCCTCAACACCCTTGGCTACTCTTTCTAAAATGGCTGTCTAGGTGGAAGAGTTCCAGAAAGCTAAGCACAATTCTAACAGAAAAATCAACAGGAACAGTAATAATTAATAATTACTTTTTTTTAAGTTTTGTTGATTAGAAATCAGTTCAGTAACATTTTGGTATTCTTTCCTTTTTACTAGAAGATTTCCTAAATAGATTATGGTTATTAAACTGTTTGAAACCAGAAGAAACATTTTTCAAATGAAATATTCTGGAGCTCTGGGTGCGGTGGCTCACGCCTGTAATCCCAGCACTTTGGGAGGCTAAGGCTGGCGGATCATGATGTCAGGAGTTCGAGACCAGCCTGGTCAACATAGTGAAACCCCGTCTCCACTAAAAATACAAAAAATTAGCCAATCGCAGTGGTGGGCACCTGTAATCTCAGCTACTCTGGAGGCTGAGGCAGGAGAATCGCTTAAACCCGGGAGGCGGAGGTTGCAGTGAGCAGAGATCACACCAATGGATGAAAGCAGAGATCAGGCCACTGCACTCCAGCCTGGGCCACAGTGTGAGACTCTGTCTCAAAAAAAAAAAAAAAAATTAAAGTAGCCATCTAATAAAGTATTCTATGTAGGCATTCTAAGAATTTTGAAAAACAAATTTCCACCTGACATTCACTTTTCTAGAATTGCTTTAGGGTTTAAAATAAACACATTATATTTATCATACACACACTCACACACACACGTCATTTGAAGGTGAAATATACAATGAAAGAAATAACGTTTGTTTAACGTGTGATGTTTAACAACTTCTGCAAGGTCTAAGAAAAGCATTTAATTGAACATCTAGGAACATTTTTATAGCACTTCAAATCATCTTACAGTCATAGTGCCCAAGATATTCTTCCTTATTTAAAATTTTAAAATTGTCCCCAAGTTTTCATTTTGCAAGTTTCATCTAAAAATATGATTATACAGAAAGCAAAATGGTGATTTACTTTATGGCTAACAGGCTTATCTTTAAAAAATCTAGTGAACACAAATGTTATTTTGCCATTTTTGTTTCTATTGCTTGCAAACTAGAGTTTGGGGGAAAAGACCTCAAGAACTACTATTCAATATATCTTTAAATCAAAAACAGGAGGCTGGCCCTCAACACCACTTGGCTACTTTTCCTAAAATGGCTGTCTAGGTGGAAGATTTCCAGAAAGCTAAGCACATTTCTAATAGAAAACTCAAGTCTTACAGGAACCGGACTCCTGGAATAATGACAGCTCAAAACTGCAGTGGGAGTTGGTCTCTACAGCCCTCCCATACCTTCCCTTCCCTACTCCTTCTGTCGAGTTGCTCCTTCAGAGGCTCCATCCTCCCAGCAATTCCCTGGTTCCCACAAGCCTACTCCAGGCCTGGGTAGCCCATGCTCTGCCTCTCCCTCTCCTCTCTTATCACAGTTTACCTGTCAAAGCTCTGATGGTTTAGAGTCAGGCCTCTGCTAGGTGGTCAGACAGAAGAGGACTAATTCATGCCAAGATGATTGGCCAATGAAAACTTAATGTGATTTTGCTCCAAAATAGCACATTGTTATTATAAGAGGCTTCAATATATTAGTGCAAAAGAATGAGAACAGCATGCATTTCTGGCACTGCAGCAGTCCAAAGGCAGGCTTTTCAAAATAGGAATAAATTTGGACCCCTCACACCATGAACTCTAGTATGCAGAAATAGGCTTAGTACTATCTTTTATCAACAATATTCATAATACAATGTTTCTCAAATTATATTCAGTAAAATACCAGTGTCCTATGAACAGATATTTCACACAAAAAAAAGTGTTCTGTGGTCAAATAAGGCAGGGAAACAACTTCCTATAGCTGTATTTACTCAGAGATTCCTAACATACATTAGTAGTTTTAAGGCTGTGTAAGGTGTAGCATCTGCTGTTATTTAGCTAGTATTTCATTCATTCATACAGTAAACATTTGCATGCCTGTGAAATGCCAGGCACTGTTCCAAGCTCTTGATGGTCAAACAACATCCCTGTTTTCAAAAACTTACACCCCAGGCAGGCTAGGAAGAAGTAACAAACAAATGGACAAGATAATTTAGCCTCCAAAAGTAAAATAACATGAAACAAGGAGATGTGATACAGCATGTAAGGGTAAGTGGTCTGAGGAGTTGGCTAGAAAACAGAGCTCTGAAGGGAGAGCTCTCTGGGCAGGTGATTACCAGGCAAATGCACTAAACCAGAAGTGAGACTGTCATATTCAAGGACAGAACTAAGGGCTACAGAGCCAGAGTGGAGTTAATGGAGCAGAATGGAACATGAGAGAAGATCAGAGACAGGCAGGGAAAAGGAAGGCATTTGGATTTAAGTGCAATGGAAAGCCAAGGAGCAATTGGAGCAGGGGAATTAAGTATAATGGGATTTAACTGTTCCAAGATCAGTCTGGATATGCTCTAGAGAGCACAAAGCATTGGAGCTGGCAGGTAGGTTTCTTGGTAGCCTAGAATACGCTGTAAGAAGGCATAGCCAAGAAGATGTGGATGTGCAGAGGGTGTAACTTGGAAGCAGAGAGAGAAGACTTGTTGGTGAAATGGATACTGTGGGGCAAGGGCAAAAGGGATTTAAAAGATTCCTAGGTTTTTCACTTGAGCAGCCCAAGGCAAAATCCATCCAGTTATTGCAATGACAGAAATTGCCTGAATGTATTTGACTGCAGAACCCTTTCTCCTGCTATGCTTCTTAGCAAGTGATAAAATACCAGTGTCTGTGAAGCACAGAATGGGAATGCTGTTTTAGTGGTCTGAGTAGATACCACTTCATCCTGTCCTCCTAAAAGCCTTAACTCATTCCTGTTCCCTAAGTAAAACTGCAAATCAAAATGTGGTATTGTCTGCATAGATTTTAAATTTCTTGTGATAAACAATGTATCACTACATACAAGAAAACTAAATGGGTGGTTTCTCAAAAGTCAGCAAGTCTCAAATTTGATAATATTTTAATATGACTATCTTCACTATGACTATAATTCTAATGGGATAATCTTGCTGGCTAGATTAACCCATTACTAAATAATAATAATGAGTGCCATTTATTCAGCCCTTGCTACTTTTCCTATACCATCCTAAAAGCTTTACATGGATCAAAGCATGTAATCAGTATTTCAGTCCTGGGAAGCAAGTGTCATTGTATTAATTTTACAGAGGGGGAAGCAGCCCAAAATCACACGAGCAAGAAGGGACAAGTGTCAATCTGTATTTAATCCTGGGTTACTTTCCCCCAGAAATTTGGCTTTCAGGGCTCCAGAGTTCAAAGTAGACTTTACAATAAAGCAAATAGTAAAGATAAGTGAAAGAGAAAAGCAAAACACTAATTTTACCTCATCTATTAAAGATAATGATAAATTGTTTCAAATGTCATTTTCCTCTAAATTTAGTCTGACTAATGGAAAGAACTGCTTGAGACAGTGTACAGAGGCCACACAGCAAAGAAACTTCCAGTACTTGATAGGAATATGAACTGGAATATTCCAGAGAGGGACAAAGCACACCACTCCTTTAAACAGATGGACCTTCTCTGGTTGTCTGCCAAGGGTCCCTGTGAAAAAGATGCCCTTTGACCTACACTCAGCCTTCTGACAATAAATTGTGATTCTTCACCATCCTCTTCATTCCTGAGCAAGATTGCATATCAATAATTCTAATGGTTGTGTCTACCCCAACTGTGTTCACAGTAAGAGGAGAGAGTGTGGTCCAGAATTACTAAGAGGACTCAATATTTTCCTGTCGGTGAAGGGGATTTTTTGTAAACAAGAAATGGGAAGTAGGCCCTGTACAATCAGTCTCCAAATCTAAATTAAAAGTTATATCAGCATCTCTTATAGCTTCAACTGCATTTTCAGGATAGAAGTAAGAGGAAATAAAAGGACTAAAAAGTACACGAACTTTTGCTTCTTTGTTGCACCGTGAGGGCTTTTGGAGGAGGAGGTGATTTTGCTTTTGTTTTTAGCAACTAAAGCAACTGGCACTGAAGATAGCTGTAAAATTACAAAGTTTACATAGAGTCATAACTTTGGATGCCTTCATGAACCAGGTTAATGGAAGAGCAGTCTTTTCTGAGTGAATCTTTATTGGGTTAATCCAATTAAACCAATGTCTATTTAACAATTACTCTGCATCAGGCTTCACTAGACACAGTGGGTATCATCATCCCAGTCTGCTGCTCTCGCTCACTCTGTCTCTGTCTCTGTCTCTCCCTCTCTCTCTCTGCTTATACTAAATGCATAATCATGTCTAACCTTCCTCTATTTATGTGTGATTCATTCTGTAAGATTACTTTAAAATTCAATCTTTTTCTCCCATATACTCAAGCCACTTAACATCATCTAATTTGCACACTTAATGAGATGTTCTCTAGTCCACCATCCAAACTGAACTATGTAATAAGCCTGGGACAGTGTGACCCTATGCAATGCCACCTGCCATTCAGGCAACATTCAGATCGTAACTACATGCTCTAATTCACAGAGATCTGATTTTTAATAAATAGTTGTTGGAATTCAAATCGTTCCTATTTCCAGTGAAACTCAACAAAAGATTTGTAATGCTCAACCACATCTCTCTGTGTCTACTGAGGAAATTGTCCCCGGAGAATTGACTTGGAGTGGGGTCAGAGGCTCAGTTGGCCCTTGAGTCACCAAACCTGAGGGAAGCTGCCCAAAAGACCTATAATGTAAGAGAAAAGAAAAGAAAGACCTCAAGGTAAGAAAAATATCAAGAGCACACATTTATACCCATGAGCATTTAAAGAGGTATAGGCCATTTTGGGAGGCACATGGACATGTGGACTTGACACACGTTGAACATGCAGTCCTAGGTCAGCCAGCAATTTGTTTTCTAAGCCTTAATATTACAAGCCTTTATCACCTGCTTTCAATATGCATTGTCCAGATATGCAAATTAGCACTTGTCTATTAACCAAGAGCATTAACTAAAGCACTCCTTCTGAAATTCTTAATTTTAATTAAAATTAGACATACAGCCGTACAACTCTCCAGTATATTTCTTTAAGCTATGTATGCTATTTTCCTATCGGATACTAGCCTAGAGTCTTGGGAAAGCCTGGTGAGGCTAAACTGCTTTTGTTTTGTTTCATTTTGTTTTGCATTTTCTTTTATAAATCTGGGATGCTCATGTGTTTGTCTTGGCTAGTAGCCAAAAAAGCTTTAGGATTATATTTAAAAATTATTCAAAATTAAATAAAGCATTATAAGTGCTATACTGAATTCCTAGTAGGAATAGAATCTAGCAAAATTTACTAGCATAATAAAAGTTTTTGATGTTATTAAAATCATAAAGGGAAAAGGGAGACTCCCTCTGCAATTTAAAAGCCAGTAACATTTTTACCAATATTACAGTAGTTTCATCACCTTAATAGCTACTGTTAAACAAGTGCTTTACCCTGAGCACAGAGCTTTGTGCTTGTGTATACTACCTCACCTGTTTTTCCCAATAAACTTATGAAGCAGATATTACTCTCCCAAATCCACAGACAATAAAAACTAAAGCTTAGGGAGGATAAGCAAATTGCCCAAGGTAACACAACTTAGGTAACAGAGCAGAGACAAACCCCAATCTGTCTCACTCCAACACATGTAATAACAAAACACCACCCACACACACACACACACACACACACACACACACACACACACAGAGAGAGAGAGAGAGGGAGAGAGAGCAATCACTGGCATAAGGCGGACAGGTGATTAAACTGCCATAAGCACTTAAGGTTAAGTAAAGCAGCAAAGCATCTCACAACTACTCTTTCCTTTAGGAGCTTGTAATTTAAGACAGATCATCTCCCAGACTACAGGTGAATTTCTAGCTCCAGCTTAAGCCAGAGAAATAGGCACTTGGGCCCTTGGACTTACCACTATGGTCCTTGCAGATGTTTATTTTCAGAATTTCACTTTGGCATTATTAACTTGGCTGGTGGGCTAATAAACCACCATTTGCAAATTTCTATTGTGCTTATTATTGAAATGTGCTGTGATGTTGAGAATGAGTCACTATTTCACATGGTTCTCCTTTAGGAAAACTCAGAGCCAAAATTTTCCTCAGGTTTTAATGCCAGGAAAAATGTATGCTGCTTCTAAGCAACAGATATGTTTCTGTGGATATTCTGAGCATTGTAACTGATCCTATTTCCCTTTGTGCTTAGACAGCCAGGAAGCTTAAGATCAAGCCAAACAGCTGACCATGAAAAGTTCTGCAGAAGAGGGAGGCAAGATGGCTGAATAGGAACAGCTCTGGTCTGCAGCTCCCAGAGAGACCAATGCAGAAGGAGGGTGATTTCTGCATTTCCAACTGAGGTACTCTGTTCATCTCACTGGGACTGGTTAGGCAGTGGGTGCAGCCCACAGAGGGCTAGCAGAAGCATGGTGAGGCATTGTCTCACCCGGGAAGTGCAAGGAGCAGGGAGGCCTCCCTTTCCCAGCCAAGGGAAGCCGTGAGGGACTGTGCTATCTGGCCAAGATACTATGCTTTCCCCATGGTTTTTGCAATCTGGAGACCAGGTGATTCATGTGCCTACACCACTGGGGCCCTGGATTTCAAGCAAAAAACTGGGCAGCTGTTTGGGCAGACACCAAGTTAGCTGCACGAGTTTGTTTGTTTGTTTGTTTGTTTCATGCCCCAGTGGTGCCTGGAACCCCAGCGAGACAGAACCGTTCACTCCCCTGGAAAGAGGGCTGAAGCCAGGGAGCCAAGTGGTCTTGCTCAGTGGGTCCCATTCCCACAGAGCCCGGCAAGCTAAGAACTACTGGCTTTAAATTCTCACTGCCAGCACAACAGTCTGCAGTTGACCTGGGATGATTGAGCTTGATGGGGGGAGGGGCGTCCGCCATTACTGAGGCTTGAGTAGGTGGTTTTCCTCTGAAACTGCTAAGGAGACCTGGAAGTTTGGACTGAGTGGAACTCAACACAGTGTGGCAAAGTGGCTGTGGCCAGACTGCCTATCTAGATTCCTTCTCTCTAGGCAGGGCATCTCTGAAAGAAAGGCAGCAGCCCCAGTCAGGGGCTTATAGATAACACTCCCATCTCCCTGGGACAGATCACCTGGGGGAAGGCGCAGCTTCAGCAGACTTAAACGTCCCTGCCTGCTAGCTCTGAAGAGAGCAGCAGATCCTGACAAGGAGGGTTCCCCCAGCACAGCACTGGAGCTCTGCTAAGAGACAGACTGCCTCCTCAAGTGGGTCCCTAACCCCCATGCCTCCTGACCTGGAGAGACCTCCCAATGGGGACTGACAGACACCTCATACAGGGGAGCTCCAGCTGGCAGCAGATTAGTGCCCCACTGGAAGGAACCTCCCAGACGAAAGAGCAGGCAGCAATCTTTGCTGTTCCATGGCCTTGGCTGGTGGCTAAGAAAATAGGGTGCAGTGGACCTCCAGCAAACTGCCACAAACCTGCAGAAGAGGGACCTGATTGTTAGAAGAAAGACAAACAAACAGAAAGCAATAACATTAACATCAACAAAAAATGCCCCCAAACAAAACCCCATCCAAAGTAAATCCATGAAGATGAGGAAAAACCAGTGCAAAAATGCTGAAAATTCCAAAAACCAAAACACCTCTTCTCCTCCAAAGGATCACAACTCGTTGCCAGCAAGGGAACAAAACTGGACAGAGAAAGAGTTTGACAAATTGACACAAGTAGGCTTCAGAAGGTAGGTAATAACAAACTCCTCTGAGCTAAAGGAGCATGTTCTAACCCAATGCAAGGAAGCTAAGAACCTTGAAAAAAGGTTACAGGAACTGCTAAATAGAATAACCAGTTTAGAAAAGAATATAAATGACCTGATGGAGCTGAAAAACACAGCACGATAACTTCGTGAAGCATACACAAGTATCAATAGCCAAATCAATCAAGCAGAATAAAGGATATCAGAGATTGAAGATCAACTTACTGAAATACAGCATGAGACAAGATTAGAGAAAAAAGAATGAAAAAAGCCTCCAAGAAACATGGGGCTATGTGAAAAGACCAAACCTACAATTGATTGGGGTCCCCAAAAGTGATGGGGAGAATGGAACCAAGTTGGAAAACACACTTCAGGATATTATCCAGGAGAACTTCCCCAAACTAGCAAGACAAGTCAACTTTCAAATTCAGGAAATACAGAGAACACCACTAGGATACTCCTCAAGAAGAGCAACCCCAAGACACATAATCTTCAGATTCTCCAAGGTTGAAATGAAGGAAAAAATGTTAAGGGCAGCCAGAGAGAAAGGTTGGGTTACCCACAAAGGGAAACCCATCAGAATAACAGCAGATCTCTCAGCAGAAACCCTACATGCCAGAAGAGAGTAGGAGCCAATATTCAACATTCTTAAAGAATTTTCAACTCAGAATTTCATATCCAACCAAACTAAGCTTCATAAGTGAAGGAGAAATAAAATCCTACAAACAAGAAAATGCTGAGGGATTTTGTCACCATCAGACCTGCCTTACAAGAGCTTCTCAAGGAAGCACTAAATATGGAAAGGAAAAAACAGTACCAGCCACTGCCAAAACACACCAAAATATAAAGACCAATGACACTATGAAGAAACTACTTCAACTAATGTGCAAAATAACCAGCTAGCATCATGATGACAGGATCAAATTCACACATAACAATATTAACCTTAAATGTAAATGGGCTAAATGCCCCAATTAAAAGACACAGACTCCCAAATTGGACAAAGAGACAAGACTCATTGCTGTGCTGTTTTCAGGAGACCTATCTCACGTGCAAAGACACGCATAGGCTCAAAATACAGGATGGAGGAAGATTTATCAAGCAAATGGACAGCAAAAAAAAGCAGAGGTCGCAATCCTAGTCTCTGATAAAACAGACTTTAAACCAACGAAGATAAAAAAAGACAAAGAAGGGCATTACATAATGGTAAAGGGATCAATGCAACAAGAAGAGCTAACTATCCTAAATATATATGCACCCCATAAGGAAGCACCCAGATTCATAAAACAATTTTTAGATACCAACAAAGAGACTTAGACTCCCACACAATAATAGTGGGAGACTTTAGCACCCCACTGTCAATATTAGACAGACCAACAAGACAGAAAATTAACAATAATATTCAGGACTTGAACTCAGCTCTGGACCAAGCAGACCTAATAGACATCTACAGAACTCTCCACCCCAAATCAACAGAATATACATTCTTTTCAGCACCACATAGCACTTATTCTAAAGTTGACCACATAATTGGTAGTAAAACACTCGTCAGCAAATGCAAAAGAATGGAAATCATAACAGTCTCTCAGACCACAGTGCAATCAAATTAGAACTCAGGATTAAGAAACTCACCCAAAACCACACTACTACATGGAAACTGAACAACCTGCTCCTGAATGACTACTAGGTAAATTATGAAATTAAGGCAGAAATAACAAAGTTCTTTGAAACCAATGAGAACAAAGACACAACATACCAGAATCTCTGGGACACATTTAAAGCAGTGTGTAGAGAGAAATTTATAGCACTAAATGCCCACAAGAGAAAGTGGGAAAGATCCAAAATTGACACCCTAACATTACAATTAAAAGAACTAGAGAAGCAAGATCAAACAAATTGGAAAGCTAGTAGAAGACAAGAAATAACTAAGATCAAAGCAGAATTGAAGGAGATAGAGACACAAAAAAAAAACCCTTCAAAAAAATCAGTGAATCCCAGAGCTGGTTTCTTGAAAAGATTAACAAAACAGATAGACAGATAGCCAGACAAATAAAGAAGAAAAGAGAGAAGCATCAAATAGATGCAATAAAAAATGATAAAGGGGATATCACCACAGATCCCACAGAAATACAAACTACCATCAGAGAATACTCTAAACACCTCTATGCAAATAAACTAGAAAATCTAGAAGAAATGGATACATTCCCCAAAACATTCCCCCTCCCAAGAATACACCAGGAAGAAGTCGAATCCCTGAATAAACCAATAACAAGTTCTGAAATTGAGGCAGTAATTTATAGCCTACCAACCAAAAAAAAGCCCAGGACCAAATGGATTCAGAGCCAAATTCTACCAGAGGTACAAAGAGGAGCTGGTACCATTTCTTCTGAAACTATTCCAATCAATAGAAAAAGAGGGACTCCTTCCTAACTCATTTTATGAAGCCAGCATCATCCTGATTCCAAAACATGGCAGAGACACAACAAAAAAAGAAAATTTCAGGCCAATATCCTTGATGAACATCAATGTGAAAATCCTCAATAAAATACTGGCAAACCAAATCCAGCAGCACATCAAAAAGCTTATCCAACATGATCAAGTCGGCTTCATCCCTGGGATGCAAGCCTGGTTCAACATACTCAAATCAATAAACATAATCCATCACATAAACAGAACCAATGACAAAAACCACAAGATTATCTTAATAGATGCAGAAAAGGCCTTCGATAAAATTCAACACCCCTTCATGACAAAAGCTCTCAATACTAGGTATTGATGGAACATATCTCAAAATAATAAGAGCTATTTATGACAAACCCATAGCCAATATCATACTGAATGGGAAAAATCTGGAAACATTCCCTTTGAGAACTGGCACAAGAAAGGATGCCCTCTCTCACCACTCCTATTCAACATAGTATTGGAAGTTCTGGCCAAGGCAATCAGACAAGAGAAAGAAATAAAGGATATTCAAATAGGAAGAGAGGAAGTCAAATTGTCTCTGTTTGCAGATGACATGATTGTATATTTAGAAAACCCCATCATCTTAGCCAAAAAACTTCTTAAGCTGATAAACAACTTCAGCAAAGTCTCTAGATACAAAATCAATGTGCAAAAACCACAAGCATTCCTATACACCAATAATAGACAAGCAGAGAGCCAAATCATGAATGAACTCCCATTCACAATTGCTACAAAGAATATAAAGTATATAGGAACATAACTTACAAGGGATATGAAGGACCTCTTCAAGGAGAACTACAAACCACAGCTCAAGGAAATAAGAGAGGACACAAACAAATGGAAAAAAAATATTCCATGCTCATGGATAGGAAGAATCAACATTGTGAAAATGGCCATACTGCCCAAAGTAATTTATAGATTCAATGCTATCCCCATCAAGCTACCATTGGCTTTCTTCACAGAATTGGAAAAAGCTACTTTAAATTTCATATGGAACCAAAAAAGAGCCCGCATTGCCAAGACAATCCTAAGAAAAAGAACAAAGCTGGAGGCATCAAGCTACCTGACTTCAAACTATACTACAAGGCTACAGTAACCAAAACAGCATGCTACTGGTACCAAAACAGAGATACAGATCAATGGAACAAAACACAGGCTTCAGACATAACACCACACATCTACAACCATCTGATCTTCAACAAACCTGACAAAAACAAGCAATGGGGAAAGGATTCCCTATGTAATAAATGGTGCTAGGAAAACTGGCTAGTCATATGCAGAAAACTGAAACCAGACCCCTTCCTTACACCTTATACAAAAATTAACTCAAGATGGATTAAAGACTTAAATGTAAAACCTAATACCATAAAAACCCTAGAAGAAAACCTAGGCAATACCATTCAGGACACAGGCATGGGAAAAGTCTTCATAACTAAAACACCAAAAGCAATTGCAACAGAAGCCAAAATTGACAAATGGGATCTAATTAAACTAAAGAGCTTCTGCACAGCAAAAGAAACTATCATCAGAGTGAACAGGCAACCTACAGAATGGGAGAACATTTTTGCAATCTATCCATCTGACAAAGGGCTAATATCCAGAATCTACAAGGAACCTTAAACATATTTACAAGAAAAAAATCAAACAACCCTATCAAAAAGTGGGCAAAGGATATGAACAGACACTTCTAAAAAGAAGACATTTATGCAGTCCTACAAACATATGAAGAAAAGCTCATCATCACTGGTCATTAGAGAAATGCAAATCAAAACCACAATGAGATACCATCTCACACCAGTTAGAATGGCGATCATTAAAAAGTCTGGAAACAACAGATGCTGGAGAGGATGTGGAGAAACAGGAACACTTTTACACTGTTGGTGGGAGTGTAAATTAGTTCTACCATTGTGGAAGGCAGTGTGGCAATTCCTCAAGGATCTAGAAGCAGAAATACCATTTGACCCAGTAATCCCATTACTGGGTATATGCCCAAAGGATTATAAATCATTCTACTATAAAGACACATTCACATGTATGTTTACTGCAGCACTATTTACAATAGCAAAGACTCAGAACCAACCCAAATGCCCATCAATAATTGACTGGATAAAGAAACTGTATCACATATACACCATGGAATACTTTGTAGCCATAAAAAAAGAATGAGTTGATGTCCTTTGCAGGGACATGTATGAAGCTGGAAGCCATTATTCTCAGCAAACTAACACAGGAACAGAAAACCAAACATTGTATGTTCTCACTCATAAGTGGGAGTTGAACAATGAGAACACATGGACACAGGGAGGGGAACATCACACAGCAGGGCCTGTCAGGGTGTGGGGGGCAAGGGGAGGGAGAGCATTAGGACAAATACCTAATGCATGCAGGGCTTAAAACCTAGATGACGGGTTGATGGGTACAGCAAACCACCATGGCACATGTATACCTATGTGACAAACCTGCACTTTCAGCACATGTATCCCAGAACTTAAGCAAAATAAATTAAAAAAAAGAAAAGTTCTGCAGAACATTAAACTAATTAGAAATATTAGTCTCATGTACTAATAATTTCTCCAGGCGTAATTTTCCTACTCTAACCTTTTTCCCCTTTTCTTCATTACTTTACATTTTTCTCTCCATGGGATTTTATTGTAGGCACTTAATGTAATGCTTTTCAAACCTTATTGGGAATAGAGGCATTGATACATTTATCTATCTAGGTGTGTAACAGAATCTCTGCATTTGCAACTGAAACAGATAAATAGTCCCCATTAGACTGAGAGCTCTTCAGGGGCAGGGAAGTTGTCTTATTCATCTTTGTATCCTCAGTACAGACACTCTGCTAGGCATATAGTCAGCCTTAATATATTAACACTTACCGAATTGAATTGAATTGAATTTTGAAATATCCCCAGGAAATCTTTGAGAGAGTCTGAAAAACTATTTAGAACTTTGAACTGCTGTCTTAGCATTTTGGTCTCCATTAGATAAGGGAGCTTTCTGTTTACATTCTGACTCTTTGTCATAGGTGAGAGTTGTAATAGAGTTGGCACCTTAAGATGCCAGTGCCCCTAACAGAGTGTACATAACAGAGTGCCCCTAACACTGTGCCTCTAACACACTACCCCCTCACACAGCACCCTACATATTATGGGGGCTTAATAAATGTTTGCTGAATAAATGTTGAAAACTGAGGATCTTGTTGTCTTTTGCGTATAGAAGTAAGAAAATGCTTTTTTCTCACTCCCTGCTCTGATTCTCCCCAATATTCTCTGTTTAGGTGATGGAGCATTGCACGGGGCTAAAAACTAAGGTTTTGGGCTCAGACACACTCAGGTTCAAATCCTAGCAATGCTACTAACCAGCTTTGCAACCTTATGTCTCAAGTAAGCAAGTTATTAACCCCTCTAAGCTTCCATTTGCTCACCTTTAAATGGTGATTACTGTAATACTTATTCATGGTGTTATTGTAAGGATTTAATGATAAGATGTGATTGGTAAACAATGGCTTGTACATTGTGAGTGCTAAGTAAATGGGGGCTGTCTTGCCCATATTTTTATATTCTTTCTAACATTGAACATCAAATATCAACCTACCCTTAGAGAACTGAATTGAGGGTAGCATGCTTGTGACCAAAAGACCCTCTATTTCAGTCTTAACATTATCTCAAACTTGCTTAGTCCACCCTCCTTCCCCAAATCTAGAGCCATGTATCAACCTCCTCCCTGCTATGGAGAATTGCTGTAGGGAAGGACCAGAGGGGAACAGGGCTCATTAACAGATAACTTCAAATCCTCTTACCATACTAGGAATAATTGAAAAATGACAGGGCTTCTCAACTATTTCAAAGAGATATTGAGAAGTGGGATTTGAATTGAAAGCGAGTCATTAACAAGATTGAAATATTTGGGAACCTCATGGCTGATTTCTGAGGATTAGAGTTAGAAAAACAAACACTCCTCTAAGTGAAGCATGGACCAAATTTATGAGTTAGAGATAATTCTTTGCTTTGAAAGATAAATCTCTCCAAAATGATGACAATAAAAAAACGTTTGCAATTAATTTAGTGTTTATGAAAAATACTGTATACTTAACTACATAGAACTCAAGTTTACAGGCCTATGAGTTGGTGATTAATATAATCTCCTACTGAAGCCTTGTCCTTAAGTCACAACAAATACATCTGGGTCCTCTGCATGCTCTATCTGTATGCAGAGGAAACAGAGTGACATTAGCATCATGTCCACACGAAGACCGACTTTGCATTTAGAGATAGGATGAGAGGATCACTGAATGCACAATTACCCCATAGGCTTGGAACCTTTTGAGTACAAAATTTCACTTTCCTCAGAATTTTGACTTCAAGATCATGAGCATCATTGCTAGGAGTTGTTCTGCAGCTACTCACACCAGGGCACAAAGAGCCCACATTCAGACTCTTCTAGTCTATCTTATATTTAGGAAGCCTAATTACGTTTTCTGGGTATCTGTCTCCCCACCTCACATTCCCAAATAGAGGCCCATTCTCCAGGCTCAAACACAATACAAGCGTTGTTTTCTACCCTATAATTATAAATGAGCAAACCAAATGACTATACCAGCTGCACTACACCCTGTACCTATGAGGAGCCGCAACATGAAATGTGAGGACCACTCCCTGAGCTGTCCACTATCCTCCTGGATAGTGAGTTTTTCGGGACACTAGTCCTTCCTTATTCATGGTTTCGCTTTCCAAGGTTCCAGTTACCCTCAGTCAATTGAGGTCCAAAAATAGGTGAGTACAGTACAATAAGATATTTTGAGAGAGAGAGAGAGAGAGAAAGATCACATTCACATAATTTTATTGCAGTATTGCAGTATATTGTTATGCGGTCTATTTTGTAATTCATTATTTGCTGTTCATCTTTTACTGTGCCTAATTTAAAAATTAAACTTTATCATAGGGATGTATGTGTAGGAGAAAACATAGTATATGTAGGATTCAGTACTACAGAGGTTCCAGGCATCCTTGGGGGTCTTGGAATGTGTCTCCCCCTAATAAGTGTGCATTACTCTACTAACAGCTTGTAACTGGAAATTTATACTTGTGTTCTCATGTATTGCACAATGGTGAAGAGAATGGGCTTAAAGACTGGCTGCCTGGGTTGGAATCACTGTGTGACCCTGCACAAATAACTTTCCTCTCCATACCTCAGTTTATTTATCTGTAGAGAGAAGATAATAATAGAAATTACTTCAGAGGGTTGTGATGAAAAAATGGATTAAATAATATTACTCTGCTCAGACTGCTATAACAAAACACCATAGACTGGGTGGCTTAAACAACAGAAATTTATTTTCTCACACTTCTGGAGGTTAGAGTCCAAGGTTAAAGTTCTGGCAAGATTTGGTTTCTGGTAAGGGCTCTCTTTCTGCCTTACAGATGGCCACCTTCTCATTGTGTCTTCACATTGTGGAGAGAGAGTGGTCTCTCTCTCTCTTCCTCTTGTTATAAAGCCACCAATCTCAACAGAGGAGCCACACCCTCATGATGTCATCTAACCCTAATTACCTCCCAAAGACCACAATCTCCAAATATATTCACACTGGGGTTAAGCCTTCAATATACAAATTTTGAGGCAGGGGGACAACTAAGTCCATAGCAATATGTATAAAGGGTTTAGACCAGTGCCTAGCATGCATCAAGCACTAAACAAATGTTACTTACTATTATTCTCATGCTAGGCATTTCATATATGGTCTCACTTAAAAATTACAGCAGTGCAGACATAGGCATATCCCTTTCAGCTGAGGCAACTGAGCTCAGAGAGTTACCTGCCTTGACTTTGGGGTGGCAAAGCTGACTTGACCCTAATGTCACACAAAAGGCAATGTGCTTTCTGCTTTACCACACTACATCCTTTAAAAAAATTTTAAGGTGTAACTATAAATTTTCTCTACGATTTTAGTTCTTAAAATATCCACATTTTAAAATATTTTTATAGAAGCATAACATCTATTCCCACAAATACCCTCCTTTTTGTGGAAGAAAGTTTTCATGGCTTAAAACAAAAAAGATCAATTTTTTACTCAGACTATATGTCCAGCCACAGATAGACAGAGAAGCTGCTTATCATCATCACTGAGGAACTCAGGCTGATAAAGGAGCCACCATCTCTTACATTGCAGGTCACTTTGCAGAGGATGAAAGGAATTCCAATGGTCTCACATCAACAGCTAAATGTGACATGCATCACTTTTCACAACTCATTAGCCAGAACCCACTCAACCACAACGTGGCCAAGAAACACAATCCTATCACGGGCCTGGAAGGAAGAAAACCAGAAATATTTAAAGGCTTCCAAAAAATAATATCTGGCAGTCAATTGCAGAAGCATAGTTATTCCAACACTGAAATGGGAGTAAGGACATATCTATAATAAACACAGAAAAAAAATTACCTTAGTTCCAGATAATTGGGTGTTTTTTGTCTTTCTCTCTTGGCTAGTAGCTACAAGCAGTGGAATTTTTCTTTTCATTTTTAGCCAAGCTGTCAACTGAGCAAAGGAAAATAACTAACCTTATGGGCGTGGGTAGTTGGTGGAGGGAGGAGTGGGAAAGAAGGCTAGAGTGTGGGTAGGAGTTTAATTTCGTATGTTCAAGGCATGATACGAGAAATTCTGTAAACCCAGGTCCCAAATAATACCCAGGATTTCCAGATGCTCAAGAGAAGCAGGTAGCTAAGGAGTCTCCATGGATAAAACAAAGATGCTAAACATCAGCTGAGATTTATCCAGCAATAAATAGCACAAAAATAATGAACTAACAGAAAAATAAAGTTCAGACCAGAGTTGTTATCAATAGCTACTATAAAAAAATTTTCCTGAGTGAAGATTTTTGTTTTATTTGGCTGAAGGATATCACCACTGGAGTTATGAAGATGTGAATTCCACTGACCATCTATATGAACTTTGACAAGTTACTTAATGTCTTTAAAACTCAACTATAAAATAGGGAGGATAACTAAAGGTTATTGTGAGGGTTAAATGAGATAATGTATTTAGAGCACTTACAATATTATAATATATATGCAATAAATATTAGCCATGATTTTTATTTGTATTATTGTTATTATCATGTTGATAAAATGCCAAAAGCCAAAGGAAGCTATTCAGATATTTTTTAATCTATAATATGTATCTCATCATCCAGGTATAATGGCCTTGTTCCTGATCTTAAGCTATAAATATATATGATTTCACCATTAAGTACAATGGTAGCTGTAGGTTTTTCACTGATGCCCTTTACCTGGTTGAAAAAGTTCCCTTCTATTCATGAACAAGTGCTGAATTTTGTTCAATGCTTTTTTAAAAAAAAATCTATTGAAATAATCACATGGTGTTTCCTTTTTAATTTGTTAGAATGGGTAATTACATTAATTGATATCTTCAAATGTTAAACTGACAAATTCGTGGGATAAACTTCACTTGGACATGACGTCTTATTAATTTTATATGTTGTTGGATTCAGTTAGCTTAGAGTTTTTTACCTCTATGTTCACAAGGAATATCTATCTCAAGTTTACTTCTTGAGAGAAATTGGTAATTCATGTCTCTCAAGGTCTTTGAATCTGCTGGTGTCTCTCAAGGTCTTTGAATCTGTTGGCATAACGTTATTCCTGAGATTCCCTTGTTATCTTTTTAATATCTGTAGAATCTGTGGTAAAGTCTGATATTGGTAATTTGTATCTTCCCTTTTATTCCTTCTCAGTATGACTAGAGGTTTATCAATGTTATTAAATTTCTCAAAGAATCCGCTTCTGGGTTATTTGATTTTCTCTATTGCTTTTCTGTTTTCTAGTTCATTGATTTTTACTCTTTTCATTAATTCCTTTCTTCTGCTTGCTCTGCTTATAACTGACTCTCTTTTCCTAGTTTCTTTTATTTCAGACGTGTATTTTTAATATAAGTATTTATAACTATAAATTTCCTTCTGAGTACTATGCCAGTTACTTTAGCAAAAATTTTTACATCTGATGTTTTATTTTTATTCAGTTGAAAATAGTTTCTATTTTACAATGATTGTGATCACTGATGTTGGATTAAAATGTATCATCTTCCTATTTGTTTTCTATTTTCCCATTTGTTCTTCAGTCCTATGTACCTCTTTTTCTTCCCTCTTTAGTATTAACTATATTTTTATTTCATTTTATCTCTACTGTTAGCTTATTAGCTATAACTTTTTTGTGTTAATTTACTGATTGCTTTAATGTTTATAGCATACATCTTTAACTTACCATAGTCTACTTTCAAGTAATATTGCTTTTGATTTTTTCCTTATCACCACAAGTTCAAATTATATAAAATGCTTTCCTCTAACAGAAAATGCAAGGTTGAATTAAACTAGTAAGTATGACCCTCAGAAGATTAATTCAATTTTTAGTTTCATAAATTGGAAGCCCTACTTATATTTTGAAACCATCTTTTATTTGTAGTTTTTATTTTTTAGTTATCCTTATTTTCACTAACTTCAATCACCATGGGATGTTATTAACATTCTAATATATTTCTGGTACATATATATTTGTATTTTTAATATATTCTCACAGAATTTTCAAACTAGAAAAAGTCTTAGCCACCCCATAGTGAAATCTCTTAATTTTCTACATGACAAGTACACTACTGCCAGGCACCACTGTAGACATTTCCTGCAATGCCACTTTCTTCTCTACCCTGGTGATGTGTCTGACAGTGGTGACATCATAACAGATTATTAGAATACAATGTGGAAAACACAACAGTGGAGGTGTGCATGGAGGCAGTGGGAATAGGATGGACATGATTTTGTTGCTGCTGTTATCAAAGCCATAACTGTATTTTCCTCTTAAATTTTAGACAGCAGTTTTTTAAAACTTTTTAAAGTGTTACATACATGCATAAGTATATAAATCATTTTCATAAAATGAACACACTTGTGTAATTAGCGCCACAATCCAAAACCAGCACCTGAGAAGCCCCCTTCAGTCATACCACCCCTCAAGGTTAACAATACTGTGATTAATTTTGCCTGAGAAAGTAGGAAAAAATCATCCTCAGAAGAGGCCACAGACCAACTCCCAGTTCATTGCGCTCTTCACTACACAAAATGTCTCTCTTGTTAAAACTCTCCAAAATCCTCTAAAATTCATAGATTCCACAGAAGGTGCTTCTGCATGATTAAATATGAGATATCATTATACTATAAAATGCACACATTTGGATAATTTGGATGACATGTTCAAATGCTTTAAAAATACTATCAGAAAGTTTTCACTTTACAACTTTCCCTAAAGCACATACGATAGGTAGTCCCTTGGTATCAGCAGGGGATTGGTTCCAGAACCTCCCTCAAATCCCAAAATCTATCAACGCTCAAGTCCCTGATATACAATGGCACAGTATTTGCATATTACCCAGCACATCCTTCTGTATACTTTAAATCACTTCTACATTACTTATGATACCTAATATAATGCAAATGTTATATAAATAGTTGTTATACTGTATTGTTTAGGGAATAATGACAATAAAGTCTGTACATGTTCAGTACGAACACATTTTTTTCTGGATATTTTCAATCCAAAATTGGTTGAATCCACAGATGCAGAACTCACAGATATGAAGGACCAACTGTGTACATTTTAGAATCACTCCACGGATTATTCTTTAAACAATAACAAATGCAACATCTAAAAGTTTGAAGGTACAACACTGGCAACTCTCATTATCAGACATAAACAGTCTTACCTCATGTGAAGATAAACTATTTGATCCTCTCTTTATCTTTCACAATATTTAAAATCAAAAAATTGATGAATACAATGAGAAAAACAGAAAGTTATAATAATGGTTAATTCCATAAATTTTTTTCCGCCCTCCCCCCCACCTCAAAAAATGTCAGCTGTAACAGGAGAATGGGAAAATGTATATGTTCCTTGGGAAAAATGATCCTGACAGTAAACATTTTGAACAGACTAATTTGAGAGTGGTGACAGTGGTTTCCTTTTTCCTGACTTATCATCTTTTTTATATTATGCTGGAGTTTCTTTTGAGTTACATAAACAACTTTAGTCCTTTGGGTTTGATCTTTTGGTACTTAAGAGACTTTAAAAAAAATAAAAGAAAGGTAAATAGAAGGATTATCTAATGTTATAAAAATGCCTATGCCCAGAAGTAACTGGAACACTTAAATGTCCACTCTAATGAATATATTACAGGCTTGCCATGAACACCAACTCAAATTAATTATTAATTTAATTTTTTTTGAGACAGTCTCACTCTGTCACCCAGGCTGGAGTGCAGTGGCACAATCATGGCTCACTGCAGCCTCAAACTCCTAGGCACAAGGGATCCTCTTGCCTTGGCCTCCCAATTAGCTGGGACTACAGACATGCACCACCACACCCAGCTAATTTTTATTTTTATAACTGTAGAGACAGATCTCGCTGTGCTGACCAGGCTGGTCTCGAGCTCTTGGCCTCAAGTGATCCTCCCACCTCAGCCTCCCAGAGTGCTAGGATTACAGGCATGAGCCACCACGCCTGGTCTTAAATTCATTCTTAATGTAGCTAAATTTTCTTTTAAATTAGCACTGAAAAAATGAACATGTAAAGTGCTAATAGAGATGAAAGTACAAGAAACGAAATATTTCTAAAGAGGATTCAGTTTGATTTCTACTACTTGTCCCTTGGTTATATTTTACAGAAACAAATTTGCATTTTATTCCATTATTAGGCCTTTTCCACTAAAATCAAATCTGTACTGCTTCACACATTTTGTAATCCTGCAACTCAAACAATTAGCTAACAAGTCATCAAAACAAAATACTATGATGTCAAAGTTATGTGCAAAATCTAGTAACTGCCTAATATTTTATCACTCTAAAAGCCCCAGAGAGTGAGGCTGTTATGGCTGAGAATAATATAATATGTTTGTGGGTCCGATAAACACACAAATCTTCATAGGTCCTCCAAGGTAGGTCTAGCTTTTCTACATGTCTAGTACCAAATGTATTTTGAGGTCATTAGATTATCTCAGAAAGACAATCTGTGGTGCTTTAAACTCTAGAACAACATTGTCCTCCTATCTTTTTTTTTCTTGAGATGGAGTCTTGCTCTGTTGCCCAGGCTGGAGTGCAGTGACACAAACTCAGCTCACTGCAACCTCAACCTCCCATGCTCAAGCGATCCTCCCACCTCTGCCTCCCAAGTAACTGGGACTACAGACACAAGGCCACCACACGTGGCTAATTTTTTTATCGTTTGTAGAGACAGGGTTCCACGATATTGCCTAAGCTGGTCTCGAACTCGTGGACTTAAACAATCCTCCCACCTCAGCCTCCCAAAGTGCTGGGATTATAGGTGGGAGCCATCTCACCAGCCTGTTCTCCTACCTATAAACAATGTATCTATTTTCTTCCCAGATGGTCCAGCTCAGGAAAGAATCTTTGGCAATTCCTTCTTCAAGTTATAATTTATACCAAATTTTTACCTCTAGAACACAGTACTAGACAAAAATAAACCCATGAACTATGACTGTTTAAAACAGGACAGATTTTAACACAACTTAACCATACATCTTTAGTTGTGTTCTCACCACTTCCCTCCAGCATTTGGCCCAATCAATGGCTTCAGAACCCATTACCAAAATCTTCTCCCTTCCTGGGCATAAAATCAATGATTCCCAAAGTTATAATTTGACATGTGTGTTTCTTCTTCTTCAGTGTTATTCCAATATCTTGGCTACATTTAAACTCTACTGAGCATAACATGAGACCTCCTGAGACTAATGCAGAGAGCTTTAAGGCCAACCCTGCCAGGCAGCTGCTGTCTCTCACAGTCTTCTTCTTCAGCCTTCTCTGTCAGGGAAGTGTCTTCTAAAATCCTTTTTAACCCCAGTTCTCAGGTACAAGCACCGCACTTCCAGACTTTTTAAAGTCTCACTTGTGAGTATGATGGCAAAAACTCATCTTTGAATTAATCCCCCAATTGGGAGCCCCCAATTTGAAAAATGAACCATTCCATCAGATCACTTCATCATTCTCAGCCATGTTATTAATTAGTACAATAAGCACCTTAGCACATATGTACTTTTGGCAGGCAGACTTGAGAACAAATAATTCTGCAATAAGTGGTCTAAAATTAATGGCTACAAAAGTGACTAATTGCACACTAAGGACCTATTCACAGAGTAAAGTCCTGTGCAGAATCTGGAAAGCCTTTAGTTCTCTTAAAATAAGGATCAAATGGTCTATTATACTAGAGCTTTAGTAGGCACAATTTTTAAATGGGCTGATTAGAGCTGGAGACTCTCTGTGCTTTTCAGGCTTTGCCAAATATATATACATAAACATGGCCTTTATGGAGTCCCTTTGCACAGTTATAATTTTACAGTTCATTTAGGAATTCTCAACTCAGTCAGGATTAGCTCTGTTGAAGCTTATTTTTCTTTCTGTGAGATGATTACTTGACTCAACCCACAGTCCTACTAAGACTTGGTAATAATTCAGTGTACTTTGTACTGAGCCATCTCCTCAGAAGTTGCATCAACTTTCTCTTCGAAAGACCTTGCAAATTCTGAGATATTGATAAGAAGGAAAAAGGCATGATTCTGATAGAGACCATTCCTCCCAACATCTCACTTTCCTTTCTATTGACTTACCTCTCTACTAACAATGAATATAAATTAGGAATTCCCATACAGAAGGGATTCTCTGTCAGGTTTCATCCAAGTGCCTTGATGAACTCACATACTACCACTTACTCCTCTCCACCTAAAAGGCCAATTATAGTAAATTAGATGCAGCAGAGAATAAGGAGAAGAAGGTACACTGCCCACAATGTCCTATACTATTTCACCCCATGTCTCCATTCAGCCTTGACTTTTACCTGTCAGGATCACCTAATTCAGTGTATCTGGGATACAGTCAAAAATCACATCAGGCCAGGCGCGGTGGCTCACAACTGTAATCCCAGCACTTTGCGAGGCCGAGGCACATGGATCATGAGGTCAAGAGATCAAGACCATCCTGACCAATATGGTGAAACCCCGTCTCTACTAAAAATACAAAAATTAGCTGGGTGCGGTGGGACGCACCTGTAGTCCCAGCTACTTGTGAGGCTGAGGCAGGGGAATCACTTGAACCCAGGAGGCAGAGGTTGCAGTGAGCTGAGATCACACCACTGCACTCCAGCCTGGCAAGAGAGAGAGAGACTCCATCTCAAAAAAAAAAAAAAATCACATTAGAATCACCCAGAGATCCGGCTAAAGATGCAAGTCCCTGTGTCCTACTGAAGACCTACTGCACCAGAAGCACAGGGCGTGGTGGCCAGGAATCAGCATCTTGAACAAGCTCCTTCTATTGCTCTTGTCACAATGACCTTTTAAAACCAGGGAAGCAGTGAAAACACAAAGTGAGTAACTCAGGTCTCCCGCCTGACAATCCAGAGCCCAAAATAATTGGGTTTCCTTGGGTGCAGCGGCTCATGCCTGTAATCCCATCACTTTGGGAGGCCAAGGCAGGCATATTGCTTGAGGTCAGGAGTTGGAGAGCAGCCTAGTGAAACCCTGTCTGTACTAAAATAAAAGCAAAACAAAACAAACAAAAAACAAATAATTGGGTTTCCCAGGTATCACAGACACTATCAAATCCTTTATTCTCTCTCTACCACAGAGGGAGAACTGAGGGCAGGGCATGAGGGGTGCCCAAGACCTGGTGGAGAAGGCATGCAAGCATGACTCCCTCTAAGTGTACCACACAGCCCCAATCAGCATAGCACCCCCCCACCCACACCCCTGGTTTTAAAGCCTGGCTCTGCCTGCTTTGGTCCTATCTGACTTCCCTTCTGCCTGAATCAAGAAGACATTTTTATTAGTCTAGATATGTTTCTTTGACTAATTCAAGAGAGCTTGTCCACAATGCTCTTTTCTCAAATAAGAAGTATCATACTGAATTCTCCTTTTCTCTCCTTCCCTCTAGCCTCACTCTTTATTGACTCCCTCTCACAGCTGTAAGCAGCTTTAGAGAAAAAGTCTAACTGAAGTTACCTCAGAAAGTGCTCTTAATAACTAACTGGATTTTTGCTCAACAGCAGAGTTTGTCCTTAACACAGCCATCCTTTCAATTAAAGCACTAGGAATTGGTTACTTTAAAAGACAGGGGTCAAGTACTATAAATTTCTTTTTAGATCATCCTGTTATTATTTAGGAAAATTAATTTATTTTGTAGCACTGTGGCAAGAAAATAACACAATCACATTGGATATGATCATCAGGGCTAGTATCTGCCTTCAAAACATTATTAAAGGACAATAGCATATCTTCAGACAGTAAATCAGAATCCATCTCCACTGTGGAGATGCACTTTCTTCAACAAGGACAGTGTCAAGGCCTGTGCACTTCATTTTGTTTACTTAAAAGATAAAATAAATTGAATTTGGAACATTTTGTTTTATTCCAGGTGGTTGAACAGTCACAAGATTACTCCTTCAAAATTTGCTCATAGAAGTATCTGTGATGCTTTGATAAATGAACAGCACCTTTCCAATGTGTTAAAATGTTTGAAATATATTGAACAAATGCTGAATCTCATTCTGAACTAGCACCCACACTTATCTCCCATGACTTCTTTTTAAATGTGGCAGAATGAATTGACATATGATGGGCAAACTGTTATGCAAATTTTGATATTTTCTCAACAGTACGAATTGAAATGTGGCTTACTGTTGTGGTAATCAATTTACAGGTGATGGTGTTAGTGATTCTAGTAATCACAGATTATGACATATATTTAAACTAATAATTTAACCAGACTTGACCAGTACACAATATATCCATGTAACACAGCTGCACTTGTGCCCCCGAATCTATAAAAAGATAATTATTTTTAAAATAAGTAATTTAGAATTTTATATATTATAGAAGATATAGAGAAAACTTATAAAATTAAAAAACAAGAAAGATAAAAGAAGAAAATAAAAATAATATTTTTATTATCCAGCATTATCTAACCACTCAATAGTAACCACAATTAATATTTTGGTGACTATTGTTACAACCGTTTTTGTAACATGGTTTAATAAATATCTACCAATATATTTGTAGACTACCTTCTAACTATCTGTTAAACTACTTATGAAGATAAATGGGTTCTCCCTTTCCTCCTAACTAGTTTTCACTGGTATATAACAGAGCTGTTGATATTTCACATATTTATTTTGTCTTGACCATCTTGCTGAACTCTCTTATTAGCTGTAATTTTATTTCAGTTACTTTACTTGAGTTTTCCAAATACGCAGTTACATCATTTTTAAAAATATTTTTTCTTCCCCATTTATGTTTATATTTCTTATTATTGAAATATCCGGAATCTTGTCAAGTAAGAATAGTGGATATCCTTTGAGATCCTTGGGATATTCTTATATTTTACAAATTTCAAAGAAATTATTCTACAGGTTTCTGTTAAGTATGACATTGGCTACTGGGTTCAGAGAGATCATCTTACTCACAAGAGTTAGTGAGATATTCTTCTACATCTACTAATATATTTATATATTTTAAAATCAACATTGACATCCATCTAGTCTTTAGAACATCTACTAAGATGGTCAAATCTACTTTTCCTTAGACTTTTTCACATATTGTAAATATATTCTCTAATACTAAAACATTCTTGGATTCCTGAAATTATCCTTTGTTATCATATTATAGTTTATTATATTATCATTTAATCCTTTCAATATAATGCTGAGTATCCACTTGTGAACATTTATTTGGTGTTATTATTCTGTTTAAAAAATTGTGAGGCTTTTCTAAAAGTAATGTTTTATATCTTAATTATTTTTCTTATTGTAAAAGTGCTACTTTAGTATGGGAAAGATTGAAATAAGGCACATAAAAAGAAAAAAAAACTGGAATTCTCCCATGATCCTCCAACTCCTCCTGTAGAAATCATTACTATTAATTCTTCAGCTTATTTTGAATTTAACTAGTCCCCCATTGTAACATAAAAATATTACAATATTCATTCCAATATTGTTTGTAATAGCAAAAAGCCTGCAAGTTTTTTGCCATTATAAACAATATTGCAATGAATAATGTTCTATATTTACATATCTTTGCATACATGTAGGGATATTTCTTTTAAAGGAATTCCTGGATGTAGATGTGTTATATTTTAATACATATTGCTAAATTGTCACTTTAAAGTATTGCACCAATATAAGCTGCCACTAAGTAATAATGCATAAAAGAGTAATTGTCTCTCCACATTTTGGCACACTGGTATTATCAATATTTTAATCATTGACAATGTGATAGTTACAAAAGCTATTGCATTGTTTTAATTTGTATTGCTTTAATCAATGGGAATAAAGATCCTTTCATATATTTATCAGTTATCTGTGTTCCTAATTGTGTGAATTGTTATTTCATGGAATTTGCCTGTCTTTATATTAAATGGGTATCTTTTTAAAATTAATTATTGTTAATTTTGTGTAAGGCACATTGACCTTCAGCTGGTGGTAGATAATTGTATTATTAGCAATTTCCTGTTTGCTATTTTTCTTTTGATTTTATACTGATCTTTTGCTGTGCACTTTTTTGTTTGTTTGTTTTTTGAGACAGAGTCTCGCTCTGTCACCCAGGCTGGAGTTCAGTGTTACAATCTCGGCTCACTGCAACCTCTGCCTCCCAGGTTCCAGCGATTCTCCTGCCTCAGCCTCCCAAGTAGTACAGGCATGTGCCACCACGCCCAGCTAATTTTTGTATTTTTTAGTAGCAATCGGGTTTCACCATATTGACCAGGCTGGTCTCGAACTCCTGACCTTGTGATCTGCCCGCCTTGGCCACCCTGCTGTATACATTTTTTCATGTTATCTAGGGTAGCTGTATTAGGATTTTCGAGAAACAGATTTATGAAGAAATTCATTATAAGTACCAGCTTGCTCACTTACGAAGGCTAGGTAAGATGTTCCACTATCCACCGTCTGCAAGCTGGAGACCCAGAAAATCCAGTGGTGTAGTTTGGAGGCCTGAGAGCCAATTGTGTAAGTTCCAGTCTAGGTCTGAAGGCTAAAGAACTAGAGGCTCCAAGGTCAGGAGGAGATCGATGTCCCAACTCAAGCAGTCAGCCAGAGTGAATGCAACCCTCCTCTCTGCCTTTTCGTTCTATTCAGACCCTCAACAGATTGGATGAGGCCCATCCGTATTGGGTACAGCAGTCTGCTTTGCTCAATCTGCCAATTCAAATGCTAATCTCTTTCAGAAAGGGGTTCTGAAAGGGTTCACAGACTCACCCAGTCAAAATGTTTAAACACTTAGCTGGGCATCCATGGTCCAGAAAAGATAACACATAAAATTGACCGTTGCAGCCATGCTGTGCAACACAGTGCCTAGGGCAAATTTGGGTCTGAAATCCAACTGTGTTCAGAATCCCTGCTTTTCCTCTTGCTGTGTGAACTTGGCCAGTTACTTAACCTCCATCTGCCTCTGTATTCAAGTCTGTAAAAGATATACAGTTTTTTAAGAAAAGCTCAAAACAGTGCCTAGCACTTAGAAAATATTGCTTTTATAGTTTTTATTTCGTCTATTAGTTTTTTGGGTTTTTTGCTTGTATAGATACACTAAGTCTGTGGTCTACTTAGAATTTACATCAGTGAACTCAGATTCATTATTTTCCAAATAACTAGAAAATTTTCCCAGCACCAATTTTTTTCCAAATAATCCATCTTTATTTAATTAATTTAAAATGATATCGTGATATAAATTTCCATACACTTTAAAATTTATTTTCACAGTACCTCAAAATTATATTGTCTTAACCCATTTTAATATTTGACAAGGTAAACCCTGTTTATATTCCCTGTTTTAGAATTTCCTATCCATTGTTGCATGTACATGCTTTTAGAAATCATTAGAATTATTTTTGTCAAGTTGCAACAAAAGCATACTGATAATTTGAAATTGGACTGTTTATAAGTTTAGAGAGAATTTACATTTTTACAATATTGATTGACCTAAAGCCAAGTTTTTGCAGTTTTTCAAAAGCATTATTTAATCGGGATTTTCTAGTCATGCCAATTAAGAGTACAATAGCCCATTTGAGTCTATTTAAGATAAAGATTTTAGGCCAGGCACAGTGGCTCATGCCTGTAATCCAGCACTTTAGGAGGCCAAGGCAGGCAGATCACGAGGTCAAGAGATCGAGGCCATCCTGGCCAACATGGTGAAACCCCATCTCTACTAAAAATACAAAAACTAGTTGGGTGTGGTGTCATGTGCCTGTAGTCCCAGCTGCTTGGGAGGCTGCTACTTGGGAGGCTCCGCCTCAAAAAAAAAAAAAAGATAAAGATTTCAGATAGCATGCAAAATACCTTTACTGCCATAAAAATTGATCTATTCATCCCTCCCTCCACTGGCAGCCATTGATCATTTTACTGTCTCTGTAGTTTTGCCTTTTCCAAAATGTCATATAGCTGAAATTATACAGTATGTAGCCTTTCTGGCTGGGCTTCTTTCACTTATTAATATGCACTTACGTTTCCTCCATGTCTTTTTTCATGGCTTGATAGCTCATTTCTTGTTAGTAATAAATAATGTTCCATAGTCTGGATATACTACAATTTAGTTATCCATCCACCTACTGAACAACATCTTGGTTGCTTCAGGTTTTGGTAATCATGGATAAAATTGCTATTAATATAAACATCTGTGAGAAGGTTTTTGTATAGATGTAAGTTTTCAACTCATTTGGGTAAATATCGAGGAGCATGATTGTTAAGCTGCATGGTAAAAATATGTTTCATTTTGTAAGAAATTGCTGAACTGTTTTCCAAAATGAATGTACCATTTTGCATTCATACCAGCAATGAATGAGAGTTCCTGTTGCTCCACATCCTTGCCAGCATTTGATCTTGCCAGTGTTTTGGATTTTGGCCATTCCAGTAAGTTGGTAGTGGTATCTCACTGTTTTAATTTGCAGTTCCCTAATGACATACGGTGTTGAACATCTTTTCATAAATTTATATGCCATCTATACATCTTCTTTGGTGAGGTATCTTTTCAGGTCTTGTGCTCATTTTTTAATCAGGTTTTTTATTTTCTTTTTGTTGAGTTTTAAGAGTTCTTTGTATCTTTTGGATAAATATTCTTTAATAAATACATCTTTGCAGACATCTTCCCCCATTCTGTGGCTTGTCTTTTTCTCTTGATAATGTCTTTTACAGAGAAGAAGTTTTTTATTTTAATGAAATCCAGCTTATCAATTGTTTCTTTTGTGGACTGTGCCTTTGGTGTCATATATAAAAAGTCATTAGCATAACCAAGTTCATCTAGCTTTTCTCCTATGTTATCTTCTAAGAGTTTTATACACATGGGACTGTTATTCATTTTCAGTTAATTTTTGTGACGTGTGTAAGGTCTAAGACCAGATTCATTTTTTTGCGTGTGAATGTCCAATTGCTCCAGCACCATTTGTTGAAAAGACTACATTTTCTTTTTTGGATTGCTCTTGCTATTTTGTCAAAGATCAATTGACTCTATTTACGTAGGCCTACTTCTTGTCTCTCCATTTTGTTCCATTGACCTATTTGTCTATTATTTTGTTATCTATTTTAATTTTATTGGATTTTGGTCAGAGATTATGTCTATGAGATAACTTTAATTGTATTTGCAGAAACTTGTTTTGTAAACTAACAATTTTTGTATATGCTTTATGCATGTTTTTTAAAGTATCCTCTTTAATTGTTGGGTTCAGAATTTGACTAATAAAACTTATTTATTGTTCAAGTTTTTTTAATTCTTATTAATTTTCTTCTCCAGGTGATTTTTCAATGAGAGGTTTACTTAAAACTCCCATTATTATTGTAGAATTATCATCTTCTTTTGTGATTCTTTTGATTTTTAATGTATAAAATTTGAAAATATGTTAAGAGTTTGAAAGTTCAAGATTATTTAATCTTCATGGTGAATTTTTTAATCATTATATAGTAACCCTCTTTACTCCTATTAATGCTTTTATACTCTAGTGGATTTTGGCTGATGTTAATTTGGCTATTTCAGCTGTTTTTGAGGTAGCATTTGCCTTTTACATCTTTTCAAACTTGTTATAACTCTTTTTATATAAGTATAAACTGAACATGGCAGGATTATGATTTTTATCCAATGTACTAATATATTTTTATTTACTTTTACCATTTTACTTCATGTCTTCTATTTAATGTTCTTTTGTTGGAGGGGGAGATGCTTTTTTTCTTCTTTCTTGTCTTCTGTTTGTTTTTTTGTATTTTCCTTCTCCCTTCTTTTCCTCTTCACTGGTTGGAAGTTATTTTATTTCCTTGCATAAAATGATTATTCTTACATTTTTAACATAAATATTTGAATTGACAAAATCAGTATTTCTAACCTCCTCTTGAGCAGTACAAGGACCTTCCATGCATTCTAGTGTCTAATATTTTCATTTGACTTTGTTTTTATAACCCTCCAAGTTAGTCATCATTATTACTTTTTAGTCAATATTTATTCACATTGCCTACATATTTAGCAATTCCTTTGCTTATCCTTTCTTTCTTTCTTTTTTAAACAATTGAGCACTTTCTAGATTGAATTTCATTCTTCATGTCTGTCCTTTAGTATTTCTTTCAGCAATGATGTGCTGGTGATAAACTCTCAGTGACTTTGTCTGAAAATATTTTTATTTTTTTCCTCACTCTAATAATAATTTAACCTGGTATACAATTCTAATTTTACAATTGTTTTGCTCTGCAGTTAAGGATATTATTTCTTTGTCTTCTTATCTCTAATATTATTGTTGTAATTTAATTACTCTTATACAAGTAAAATTTTTTTCTCTGGTTACATCTAAAATTTTTCTCTGTGTCCCTGATATTCTGCAGGTTTGTACAATTTTTCTCGGTATTGTCTTTATTTTTCCTCCTTCAGACTTGAATCAGGGATGTGAAAATTTTTCAGATATCATCTCCTTTTTGTAAGCTTTTTAAAAGCTCATAAGTCCTAGGAGCTTTGCTTATAGCTCGTCATGAATAAAACAGCCCTGTTTAATTAGTGCCTATGAGAGGGTAAATCAAACATTTTTTACAGATGGCAATATGAGAAAAGTACCACAAAAGAATTCCAAAGTACTGGCTCACAAAGGACTGAGAAAGTTCAGAGGAGGGACATTGTCATCAGTAGAGATGGCAGTTGAAAGAAGATTTAAAGAATCAGTAGGTTTTGACTAAAGAGGGGGAGAAAATGATGGAAATTACTAAGAAGAAGGAATACACAGGGAATAGTCAGACACTGGCCATTTGGATGTCATTTAAAATAATTAGAATAGGGAGAGATAAGGCTATAAAAATAGTGTGAGGTATGAGAGCGATGTCCTTGAAGCCAAGGCTAAATATGAGGAGTTGTTGAAAGTTCTAGAATAGTGGGGTGGTTTAATTGACTATTTACTTTGGCAAAAACAATCTGATTCCAGATCTATGATGAGTTGAAGGAAAAAAAGGTGATGGAAAGTAGGGAGGCCACTAAAAAGGTTATCCAAATTGTATGACCAAGAAATAATGAGAAGCTGAGTCATAGAAGAGTGGCCTTGGATTGCAAAGATCACACCAATCAAAGGTGGTTTTACAGAAATAAATTTCTATAGGATTTTTTTTATTTCTACAGTTCTTACAGGTTGTCTGGCTATGCCCATGTGCCTGGACTCTGCACTTCTGATTTTGTATGATGTCTAGCTGCTGTATTTTCCTGGGTTTTGTTAGTCCAAGTGGTTTCTCACACACAGTAGGCGCTGACCTCTACTCTGAAATGAAAACAGGACTCTGGTTTGCCTGCTTAGCTCTGATTCAAGGCCTTGCCCTGGTCCCTGAGAACTTTCAGCCCTTGAATTTGGATTCTTAGAGTCACCTACACTCCCAATAAGACAATGAATCATGAACAAATTGGCAGGTGAAAAATATTCCAAAAGGAAATGAGAGCGAAATAGGTGGAAATTATGAGAATAGAAAAAATATTTTGGAGGTACACTGACTAAATGTTTGTGGACCCCCACATGGGCATTTGGCAGGTTACTAGTTCATGAGGGTGGAGCCCTCACAAATTGGATTAATGCCCTTCTTAAAGGAACCTCAGAGGGCTCTCTTGCCTTCTGAGGCTACAATGAGGAGGCAATCAGCAACCTGGAAAAGAACCCTCACCAGAACCCAGAATGGACCATATAGGCATCCTGACCCCCTGATCTCAGACTTCCAACCCATAGAAATGTGAGAAATACAATGTTGTTTATATGCCACCCAATCTACGATAATTTGTTATAACAGCCCAAACTAGCTAAGGCAGAAGATTTATACATGTTATATTTATTTAAGTACAGGATCTATAAACTTCCACACGCGTAAATTTGACCTTTTCCAAAAGATGCTTGTGTCTGATTAATGCAACTTGCTGTGCCTATTTTATTCAGGATTCTTTTAGGCAGGATTCACATGCTAGAAAATGCCAATAAGCTTCAGAGATTGGTATGTTTTCCATGATCACAATCAGTTCTTTTTCAGAATCATTAACACTTGACAACAGAGTGCAAATCAGGATGTCCCACTTGCCCTCTCTGTAGGTGAGCGGAGTGTGATGCCAGAGTAATTTTTTTTTTTTTTTTTTTTGAGACAGAGTCTTACTCTGTCACCCAGGCTGGAGTGCAATAGCGATCATGGCTCACTGCAACCTCCGCCTCCTGGGTTCAAGCAATTCTGTCTCAGCCTCCTGAGTGGCTGGGATTACAGGCACATGCCACCATGCCCGGCTAATTTTTGTATTTTTAGTAGAGATGAGGTTTCACCATGTTGGTCAGGCTGGTCTCAAACTCCTGACCTCATGATCTGCCCACCTCAGCCTCCCAAAGTTCTGGGATTACAGGTGTGAGCCACTGCACCTGGCCTGCCAGAGTAATTTTTAAACCAATTAGGATTTTCCCGCTTGGGGTTACACAAATGGAGATATGAAAGACCTCTTTTTATACAAGCCATGTGGTAAATTTTCTGAAAATATGTTCAGCATAATTGTGACAAATTATTTAAAAGAAATCCCAGCCTGTCAATGAAAACTGCTCATAGAATTTATTTTTTGAAATTTAACATTACTTCTATAACATTACTTTTTGCCTAAACCACAATGATAAATGAAAGGGACAGATGTGAACCTCAATGCAATCAAGTATATTATACCTCATAGCTAACAGAATAAATGTTTATAATTTTCATACATTAAATTTTTTATTACAAGGTAGTTTTTACTTATGAAAAAAACCATGCTTTCCACTCTAGGGCATATTTAATCTGATTATTCTCACTTTTAGCAAAAAAAACATATTCTATGAAGCTATAGGTATAACTATTTTCTTCTTAGATACTACAATAATGCTCCAAAATCAGAATTCTCCCACACACCAGAATAACAGTAATTCTAAAAGTAAAGGTATCCAGGCTCCACATATGAATAAAGATATGAATACTTGATTGAAGATTCAAAATACCGGCATGAAAAAAATGGAATGTTAAATACAGGACCTCTGAATCATTAATAAGTTAGCATAATTCTAACTTTTTTTCAGTTTAATTTATTTTGTAGATGACAAAAAAATGCAACTAATTAAGGCACATGATCTTTCTAATTAGGTATATTATCAAGGCAAATTTTTAACTCCTAGTACAATATTCTAAAACTACATCAGACAATCATTTTCTTTGCCAAAATTCAGTCATGTAAGTACTGTATACTATGTTTCAATATATAGATTTCCTATTATTTTAAAATATATTTTATTGGAAGGTTCCAGAAAAAACCACAACTATCAATAGTAAAAATATATATAAAAGGTTAATCATTTTTATAATCAGGGTAAATTAGGCTAATGAGTTCTTATACCAGAGGCCTAAAATAAAGACAGTATTATTTTGATCCTAAAGTAATATTTTATAATCTACGATACATAATCCCATTAGATAATTGCTTAGCTCTTCACTGACTTTTGAGAAATATTCTTTTTGTTTAATTTTATTATTATTATACTTTAAGTTTTATGGCACATGTGCACAATGTGCAGGTTAGTTACATATGTATACATGTGCCATGCTGGTGTGCTGCACCCATTAACTCGTCATTTAGCATTAGGTATATCTCCTAATGCTATCCCTCCCCCCTCCCACCACCCCACAACAGTCCCCAGAGTGTGATGTTCTCCTTCCTGTGTCCATGTGTTCTCATTGTTCAATTTCCACCTATGAGTGAGAACATGCAGTGTTTGGTTTTTTTGTCCTTGCAAGAGTTTACTGAGAATGATGATTTCCAATTTCATCCATGTCCCTACAAAGGACATGAACTCATCATTTTTTATGGCTGCATAGTATTCCATGGTGTATATGTGCCACATTTTCTTAATCCAGTCTATCATTGTTGGACATTTGGGTTGGTTCCAAGTCTTTGTTATTGTGAATAGTGCCGCAATAAACATGCGTGTGCATGTGTCTTTATAGCAGCATGATTTATAGTCTTTTGGGTATATACCCAGTAATGGGATGGCTGGGTCAAATGGTATTTCTAGTTCTAGATCCCTGAGGAATCGCCACACTGACTTCCACAATGGTTGAACTAGTTTACAGTCCCACCAACAGTGTAAAAGTGATCCTATTAATCCACATCCTCTCCAGCACCTGTTGTTTCCTGACTTTTTAATGATCGCCATTCTAACTGGTGTGAGATGGTATCTCATTGTGGTTTTGATTTGCATTTCTCTGATGGCCAGTGATGGTGAGCATTTTTTCATGTGTTTTTTGGCTGCATAAATGTCTTCTTTTGAGAAGTGTCTGTTCATGTCCTTCGCCCACTTTTTGATGGGGTTGTTTGTTTTTTTCTTGTAAATTTGTTTGAGTTCATTGTAGATTCTGGATATTAGCCCTTTGTCAGATGAGTAGTTGTGAAAATTTTCTCCCATTTCGTAGGTTGCCTGTTCACTCTGATGGTAGTTTCTTTTGCTGTGCAGAAGCTCTTTAGTTTAATTAGATCCCATTTGTCGATTTTGGCTTTTGTTGCCATTGCTTTTGGTGTTTTAGACATGAAGTCCTTGCCCATGCCTATGTCCTGAATGGTAATGCCTAGGTTTTCTTCTAGGGTTTTTATGGTTTTAGGTCTAACGTTTAAGTCTTTAATCCGTCTTGAATTGATTTTTGTATAAGGTGTAAGGAAGGGATCCAGTTTCAGCTTTCTATATATGGCTAGCCAGTTTTCCCAGCACCATTTATTAAATAGGGAATCCTTTCCCCATTGCTTGTTTTTCTCAGGTTTGTCAAAGATCAGATAGTTGTAGATACGTGGCATTATTTCTGAGGGCTCTGTTCTGTTCCATTGATCTGTATCTCTGTTTTGGTACCAGTACCATGCTGTTTTGGTTACTGTAGCCTTGTAGTATAGTTTGAAGTCAGGTAACGTGATGCCTCCAGCTTTGTTCTTTTGGCTTAGGACTGACTTGGCGATGCAGGCTCTTTTTTGGTTCCATATGAACTTTAAAGTAGTTTTTTCCAATTCTGTGAAGAAAGTCACTGGTAGCTTGATGGGGATGGCATTGAATCTATCAATTATCTTGGGCAGTATGGCCATTTTCACAATATTGATTCTTCCTACCCATGAGCATGGAATGTTCTTCCATTTGCTTGTGTCCTCTTTTATTTCATTGAGCAGTGGTTTGTAGTTCTCCTTGAAGAGGTCCTTCACATCCCTTGTAAGTTGGATTCCTAGGTATTTTATTCTCTTTGAAGCAATTGTGAATGGGAGTTCACTCATGATTTGGCTCTCTGTTTGTCTGTTATTGGTGTATAAGAATGCTTGTGATTTTTGTATATTGATTTTGTATCCTGAGACTTTGCTGAAGTTGCTTATCAGCTTAAGGAGATTTTGGGCTGAGACAATGGGGTTTTGTAGATATACAATCATGTCATCTGCAAACAGGGACAATTTGACTTCCTCTTTTCCTAATTGAATACCCTTTATTTCCTTCTCCTGCCCAATTGCACTGGCCAGAACTTCCAACACTATGTTGACTAGGAGTGGTAAGAGAGGGCATCCCTGTCTTGTGCCAGTTTTCAAAGGGAATGCTTCCAGTTTTTGCCCATTCAGTATGATATTGGCTGTGGGTTTGTCATAGATAGCTCTTATTATTTTGAGATATGTCCCATCAATACCTAATTTATTGACAGTTTTTAGCATGAAGGGTTGTTGAATTTTGTCAAAGGCTTTTCCTGCATCTATTGAGATAATCATGTGGTTTTTGTCTTTGGTTCTGTTTATATGCTGGATTACATTTATTGATTTGCATATATTGAACCAGCCTTGCATCCCAGGGATGAAGCCCACTTGATCATGGTGGGTAAGCTTTTTGATGTGCTGCTGAATTCGGTTTGCCAGTATTTTATTGAGGATTTTTGCATCAATGTTCATCAAGGATATTGGTCTAAAATTCTCTTTTTTGGTTGTGTCTCTGCCTGGCTTTGGTATCAGGATGATGCTGGCCTCATAAAATGAGTTAGGGAGGATTTCCTCTTTTACTATTGATTGGAATAGTTTCAGAAGGAATGGTACCAGTTCCTCCTTGTACCTCTGGTAGAATTCAGCTGTGAATCCATCTGGTCCTGGACTCTTTTTGGTTGGAAAGCTATTGATTATTGCCACAATTTCAGCTCCTGTTATTGGTCTATTCTGAGATTCAACTTCTTCCTGGTTTAGTCTTGGGAGGGTGTATGTGTCGAGGAATTTATCCATTTCTTCTAGATTTTCTAGTTTATTTGTGTAGAGGTGTTTGTAGTATTCTCTGACGGTAGTTTGTATTTCTGTGGGATCGGTGGTGATATCCCCTTTATCATTTTTTATTGTGTCTATTTTATTCTTCTCTCCTTTTTTCTTTATTAGTCTTGCTAGCAGTCTATCAATTTTCTTGATCCCTTCAAAAGACCAGCTCCGGGATTCATTAATTTTTTGAAGAGTTTTTGTGTCTCTATTTCCTTCAGTTCTGCTCTGATTTTAGTTATTTCTTGCCTTCTGCTAGCTTTTGAATGTGTTTGCTCTTGCTTTTCTAGTTCTTTTAATTGTGATGTTAGGGTGTCAATTTTGGATCTTTCCTGCTTCCCCTTGTGGGCATTTAGTGCTAAAAATTTCCCTCTATACACTGCTTTGAATGTGTCCCAGAGATTCTGGTATGTTGTGTCTTTGTTCTCGTTGGTTTCAAAGAACATCTGTATTTCTGACTTCATTTCGTTATGTACCCAGTAGTCATTCAGGAGTAGGTTTTTCAGTTTCCATGTAGTTGAGCAGTTTTGAGTGAGTTTCTTAATCCTGAGTTCTAGTTTGATTGCACTGTGGTCTGAGAGACAGTTTGTTATAATTTCTGTTATTTTACATTTGCTGAGGAGAGCTTTACTTCCCAGCATGTGGTCAATTTTGGAATAGGTGTGGTGTGGTGCTGAAAAAAATGTATATTCTGTTGATTTGGGGTGGAGAGTTCTGTAGATGTCTATTAGGTCCACTTGGTGCAGAGCTGAGTTCAATTCTGGGTGTCCTTGTTAACTTTCTGTCTCTTTGATCTGTCTAATGTTGACAGTGGGGTGTTAAAGTCTCCCATTATTATTGTGTGGGAGTCTAAGTCTCTTTACAGGTCACTCAGGACTTGCTTTATGAATCTGGATGCTCCTGTATTGGGTGCATATATATTTAGGATAGTTAGCTCTTCTTGTTGAATTGATCCCTTTACCATTATGTAATGGCCTTCTTTGTCTCTTTTGATCTTTGTTGGTTTAAAGTCTGTTTTATCAGAGACTAGGATTGCAACCCCTGCCTTTCTTTGTTTTCCATTTGCTCGGTAGATCTTCCTCTCCATCCTTTTATTTTGAGCCTATGTGTGTCTCTGCATGTGAGATGGGTCTCCTGAATACAGCACACTGATGGGTCTTGACTCTTTATCCAATTTGCCAGTCTGTGTCTTTTAATTGGAGCATTTAGTCCATTGACATTTAAAGTTAATATTGTTATGTGTGAATTTGATCCTGTCATTAAGATGTTAGCTGGTTATTTTGTTCATTAGTTGATTCTTCCTAGTCTCGAAGGTCTTTACATTTTGGCATGATTTTGCAGTGGCTGGTACCGGTTGTTCCTTTCCATGTTTAGTGCTTCCTTCAGGAGCTCTTTTAGGGCATGCCTGGTGGTGAAAAAATCTCTCAGCATTTGCTTGTCTGTAAAGGATTTTATTTCTCCTTCACTTATGAAGCTTAGTTTGGCTGGATATGAAATTCTGGGTTGAAAATTCTCTTCTTTAAAAATGTTGAATATTGGCCACCACTCTCTTCTGGCTTGTAGAGTTTCTGCCGAGAGATCCGCTGTTAGTCTGATGGGCTTCCCTTTGTGGGTAACCCGACCTTTCTCTCTGGCTGTCCTTAACATTTTTTCCTTCATTTCAACTTTGGTGAATCTGACAATTATGTGTCTTAGAGTTGCTCTTCTCGAGGAGTATCTTTGTGGCGTTCTCTGTATTTCCTGAATCTGAATGTTGGCCTGCCTTGCTAGATTGGGGAAGTTCTCCTGGATAATATCCTGCAGAGTGTTTTCCAACTTGGTTCCATTCTCCCCATCACTTTCAGGTACACCAATCAGACGTAGATTAGGTCTTTTCACATAGTCCCATATTTCTTGGAGGCTTTGCTCATTTCTTTTTATTCTTTTTTCTCTAAACTTCCCATCTCGCTTCATTTCATTCATTTCATCTTCCATCACTGATACCCTTTCTTCCAGTTGATCTCATCGGCTCCTGAGGCTTCTGCATTCTTCACGTAGTTCTCAAGCCTTGGTTTTCAGCTCCATCAGCTCCTTTAAGAACTTCTCTGTATTGGTTATTCTGGTTATACATTCGTCTAAATTTTTTCCAAGGTTTTTAACTTCTTTGCCTTTGGTTTGAATTTCCTCCTGTAGCTCAGAGTAGTTTGATCGTCTGAAGCCTTCTTCTCTCAACTCATCAAATTCATTTTCCGTCCAGCTTTGTTCTGCTGCTGGTGAGGAACTGCATTCCTTTGGAGGAGGAGAGGTGCTCTGCTTTTTAGAGTTTCCAGTTTTTCTGCTCTGTTTTTTCCCCATCTTTGTGGTTTCATCTACTTTTGGTCTTTGATGATGGTGATGTACAGATGGGGTTTTGGTGTGGATGTCCTTTCTGCTTGTTAGTTTTCCTTCTAACAGACAGGACCCTCAGCTGCAGGTCTGTTGGAGTTTGCTAGAGGTCCACTCCAGACTCTGTTTGCCTGGGTATCAGCAACAGTGGCTGCAGAACAGTGGATTTTCGTGAACCGCAAATTTTGCTGTCTGATCGTTCCTCTGGAAGTTTTGTCTCAGAGGAGTACTGGGCTGTGAGAGGTGTCAGTCTGCCCCTACTGGGGGGTGCCTCCCAGTTAGGCTGCTCGGGGGTCAGGGGTCAGGGACCCACTTGAGGAGGCAGTCTGCCCATTCTCAGATCTCCAGCTGCGTGCTGGGAGAACCACTGCTCTCTTCAAAGCTGTCAGACAGGGACATTTAAGTCTGCAGAGGTTATTGCTGTCTTTTTGTTTGTCTGTGCCCTGCCCCCAGAGGTGGAGCCTACAGAGGCAGGCAGGCCTCCTTGAGCTGTGGTGGGCTCCACCCAGTTCGAGCTTCCCGGCTGCTTTGTTTACCTAAGCAAGCCTGGGCAATTGTGGGCTCCCCTCCCCCAGCCTCGCTGCTGCCTTGCAGTTTGATCTCAGACTGCTGTGCTAGCAATCAGCGAGACTCCGTGGGCGTAGGACCCTCCAAGCCAGGTGCAGGATATAATCTCCTGGTGTGCCATTTTTTAAGCCCGTCGGAAAAGCGCAGTATTCGGGTGGGAGTGACCCAATTTTCCAGGTGCCATCTGTCACCCCTTTCTTTGACTAGGAAAGGGAACTCCCTGACCTCTTGTGCTTCCTGAGTGAGGCAATGCCTCACCCTGCTTCAGCTCGCACACGGTGCGCTGCACCCACTGTCCTGTGCCCACTCTCTGGCACTCCCTAGTGAGATGAACCTGGTACCTCAGATGGAAATGCAGAAATCACCCGTCTTCTGCGTCAGTCACACTGGGAGCTGTAGACCGGAGCTGTTCCTATTCGGCCATCTTGGCTGCCCTCCACATAATTCTAACTTTAAAAAAACAGGCAAAGCACAGGAATGAAAGAAACAACAGATAAGTTGGACCTCATGAAAATTAAAAATTTTGTATGTCAAAGGACATCATCGACAGAGAGAAAAGGCAGCTCCCAGAATGAAAGAAAATATTTGCAGTTTTATATCTGATAAGGGGTTAATATCCAGAATATAAAATGAGCACCTACAACTCAACAGCAAAAACACAACCCAATTTAAAAATGAGCCTGACTTAAATGGACATTTTTCCAAAGATGATACATGGATGGCCAATGAAAGCACGAAAAGAAGTCCAGAATCACCAATCATTATGATGGCAGCAGAGAAGCAGGAGACCCGCCCTCCCCAGGTGCTGCTGTAGCTGCCCTGGCCCAGCTCAAGACATGGGTGTGTCTGTGCTCTTGGGGGCCCCAGAAGGTCCCCCTGCCTTCTGCAGGCTTGGAAGTGCCTGATCTCACTGCCTGGCTTAGCCCCACTGTCAGCACCTGCTCCAGTCTTGGAGGTGTGGCCAGAGTTGCATGCTCCATGAAGCCAGTGGGAGCTGGGGACAAGCAGGAGCTCCGCCCCTTCCGAGTTGGTGGGGAGGGTGTTCCCTGGATGCATCTGCAGCCACCCAAGCCTGGCTGCAGACTGGGCATCCCTGTGCTCTTGAGGGCCTGGGAAGGCCCCATTGCCCCCTGCAGGTTCAGAATTGCCTGCTTCCACTGCCTGGCCCATCCCCACTCCCAGTGCCCACTCAGCTCATGGAGGAAGGTTGGGCCCAAGCTCAGGCACTACAGCAGCCCAGCTGGGTGGGCACATGCTCGGGCCAGCACTGACACACCAGCCCTCTGCCACCTCAGCCCCCTTTGGACTTTGGATGCCAAGGGGCACAGGAGGGAAGCTGAGGTGGTGCTAAGGGCAGCTCATTGCTGGCCTGTAGGCTCCCCTTGGCACAAACAGCCTGGGCAGCCATGAACAGTGGGAGGAGATAGATAGGCTCTGGGTGGAAGGGGACACGTCCCAGGTGAAACACCACCTCCAGACCGAGGAAGGCCTGAAGCCTGGGGCCAGGGAATTCATGGTATTTTTCCTGGGCCCACCATGGCAGCCCATAGACCAATCACCACACACTTTCCCCCTCTGAAGACCATAAAAATCCCAGACTCAGCCAGAGCAGAGCAGATATAGGGATGACCAGCTGCAGAGAGGAGCTACCATTCTCAGGGCCTCCTCTCTGCTGAGAGTTGCAGACAACAGGATGACCAGCTGCAGAGAGGAGCTACCCTCTGCTGAGAGCTGAACACTTGTCGAGATGACCTGCTTGCAGAGAGGAGCCACCTACTCCAGGGCCTCCTTTCTGCTGAGAGCGGAACACTCAAACAGAATGACCTGCCTACAGAGAGGACCTTTGACATTGAACTCAGTGCCATCCTGTCATAGGAGACAGCAAATCCATACTGGGCTCAACCAGCACCCATGCATGGAGGGACATTTAGACCAGACATAGCCAGAGGAGAATCACCCATCTGAGTGGTCAGAACTTGAGCTTCTCAGCAAGCCTCTCCACTGCAGGCCAAAGTACATTGGGGTCCTAGGTAAATTGGAAAGACAGTCTAGGGCACAAGGGCTACAATTCCTAGGCAACTCCTAGTGCTGAGCTGGGCTCGGTGCCAGAGAACTAGGGTGGCACAAGACATAGGGACACATCAGCTGGAATGGCTAAGGGACTGCTTGCACCATCTCTCCCTCAACCCCAGGCAGCTCAGCTTGCAGCAACAAAAGTGACTCCTTCCATCCACTTAAGGAGAGAAATATGAAGAGTAAAGAGGACTTTGTCTTGCATCTTGGATACCAGTTCAGCCACAGCAGGATAAGTCACCAGGCAGAGTTGTGAGGCCCCCACTCCAGGCCTTAGCTAATGGACAACATTTTTACACACACCCAGGACCAAAAGGGAACCTGCTACCTTGAAAGGAAGGACCCAATCCTGGCAGAATTCATCACCTGTTAACTAAAGACCCCTTGAGCCTTGAATAATAAGCATTAATACCCAGGTAAAATGCCACTGGTCTTGGACTCTGACACATACTGACTATAGGTGTGACCCAGCACATTTCCAGCTGTGGTGACTACAGTAAAAGACTCTTCTTGTTTGAGAAAAGCACAGGGAAAAGTGAAGGGGACTTTGTCTTGCACCTTAGGTACCAGCTCAGCCACAAGGGGGTAGAGTAACAAGCAGCATCTTGGGGTCCCCAAGTCCAGGTCTAGGCTCTTGAACAGTATTTATGGACCTGCCCTAAGCCACAGGAGAGCTCACTGCCTTGAAGTTTGAGTCCCACGCCTGGCAACATTTGCCACCAGCTGACTGAAGAGCCCTTGGGATTTAAGTGAACATCAGCAGTAGCCTGGCAGAACCTCCCCAACCATGGGTCAATAGTGGTGGTGGCCACAGGGAGAGGCTACTCTGCCAGTGGAAAAGGGAGGAAAGAGCAGGAAGGACTTTGTATTGTAGTTTGAGGGCCAGCTTAGCCACAGTAGAATAGAACATCAGACAAGTTTTTAAGGTATTTGATTCCAATGTCTGGCTCCCAGACAACATCTCTGGACGTGCCCAGGGCCTGGGGAAACTCACTGCCCTGAAGGGAGGAACATAAACCTAGGGACTTGAGTGAACCTAGGAGATAGGCAGGTAGTGGTTACAGCAGGCTTTGGGTGAGACCCAGTGCTGTACTGACTTCAGGTCTGACCCAGGGCAATCCCAGTGGTGGTGGCCACAGGGGTGCTTGCATCACCTTACCCCAGTTCCACGCAGCTCAGTAAAAACAGAGAGACTCCATTTGTTTGGGAGAAAGTAAGGGAAAAAAACAAGAATCCCTGCCTGGTAATACAGAGAATTCTTCTGGATCTTATCCAAGATGATCAAGGTGGTACCTCTACAAGTCTGCAAAAAACACAGGGATGTTGGGCCTGGAAAGCTTTCTCAAGAAGGTTGGGCACAAACAAGCCCATATTGTGAAGATTAAAATAAATATCCAACTCTTCAATGCCCAGGCACTGAAGAACATCTACAAGCATCAAGATTATCCAGGAAAACATAACCTCACTGAATGAACTAAATAAGCCACAAGGGATCAATCCTGGAGAAACAGAGACATGTGACATTTCAAAGAGATAATTCAAAATAGCTATGTTGAGGAAACTCAAATAAATTGAAGATAATATAAAGAAGGAATTTAGAATTCTATCAGATAAAATTTAACAAAGAGAATGAAATAATTAAAAAGAATCAAGCAGAAATTCTGGAGTTGAAAAATGCAATTGACATACTAAAGAATTCATCAAAATCTCCTAATAGCAGAACTGATCAGTCAGAAGAAAGAATTAGTGAGCTTGAAAACAAACTATTTGAAAACACATAGTTAGAGGAGACAAAAGAAAAATGAATAACACACAATGAAGCATGCCTACAAGATCTAGAAAATAGCCTTAAAAGGGCAAATCTAAGAGTTATTGGCATTAAAGAGAAGGTAGAGAAAGATAAAGGGTAGAAGGTTTATTCAAAGGGATAATATCAGAGAACTTTCCAAACCTAGAGAAAGATATCAACATTTAATTACAAGAAGCTTATATAACACCAAGAAGATTTATCCCAAAGAACACTACCTCAAGGCATCTAATAATCAAACTCCCAAAGGTCGAGGATAAAGAAAGCAGCCTGAAAGCAGCCTAAAATCAGCACGAGAAAAGAAACAAATAACATACAGTGGAGCTCCAATACACCTGGCAGACTTTTCAGTGGAAACCTTACAGGTCCAGGGAGAGTGGCATGACATATTTAAAGAGCTGAAGGAAAAAACTTTTGCTCTAGGATAGTATATTTGGTGAAAATATCCTTCAAACTTAAAGGAAAAATAAAGACCTTCCCAGAAAAAAGTTGAGGGGTATCATCACCAAATCCGTTCTACAAGAAATGCTAAAAGGAGTTCTTCAATCTGAAAGAAAAGTATGTTAATGACCCAGTAGAAATCATCTGAAGACTCACTGGTAATAGTAAGCACACCAAAAAACAGAGAATAGTATTACACTGTAATTGTTGTGTGTAAACTACTCTTGTTTTAAGTAGAAATACTAAAGGATAAACCAATTAAAAATAATAATACAACAACTTTTCAAGACATAGACAGTACAATAAAGCATAAAGATAAACAACAAAAAGTTAAAAAGCAGGAGGATGAAGTTAAGGTGTGTAGAGTTTTTATTAGTTTTCTTTTTATATGTTTCTTTATGCAATTGTAAATGAGGATTGTTAAGTCATTATCAGTTTAAAATAATGAGCTTTATAGCATTTGAAAGCCTCATGGTAACCTCAAGCCAAACAAACATAACAAATAGAAAAAAATTAAAAACAAAAAATTAAATCATACTACCAGAGAAAATCACCTTCACTAAAAGGAAAACAGGAAGCAAGAGAAGACCACAAAGCAACCAGAAAAGAAATAGCAAAATGGGAGAAATTCCTACTTATCAATAGTAACATTGAATGTAAATGAACTAAGCTCTCCAATCAAAAGACATAGGGCAGCTACATGGATTAAAAAACAAGACCCAATGATCTGTTGCTTACAAAAAACACATTTCATCTATAAAGATGTATATAGACTAAAAATAAAAAGATGCAAAAAGATATTCCATGTGAACAGAAACCATAAAAGAGCAGGAGTAGCTATACTTAAATCAGACAAATAGACTTCCAGACAAAAACTGTAAGAAGTGACAAAGAAGGTCATTATATAATGATAAAAAGTTCAATCCAGCAATAGAATGTAATGATCATAAATATATATGCACCCAAACTGGAGCACCCAGATATATATAGCAGACATTAGAGCTAGAGAGATAGACCCCAATACAATTGTAGCTGGAGACTTTGACACCCCACTTTCAGCATTAAACAGATTTCCCAGACAGAAACTCAACAAAGAAACAGTAGACTTAATCTGCACTATAGAATAAGTGTACCTAATACATATTTACAGAACATTTCCTCCTCCAAAGGCTGCAGGATATACATTCTTCTCTTTCACACATGGATCGTTCTCAAGGATAGACCATATTCACAAAGCAAGTCTTTCAACATTCAAGAAAATGGAAATAATATCAAGCATCTTCTCTGACCACAATGGAAGAAAACTAGAAATCAACAACAAGAAGGATTTTGGAAAATATACAAATTCATGGAAATTAAACAATATGCTCCTGAATGACCAGTGAGTCAATGAAGAAATTAAGAAGGAAATTGAAAAATTTCTTGAAACACATGATAATGGATACCCAACAAAAACCTATGGGATACAGTAAAACAGTTCTAAAAGGGAAATTTACAGCTATAAGCACCTACTTCAAAAAAAAAGAAAAGCTTCAAATAAATAACCTAACAATGCATCTCAAAGAACTAGAAAAGCAAGAGCAAAACAAACCCAAAATTAGTAGAAGAAAAGATAAAGATCACAACAGAAATAAATAAAATTGAAATGAAGAAAACAATACAAAAGATCAACAAAACAAAAATTTGGTTTTTTGAAAAGATAAACATGACAAACTTTTAGCCAGACCAATGGAAAAAAAGGGAAAAGACCCCAAAAAATAAAATCAGAGATGAAAAAGGAGACATTCCAGCTGATTCTGCAGAAATTCAAAGGATCATTAGTTGCTACTATGAGCAACTAAATGCCAATAAATTGGAATATCTAGAGGAAATTGATAAATTCCTAGACATATAAACCTTTATCATCATCATATAAAAATTGAACCATGAAGAAATCCAAAACTTGAACAGATCAATAGCAAGTAGCAATATCGAAGCCATGCTAAAAATTCTCCCAGTAAAGAAAAGCCCAGTGGCTTAACTGCTGAATTCTACCAAACATTTAAAGAATAACTAATGCCAATTCTGTTCAAATTGTTCTGAAAAACAGAGGGAGGGAATACTTCCAAACTCATTCTACGAGGTCAGTATTATCCTGATACCAAAACCAGACAAAGACACATCTAAAAAAGAAAACTACAGGCCAATATACCTGATGAAAATTGATGCAAAAATACTCAATAAAATATTAGCAAACCGAATTCAACAATACCTTTAAAAGGTCATAAAAATATCATTCATCATGACAAGTGGGATTTATTCCAGGGATGTAAAAGGATGATTTAACATACGCAAATCAATCAATGTGATACATCATATCAACAGAATGAAGGACAAAAAACATGTGATTATTTCAATTAATGCTGAAAAGAATATTTGATAAAATTCAATATCCCCTCATGATAAAAATCCTCAAAAAACTGGGTATAGAAGGAATATACCTCAACCTAATAAAAGCCATATAAGACAGAACCATAGCTAGTATCATACTGAGTGGGGAAAAACTGAAAGTCTTTCCTCTAAGATCTGAAACACAACAAGGATGCCCTCTTTCACCTTGGTTATTCAACATAGTACTGGTAGTCCTAGCTGGAGCAATTAGACAAGAGAAAGAAATAAATGTCATCTAAATTGGGAAGGAAGAAGTCAAATTATCCTTGTTTGCAGATGATATTATCTTATATTTGGAAAAAACTAAATTCTCCATAAGAAAACTATTAGAACTGATAAACTCAGTAAGGATACAGGATAAAACATCAACATACAAAAATCAGTAGCATTTCTATATGCCAACAGTGAACAATCTGAAAAAGAAATCAAAAACATTAATTCCAGTTATAGTAGTCACAAATAAAATTAAATACCTAGGAATTAACCAAAGAGGTAAAATATCTCTACAATTAACACTGTAAAACACTGATGAAATAAGTTGAAGAGGACACCAAAAATGGAAAGATAGTCCATGTTCCTGGATTGGAAGAATCAACATTGTTAAAATGTCCAAACTGCCCAAAGCAATCTACAGATGTAATTCAATCCCTATCAAAATACCAACGACATTCTTCATGGAAATAGAAAAAACAATCCAAAAATTTATATGGCACCACAAAAGACCCAGAATAGCCAAAGATATCATGAGCAGAAAGAACAAAACTGGAGGAATCACATTACTTGACTTCAAATTATACTACATAGCTATAGTAACCAAAGCAGCATGGTACTGGCATAAAAACAGATACATAGACCAATTGAACAAAATAGAGTACCCAGAAACAAATTCACACAACTACATTGAACCCATTTTTGACAAAGGTACCAAGAACTTAGACTGGGGAAAAGATGGTCTCTTCGATAAATGGTGCTGAGAAAACTGGATGTCCATATGCAAAACAATGAAACTAGACCCCATCATTCACCATATACAAAAATTTGGATCAAAATAGATTAAAGACTTAAATCTAACACCTCAAACTATGAAACTACTACAAGAAAACATTGGGAAAATTCTCTAGGACACTGATCTGGGCAAAAATTTCTTGAATAATACCCACAAGCACAGGCAAACAAAGAAAGGTAGACAAATGGGATCACATCAAGTTAAAAAGATTCTGCAGAGCAAAGGAAACAATCAACAAAGTGAAGAGACATCCAATAAAATGGGAGAGAATATTTGCAAACTACCCCTCTAACAAGGGAATAATAACTAAAATATATATAAGGAGTACAAACAACTCTATAGGAAAAAATGTAATAACCCAAATAAAATATTGGCAAAAGATCTGAAAAGACATTTCTCAAAAGAAGATATGCAAATGGCAAACAAGTTTATGAAAAGGTGCTCAACGTCATTGATCATCAGAGAAATGCAAATCAAAACTATAATGAGACATCATCTCACCCCAGTTAGAATGACTTTTATCCAAAAACCAGGCAATAACAAATGCTGGCGAGGATATGGAGAAAAAATACTGATACTTCCTAGATGCTGCAAAAGATACATATCAAATGAAAAATACAGTCAGCAACCTAAGAGGACATAGATTCTATAGAAGAGAAGACAAACATGAAATACAAGCAAAGGTAGTTGAAAGAGATGCCAAACTTGGTGGTACTTTCAATGCGACAGAACTTCAGAGGAGAGTGAAATTGTCCTCAGCCAGGTTAGCCATAAAAACTTGTTGAAACAAGTGAAGCTCAGACCAAAAAAGAGTAAGCAATATTTATTTAGCCAAAGAAAATTGGAGTGAGCTATGCAGAATTAGTAAGGAAAGTAAGGAAGAAATATAAAGCAGAAGATTGGTGTTAGAAATAAACATAGTAGGGAAAAATCATTTTCCTGGGGCAAAAGTTTCTGTGGGAAATCATTTACCTAGAATAAAAGACTAAATTGAGCTAAGAAATAAAGTCATTGTTATATTTGGAAGGACATAATTGGACTCATCAAACGTAAAATCTATGTGGTAATGATCAATATTATAACTCTTACACAATATTACATTTCTCTATAATGAAGACAGAGACAAAAGAGAATCAACTGAAAAGTAACATGGTGATTCTCATTCCGAGATTCTCTGAAGGTCACCATGCTGTGAGGCCCTTCAAACATCCTCTGTATTAGTTTTCCATCACTAAAATGTCATTATTTTTCCTCCTCATGAGAAACAGACTGTGATTGTGGAACCCATTGTTTTCTGAATGGTCTGTGTGCCCTTGCCAAAGATGGTAGTATCTGCAAATCCCCTGCTAAAAAGGTTAGTCTTTATCTGAAAAGCTGCTTGCTTGTCTTTTATATTTTTATAAACCTGTCCTTCAGTGATACTGGATGGCACTTGAGTCCACAATTTCTACTATAAGGGAAGTAATAAAAGAAACCTGAGCAATCCTCCACTCCCTGATTGACTCACCCCATCATCTTCCCTAATCAATGAAAGATTCAATGCAGGTAATAACTGGACTTCTAGGCACATATCAGGATATAAAGAGAAAGAAACTCTGGGAGTGCTGAAATCTCTATCTCACTGAAGAACAGAAGTGGGCCTTTGCTAAAAAAGAGAAAAAGTGATCCTAGGTTTTATCCCAACCAAGAAGAGTCATTTCTTGGGCATAGTTAATTAATCAGCACTTCCCATCCTTTGCTTTGAAGAATGTTTCAGAAGAGGTGGATAAGGGCTCTAAGATAAAAGTGGTTTTGGAATACCAACTCTTGGAAATAGGCTATCTTGGTTTCCTCATGGAAGAACACTCCAGAGCCTGTACTATTCCAAGGAGCATAGAGTATGCAGCAACCACACCAAGCATTTAACCATGGAAAATTTTTTCCCTCACAATGCAAATGTTTCTCCAGCAGCAAAAGTTTCCCAGATGATTTCAAATATAATACAGTCAATTAACTTGCATTTTATAAATCACTATTGCTTATAATTAAAACTTATCATGGAGAATAGAAAGAAAAACTACAGTGCTTGCAACTCAGCTTGCAATTCATCTTATATTTACTTTCCTTAAATAATAGATGATAAAAGTGATTGTTAAAAGAATGTACAATAGTAGTGTGCCATTTGGGGTAGAGAAACAATGGTCAGTACTATTGGAAAAAAGCTAGAGATAAGCTCTAAATATGCTCAGTGATGCTCAGGTTTTATAGCTATACATTCATTTTCTTAAATTCCAAAAGAACGTAACTTTGTTACTAACAGTCTAAAATTCTCAAGCCTCTGACCTATGTTTTCCCACTGAAACTATCATTTATATCAAATATATCAAATACCAGTTTTCTTACATATAAAGTTCAACTGCTTCATGGCTCATTCTTAGCATCTTTTTGCACTCAAGGAAAAAATAGTCTTGATGTACACAAATGAACAAAAACTATTTACAACTTTATGGAAATCACCTAAGGCGTATTCCCTTTATTACATAAAACACTTCTTAAAACTCCCTTTCCTGATCTCTTCTCTCACTTTTGCTCATTCACAGCAAGTACCTTCCAATTTCTCCCAAATGTCCCCCAAATATCTCAGCCCCAGTAGAATCGTTCCTTTTATTTAGCCTATTGTCTTCTGTCAGTAACTCTACTCTTTTTTTTTTTTTGAGACGGAGTCTCGCTCTGTCACCCAGGCTAGAGTGCAGTGGCGCAATCTCAGCTCACTGCAAGCTCCGCCTACCAGGTTCATGCCATTCTCCTGCCTCAGCCTCCCGAGTAGCTGGGACTACAGGCACACGCCACCACGCCCGGCTAATTTTTTTGTATTTTTTTTAGTAGAGACAGGGTTTCACCATGTTAGCCAGGATGGTCTCAATCTCCTGACCTTCGTGATCCACCCACTTCTGCCTCCCAAAGTGCTGGGATTACAGGCGTGAGCCACCACACCTGGCCACAGTAACTCTATACTTTATATTGTAAATCTAGCTAAACTTTCAGCCTTCTGCCGTGTTTTCCTTTTAGGCTATTACTTCCACTAAATAATTCTCAGCCCACTACTAAATGTCTCTGAGTAACAAAGTTCTTTCCCCTTAAAAAAAGTAGCAAAAGAGAGCAGAAATAAATCATTATTCATTAGTACCATAACTAGCAAGTTTCTCATGCCTGGAACAGATTGTCTCTATTATAATTCAAAGAATACAGTTTAGAAGGCAGTGATGTACAAATAACTTTGTCCAGGGAAGAATTAAAGGGCTCAGGAATGCATTTAAAATTATTCTCATAGAACAAAATGAAGGATGAATGGGTACAGGGAAAACAAACCCCTAACAATGGAAACTTTTTAATTTGAAGCTACCGTATCTTTGCTAGACTTCCACTTCCAGAAAAATGAAATAGACATAATTTTCCCTATTTCACCTGTTAAGTACAACTAGAAAATCTGGGCATTGTATATGAAACAAACATATGAAGATTCTGAAAGCTGGAGAAGAGAAGGTAGACTGACTAGGAAACTTGAGACCCAAGGAACAACAGGGGGGTACATTTTCTGGGTTTTCTTTTTACTTCACAGGTCCCAGACTTGGTGCTAAAGAAGCCAGCAATTTGGTAATGTCAATGAGCACAAACTAAAGTATCACCATCAAAAAGCTGCTCCCTCCAACCAAAATACCAGGAAATGAACAGTTTAGCAAGACAGAAAATTGTCAGATAATAACTACTCTTTTCCAGCTGAACACCACAGAGAAAATTATGTTCCCAACGCCAACTATGCCAGCAAAGATTCAGTGAGGAGCCTAGATTTCCCCCTTAAAGAAGCTATAACCAGGTGCCCCAAACCCCTTACCCTCAGCAGGTGGTATCAGAGAAGGAAGCAATGATTTTCTTTTTGTTCAAGTGATAATGAGCTCCCATCCCCCATTGTGTCAGTAGGGACCACTGTGGAAGCCTGGACTTCCCACAAACACACAAAAGTAATGAGTCGCCTCCCGTCCTGCACAGGTGAGTGGTGTCAGAGGAGGCCTATGCAGAGTCTAAACTTCCATTACCTCCTAGTGTTAATGAGGTCATCCCCAAATCATGGTGTCAGTGGAGAAGTAACAAGACATTTCCCCCCATCCCAGTCATAGAGGAATGCGTGGAGGCCTGCTGCAGAGCCAGGAATTCAACCTTAACCCAGAAGAAGAAAGAGCCCCCTCTAACCTGGCTAACCACTGCTGAAGCTGATCAGCGAGCACCACTGATGTTGAAGCAAGAGCAAGGCATGTGTTTCCCGTTAGCCAACCTAGGCTGCTGCCATTAAAGGCAGCCCCTGGCCTCCTAAGGCAGATCCACAGCACAGTTGTTATTGCCCCCAATATGAGCATGCCACCAGGGGCCTAGGGATCATCCTTCCCTTGCCTGCCACAGCTGCTGCCTACATACACCATCAGGGAACCTGAAGACAAGCCCCCCTGGCCCAAATTTGTTCCCCCAATGCCAGAGTATGTAATCTGGGGGCCTGGGGATTGCCCAGCTCAATCTACCACAGTTGGCACCTGAGCACTCCTTCTGGGAGTCTGGGGTTGAGCTTACCCACCCTGCCACTGTCATCACAGCTGGCACCTACATGTATGTGCCACCTGCAGACCTGGCAACTGGCCCACCCACCTGCCTGGCTCGCTGAACTCACTAACACTGTAGCCAACATACATTGCTCTGGGCTCAAAGACAGGCATTCTCAGCCCACCACTGCAGCCCAAAGACTGACTGATCTGGCATTCCAGTCCCCAGAAAAACTTTACCACAGCCTCAACTAATAACCACACTCAAAGCTGCCAAGAAAATCATAGGTTCCACTAATGCTGTTTATATCTGAAGATATCATATAAAGACTACACTACTGTGTATACTCAAAATCAAGGTCAAAGTTCTCTACCCAATCAAAACCATAAGTATATCTTCAGGAAAAAAATTCTCCTCTATGAAAGTAAATTCAAAAACATTGGAAGAGGTGACCATTACAGCAGATGTGCAGATAGCAATGTAAGAACACAGAAAACCTGAAAAAGCAAGGATATATGATACCACCAAAAAAACACAGTAATTCTCCAGCAACAGATCCCAATCAAAAATAATTTACAAAATCCCTGAAAAAGAATTTACAATATTGATTTTAATAAAGCTTAACAAGATACAAAATAATTCTAAAAAATAATGCAGAAAAATAATTTATGATCTGAATGAGAAGTTTACCAGATAGATATCATAAAAAGAATCTAACAGAAATTCTGGAACTGAAGAATTATTGAATGAAAACTAAAATACATTCAAAAGCTTCGACAACAGACCAGATGAAAGAGAATACAGAATCTCAGAACTTGAAGATAGCTCTTTCAAAATAACCCAGTCAGATGAAAATTAAAAAAAAAAAAAAAGAATTTTAAGAGAATGAACAAAGCCTTCAAGACATATGGGATACCAGGGAGTGACAAAATATTCAAATTACTGGGGTCCCAGAAGGTGAAGAAAAGATGAAAGGGTTAGAAAACCTGTTTAATAATAGATTAAAATTTCCCAAGCCCAGCAAGAGATTTAGACATCCAGATACATGAGACTAAGTTATCCCCAAACAGATACAATACAAAACAGTCTTCTCCAGTCCACATTACAATGAAACTCTCTAAAGTCAGAGACAAAGAGAGAATTCTAAAAACAACAAGAAAAATTAGTCACCTATAAAGGAAGCCCCATCAGATGAAAGCAAACCTCTTGGCAGAAATCTTGTAGGCCAGGAGGAAATAAGATATTTCAAGTGTTGAAAGAAAAAATACTGTCAGCCAAGAATACTATACCCACTAAAATTATCCTTCATCAGCTAAGAAGAAATAAAGTCTTCTCCAGACAAGCAAATGCTAAGGGAATTTATCACTACAAGACCAGGCCTACAAGATATATTCAAGAGAGTCTTAACCATGGAAGTGAAATGATGACATTTACTGTTATAAAAACACATAAAAGTATAAAACTCACTGGTAAGCAACACAAATAAGGAAGATAAAGGTCTTAAATGGTACTACTACAGAAAGCCAACAAAGAACAATGAAAAACAGTAAAACAAAAAAAAGGAAAAAAATATAGAAAACAGTTAAAATATGACAGAAACAGAAGTTCACATATTGATAATAACATTGAATATAAATGGATGAATTCTCCACATAAAAGATATAGACTGGCTGAGTGAAGGGGGAACAATGATCAAACTAATGCTGCCTACAATAAATGCACTTTATCTGTAAAAACACATATAGCCTGAAAGTAAAATGATGGGAAAAGATAAGCAATGCAAACAAAAAAACAAAAGCAAACATGAATAGTTATATTTATATCAGATAAAACAGACTTTAAGTCAAAAAGATTTAATAAAGAAGACAAGGTCATTACATAATGATAAAGGGATCAATCCAGCAAAAGGATATAACAGTTCTAAATATATGCACCCAACACTGTAGCACCCTGATTTATAAAGCAAATATTATCAGAACTAAAAAGAGAGATAGACTCCAATACAATAATAATGGGGGATTTCAACACTCTACTCTCAGCATTAGACAGATCATCTAGACAGAGAATCAACAAAGACCCACTGGATTTAAACTGAGTTTTAGACCAAATGGATCTAACAGACATTAACAGAACATTTTCTCCAACAACAGCAGAATACACATTCTTCTAACCAGCACGTGGAACATTCTCCAGGATAGACCATATGTTAAGACAGAAAACATGTCTCATAAAATTTTTAAAAAACATATCAAGTATCTTCTCAGATAACAATGAAATAAAACAAGAAATCAATAGCAAGAAGAACTTTGGAAATTATACAAATACATGAAAATTTAAAATATGCTCCTGAATGATCATTGGGACAATGGATAAATTCAGGTGAAAATCAAAACATTTCTTAAAACAAATGAAAATGGAAATACAATGTATCAAACTCTGTGGGATAGAGAAAAGAGAAAAAAATTATAGCAATAAATGTCTACATTTTTTAAAAAGTAGAAAGATTTCAAATAAACAATCTAATGATGCTCTTCAGGAATCAGAAAAGTAAGAACAAATCAAACCTAAAATTAGCAGAAGAAAAAATAAAAATCAGAGCATAACTAAATGAAATAGAGGCTAATGAAACAATATAAAGGATGAGAGAAACACAAAATCCTTCAAAAAATTAAACAAAATTGTTAAACTACTAGCTAGACTAACCAAGAAAAGAAAAGAAGAGATAAGACCCAAATGGCAAAATCAGATATGCAAAAGGAGACACTATAACTGATAACACAGAAATACGAAAGACAATTGGAAACCATTATGGACAACTATTTGTCAACAATCTGAAAAATCTAGGAAAAAAATGGATAAATTTCTAGACACATACAACCTAACAAGATTGAACCAGGAAGAAATAGAAAACCTGAACAGTACAATAACAAATATCACAATTGAGTTAGTAATAAAACAAAGAAAAGCCCAGGATTTTTTGGATTCACTGCCAAATTTTACCAAATGTACAAAGAAGAACTAATACCTCCTGAAACTATTTTAAAAAATTGAACAGGAGGAAATTCTCCCTAACTCATTCTCTAAGGCTAGCATTACCCTAATACCAAAACCCAGCAAAAACACATACACACAGAAAAAAGCAGATCGATATTCCTGATTAACATACATGCAAAATTCCTCAATAAAATACAAGAAAAACAAAATCCCAAAATGCCTCAAAAAAATAATACACCATGATCAAATGAGATTTATACCAAAGAATGCAAGGGTGATTCAACATATGCAATTCAAAAAACAGAATACATCAAATCAAAACAATGAAAGACACTGGATGCCACATGCAAGGTTTTTAAAAAATGAAGGACAAAACCATATGATCATCTCAATAGGTGCAGAATCATTTGATAAAATTAATAATTTTCTTTATGATAAAAACTCGGTGAACTAGGTATAGAAGTAAGATTCCCCAAAATAACAAAGGTCATTTATGACAAACCCACAGCTAACATCATACTGAATGAGGAAAAGTTAAATCCCTTTCCTCTAAGAACCAGAACAAGAGAATGATGTCCACTCTCATCACTCCTTTTCAACAAAATAGTGGGAATCTTAGAGCAATCAGGCAAGAGAAAGAAATAAAAGGCATCCAAATTGAAAAAGAGGAAGTCAAATTGTCCCTCTTTGCAGATGACATAATTTTATATTTAGAAACATCAAAAGATTCCACCAAAAAAAAAACTCTTAGAACTGATAAATTTAGTAAAGCTACAGGATACAAAATCAACATACAAAAATCACTACAGTTTCTATATACCAATAATGAAATAACTGAAAAAGAAATCATAAAGGTAATCTCATTTATAAAAACTACAGAAAAAACCTAGGAATAAATTTAACCAGGGAGGTGAAAGATCTATACAAGTAAAAATAACTACAAAACACTGATGAAAGAAATTGAATGAGGACACAAATGGAAAGAGATTTCATACTTATGGATCAGAAGAATTAATATCATTAAAATGATCTTCCTTCCTAAATCAATCTACAGATTCAATGCTATCCCTATCAAAATACCAATGTCATTTTTCACAGAATTAGAAAAACAACACTAAAATTCATATGGAATGAAAAATGAGCCCAAATAGACAAAGCAATTCTGAGCAAAAATAATAAAGGTGCAAGTATCCCACGACCTGACTTCAAAATACATTACAATGTTATTATAATGAAAACAGCATGGTATTGGTATAAAAATAGACAAATAGACCAATGGAACAGCTTCGATAACCCAAAAATGAATTCACATATTTATAGCCAACTGATCTTCAACAAAACAATCAGGAACATACACTGGGGAAAGGACATCCTCTTTAATAAAAGGTGTTGGGAAAACTGGAAACTCATTTGCAGAAGAATAAAACAAGGCTATCTCTCACCATATTAGAAAATCAACTGAAGATGAATTGATGACTTAAATGTAAGACCTGAAAATACAAAACTACTAGAAGGAAAATACTTCAGAACATTGGTCTAATCAAAGATTTTAGATTTTACATCTATGACCTCAAAGACACAAATAACAAAAACAGACAAACTGAACATTAAACTAAAATCTTCTGCATAGCAAAGGAAGCAATCAACAGAATGTAGAGACAGCCTGTTGAATGGCAAAAAATATTTGCAAACTATTTATCCAAGAAGGAACTAACATCCAGAATATACAAGGAACTGAAACAGCTTGACTCGACAATAAAAAAGTAATAATAATCTTATTTTAAAATAGGCAAAGGACATAAATAGCCATTTCTCAAAAGAAGACATACAAGTGGCCAACAGGTATATGAAAAAAAAAGTTCAGCATCACTAATCATCAGGAAAATGCAAATTAAAACTACAATGAGATATCATCTTACCACAGTTAGAATAGCTGTTATTAAAAGGACAAAAAATAATAGATGCTGATGAGGACATAAAGAAAACATAGGTCTTATATACTCTTGGTGGAAATGTAAATTAGTATTGTGACTATGAAAAACAACATAGAGATTTTTCCAAAAAATAAAAGTAAAACTATCATGTAATTTAACAATCCCACTACTGGATATTTATCCAAATGAGAAAAGAGCCCAAATAGCCAAAGCAACCCTGAGTAAAAGTAATAAAAGTGGAGGTATCACACTACCTGACTTCAAAATACATTACAATGTTATGATAACGAAACAGCATGGCATTGGTATAAAAACAGACAGGCAGACCAATGGAACAGAATAGATAACCCAGAAATAAATTCACATATTTATAGCCAACTGTTCTTCAGCAAGACCAACAAGATATAAAAGGGATACCTGCACTTGCTTGTTTATCACAATACTATTCACAGTAGCAAAGAAATAAAATCAACCTAAGTGTCTATCAATAGATAATGGATAAAGAAAATTTGTTATAAATATACAACTGAACACTATTCTGATGTAAAAAGGAATCATGTCATTTGCAGCAACACAGATGGAACTAAAAGTCATTATGTTAAATGAAATAAGCAAGGCATGGAATGACAAATACAACATATTCTCACCATATGTGAGAGCTTAAAAAGTTGACCTGTTGGAAATAGGGAATAGACGAACAGATTCCAGAGCCTGGGAAGGGTGTGTGGGTGAGAAGGGGAATGGAGAAAAGTTGGTTAATGATTACAAACATACAGTTAGAAGAATATGTTCTAATGTTTGATAGCAGAGTAGAATCACTATAGTTAGCAACAATGCAGTGTATATTTCAAAGTAGCTAGCAGAGAGAACTTGAGATGTTCCCAACACATAGAAATGATAAATACTCAAGGTGATGTATACTTCAAATACCCTGATTTAGTCATTACACATTCTATGCATGTAACAAATACTTACATCTACCCCATAAATATGTAAAACATTATGTACCAATAAAAGAAAAGCAAAATAAAATGAAATTTTAAAATCCAATGTTAATAACATAATACCCAAAATACCTAAGCTTCAATGGAAAATCATGTCATACAAAGAATAAGAAAGATCTTAAACTGAATAGAAAAAGACAATCAGCAGATGCAAATGCTAAGATGACAGAGACATTAGAATTATCTGACAATTATTTAAAGCATTCACCATAAAATTGTTTCAGTAAGCAATTATAAGCACATTTAAATGAAAAAAATAAAAAGTTTTAACACAGAAATAGAAAGTCTAAGAAAAAAAATTAGAAGATATAAAGAACAACCAAATAGAAATTTTAGGACTAAAAAATATACTAATGAAAATTGTTTAAAACTCAGTGGATAAGCTCAATAGCAGAAGGGAGGTGACAGAGGAAAGAACCAATGACCTGGAAGACAGAATAATATAAATCACCCAATCTGAATGACAGAGAAAAAAATAGACTGAAAGAGAAAACAGAGAGCCTGAGGGACCTATAAGACAATATAAAAAGATCTACTATTGTGTATTGGGTCAGGGAAGGTGGAGGGAAAGAGTACAGGACTGAAGAAGTACTCAGACAAATCATGGCTGAAAACTTCCAAAATTTAGTAAAAACATAATCCTACAGATTCAAAAAGCTGACTGAACGCCAGAGAAGATAAACTTAGAGAAATCACAATAAAATATATTATAGTCAAGCTTCTTAAAGAAAACAAAATCTTGAATGTGAGAGTGAAATACCACCTTGCCTATAGTAAATAAACAATTTGAATGGCAGCAGATTTCTCATTGAAAACCATGGATGCCATAGAAAGTGGCACCCCGTTTTTCCAGTGCTGAAAGGACAGAACTGTCAACACAGAACCTTACATCAACAAAATATCCTTCATGGATGAATGGATAAACAAAATGTCATTGTCCAGGGTAAATACCTGGGGTTCATTTTCTCACACCAAGAAGATTAAGGACACGGACACACACAAGGAGTGAGTTAGGAGTGAGTTTAGGAGTGGAGGTTTAAAAGACAAAAGAAAGAGAAAGGAGAACGGCTGTCTCCCTTGCCAGAAAGAGGGGCTCCAAAATGGGAAAATCCAGCCCACGGTGGACTGCACTAGATCTTATAGCCAGGCATGGGGAGGTGGTATCTGATTTAGATAGGGCCCACAGACTGTTCAATCAGATGTGATGTCTACATAGCACACAGGGAAGGCTAGTTGCCCCACCCTAATCTTATTATACAAATGGGGTCTTTGCCTGGCTGGCACCATATTGTCTTCTTCCTACTGTACATGTGGTTTGGCAAAGAGAAGGGAAGATGGAGCTGCCATTTTGAACATGCCTAGTCCCAAGTTGCCTTTTCCTATTGGCATGACTTCTGGCATTCACTCCTGCAAGCTTCCAGCTTGCTTGTCTATGTCTGTAGCTTGATTTTACAGGCTTATCTTTATTAGAAAAGACAATTACTTGGGGGCTGCTTTTCATTAAAAGGGAAATCTTACTGAGGAATCCTGTACCCTCACTATCTGCCTAAGTAATTTCTTCTTAACTCCTATGTCATTGGTACCTTGGTCTTGAACTTCCTGGCCTCCAGAACTGTGAGAAATAAAATTCTGTTCTTTTTATACTATCCAGTCAGTCATATTTTGTTTCAGTAGCATAAGTGAACTAGGACCAAGGGGTTGCGTGCATCTGCAGAGAATTAGGACATTGTGAGATCCCCAGCCATTTCCTCATTATCTTGGTCATAGTGAGAGCTCTGAGACAGTGTGGTAATGAGTGACTGGGAGTTGAGAGACCCATGTTTAAATTTTGCTGGCAATATCAAGCTGTGGGCAGATTATATAATATCTTTGTAACTCCATTTTCTCATTGAGAAAATGGGGTTAAAATGCCCATCTTTCAATGTTGTGAGGTCTAAATTGATTCTGTAGAATGCCAGGCACATTTATAGTAGAAACATGATCACACAGGCATAATAAATGTGAACCTCACCCTACTCCTAATGTTCTACATGATGTGAAGGCCTAAAGCAAAAGTAGTTTATGGCCCACCATTTTCTTTTCATAACTGTTTCAAATTTTGGATTATTATACTTTAAGTTCTAGGGTACATGTGCACAATGTGCAGGGTTCTTACATAGGTATACATGTGCCATGTTGGTTTGCTGCACCTGTCAACTCGTCATTTACATTAGGTATTTCTCCTAATGCTATCCCTCTCCCAGGCCCCCATCCCATGACAGGCCCCAGTGTGTGATGTTCCCCGCCCTGTGTCCAAGTGTTCTCATTGTTAAATTCCCACCTATGAGTGAGCACATATGGTGCTTGGCTTTCAGTCCTTGTGATATTTTGCTCAGAATGGTGGTTTCCAGCTTCATCCGTGTCCCCACAAAAAAACATGAACTCATCCTCTTTTATGGCTGCATAGTATTCCATGGTGTATATGTGCCACATTTGCTTAATCCAGTCTATCACTGATGGACATTTGGGTTGGTTCCAAGTCTTTCCTCTTGTGAATAGTGCCGCAGTAAATATACATATGCATGTGTCTTTATAGTAGCATGATGTATAATCCTTTGGGTATATATCCACTAATGTGATCGCTGGGTCAAATGGTATTTCTGGTTCTAGATCCTTGCAGAATCACCACACTGTCTTCCACAATGGTTGAACTAGTTTACCCTCCCATCAACAGTGTAAAAGTGTTCCTATTTCTCCACAGCCTCTCCAGCACCTGTTGTTTCCTGATGTTTTAATGATCGTCATTCTAACTGGTGTGAGATGGCATCTCATTGTGGGTTTGATTTGCATTTCTCTGATGGTCAGTGGTGATAAGCATTTTTTCATGCATCTGTTGGCTGCATAAATGTCTTCTTTTGAGAAGCGGTTGTTCACATCCTTTGCACACTTTTTGATGGAGTTGTTTTTTCCTTGTAAATTTGTTTAAGTTCTTTGTAGATTCTGGGTATTAGCCCTTTGTCAGATGGATAGATTGCAAAAATTTTCTCCCATTCTGTAGGTTGTCTGTTCACTCTAATGGTAGTTTCTTTTGCTGTGCAGAAGCTCTTTAGTTTAATTAGATCCCATTTATCTATTTTGGCTTTTGTTGCCTTTGCTTTTGGTGTTTTAGTCATGAAGTCCCTGCCCATGCCTATGTCCTGAATGGTATTGCCTAGGATTTCTTCTAGGGTTTTTATGGTTTTAGGTCTATCGTTTAAGTCTTTAACCCATCTTGATTTAATTTTTGTATAAGGTGTAAGGAAGGGATGCAGTTTCAGCTTGCTACATATGGCTAGCCAGTTTTCCCAGCAACATTTATTCAATAGGGAATCCTTTCCCCATTGCTTGTTTTTGTCAGGTTTGTCAAAGAGCAGATGGTTGTAGATGTGTGGTGTTAATTCTGAGGGCTCTATTCTGTTCCATTGGTCTATATATCTGTTTTGGTACTAGTACCATGCTGTTTTGGTTACTGTAGCCTTGTACTATAGTTTGAAATCAGGTAGCGCGATGCCTCCAGCTTTGTTCTTTTGGCTTAGGATTGTCTTGGCAGTGTGGGCTCTTTTTTGGTTCCATATGAACTTTAAAATAGTTTTCTCCAATTCTGTAAAGAAAGTAATTGGTAGCTTGATGGAGATGGCATTGAATCTATAAATTACCTTGGGCAGTATGGCCATTTTCACGTTATTGATTCTTCCTATCTGTGGGCATGGAATGTTCCTCCAATTGTTTGTGTCCTCCTTTATTTCACTGAGCAATGAATGGTTTGTAGTTCTCCTTGAAGAGGTCCTTCACATCCCTTGTTGGCTGGATTGCTAGGTGTTTTACTCTCTTTGTAGCAGTAGTGAATGGGAGTTCACTCATGATTTGGCTCTCTGTCTGTTATTGGTGTATATGAATGCTTGTGAGTTCTGCACATTGATTTTGTATCCTGAGACTTTGCTGAAGTTGCTTATCAGGTTAAGGAGATTTTGGGCTGAGACAATGGGGTTTTCTAGATATACAATCATGTCGTCTGCAAACAGGGACAATTTGACTTCCTCTTTTCCTAATTGAATACCCTTTATTTCCTTCTCCTGCCTAATTGCCCTGGCCAGAACTTCCAACACTATGTTGAATAGGAGTGGTGAGAGAGGGCATCCCTGTCTTGTGGCAGTTTTCAAAGGGAATACTTCCAGTTTTTGCCCATTCAGTATGATATTGGCTGTGGGTTTGTCATAGATAGCTCTTACTATTTTGAAATATGTCCCATCAATACCTAATTTATTGAGAGTTTTTAGCATGAAGGGTTGTTGAATTTTGTCAAAGGCTTTTTCTGCATCTATTGAGATAATCATGTGGTTTTCGTCTTTGGCTCTGTTTATATGCTGGATTACATTTATTGATTTGCGTATATTGAACCAGCCTTGCATCCCAGGGATGAAGCCCACTTGATCATGGTGGATAAGCTTTTTGATGTGCTGCTGGATTTGGTTTGCCAGTATTTTATTGAGGATTTTCACATCGATGTTCATCAGGGATATTGGTCTAAAATTATCTTTCTTTATTGTATCTCTTCCAGGCTTTGGTACCAGGATGATACTGGCCTCATAAAATGAGTTAGGGAGGATTCCCTCTTTTTCTATTGATTGGAATAATTTCAGAAGGAATGGTACCAGCTTCTCTTTGTACCTCTGGTAGAATTTGGCTGTGAATCCCTCTGGTGCTGGACTTTTTTTGGTTGGTAGGCTATTAATTATTGCCTCAATTTCAGAGCCTGTTATTGGTCTATTCAGAGATTCAAGTTCTTCCTGGTTTAGTCTTGGGAGGGCATAAGTGTCCAGGAATTTATCCATTTCTTCTAGATTTTCTAGTTTATTTGTGTAGAGGTGTTTATAGTATTCTCTGATGGTAGTTTGTATTTCTGTGGGATTGGTGGTGATAATGCCCTTTATCATTTTTTATTGAATCTATTTGATTCTTCTCTCTTTTCTTCTTTATTAGTCTTGCTAGTGGTCTATCAATTTTGTTGATCTTTTCTAAAAACCAGCTCCTGGATTCATTGATTTTTTAAGGGTTTTTTGTGTCTCTATCTCCTTCAGTTCTGCTCTGATCTTAGTAATTTTTTGCCTTCTGCTAGCTTTTGAATTTGTTTGGTCTTGCTTCTGTAGTTCTTTTAATTGTGATGTTAGGGTGTCAATTTTAGATCTTCCCAGCTTTCTCTTGTGGGCATTTAGTGCTATAAATTTCCCTCTACACATTGCTTTAAATGTGTCCCAGAGATTCTGGTACATTGTGTCTTTGTTCTCATTGGTTTCAAAGAACATATTTATTTCTGCCTTCATTTCGTTATGTACCCAGTAGTCATTCAGGAGCAGGTTGTTCAGTTTCAATGTAGTTGTGTGGTTTTGAGTGAGTTTCTTAATCCTGAGTTCTAGTTTGGTTGCACTGTGGTCTGAGAGACAGTTTGTTATAATTTCTGTTCTTTTACATTTGCTGGGGAGTGCTTTATTTCCAACTATGTGGTCAATTTTGGAATAAGTGTGATGTGGTGCTGAGAAGAATGTATATTCTGTCAATTTGGGGTAGAGAGTTCTGTAGATGTCTATTAGATCCGCTTGGTGCAGAGCTGAGTTCAATTCCTGGATATCCTTGTTAATGTTCTGTCTCGTTAATCTGTCTAATATTGACAGTGGGGTGTTAAAGCCTCCCATTATTATTGTGTGGGGGTCTAAGTCTCTTTGTAGGTCTCTAAGGACTTGCTTTATGAATCTGGGTGCTCCTGTATTGGGTGCATGTATATTTAAGATAGTTAGCTCTTCTTGTTGAATTGATCCCTTTACCATTATGTAATGGCCTTATTTGTCTCTTTTGATCTTTGTTGGTTTAAAGTCTGTTTTATCAGAGACTAGGATTACAACCCCTGCCTTTTTTTTTTCTTTCCATTTGCTTGGTAGATCTTCCTCCATCCCTTTACTTTGAGCCTATGTGTGTGTCTGCACGTGAGATGGGTCTCCTGAATACAGCACACTGATGGGTCTTGACTCTTTAGCCAATTTGCCAGTCTGTGTCTTTTAATTGGGGCATTTAGCCCATTTACATTTAAGGTTAATATTGTTATGTGTGAATTTGATCCTGACATTATGATGTTAGCTGGTTATTTTGCCCATTGGTTGATGCAGTTTCTTCCTAGCATTGATGGTCCTTACAATTTGGCATGTTTTTGCAGTGGCCGGTACTGGTTGTTCCTTTCCATGTTTAGTGCTTCCTTCAGGAGCACTTGTAAGGCAGGCCTGGTGGTGACAAAATCTCTCAGCATTTGCTTGTCTGTAAAGGACTTTATTTCTCCTTCACTTATGAAGCTTAGTTTGGCTGGATATGAAATCTGGGTTGAAAATTCTTTTCTTTAAGAATGTTGAATATTGGCCCCTACTCTCTTCTGGCCTGTAGGGTTTCTACAGAGTGATCCACTGTTAGTCTGATGGGCTTCCCTTTGTGGGTAACCCGACCTTTCTCTCTGGCTGCCCTTAACATTTTTTCCTTCATTTCAACTTTGGTGAATCTGACAATTATGTGTCTTGGGGTTGCTCTTCTCGAGTAGTATCTTTGTGGCGTTCTCTGTATTTCCTGAATTTGAATGTTGGCCCACCTTGCTATGTTGGGGAAGTTCTCCTAGATAATGTCCCGCAGAGTGTTTTCCAACTTGGTGCCATTCTCCCCATCACTTTCAGGTACACCAATCAAACATAGATTTGGTCTTTTCATATAGTCCCATATTTCTTGGAGGCTTTGTTCATTTGTTTTTACTCTTTTTTCTCTAAACCTCTCCTTGCTTTGTTTCATTAATTTGATCTTTAATCACTGATACCCTTTCTTCCACTTGATCGAATCAGCTACTGAAGCTTGTGCATGCATCACGTAGTTCTTGTGCCATGGTTTTCAGCTCCAGCAGGTCATTTACGGTCTTCTCCACACTGTTATTCTAGTCAGCCATTCGTCATTGTGATGGATTCAAACATCCTCCTTTAGCTTGGAGAAGTTTGTTATTACTCACCTTCTGACTACTTCTGTCAACTTGTCGAAGTCATTCCCCATCTAGCTTTGTTCTGTTGCTGGCAAGGAGCTGTGATCCTTTGGAGAAGAAGAGGCACTCTGGCTTTTAGAATTTTCAGCTTTTCTGCTCTGTTTTTTCCCCATCTTTGTGTTTTTATTTACCTTTGGTCTTTGATGTTGATGACCTACAGATGGGGTTTGGGTGTGGATGTCCTTTTTGTTGATGTTGATGCCATTCCTTTCTGTTTGTTAGTTTTCCTTCTAAGAGTCAGGTCCCTCAGCTGCAGGTCTGTTGGAGTTTGCTGGAGGTCCACTCCAGAACCTCTTTGCCTGGGTGCCACCAGTGGAGGCTACAGAACAGCCAATATTGCTGCCTGATCCTTCCTCTGGAAGCTTCGTCTCAGAGGGGCACCCACCTGTATGAGGTGTCAGTCAACCCCTACTGGGAGGTGTCTCCCAGTTAGGCTACACCGGGGTCAGGGACCCACTTGAGGAAGCAGTCTGTCCATTCTCAGAGCTCAAATGCCAGGCTGGGAGAACCTCAAATGCCATGCTGGGAGAACCACTGCTCTCTTCAGAGCTGTCAGACAGGGACGTTTAAGTCTGCAGAAGTTTCTGCTGCCTTTTGTTCAGCTATGACCTTCCCCCTGAAGTGGAGTCAACAGAGGCAGTAGGCCTTGCTGAGCTGCGGTGGGCCCCACCCAGTTCGGGCTTCCCCAACTGCTTTGTTTCCCTACTCAAGCCTCAGCAATGGCAGATGCCCCTCCCCCTGCCAGGATGCTGCCTCGCAGGTCAATCTCAGACTGCTGCACTAGCAGTGAGCAAGGCTCTGTGGGCGTGGGACACACTGAGCCAGGCACAGGATATAATCTCCTGGTGTGCCATTTGCTAAGACCATTGAAAAAGCACAGTATTTATGTGGGAATGTCCCATTTTTCCAGATACAATCTGTCACAGCTTCCCTTGGCTAGAAAAGGGGGAAAATCCCCCTACCCCTTGTGCTTCCTGGGTAAGGTGATGCCCCACCGTGCTTCAGCTCACCCTCTGTGGGCTGCACCCACTGTCCAACCAGTCCCATTGAGATGAACCAGGTGCCTCAGTTGGAAATGCAGAAATCATCCATCTTCTTCGTCGATCATGCTGGGAGCTGCAGACCAGAGCTGTTCATATTTGGCCACCTTGGATGACTCCAACTGTTTCAAATTTTTATATCAGAAATATTGCTTATACTCAACTAAAAATTTGGTAATTAAAACCTTTTATTTTTAAATAATCTTGTATTTACATGCAACTATAAAATGTATGCAGGCAGATCCTGTGTAATTTTATCCAGTTTCCTCCAGTGGTAACATCTTACAAAACCAAGTTCTATATCAAAACCAAATTATGATACATTTCAGATACAGAATATTCCCATCAGAAGCACCCATCATGTGGCCTTTTAATAGCCATACAACTTCCCTCCCATCCTCACCTTTTCTTTAACCTATGACAACCACTAATCTGTTCTCTATTTCTATAATTGTATCATTCCAGTCTAATTCTCTTGAGATTCATCCAGGTTGTTTGTGTGTATTGATAGTTTCCTCCTCTTCCTCCTCCTCGTCTTCCTCCTCCTCCTCTTCCTCTTCCTCCTCTTCTTTTCTCTTTCTCTTTTTCTTCTTCCTCCTCCTCTTTCTCCTCCTCTTCTTCCTTCCTCTCCTCTTCCACTACCTCCTCTCCCCTCTTCCCCCTTCCTCCTCCTCTTCTTCTTTTCTTCATCTTTTCTTCTTCTTCTTTTTTCCTCTTCTTCTTCCTCCTCCACCTCCTCCTCTCTTCCTGTTCTTCTTCTTTTCTTTTCCTTTTTGCTGAGTAGTATTCCTTAGTTTGGATGTACCAGTTTGTTTCACCAATTCATCTATTCAAGAACCAGTTTTTGGCTATTGTGAATAAAGGCTACTATAAACATTCATATGTATATGTAATTTAAACATCAGCTTGTATTTCTCTGGGATAAACACCTGGAAGGAAAGTTGTTGTATGGTCATTGAATGTCTAGTATTTCAAAAAATTGTAGTAACATTCATATAACATAAAATTCACCATTTTAACCATTTAAAATGTACACTTCAGTATCATCTAGTATGTTTACAATGTTCTGCAGTCATCACCACCATCTAGTTCCAGAACGTTTTTATCACCACAAAAGGAAATGTCATAACCATTAACCAGTCAGTCAGCATTCTCCCCTCCCTCATTCCCTGGCAACTGCTAATTTACTTTCCTTCTCTGTGAATTTGCCTATTCTGGACATTTCACATAAATGAAATAATACAGTATGTGACCTTTTGTGGCTGGCTACTTTCACTTAGCATAATGTTTTCAAGACTCATTCATGTTACAGCATGTATCAGTAATTCATTCCTTTTTATTTCTGATAATCTTCTTGGTGTGAGACAAACCCCAGGTATTTACCCCTGATGATGACACCACTTCATCAACATTGGAGTGGTGAGGGACTGCTCCATCAATGGCACCTTCTCATGGTGACATCTTCACATGGCAGAAGGTAGAAGGCAAAAAGGGATGAACCCTCTCTAAAGCCTCTTTTGGGGTTAAAAAGGGTTAATCCATTCATAAGGGCAAAGATCTCATGACTTAATCACTTCCCAAAAGGCACCATCTCTTAGTCACCATCATTTTGGAGGATGCTGTGGTTTGAATGTGGTGTCTTGGAGGGGGCACCATATTCAAACCACAGCACCCTCCAAAAATGAACCCCTGCTAAAGCCCCTCAGCAGGAAAGAGCACAAATTACTTGATGCAACAGGAGTTAGCAGGGCAGAATCATTCCAAATTGTGAACTGCTGTGTCAGGAAAGGCAGAGGAAACTTTTGGAGTGACTACAACCATAGGGCTCTCCTGGCTCCTTGGACCAACTTTGGAGTCTGGAGACCTCTTCTCTGTTATTGGACATCATGGCATCTGTTCTTGAGATGGCCTGAGGACAGACCTGAGGACAGGCCATTGGAAAACTGAGGATGCTAGTGGCTTAGAGGCAGAGCTTTGGAGTCAAATGGACATGACACTGCCAGTTACTTACCCATTGGCAAACTTGCTCCTATTCTTAGCATCATTAGCATCAGTTTCCTCATTAGAAAAATGAGAATAATAGTACTGATCTCACAGGATGGCTGCAAGGATGAACTTAAATGAGGCATGGAGTGTACATAGCAGAGTGCTCAGCACATGGTGCAAGATAAATGAAGACCATTATTATTGTCGTGTCTAAACCAATCTTGTCCAGTTGAATTTTCTGTGATGATGGAAATGTCCTATATCTGTGCTACACTGTGTGGTAGCCACTAGCCACATATAGCTATTGATCACTTGAAATGTGACTAGTGTGATAGAGGAACAGAATTTTTAAATTGTGTCTAATTCAAATAGATATGGGTAGGTAGCGGCTGCCACTTGGACAGCATAAGTGTAACCCTTAGCCATTAACCAGGCTGGTTGGCCCAGATTAGAGAGAATAAATATTGCCATTATCAACCAAGGCAATTACAATAGCATCACCAAAAAAGTGAGCAAAGTATCTCCCTAATAGATGTTTAATTTTACAGCAATAAAAAGAAACTGCTTTATGGAAAGCCTACTATATTTGTGGTAGGTTTAGAACTAGATTTAAAAAGGGCTGGAAATAGATTTATTTAAAGTTCTGAAAGGACAAAGGGAAGTGTGGTAGATTATTATTTAACAAATATTCACTCCTTTCCCCCTCCCACTTGCATGAAGGAAGTATTCTTCCCCACCCTAATGATTTGGGATTTGGCCATGTGGCCCTAAGAGGCATTTCATGTATCTGCCCATCCCTCTGAAGTTTCTGACCTCCACCTAGTGAAAATATATCCCAGTTAGCTTCTGCCCCTTGTCGTGGTCCTGGAATAAACTACATGAAGCAGACACAAGCTTGACCCATAGCCTGAAGTAGAGTGAGCTACAGACCTACAAGTGAGAAATAAATGGTGTTTTTGTATGCCATTGATATTTGGTATACAGCATTTTTTCAATAAAAATAAGGCTAACACAGGAACTCATATTTATTGAATACTTTCATGCCAATGTACTATGAACAGACACTTGTGCTCTGATATGGCTTAGCTGTGTTCCCACCCAAAACTCATCTTGAATTGTACTCCCATAATTCCCATGAGTTATGGGGGGGACTTGGTAGGAGATAATTTGACTCATGGGGGCGGTTTCCCCCATACTGTTCTCATGGTAGTGAACAAGTCTCACAAGATCTGATGGTTCTATCAGGGGTTTCTGCTTTTGCATCTTCCTCATTTTATCTTGCCACTGCCATGTAAGAAGTGCCTTTCACCTCCTGCCATGATTCTGAGACCTCCCCAGCCATGTGTAACTGTAAGTTCAATTATATCTCCTTTTCTTCCCAGTCTCAGGTATGTCTTTATCAGCAGCATGAAAATGGACTAATGCAGTAAATTGGTACCAGTAGAGTGGGGCATTGCTGAAAAGATACCAAAAAATGTGGAAGCAACTTTGGAACTGGGTAACAGGCAATGGTTGGAACAGTTTGGAGGACTCAGAAGGCAGGAAAATGTGGGAAAGTTTGGAATTACCTAGGGACTTGTTGAATGGCTTTGACCAAAAACCTGATAGCAACATGGACAATAAGGTCAAGGCTGAGGTGATCTCAGATGGAGATGAAACACTTGTTTGGGAACTGGAACAAAGGTGACTCTTGTTATGTTTTAGCAAAGAGACTGGCAGCATTTTGCCCCTGCGCTAGAGATTTGTGAAACTTTGAACTTCAGAGAAATGACTTAGGGTATCTGGCAGAAGAAATTTCTAAGCAGCAAAGCATTCAAGAGGTGACTTGAGTGCTGTTAAAGGCATTCAGTTTTATAAGGGAAGCAGAGCATAAAAGTTTGGAAAATTTGTAGCCTGACAATGTGACAGAAATGAAAATCCCATTTTCTGAGGAGAAATTTAAGCTGGCTGCAGAAATTTGCATAAGTAACAAGAAGCCAAATGTTAGTCCCCAAGACAATGGGGAAAATGTCTCCAGGGCATGTGAGAGATCTTCACAGCAGCCCTTCTCATCACAGGCGTGGAGGCCTAGGAGGAAAAAATGGTTTCATGGGCCGGGCCCAGGGTACCCATGCTGTGTGCAGCCTAGGGACTTGGTGCCCTAAGTCCCAGCTGCTCCAGCCATGGCTGAAAGGGGCCAACATAGAGCTCGGGCCATGGATTCAAAGAGTACAAGCCCCAAACCTTGGCAGCTTCCATGTGGTGTTGAGCCTGCAAGTGCACAGAAGTCAAGAATTGCGGTTTGGGAACCTCCACCTAGATTTCAGATGTATGGAAATGCCTGGATGCCCAGGCGGATGTTTGCTGCAGGGGCAGGGAGCTCATGGAGAACCTCTGCTAGGGCAGTGCAGAAGGAAAATGTGGGGTTGGATCCCCCACACAGAGTCCCTACTGGGGCACCACCTAGTGGAGTTGTGAGAAGAGGGCCACCGTCATCCAGACCCAGAATGGTAGATCCACCAACAGCTTGCACCATTCACCTGGAAAAGTCACAGACACTCAATGCCAGCCCATGAAAGCAGCGAGGAGGGAGGCTGTATCCTGCAAAGCCACAGGGGTAGAGTGGCCCAAGACCATGGGAACCCACCTCTTGCATCAGCATGACCTGGATGTGAGACCTGGAATCAAAGGAGATCATTTTGGAGCTTTAAAATTTGATTGTCCCACTGGATTTCAGACTTGCATTGGCCCTGTAACTCCTTTGTTTTGCCCAATTTATTTCACTTGGAATGGCTATATTTACCCAATGTAGCCCCATTGTATCTAGGAAGTAAATAGCTTGCTTTTGATTTTACAGGCTCATAGACAGAAAGGACTTGCCTTATCTCAGGTGAGACTTTGGACTGTGGACTTTTGGGTTAATGCTGAAATGAGTTAAGACTTTGGGGGACTGTTGGGAAGGCATGATTGGTTTTGCAATGTGATGACATGAGATTTGGAGGGGCCAGGGGTCGAATGATATGGTTTGGATGTGTCCCCACCCAAATCTCATCTTGAATTGTACTCCCATAATTCCCACATGTTGTGGGAGGGACCTAGTGGGAGATAATTTGAATCATGGGAGCAGTTTCCTCCATACTGTTCTCATGGCAGTGAAGAAGTCTCATGAGATCTGATGGTTTTATCCAGGGTCTCCGCTTTTGCATCTTCCTCATCTTCTCTTGCCACTAGCATGTAAGAAGTACCTTTCACCTCCCGCCATGATTCTGAGGCCTCCCCAGCTATGTGGAACTGTAAGTCCAATTAAACCTCCTTTTCTTCCCAGTCTCGGGTATGTTTTTATCAGCAGCATGAAAATGGACTAATACATAGTCCAAATGATGAAATAATTAATTCAAAATCATAGTGAAACTGGGGTTCCATATGAGATCTGTTTACATCCAGATGTTTAGATAAATTCATGAATAAAGCATCCATGGTAAGACATTAGAGGAAAAGATACTACATTAGTCAGGGTTCTCCAGAGGAACAGAATCAGTTGGAGATGAATAGATAAGAAAAGATAAGATAAGGTAAGGTAAGATAGAAGGAGAGAGAGAGAGCATGAGGTGTGGGGGAGAGATTAATTATGAGGAATTGGCTCATGTGTTTATGGAGTCAGAAAATAGCACAATCTGCTGTCTGCAAGCTGGAAACCCAGGAAAGCCAGTCCAAGTCTGAAGGCCAAGAACCAGGGAAGCCAATTGTATAAATTCTAGTCTGAGGGCCAGAGAAGATAAAATTAGATGTCCCAGCTCAAACAGGCAGGCAGAAAACAAAAGGGGCAAAATCCTCCTTTCTCTACCTTTTTGTTCTATTCATGCCCTCAATGGATTGGATGACATCAGCCCACTCATATTGGGGAGGTCAATCTGAGCTACTGAGTCTACCAATTCAAATGCCAATCTCATCTGGAAACAACCTCACAGACAAAAGCAGAAATAATGTTTAACCTGGGCATTCTGTGGCCAATTAGTTTGACACATAAAATTAGCCATCACAGAGACCAAGCCCCCAAAATTTTCAATATGAAGGTAGTCATGTCTTTTCTGGACTGACTCTCAAGGTCATTGTCAGAGATGAATGTTCACCCCAGCCAGATCATGATCATCACTATTCTACCTCCATCACATGTTCTCATCCCAAGTAAATATTTTCTCTAGAAACTTTACAAATAGACAGAATATTCATTACATCAATTTTAAATACATCCTGCCACATTTTTAAAATACTCATTGGAAAACCTCATACATAAGGTGTGATTTCATTAGAAACATACTCTGTATTAAACATCAATCTCTTCCACTATAAAGCACATTTTCACATTTCCTAAGCACTGAGTTTGCTTTAATAAAACTTGTATTCACTTCATAAATGTTTCTGCCTACATCATGGTACCTACCCATATATCTTGAGCCATGTAACTCTATGGTGATATGCTAACTTGTAAAGAGGGTTTATTGGAAAGCTTGGCAGATCAAGGTAATAGGAAAACCTTATTTTTAGGTGGGAAAGCATGATAATAATACATAGGTCAAAATATTTAGAAAGTAAGTTTAAGAGGGAAAATAAAAAATATTCTATGAAGCTCATTGAGAGCAGATTGAACAAGCAGATTGAACAGTTTAGTTCCTTTGTGTGGACAAATTCTAACAAGGTCTAGAGCATTCAGGATCCTTCTCTCTCCTGCTGCCTCTCTTTTCACCATCTGAGTTCGAGATCACAATACCAGCCACATTTCTTTTCTCACCCCTCTGGTGCCTCAGCAAGAAGCCCGTGCCCATGCTGTCCCCTGGTGAGGCTACTGAGGAGGCTGGCAGGAAGATGCAGAGGCTGCTGCACTGAAGCCTGCAATGTGACCCACCCTGCAGAGCTGAGCTCTTTATGAAGCAGAAAGCAGCTATCCTCTTCGCATATGTGGTACATTCTGCCACATGTGCCCCAAAACTGTGTTTCCTTGTGGACCTAACTTCTTACAGCAATTTCTCCTAAGCAGCTCTTTCTAATTTCACTCCCTCCCTGGTTTTGCTCTGCCCAGGGAAGACACTATGAATGATGCCCTACTCAGTGTTGCCCAGTCCCTGTGATGCTGGCCTGTTGTCCTTGACCCAAACTTGAATTCCTCTGCTGTCTTGCCATAAGATGAGCATTTATGCAAAAAGATCAATAACAACTTCATCCTCTCAGCATCAAATTTGGCATGCCCAAAAATTATCTGAATCGCAACATGAGCACAATTTAGACTCACAGGCATAAAGGGCACCCCTGCTACACTGGCACTTTAAGAAAATTAGAGAAAATAAAATCACATTTGTGGGTTTTGGTTGTTTATTGGAAACTCTGTACAGATTATCAGAACAAACGGCAACTTATCAGAGCACAGTTTCCTTCAGTGAGTGCCTCAGTGCCAAAAGCAGCAAACTAGGACTCCTGGATGAGACAGAAGACTGAGTACTCCTAGAATAAGCACACAGATATGCTTAACTGTAAGAACATTATTTCTAAATATAAAACTGGACTCAAAAGAAAAAAAAAAAAAAACCATAATCTCCAAGTGTGCCAGAAACAAAAAGATAATTTAGAACTAAAAATTGTGAGTTAATTAAAGTTATATTGATGGAAAAATGGTCCCAGGTCAAGGACTTGACCCCTTATATAACTCTAGGAGCCAATAAAGACTTGTCCTGCCAGGGAATGAGGGACTTGAGAAAAACAAAATGAGGCGCAGGCAAACAACACGAAAGATCCTCACTTGCCTGGTTTGCAGCTGGACAGGAGTCACCATCAGAAAATCAGCACTGAAAGTCTGTACTCCCCTGTGGGTGGGGCTGAATTCACACTACTTTGTGTGAAGAAGCCATGAGTCAATAATGGCTTTAAAAACTGGTCCAAAGAACAACAAAAGTGTGTCCTGAATGCTACATTGCATATGAAATTCTATAACATGGTAATAGAAATCGTATCTATGGTAGCATCTGGGAATGAGGATTGACTGAGAATGGGCATGAGAGAACTGGTTGGCATGACAGAAATGCTTCATGACTTGATACGGGAGTGGCTAAAATGTGCATTTGCATTTATTGAAACTGATTGTACAACACACTAAAGATCTGAGTAATTCACTGCTTGTAAATTATAACTCAATGCTGAAATTAAAAAAAAAAAAATCCTGATCCAGACCCTAACCTATTTAAGATTCCAGACAAAGCAATGCTAAATCACCCCCATAGCACCCCCATGTGCTAAACCACAAGCTCTACACCCCAAAGCATGTGTGGCAAACGTATTTTCCTCTCTCTGGCTTCTGGAAGCTGGATCATATGCAAAGGACCTAAGTGCAGCCAATCAGAGGCTCCCAACTTGGGCCTTTAAATCTTGTGACAGTCCAGAGGTCTAACAGTAGCTAGCACATGGTAACTAGCAGCATAGCAGGGTGACCCAGCTGACCTGGCCTTCTGAGGTTTCTATCTGGACCTGGTACTCCAGCTATCTTTTTTTGGTATCCTTTTTGATTAATTTAACCAATGTCAGCTTCTCTTATTTGCAACTAAGGACCTAACTAGCATGACATCTGGAACCAGAACTAAGGGGCTATAGACACAACCACAGGAAATCTCAGTCTCGAGATATGAGATTGGGTATCTGTCCTAGGTGAAACTTAGGGTACGGAAAATCAAGGCTGTGTAAGGGATGGAAACTGCACCCTGTGACACACACAGTAGTTAAGGAGCTTATTAAATTGTGCCCTGGGATCTCCTGGAATTAAGTGTCCATTAAAGACCAGGTTTTGACACAGAGACCACATCAGAGCCATGGTGTCTTTTAATGCTCACTATAGCCTTATGTAACTATTATCATCCCCTTTATTTAAATGAAGAATGTAAACTCAGAGAGGAAAAACCCTGCTAGGATTCAATTCTAAAACCGTATCATGAACCATCAGGCATGTGATATATATTTTTTTCAAGGACATGTTTTTTTTGTACACATATGTGTTTATCTACAAACCATATAAAATGCAATTCATGGCAATGGTGGCCTTTGGGAAGGGGTTGAAAGTTATTGGTGAGGAGTTCAAGTAAATGTCAACTCTTACCGTTTCCATCAAGTGATTCCATATAGAAACATACCTCAGCAATATTGCAAGATCATCTCTGGATCACTGCAATAATGAAATTTTTTGGTTTTCTGGTGCATATAAAAGTTATGTTTAAACTATACTGTAGTCTGTTAAGTGTACAATAGCATTATGTCTAAAAAGCAATGTACATGTCTTAATTTAAAAACATTGTATTGCTAAAAAATCCTAATGATCGTCTGAGCCTTCAGTGAGTCCATTTTTTTGCTGGTGGAGGGTCTTGCCTCAATGTGGGTAGCTACTAACTGAATGGGGTGGTAGTTGCTGAAGGTTGGGTGGCTGTGGCAATTTCTTAAAATAAGACAACAATGGAGTTTGCCACATCAATTGATTCTTCCTTTCATGAAAGATTATTTATCTGTAGCATGTGATATTGTTTAATAGAATTTGACCCACAGTAGAATTTGGAGTCAATCCTCTCAAACCCTGCGTGTTTTATCAACTAAGTTTAGAAAATATTCTAAATTCTTTCTTATCATTTCAACCATGTTCACAGCATCTTCATCAGGAATAGATTCCATGTCAATAAACCACTTTCTTTGCTCATCCATAAGAAGCAACTCCTCATCCGTTCAGATTTTATCATGAGATTGCAGCAATTCAGTTACATCTTAAGGCTCTACTTCTAATTCTAGTTATCTTGCTGTTTCTACCACATCTGCAATTACTTCCTCTCAGTTTTAAACCCTTCAAATCATCCATAAGGGTTGAAATCAGCTTTTTCCAAATTCCTGTTAATGTTCATATTTTTACCTCTTCCTGTGAATCACAAATTTTCTTAATGGTATTTAGAATGGTGAATTCTTTCTAGAAGGTTTTCCATTTACTTTGCCTATATCTATCAGAGGAATTACTATCTATGGCAGCTAAAAATTTCTGAAATGTATTTCTTATGCAATAATATTTGACAGTTGAAATTACTACTTGATCTATGGGCTACAGAATAGATGTGGTATTCATAGGCATGAAAAAAACGTTAATCTCCTTGTACATCTCTACCAGAGCTCTTGAGTGACCAGGTGCATTGTCAATAAGCAGTAATATTTGGGAAGGAATTATTTTCTGAGCAGTAGGTCACAACAGCGAGCTTAAACTATTCAGTAAACCATGCCATAAATAGATGTGCTGTTATCCAGGCTTTGTTGTTCCTTTTAAAGGTCACAGGAAGAGTAGATTTAGCACAATTCCTATGGGCCCTGGGATTTACAAAAGAATAAATGAGCAGTGGCTTCAACTTAAAGTCACCAGCTATGTTAGCCAAAAACAAGCAGTCAGACTGTTCTTTGAGGCTTTGAAGCCAGTCATTGACTTCTCCTCTCTAGCTATGAAAGTCCTAAATGACATCTTCTTTTAATATGAGGCTGTTTTGTCTCCACTGAAAATCCATTTAGTGTAGCCACCTATATCAAAGATCTTAACTAGATCTTCTGGATAACTTGCTGCAGTTTCTACATTAGCACTAACTGTTTCATGTTGTACTTTTAGATTATGGAGATGGCTTTACTTAAACCTCATGAACTGGCCAGGCATGGTGGCTCACGCCTATAATCCTAGCACTTTGGGAGGCCAAGGTGGGCAGATCACAAGGTCAAGAGATCAAGACCATCCTGGCCAGCATGGTGAAGCCTGTCTCTACTAAAAATACAAAAATTAGCTGGGTGTGGTGGTGTGCACCTGTAGTCCCAGCTACCTAGAGGCTGAGGCAGGAGAATCACTCAAACCCGGGAGGCAGAGTTTGTAGTGAGCCAAGATTGCGCCACTGCACTCCATCCTGGTGACAGTGCGAGACTCCATCAAAAAACAAAAAAACAAAAAAAAAACCCTCATGAACCAACCTCTGCTAGCTTCAAACTTTTCTTCTGAAACTTCCTCACCTTTCTCTGCCTTCATAGAACTGAAGAGAGTTAGGGCGTTGCTTGATTTTAGGCTTTGGCTTAAGTGGATGTTGTTGTTGGTTTGATCTTCTATCCAGACCTTCCTCCATATAAGCAGTTAAGCTCTGTTGCTTTCTTATCATTCATGTGCTCACTGGAGTAGCACTTTTAATTTTCTTCAAGAACTTTAGAATTCAACAAGTTGGCTAAGTGTTTGAGGCAAGAGGCCTAGCTTTCAGCCTATCTCATCTTTCTCAGCTTTCTTCACTAAGCTTAATCATTTCTAGCTTTTGATTTAAAATAAGAATGTGCAATTCTTCCTTTCACTTGAACACTTAAGAAGTCATTGTAGGGTTATTACTTGACCTAATGTCAATATTATTGTGTCCCAGGAAATAGGAGGAAATAGGGAGGCCAAAGGAGAGGGAGAGATATGGGAGAACGGCCAGCTCGTGAAGCCATCAGAACACACGTAACAGTTTGCTGTCTTATCTGGGCTCGTGCTCAGTTTGTGGTGTCCCAAAATAATTACAATAGTAACATCAAAGATCAGTTCATGGCATCCCAAAATCATTACAATAGTAACATCAAAGATCACTGGCTAGGTTTGGTGGCTCACACCTGTAATTCCAGCACTTTGGGAGGCTCAGATGGGAAAATTGCTTGAGCCCAGGAGTTTGAGACCAGCCTAGGGAATATGGTGAAACTCCATCTCTACCCAAAAAAAAAAAAGTAGGTGTCCATGGTGGTACACGCCTGTAGTCCCAGCTACTTGGTAGGCTGAGAAGGGAGGATCACTTGAGCCCAGGAGGCCGAGTTGCAGTGAGCCAAGATCACACCACTGCACTCCAGCCTAAGTGACAGAACAAGATCCTGTCTCCAAAAAAAAAGAAAAAAAAGTCATTACACGAGACACAGTAATAATAATGAACAAGTTTGAACTGTTGTGAGAATTACCAAAATGTGACACAGAGACACAAAGTGAGTGCATGCTATTGGAAAAATCGCACTGACAAACTTGCTGTACTCAAGGTTGCCACAAACCTTCAATATGTAAAAAATGCAGTATCAGCAATGCACAATAAAAAGAAGTATGTCGGTACCTTGCCACCAACACAACAACATATTACTATAGCTTTAAATGCCTCCATTAGGTAATCCTTTAGGTTGAAAAACAAATTCTCCCAGAAGCCATCAAGGAAAAGATATAGTGACCACAAAAATGTTATAACTTCCAGGCAGTAAACAAAAGTAACTTGATAAAAAGGACTGGGAGTTAGGGTAGGAGGCTGGGAGAGAAAAAGACTCAATTTTCATTTTCATACTGTTCTTCACTTTTAAATGTTTGAAAATGTGCATTTGTTGCTTTTATTTTTAATGACTTTTTAAAGTATTGATTCTTGATGAAACCCAGATCATCCTGACCACTATTAACTTCTTAGCACCATTTCTTTATTAGATAAGAAGCAATAGAGTATAATAAATCAATACACATGCTTTAAGACCAGATGGTCCTGGATTAAAATCCTATAGGAGAAATCTACTTGCTCTGTGGAACCAAGCTTGGTCAATTCATAACAGTACTTTGAGCCTCGGCTTCCCTGTGGTATAAAGAAAACAGAGAGAATTGTCATTTCTAATCAGAAAAGCTTTCTGAGGGCAGTTGCTCTGACATAAAACGCCCTTTTATTTGGCCAGCCATGGAGGAAAGATGAGAACAGAAAGAAGAGATTGGAGCCGATGGCAGGGCAGAGGGCTTGTGTGGCATAGAATGAAGTGGCCACTGAGAGTCCATGGTGGCAGGGAAGTTTAAAGGACTTTTAGAAACAGTAATATCTAATGTGCAATTTCAATTTGTTTATAGTACACAATGTGACCTGTCCCCCACAAACCACAACCCTCACTAAAAGTTAGTTCTTTATGCACAGTTCTTTTTGGATGCTTCTGAGGTTGTCACGGCTGGGGAAAATTAAAGGCGAATATGCTAGATACCAAGGTTGGGTGGTCACCAGGGAGGAAATAAAAGAATGGGCACCAGAACAGAGAACGATAATGAAGTGGAAGCAGCAAATCAGAGCCAGGAATGACCCTAAGAACATAAGGGCTCTGGAAATTCACAGATCTGGGGGAAGCTTTCCACATCCTCAAGCCATAGATGGAACTTTGCTTTGGTTTTAGCTGAATCTCTAGGGACCAGGAGACCCCAGGTGTTACCTGGGTCGCATGTAAAATGGGATAAAAATGCCTACTTCCCAGTGCTTTGTGAATGACAGTGCACATAAGTAAACTATGCCTGGAACATGTCAATACTCAAGACCTGGTAGCAATGGGAAAAAAAGGAAACTGGCAGAGGGAGCTTCAGGAGGATTGAGGCTACGTTAGGAAAGTTTTGACAGGGACAGTGGTCAGGGCGAGGGAGCTGGGAAATGACCCAGCCTGGTTAAGAGGCTCAGTCAGGCCTTTTAGACAACCCAGAAGGAAGCACAAGACCAGGCATAGTGATAGCAAAAGGGAAACAAGAGCAATGTGAGACTCCATTAGTTACAAGTCTTAGCAGGAAGTAACCAAAGCTAACTCCAGCTAGCTTAATAAGAAAGTTGATTATAAGGGGTCATGAGTCTCTCACGCCTAAGGGGAGGAAAGTATCCCTGCTTCCATCTTTCTCTCTCGCTATATTCCTCTGCTTCTCTCTCCCCTGTTAACAGCTGCCATGCTCTTGGCCCAGCAGGCTTCAGGTGTTTTCCTGATAGCTCTCAGGTCTCCTTTCTTTTTTTTTTTTTTTTTTTTTTTTGAATTATGCTTCTTTTTTTTTTTTTTTTAAATTTTTTTTTTTATTATACTCTAAGTTTTAGGGTACATGTGCACATTGTGCAGGTTAGTTACATATGTATACATGTGCCATGCTGGTGCGCTGCACCCACTAACGCGTCATCTAGCATTAGGTATATCTCCCAATGCTATCCCTCCCCCCTCCCCCCACCCCACCACAGTCCCCAGAGTGTGATATTCCCCTTCCTGTGTCCATGTGATCTCATTGTTCAATTCCCACCTATGAGTGAGAATATGCGGTGTTTGGTTTTTTGTTCTTGCGATAGTTTACTGAGAATGATGGTTTCCTATTTCATCCATGTCCCTACAAAGGACATGAACTCATCATTTTTTATGGCTGCATAGTATTCCATGGTGTATATGTGCCACATTTTCTTAATCCAGTCTATCATTGTTGGACATTTGGGTTGGTTCCAAGTCTTTGCTATTGTGAATAATGCCGCAATAAACATACGTGTGCATGTGTCTTTATAGCAGCATGATTTATGGTCCTTTGGGTATATACCCAGTAATGGGATGGCTGGGTCAAATGGTATTTCTAGTTCGAGATCCCTGAGGAATCGCCACACTGACTTCCACAATGGTTGAACTAGTTTACAGTCCCACCAACAGTGTAAAAGTGTTCCTATTTCTCCACATCCTCTCCAGCACCTGTTGTTTCCTGACTTTTTAATGATTGCCATTCTAACTGGTGTGAGATGATATCTCATTGTGGTTTTGATTTGCATTTCCCTGATGGCCAGTGATGATGAGCATTTCTTCATGTGTTTTTTGGCTGCATAAATGTCTTCTTTTGAGAAGTGTCTGTTCATGTCCTTCGCCCACTTTTTGATGGGGTTGTTTGTTTTTTTCTTGTAAATTTGTTTGAGTTCATTGTAGATTCTGGATATTAGCCCTTTGTCAGATGAGTAGGTTGTGAAAATTTTCTCCCATGTTGTAGGTTGCCTGTTCACTCTGATGGTAGTTTCTTTTGCTGTGCAGAAGCTCTTTAGTTTAATTAGATCCCATTTGTCAATTTTGGCTTTTGTTGCCATTGCTTTTGGTGTTTTAGACATGAAGTCCTTGCCCACGCCTATGTCCTGAATGGTAATGCCTAGGTTTTCTTCTAGGGTTTTTATGGTTTTAGGTCTAACGTTTAAGTCTTTAATCCATCTTGAATTGATTTTTGTATAAGGTGTAAGGAAGGGATCCAGTTTCAGCTTTCTACATATGGCTAGCCAGTTTTCCCAGCACCATTTGTTAAATAGGGAATCCTTTCCCCATTGCTTGTTTTTCTCAGGTTTGTCAAAGATCAGATAGTTGTAGATATGCGGCATTATTTCTGAGGGCTCTGTTCTGTTCCATTGATCTATATCTCTGTTTTGGTACCAGTACCATGCTGTTTTGGTTACTGTAGCCTTGTAGTATAGTTTGAAGTCAGGTAGTGTGATGCCTCCAGCTTTGTTCTTTTGGCTTAGGATTGACTTGGCGATGCGGGCTCTTTTTTGGTTCCATATGAACTTTAAAGTAGTTTTTTCCAATTCTGTGAAGAAAGTCATTGGTAGCTTGATGGGGATGGCATTGAATCTGTAAATTACCTTGGGCAGTATGGCCATTTTCACGATATTGATTCTTCCTACCCATGAGCATGGAATGTTCTTCCATTTGTTTGTGTCCTCTTTTATTTCCTTGAGCAGTGGTTTGTAGTTCTCCTTGAAGAGGTCCTTCACATCCCTTGTAAGTTGGATTCCTAGGTATTTTATTCTCTTTGAAGCAATTGTGAATGGGAGTTCACTCATGATTTGGCTCTCTGTTTGTCTGTTGTTGGTGTATAAGAATGCTTGTGATTTTTGTACATTGATTTTGTATCCTGAGACTTTGCTGAAGTTGCTTATCAGCTTAAGGAGATTTTGGGCTGAGATGATGGGGTTTTCTAGATAAACAATCATGTCGTCTGCAAACAGGGACAATTTGACTTCCTCTTTTCCTAATTGAATACCCTTTATTTCCTTCTCCTGCCTGATTGCCCTGGCCAGAACTTCCAACACTATGTTGAATAGGAGCGGTGAGAGAGGGCATCCCTGTCTTGTGCCAGTTTTCAAAGGGAATGCTTCCAGTTTTTGCCCATTCAGTATGATATTGGCTGTGGGTTTGTCATAGATAGCTCTTATTATTTTGAAATACGTCCCATCAATACCTAATTTATTGAGAGTTTTTAGCATGAAGGGTTGTTGAATTTTGTCAAAGGCTTTTTCTGCATCTATTGAGAGTTTTTAGCATGAAGCGTTGTTGAATTTTGTGAAAGGCTTTTTCTGCATCTATTGAGATAATCATGTGGTTTTTGTCATTGGCTCTGTTTATATGCTGGATTACATTTATTGATTTGCGTATATTGAACCAGCCTTGCATCCCAGGGATGAAGCCCACTTGATCATGGTGGATAAGCTTTTTGATGTGCTGCTGGATTTGTTTTGCCAGTATTTTATTGAGGATTTTTGCATCAATGTTCATCAAGGATATTGGTCTAAAATTCTCTTTTTTGGTTGTGTCTCTGCCCTGCTTTGGTATCAGAATGATGCTGGCCTCATAAAATGAGTTAGGGAGGATTCCCTCTTTTTCTATTGATTGGAATAGTTTCAGAAGGAATGGTACCAGTTCCTCCTTGTACCTCTGGTAGAATTCGGCTGTGAATCCATCTGGTCCTGGACTCTTTTTGGTTGGTAAACTATTGATTATTGCCACAATTTCAGAGCCTGTTATTGGTCTATTCAGAGATTCAAGTTCTTCCTGGTTTAGTCTTGGGAGAGTGTATGTGTCGAGGAATGTATCCATTTCTTCTAGATTTTCTAGTTTATTTGCGTAGAGGTGTTTGTAGTATTCTCTGATGGTAGTTTGTATTTCTGTGGGATCGGTGGTGATATCCCCTTTATCATTTTTTATTGTGTCTATTTGATTCTTCTCTCTTTTTTTCTTTATTAGTCTTGCTAGTGGTCTATCAATTTTGTTGATCCTTTCAAAAAACCAGCTCCTGGATTCATTGATTTTTTGAAGGGTTTTCTGTGTCTCTGTTTCCTTCAGTTCTGCTCTTATTTTAGTTATTTCTTGCCTTCTGCTAGCTTTTGAATGTGTTTGCTCTTGCTTTTCTAGTTCTTTTAATTGTGATGTTAGGGTGTCAATTTTGGATCTTTCCTGCTTTCTCTTGTAGGCATTTAGTGCTATAAATTTCCCTCTACACACTGCTTTGAATGCGTCCCAGAGATTCTGGTATGTGGTGTCTTTGTTCTCGTTGGTTTCAAAGAACATCTTTATTTCTGCCTTCATTTCGTTATGTACCCAGTAGTCATTCAGGAGCAGGTTGTTCAGTTTCCATGTAGTTGAGCGGCTTTGAGTGAGATTCTTAATCCTGAGTTCTAGTTTGATTGCACTGTGGTCTGAGAGATAGTTTGTTATAATTTCTGTTCTTTTACATTTGCTGAGGAGAGCTTTACTTCCAACTATGTGGTCAATTTTGGAATAGGTGTGGTGTGTTGCTGAAAAAAATGTATATTCTGTTGATTTGGGGTGGAGAGTTCTGTAGATGTCTATTAGGTCTGCTTGGTGCAGAGCTGAGTTCAATTCCTGGGTATCCTTGTTGACTTTCTGTCTCGTTGATCTGTCTAATGTTGACAGTGGGTGTTAAAGTCTCCCATTATTAATGTGTGGGAGTCTAAGTCTCTTTGTAGGTCACTCAGGACTTGCTTTATGAATCTGGGTGCTCCTGTATTGGGTGCATAAATATTTAGGATAGTTAGCTCTTCTTGTTGAATTGATCCCTTTACCATTATGTAATGGCCTTCTTTGTCTCTTTTGATCTTTGTTGGTTTAAAGTCTGTTTTATCAGAGACTAGGATTGCAACCCCTGCCTTTTTTTGTTTTCCATTGGCTTGGTAGATCTTCCTCCACCCCTTTATTTTGAGCCTATGTGTGTCTCTGCACGTGAGATGGGTTTCCTGAATACAGCACACTGATGGGTCTTGACTCTTTATCCAACTTGCCAGTCTGTGTCTTTTAATTGGAGAATTTATTCCATTTATATTTAAAGTTAATATTGTTATGTGTGAATTTGATCCTGTCATTATGATGTTAGCTGGTTATTTTGCTCATTAGTTGATGCAGTTTCTTCCTAGTCTCGATGGTCTTTACATTTTGGCATGATTTTGCAGCAGCTGGTACCGGTTGTTCCTTTCCATGTTTAGCGCTTCCTTCAGGAGCTCTTTTAGGGCAGGCCTGGTGGTGACAAAATCTCTCAGCATTTGCTTGTCTATAAAGTATTTTATTTCTCCTTCACTTATGAAGCTTAGTTTGGCTGGATATGAAATTCTGGGTTGAAAATTCTTTTCTTTAAGAATGTTGAATATTGGCCCCCACTCTCTTCTGGCTTGTAGGGTTTCTGCCGAGAGATCCGCTGTTAGTCTGATGGGCTTTCCTTTGAGGGTAACCCGACCTTTCTCTCTGGCTGCCCTTAACATTTTTTCCTTCATTTCAACTTTGGTGAATCTGACAATTATGTGTCTTGGAGTTGCTCTTCTCGAGGAGTATCTTTGTGGTGTTCTCTGTATTTCCTGAATCTGAACGTTGGCCTGCCTTGCTAGATTGGGGAAGTTCTCCTGGATAATATCCTGCAGAGTGTTTTCCAACTTGGTTCCATTCTCCACATCACTTTCAGGTACACCAATCAGACGTAGATTTGGTCTTTTCACATAGTCCCATATTTCTTGGAGGCTTTGCTCATTTCTTTTTATTCTTTTTTCTCTAAACTTCCCTTCTCGCTTCATTTCATTCATTTCATCTTCCATTGCTGATACCCTTTCTTCCAGTTGATCTCATTGGCTCCTGAGGCTTCTGCATTCTTCATGTAGTTCTCGAGCCTTGGTTTTCAGCTCCATCAGCTCCTTTAAGCACTTCTCTGTATTGGTTATTCTAGTTATACATTCTTCTAAATTTTTTTCAAAGTTTTCAACTTCTTTGCCTTTGGTTTGAATGTCCTCCCGTAGCTCAGAGTAATTTGATCGTCTGAAGCCTTCTTCTCTCAGCTCGTCAAAATCATTCTCCATCCAGCTTTGTTCCATTGCTGGTGAGGAACTGCGTTCCTTTGGAGGAGGAGAGGCGCTCTGCGTTTTAGAGTTTCCAGTTTTTCTGTTCTGTTTTTTCCCCATCTTTGTGGTTTTATCTACTTTTGGTCTTTGATGATGGTGATGTACAGATGGGTTTTCGGTGTAGATGTCCTTTCTGGTTGTTAGTTTTCCTTCTAACAGACAGGACCCTCAGCTGCAGGTCTGTTGGAATACCCTGCCGTGTGAGGTGTCAGTGTGACCCTGCTGGGGGGTGCCTCCCAGTTAGGCTACTCGCGGGCCAGGGACCCACTTGAGGAGGCAGTCTGCCCATTCTCAGATCTCCAGCTGCGCGCTGGGAGAACCACTGCTCTCTTCAAAGCTGTCAGACAGGGACACTTAAGTCTGCAGAGGTTACTGCTGTCTTTTTGTTTGTCTGTGCCCTGCCCCCAGAGGTGGAGCCTACAGAGGGAGGCAGGCCTCCTTGAGCTGTGGTGGGCTCCACCCAGTTGGAGCTTCCCGGCTGCTTTGTTTACCTAATCAAGCCTGGGCAATGGCGGGCGCCCCTCCCCCAGCCTCGTTGCCGCCTTGCAGTTTGATCTCAGACTGCTGTGCTAGCAATCAGCGAGATTCCGTGGGCGTAGGACCCTCTGAGCCAGGTGTGGGATATAGTCTCGTGGTGCGCCGTTTCTTAAGCCGGTCTGAAAAGCGCAATATTCAGGTGGGAGTGACCCGATTTTCCAGGTGCGTCCATCACCCCTTTCTTTGACTCGGAAAGGGAACTCCCTGACCCCTTGCGCTTCCCAGGTGAGGCAATGCCTCGCCCTGCTTCGGCTCGCGCATGGTGCGCACACACACTGGCCTGCGCCCACTGTCTGGCACTCCCTAGTGAGATGAACCCGGTACCTCAGATGGAAATGCAGAAATCACCCGTCTTCTGCGTCACTCACGCTGGGAGCTGTAGACCGGAGCTGTTCCTATTCGGCCATCTTGGCTCCCCCCTCTCTCAGGTCTCCTTTCTAAGGAAAGGACTGATTGGCTCAGCCTGAGTCTGACGCCCTCTCCTGGTCCAATCATGTCATGTATGAAGTGGCTACTGAGGTGCCTTCCACTATAGGAGAGGGGAAGTTACAGGATTAACTGTGAGTTGGGGACACATCCCTACTTTAGGGACTCTCAATTTGTGTCAGAATTTTACCTACCACTGTTGTAAACATGATCTGAAGTCCTTTGTGTTTAAAGCTGCAAAAACAACAACAAAATTAGCCTAATCTTTAATATTTTTCAAGTTTTTTCATTTCCCTTTATTCTCACTGAATTTTGTAGGCTGAATATAGCTTGTAGATAGATATTTGCTTTCATATCCACTTTTTCTCAATAGATAACACACTTCTTTCAAAAAAGGATTTTGTCTTATTTGCCTTTGTAATACCTACCCCTTAGCACCGGACAGATGTTTCTTAAATGAATGACAATGAGGGAGAAAGAGGATGAAAACAAACTTCCTTTCAGTTTTTCCTGGAATCAAACTTGGAGAGGCACAACCGTTTGAAGCAGAAAACTCCTGATATTTAGAATTTATTCTGGCACTATTTTAATAAAGTCCATTTATCAAGAATGTTTGGGAAGATTTTCATTCATACACTTACCTCATATTCAACCATGGCTAATTGCCAATAAATCAGAAGATTACATTATCCTGGCAAACTGTTTTAACATGTTTTAATCTTCCTTTGATTCTGAAAGCCCTGTAGGATCTTGTTAGGCCTCAAGGTCACATATTATGAACATGACTTGCATGATTAAATGATGGGAAGGTGGAGAAAGCATTTGAGGTTCTTGTTTGCTTTTTTGTTTTTTGATCTGAATCCTGGATAAAAGGGCATTTACTATGGCTTTTGAGTCTAGATTCTACTCCATGCCATAAAGGGAAGGTGCTTCCTAACAAAAGATGATCTATCACAAGAGGCCACTCCTCATGTTTCCAGTCCACAAGCCCAAGTCATTCCCCAATTCTTCCATGAAGCCTACCCTGGTCCACAGCCACATCCTTTCCTCATCCTCCCAGAGCAGTTCATTTGCTACCTCTTTTGCTGCCACTCACCATTTCCTAGAGCTCTTTGTGTATCTATCCCCCTGAGAGCACCTGAGGCCACAAAACAGGATTCATTTCACTTCTGCAATTCTCACAGGCCTCAGCACACCTGTTTCAATAAACATTTCTCCCATGATTGATGAAATTATGAAGCACCTCTGGACTCAATAATAACCAGCAATTACCTATGCAAATTACACATTCACGCACATAATCACTTATAGCTGTACTATCACCTTCATGAAATCTATTAAAAAGTGCAAGTAACCTTAACCAAACAAGACACATTATTCAGCTGTGATTGACCTTCAAGCTTTGAAGACCTATGTTGCCATTCATAGGCTTAAATGTTGTAATGTTGTTAAGGCTTTCATAGATAAGGTAGAAAATAAGGATTTTATATTAAAGAGAATGAAGAAAATATGAAGGAAATGGATGGGGACAGATGGATGGAAGCTATGAAGAAAGTCAAACAGACAATAACTTTCTAAAATCTCAAATTCCCCAGGAGAGCATCACACAGCTGGCTCTGCCTTTTCCACAGCCCAATGTTGGGGAAAAGGAGACTTTTTTCTTCTGTGCCTCCACCATCACTTATTTCCCACAAAATATGATTCACATAGTGGAGAGGAAGTGCTGAGCAATTCCATGCAAATTTGGTCAGGGTCTCCAAACATTTATCCATCTCTCCATCTTGAGATTCACACACCATGGTAATAAATTCTTTACTAAGCCCAAAGCCCTTAGATGGATTCCTCCCCCCCATCACTATTTCCTCTCTCTTTTCCTTGTCTTGCATCAGCACCACCAACCAGAACCCAAGGCCCCAGCAGACACCAGCACTGTTCTGAGTCCTTCAGAAGGAGTCAGGAGTTAACATTCCCTGTTCTGCATTCTCAGCCACTTTTCCGATTGACTGCTAGCATTAACTATTAAACAGGCATTTCCTAGGGACTCTTTTCTAGCTGGCTGTTTCTGTAGGACACTCCAGATGACACATGTCAGCCCTGAGGGCAATCTGACAAAGCAGATCCTCAGAGGTGCAGAAGTCCAAGCTCAGCAGCCTCATCCAGAATCATCCAGCCTCATCCAGACTCCTGGGGCTCCTCTTTCTGAACGTCTTCAATTTTCTGGTCACTTTGCCTGACTTCCACCTTTGTGTGGATCCCTTCCAAGAATAAACTGCTGTTACAATAAGGAACCTGCTACAGTGAAGAAAATTAGTTTCTGTTTTGAACATTTGGAAATCTTGGGAGCATATTTTTTAAGTGGTATGCTGATATAGTGTGCATCAGTATGAAACACGGAATTGGAACCAGAGAGGCACAACAGAGCAGGTTACTGCAACATTTGCCCATGTTTTGGTTATTGAGTGATACTGCTTATTGGTGAATCAGCCTCCATGAGGAACTTATCAGTTAATCACCCAGGAATCATTTTAGACTTCCAAATGGCACACCAGTCTCTTTACTGAGTCATGGAAAGCCCCTGATCACCAATCAATCACATAATCACCCCTTAAGGTCTGGAGGTTCATGATAGATAGGCATATTTCTTGTCTAGGTAACTGGTGGAGTCACAGAGATTTAAACAAAGTCAGAACAAGTTTGTCTGATAGCCACTCTGAAATCCCAACGCAGTTTATGGCCATACCACCATCAACACACCAGATCTTGTCTGAAATACCAACACAACCCTCACTTGTACTTTTATTTCATTATGATGACAACAGGTGATAACAGTATCTAGAGTATTTGAAGCTGTAGAAGGGAGTGTTGGCACACAAAATAGTAAAAATGAAATGGTTTGCCTGAGAAAATTAGAATCAATGGCATGAGATGACTATTTTTTATAAAAATCAAATTATTGTTAAACATTCAATTGTCTACAAAATGAATAGAAATAAACTTAAGAGAAAATTAGGCTGGGCCCAGTGGCTCACGCCTGTAATCCCAACACTTTAGGAGGCCAAGGCAGGTGGACCACCTGAGGTCAGGAGTTCGAGACCAGTCTATCCAATATGGTGAAACTCTGTCTCTACTAAAAATACAAAAATTAGCCAGGCATGGTTGTGGATGTCTGTAATCTCAGCTACTTGGGAGGCTGAGGCTGGAGAATCACTTGAACCCGGGAGGTGGAGGTTGCAGTGAGCTGACATTGCACCACTGCACTCCAGCCTGGGCAACAGAGTACGGGTGGGACTCTGTCTCAAAAAAAAAGGGAGAGAGAAAAAAAATTAATTACAAATATGTCATCATAACATAATCAAATTTACTGAGTATCCTACTACAACATAAATTTGCTAAACTTATTTAAAAATAATTTATGACTACTGAACAAAAATAATCTTTTTATTTTTAAAAGCACTTTTGGTTGTCTCTTGTTTTTATGACATTAAGGTTTTTTGGAATCTCTCTTACTAATTTGCAAAGTTTTTTAATGTAAGAAAATTAACTCTTTATTATATATACTACAAATACTTCCCCCAATTTGTCTTTTGATTTGCCTTATCATACTTTTAATTTGCCTTACCATGAATTTGATTTACACAGTTTTTATTTTTATCATACAAATTGCTAGTCTTTTCATTTTGTGATCTTCTTTTGGTTAGGCTTAGAAAGTTCTTACCTATCCTGAGGTTAAATTGTTGTCTAAGAGTTTTATAAATTTGAAGAATTTATTTTAATACATGATGGGAAGCAAGGCTCCAGCTTCATTTTTTCTGAAGAATTCATCATTTTTACCAAAATCAGAATTACCTTTGAATCAGTTGCTCTTCAGCTCTATGTCAGTCAACTCTCCTTTCCCTTTTTTTCGTATATCACAAGTTTACTGCACTAGGGCTTTTCCAAAATCAAATGAAGAATTATTTTTCTCAATCAGGCAAAATCTAGGTTCTTTTCCACCTAACAAATCTTTTCCACTGATTTTATAGACATTCCTTCCCCCATTTTATCGCCTTCACAGGTCTTTTAAGTTACTGTCATTTAATACCTTCCTTGCATCCACAGAAACGAACAGCATTTTGTCCTTATCTATTTTCACATCATGCATAACCAGTTACACAGCAGTAACATATAAATGGTCGTTAATCTTAACTAGCCCCACTCCCCTATTCAGTTCTTCCAGACTCCCTGCTATATTTTCCAAAGCCAGCTACACTTATAAATTCACTTGAATAAGCATATGCCAGGCAATGAGCCAGAAATTTGACGAAAATAGAAACACAAAGACAGCTATTTTTTACCCACAAAGAGTTTTCAGTCAAGTTTACAGATACAAACATGTAAATAACTGTATTATTTATCTATTGCCATATGACAAATTACCCCAAATGTAGTCACTTAAAGCAACAATAAACATTTATTGTCCCTCACAGTTTCTATGGATCAAGAATTCAAGATCAGCTTAACCACACACTTCTGGCTCAGGATCCCTCATAACATCGCACGCAGATGCTGGGTGGAGCTGTTAATCATCTGAAAGCATTTCTGGAAATGGAGGATGTGCTTCCAAAGAGCCTGACTTACATGGCTAAAACTTGGTGCTGGCTGTTGGTAGAGGCTTCAGCTTTTCTACACATGAGCCTCTGCACAGGGATGCTTGAGCATCCTCAAAATATGGTAGCTGGCTTCTATGACAATGAGCAATCCAAGAGAACAAGATAAATACTGCAATTCACTTTATGACCTACTCTCAGAAATCACACACTGTCACCTCTACCGTACTATATTGGCCATACAGATCAGCCTTCTGCGCAAAAGGATACTATGCAAGGGTGTGAATACCAAGAGGCAAAAATCACTGAGTGATTGTTTTCAGTATATTGGAGTAATGAGTAGAACCACTAATAGCAATGAAGAATAAACAAATACATGGCTAGCTATTATGTACTGTCTGCTGTCTGCTGGATGCTATGATCATATTTCATATGCATTACGTCCCTCAGTCTTAACAAAATCCTATGAGTCAGGTACGGTGGGAGCCTTCTTGAAGGATGGTTACCACAACAACCAATACAGATTAGGATAAAATAAGCATAAAATGGAAACCTAGGTAATTTTCCATCCTGTTTGTTTGGTTGATTTGGGTTTTTGTGTGGTTGGTTTTGGATTTTCATTTTTTTAGAGACAGGGCCTTTCTCTGTCACCCTGCAGTGCAGCGGTGCCATCATAGTTCACTGTGGCCTCAACCTCCAGGGCTCAGGGGGTTCTCCTGCTTCAGCCTCCCGAGGAGATGGGACTACATGCATGTGCCACAACATCCAGCTAATTTTTAAATTTTGTGTAGAAATGGAGTCTCCCTATATTACCCAGGGTGGTCTCCAACTCCTGGTCTCAAGAGATCCTCCCACCTCATCTCCCAAAGTGCTGTGATTACAGGTGTAAGCCGCTGCAACCAGGCCATAATTCTTAAAACAGAACAGTTTTCACTCTCAAACTTATCAAGCCCATTTTTTTTCTCACTCTGCTAAGTTAACTCTTCCTTGTAAACTTTAGAGACTGATGCCATCAAATATGAGCTCCCTCCATTTATTTATCTTCATCTAAAAATTATTAATTTAGTCAACCACTATCCCTCCGATTCCCAACAGCTAGTCTGTCTACTGGTCTCGTGGTGCCATTCCCAGCCAACCACTATAAAACCTGTCCATGAAGCACCTCTTTTTCTCCTGCATCTTCAATGTCTGTGTCATTATTGGCTCCTATCACTTTGTCTACAAATCTCTTCCAGTTTCCTTTACACTGAAGCTAGAAGTCTCTAGGCCAGAACCTTATAACACACAAATCTAAGCCTGTCACTTTCCTGGTTAGTAATATTCATTGGCTCCTTATTGTCAACCAAACAGTCAAGAGTCTAAAATCTGCCAAGTAGAGCTTCTATAATCTTTCATCACTTAATATTTTCAGCTGACCTTTCAATACTCCACACTTTAACAGAACTGGACCAGCCACTCTTCTCTGGACATACCATTCATAAAAATACATTAAATTCAGGAAACAGAAAACCTATGACCAGCATAAACTCGGAAAAAAGAGTTGTGTTTTTTAACAAGACATTTATGGGTAAGTGGTTCCAAGATTTCTTTAGCAATTTAATCATATAAATGTACCAGAATCTTGCCATTCTTCTGCTCCACCATCCTCAGTGTGTTAGTATCTTGTTCTCATGTTTGTTGACTCATGGTAAAAAAAAAAAGTAATAGCTGCTACAGCTCTGGATATCAATCCTTACATCATTATGCTAAACAAAGGGGACAATTAGAAAAGAGGCTTTCCTTGCACTTCTAAGTCTCCATTTACTCATCTGCACAATGGAGACAATCCCAGTACCTGCCTCATAAGATTTTCTTAAGACTGAGGGACATAATGCGTACGAAATATGATCATAGCACCCAGCACATAGTGGACAGTACATCATAGCTAACCATGTATTTGTTTATTCTTCATTGCTGTTAATGATTCTACTCATTACTCCAACATCCTGAAAAGAAACACTAAGTGAAAAATCAATCATCTGAACTCAATAATAACCAGAAATTACCTGTGCAAATTACACATTCATGCACATAATCACTTATAGCTATACTATCACCTTCATGAAATCTATTAAAAAGTGCAAGTGACCTTAACCAAACAAGAGACATTATTGGAGAGCTGAAGAAATACTGAATAAATCTCAAAAATAGAAAGTAAAATCAAGCTTCAAGTAAACTGGTATTAAAAACTAGGAAGCCAGAAATTGAGTTTCCTCCTCTATTTCTCAGGTTTTCCACTGCTGCCTCTTTCTTCTCTCTTTACCTCTTCCTCCCCCTACTATGCTTTGTAAATTTTCTCATTTGGGTATTCAATACTAAAATCTCTGAGTCCAATTCTGAATTTTCAAAAGAAAATAATCTGCTGCCATTTTGTCCATCCCTGGCCCAAAGCACTCCAAGGGGAGAAGAGGGAGAACAACCATGTGATCTATTTAAAGACCGTTCATCGGTGTGTGAGGAAGCAGGCTGTCTTCTATGAAGAATATGTAGAAACAAAGCTGAAATGGTTGGTGGAAAAAATGACTGGCCTCTCTGGTACCAACTCCTGGCAAAGAAAATGATTCAGGTCCAAGTTAGCAAAATGAACCACATATACAATTCAGAGTTGAAGAGCTTTAATTGAAATTGGTACCTTTTTTTTTTTTTTTTTTTTTGAGGTGGAGCCTTGCTCTGTCACCCAGGTATGAACTCGGCTCACTGCAACCTCCGCCTGCCAGGTTCAAGCAATTCTCTTGCCTCAGCCTCAGAGTAGCTGGGATTACAGGCACCTGCCACCACGACCAGCTAATTTTTCTATTTTTAGTAGAGACAGGGTTTCGCCATGTTGGACAGGCTGACCTTGAACTCCTGACTTCAGGTGATCTACCCCACCTTGGCCTCCCAAAGTGCTGGGATTACAGGCATGTGCCACCGTACCCAGCTGAAACTGGTACATTTTTCAAAGAAATAAATATGAATATTTTCCTTGTATAAACATACAACTAGCAACCCTGTTTAGACTGTCACTTTGAATACATGTAAGGCAACAAACATCTATACACACAAACACACATGCAAATACTGAAATGTATGAATAACACTGCCTAATAGCCAAATCAGGGAAGAAATATTACCAAGTAAATTCCTTTGTTGTTTACATTTTTATTCTCAAAATAAATTGTTTGAGTAATTGAAGTATTCCTTGAATCACACAAACTTTTTATTTCACAAGAAGCAGCCAATTTTAATAAATGTTTTCATGTACAGCTGTCCTCCTTCATCCAGTTTTACTTTCTGCAGTTTCAGTTACCCACAAATGCCCATCATACAAAAGTAAGTGAAAAAGAGGGAATCCTCCCTAACTCATTTTACGAGGCCAGCATCATCCTGATACCAAAACCTGGCAGAGACACAACAAAAAAAGGAAAATTTCAGGCTAATATCCCTGATGAACATCGGTGTGAAAATCCTCAATAAAATACAGGCAAACCTAATCCTGCAGCACATCTAAAAGCTTATCCACCATGATCAAGTTGGCTTCATCCCCAGGATGCAAGGCTGGTTCAACATACGCAAATCAACAAACGTAATCTATGACATAAACAGAACCAATGACAAAAACCACATGATATCTCAATAGATGCAGAAAAGGCCTTCAACAAAATTCAACAGCATTTCATGCTAAAAACTCTCAAACTAGGTATTGATGGAATGTATCTCAAAATAATAAGAGCCATTTATGGCAAACCCACACCCAATATCATACTGAATGGGCAAAAACTGGAAGCATTCCCTTTGAAAACTGGCATAAGACAAGGATGCCCTCTCTCACCACTCCTATTCAACATAGTGTTGGAAGTTCTGGCCAAGGCAATCAGACAAGAGAAAGAAATAAAGGGTATTCAGTTAGGAAAAGAGGAAGTCAAATTGTCCCTGTGTGCAGACGACATGATTGTATATTTAGAAAACCCCATCATCTCAGCCCAAAATCTCCTTAAGCTGATAAGCAAATTCAGCAAAGTCTCAGGATACAAAATCAATGTGCAAAAATCACAAGCATTCCTATACACCAATAACAGACAAACAGAGAGCCAAATCATGAGTGAACTCCCATTCACAATTGCTTCAAAGAGAGTAAAACACCTAGGAATCCAACTTACAAGGGATGTGAAGGACCTCTTCAAGGAGAACTACAAACCACTGCTCAAGGAAATAAGAGAAGACACAAACAAATGGAAAAACATTCCATGCTCATGGATAGGAAGAATCAATATCATGAAAATGGCCATACAGTTCAAAGTAATTTATAGATTGAATGCTATCCCCATCAAGCTACCATTGACTTTCTTCAAAGAATTGGAAAAAACTACTTCAAATTTCATATGGAACCAAAAAAGAGCTCGCATAGCCAAGGCAATCCAAAGGCAAAAGAACAAAGCGGCAGGCGTCATGTTACCTGACTTCAAACTATACTACAAGGCTACAGTAACCAAAACAGCGTGGTACTCATATAAAAACAGAGATATAGACCAATTGAACAGAACAGAGGCCTCAGAAATAACACCACACATCTACAACCATCTGATCTTTGACAAACCTGACAAAAACATGCCATGGGGAAAGGATTCCCTATTTAATAAATGGTGTTGGGAAAATTGGCTAGCCATACGCAGAAAACTAAAACTGGACCCCTTCCTTACACCTTATACAAAAATTAACTCAATATGGATTAGAGAATTAAATGTAAGACCTAAAACCATAAAAACCCTAGAAGAAACCCTAGGCAATACCATTCAGGACATAGACATGGGCAAAGACTTCATGACTAAAACACCAAAAGCAATGGCAACAAAAGCCAAAACTGACAAATGGCATCTAATTAAACTAAAGAGCTTCTGCACAGCAAAAGAAACTATCATCAAAGTAAACAGGCAACCTACAAAATTGGAGAAAATTTTTGCAATCTATCCATTTGACAAAGGGCTAATATCCAGAGTCTATAAAGAACATAAATTTACAAGAAAAAAACAACCACATCAAAAAGTGGGCAGAGGATATAAACAGACACTTCTCAAAAGAAGACCTTTATGGGGCCAGCAAACATATGAAAAAAAGCTCATCATCACTGGTCATTAGAGAAATGCAAATTAAAACCACAATGAGACACCATCTCATGCCAGTTAGAATGGCAATCAGTAAAAAGTCAGGAAACAACAGATGTTGGAGAGGATGTGGAGAAATAGGAATGCTTTTACACTGTTGGTGGGAGGGTAAATTAGTGCAGCCATTGTGGAAGACAGTGTTGCAATTCCTCAAGGATCTAGAACTAGAAATACCATTTGATCCAGCAATCCCATTACTAGGTGTATACCCAAAGGATTATAAATCATTCTACTATAAAGACACATGCACACATATGTTTACTGCGGCACTGTTCACAATAGCAAAGACTTGGAACCAACCCAAATGCCCATCAGTGATAGACTGGATAAAGAAAATGTGGCATATATACACTGTGCAATACTATGCAGCCATAAAAAAGGATGAGTTCATGTCCTTTGCAGGGTCATGGATGAAGCTGGAACCCATCATTCTCAGCAAACTAACACAAGAACAGAAAACCAAATACCACATGTTCTCACTCATAAGTAGGAGTTGAGCAATGAGAACACATGGACACAGAGAGGGGAACATCACACACAGGGGCCTCTCGGGGGGTGGGGGGCTGGGGGAAGGATAGCATTAGGAGAAATACCTAATGTAGATGATGGGTTGATGGGTGCAGCAAACCACCATGGCACACGTATACCTATGTAACAAATCTGCACAGTCTGCACATGTACCCCAGAACTTAAAGTATAATAATTTTAAAAAGAAAGAAAAAAATGAAAAAAGCTTTTCACTTATAATACATTTTAATAATTTCCACGTAAGAGTAGTTCAAAATAGCAGATAAAAGCCCAATTTACTTCCTTTTTCTTTTCTTTTATTTTTTTCATAGGGACATAGAGGAAACAACCCAATATACTTCTCAGGAAGTGGAGCTCTACATCGGCTAAACTAAATGAAAACATGATAGACATTTGCTAACAGTTACGTTGAAAATAATAAATATCCACACTGAGTAGTCCCATTTAGGATTCCTTTCATATCTCATTTATCTTATTCACGCTTCATGATGTAATCCTCTCTTAAACTAGATATTTTTCAGGGCCATGAAATCAAAAAACTTCCAAGAGACCTTGCTTAGTGGTCAAATTAGTCATTTTATAATAGTTGTACTTTTATCATTTTACTCTCAAAGTATGTGTTTCATGTTATGTGAAGCATAATTACATTTTCAATTAAATATTTATCCAACCCCATGAGCCAATTTATGAATTCAAGGATGTGACTACATCCAAGGAAAGCATCAGTACTATTTTCAGCCATCCTCAAGTCTCCCAAAGACCCCATCTATAGAGAAGTTGAGTAGCCCTGTCTGTACAGGAATTCAAGTCAGGCTCTGAAACTCCTACAGAAGTCCATGATTCTGCTTCCCCCACATCTGGCCCTAAAGAATACAGTACTTGCTGTAACCAAAAGAACAGAACACCTGTAACACAGGCACTTACTTGTCTCAGAATTCAGTCATAGATTGAATGTCACCCTGCACTTGCCAAAAGCTTAAGGAAAATTGCATTTGAAAGAAATTCTATTGTACTGTTAATTATCTAAGCTCTAAACCTGAAGTCATTTAAAGTTATTAGAAAAAAAAATCCCCCAATTATCTCACTCATTCCCTTGCAGAAGTGATCCAATGCCACAGTTTAATATTTCGCTTTGGTGCAAAAAAATGTGTTTCTTTCACAAAAACGTGTTTCTTTCACAAAACTATAGTTTGAATATATTGTTCCTTGTGGTACTCAATAGCCATTATATAAGGAGCTTCGAAGCTTATACAATGTTATCCTTTTCATTTTATGCAAAACAATAGAACCAGAAAAGTAGAATGTCTTTTTTTTTTATTGGCCCTCTTCTACTTATTCTGTTAAAACTGGAGTCTTCCTAGATTAGGTCCTCTGTGTCTTCTCTCATAACACTCTCTCTCAACCTCAGTGATTTCATCTAGTTCCCAGTTTCAGCTATCATCTTGTCTTAGTCCATTTGTGTTCCTATAAAGGAATACCTGAGGCTGGTTAATTTACAAAGAAAAGTGGTTTATTTGGCTCACAATTCTGCAGATTGTACAAAAAGCATAGCATCAATATCTGCATCTGAGGAGGGTCTCATGAAGCTTCCACTCATGGTGGAAGGTGAACAGGAGCCAGTGTGTGCAGATCACATGACGAGAGAGGAAGCAAGAGAGAAGGGGAAGGTGATAGGCTCTTTCTAACAATCAGGTCTCATGGGAACTCTCACAAGAACTAACAGATCAAGAACTCATTACCACAAGGACTGCACCAAGTCATTCATAAGACAGCCACCCCCTTAGCCCAAACATCTCCCACCAGGCCCTACCACCAACATTGGGGATCAAATTTCAACATGAGACTTAGTGGGGTATGGGGGGGTGCAAACAACCCATATCCAAACCATAGCATATCTCTATATCAGTTACCCCCCAAATCTTCCAACCACAACCAGCCCCAACTCTAAGAGTAACGCTGTCTAATAGAGCTTTCTGTCATGATAAAAAAAGGTTCTCGGGGGAGGAGCCAAATGGCCAAATAGGAACAGCTCCGGTCTACAGCTCTCAGCGTGAGCGACACAGAAGACGGGTGATTTCTGCATTTCCATGTGAGGTACCGGGTTCATCTCACTAGGGAGTGCCAGACAGTGGGCGCAGGTCAGTGGGTGCGCGCACCGTGCACGAGCCGAGGCAGGGCGAGGCATTGCCTCACTTGGGAAGCGCAAGGGGTCAGGGAGTTCCCTTTCTGAGTCAAAGAAAGGGGTGACGGACGGCACCTGAAAGTCGGGACACTCCCACCCGAATACTGCGCTTTTCCGACGGGCTTACAAAACGGCGCACCACGAGATTGTATCCTGCACCTGGCTCAGAGGGTCCTGCGCCCACGGAGTCTCACTGATTGCTAGCACAGCAGTCTGAGATCAAACTGCAAGGCGGCAGCGAGGCTGCGGGAGGGGCGCCCGCCATTGCCCAGGCTTGATTAGGTAAACAAAGCAGCCGGGAAGCTCGAACTGGGTGGAGCCCACCACAGCTCAAGGAGGCCTGCCTGCCTCTGTAGGCTCCACCTCTGGGGGCAGGGCACAGACAAACAAAAAGACAGCAGTAACCTCTGCAGACTTAAATGTCCCTTTCTGACAGCTTTGAAGAGAGCAGTGGTTCTGCCAGCACGCAGCTGGAGATCTGAGAACAGGCAAACTGCCTCCTCAAGTGGGTCCCTGACCCCTGACCCCCAAGCAGCCTAACTGGGAGGCACCCCCCAGCAGGGGCACACTGACATCTCACATGGCAGGGTACTCCAACAGACCTGCAGCTGAGGGTCCTCTCTGTTAGAAGGAAAACTAACAAACAGAAAGGACATCCACACCAAAAACCCATCTGTACATCACCATCATCAAAGACCAAAAGTAGATAAAACCACAAAGATGGGGAAAAAACAGAACAGAAAAACTGGAAACTCTAAAACGCAGAGCGCCTCTCCTCCTCCAAAGGAACGCAGTTCCTCACCAGCAACGGAACAAAGCTGGATGGAGAATGACTTTGATGAGCTGAGAGAAGAAGGCTTCAGACGATCAAATTACTCTGAGCTACGGGAGGACATTCAAACCAAAGGCAAAGAAGCTGAAAACTTTGAAAAAAATTTAGAAGAATGTATAACTAGAATAACCAATACAGAGAAGTGCTTAAAGGAGATGATGGAGCTGAAAACCAAGGCTCGAGAACTACATGAAGAATGCAGAAGCCTCAGGAGCTGACGCGATCAACTGGAAGAAAGGGTATCAGCGATGGAAGATGAAATGAATGAAATGAAGCGAGAAGTGAAGTCTAGAGAAAAAAGAATAAAAAGAAATGAGCAAAGCCTCCAAGAAATATGGGACTATGTGAAAAGACCAAATCTATGTCTGATTGGTGTACCTGAAAGTGATGCGGAGAATGGAACCAAGTTGGAAAACACTCTGCAGGATATTATCCAGGAGAACTTCCCCAATCTAGCAAGGCAGACCAACATTCAGATTCAGGAAATACAGAGAATGCCACAGAGATACTCCTCGAGAAGAGCAACTCCAAGACACATAATTGTCAGATTCACCAAAGTTGAAATGAAGGAAAAAATGTTAAGGGCAGCCAGAGAGAAAGGTCGGGTTACCCTCAAAGGGAAGCCCATCAGACTAACAGAGGATCTCTCGGCAGAAACCCTACAAGCCAGAAGAGAGTGGGGGCCAATATTCAACATTCTTAAAGAAAAGAATTTTCAACCCAGAATTTCATATCCAGCCAAACTAAGCTTCATAAGTGAAGGAGAAATAAAATCCTTTACAGACAAGCAAATGCTGAGAGATTTTGTCACCACCAGGCCTGCCTTACAAGAGCTCCTGAAGGAAGCACTAAACATGGAAAGGAACAACTGGTACCAGCCGCTGCAAAATCATGGCAAAATGTAAAGACCATCGAGACTAGGAAGAAACTGCATCAACTAACGAGCAAAATAACCAGCTAACATCATAATGACAGGATCAAATTCACACATAACAATATTAACTTTAAATGTCAATGGACTAAATGCTCCAATTAAAAGACACAGACTGGCAAATTGGATAAAAAGTCAAGACCCATCAGTGTGCTGTATTCAGGAAACCCATCTCATGTGCAGAGACATACATAGGCTCAAAATAAAAGGATGGAGGAAGATCTACCAAGCCAATGGAAAACAAAAAAAGGAAGGGGTTGCAATCCTAGTCTCTGATAAAACAGACTTTAAACCAACAAAGATCAAAAGAGACAAAGAAGGCCATTACATAATGGTAAAGGGATCAATTCAACAAGAAGAGCTAACTATCCTAAATATATATGCACCCAATACAGGAGCACCAAGATTCATAAAGCAAGTCCTGAGTGACCTACAAAGAGACTTAGACTCCCACACATTAACAATGGGAGACTTTAACACCCCACTGTCAACATTAGACAGATCAACAAGACAGAAAGTCAACAAGGATACCCAGGAATTGAACTCAGCTCTGCACCAAGCGGACCTGATAGACATCTACAGAACTCTCCACCCCAAATCAACAGAATATACATTTTTTTCAGCAACACACCACACCTATTCCAAAATTGACCACAAACTTGGAAGTAAAGCTCTCCTCAGCAAATGTAAAAGAACAGAAATTATAACAAACTATCTCTCAGACCACAGTGCAATCAAACTAGAAGTCTGGATTAAGAATCTCACTCAAAACTGCTCAACTACATGGAAACTGAATAACCTGCTCCTGAATGACTACTGGGTACATAACGAAATGAAGGCAGAAATAAAGATGTTCTTTGAAACCAATGAGAACAAAGACACAACATACCAGAATCTCTGGGACGCATTCAAAGCAGTGTGTAGAGGGAAATTTATAGCACTAAATGCCCACAAGAGAAAGCAGGAAAGATTCAAAATTGACACCCTAACATCACAATTAAAAGAACTAGAAAAGCAAGACCAAACACATTCAAAAGCTAGCAGAAGGCAAGAAATAACTAAAATCAGAGCAGAACTGAAGGAAACAGAGACACAAAAAACCCTTCAAAAAATTAATGAATCCAGGAGCTGGTTTTTTGAAATGATCAACAAAATTGATAGACCACTAGCAAGACTAATAAAGAAAAAAAGAAAGAAGAATCAAATAGACGCAATAAAAAATGATAAAGGGGATATCACCACTGCTCCCACAGAAATAGAAACTACCATCAGGGAATACTACAAACACCTCTACACAAATAAACTAGAAAACCTAGAAGAAATGGATAAATTCCTGGACACATACACTCTCCCAAGACTAAACCAGGAAGAACTTGAATCCCTGAATAGACCAATAACAGGAGCTGAAAATGTGGCAATAATCAATAGCTTACCAACCAAAAAGAGTCCAGGACCAGATGGATTCACAGCCGAATTCTACCAGAGGTACAAGGAGGAACTGGTACCATTCCTTCTGAAACTATTCCAATCAATAGAAAAAGAGGGAATCCTCCCTAACTCATTTTATGAGGCCAGCATCATTCTGATACCAAAGCCAGGCAGAGACACAACAAAAAAAGAGAATTTTAGACCAATATCTTTGATGAACATTGATGCAAAAATCCTCAATAAAATACTGGCAAAATGAATCCAGCAGCACATCAAAAAGCTTATCCACCATGATCAAGTGGGCTTCATCCCTGGGATGCAAGGCTGGTTCAATATACGCAAATCAATAAATGTAATCCAGCATATAAACAGAGCCAAAGACAAAAACCACATGATTATCTCAATAGATGCAGAAAAAGCCTTTGACAAAATTCAACAGCCATTCATGCTAAAAACTCAATAAATTATGTATTGATGGGACGTATCTCAAAATAATAAGAGCTATCTATGACAAACCCACAGCCAATATCATACTGAATGGGCAAAAACTGGAAGTATTCCCTTTGAAAACTGCCACAAGACAGGGATGCCCTCTCTCACCACTCCTATTCAACATAGTGTTGGAAGTTCTGGCCAGGGCAATTAGGCAGGAGAAGGAAATAAAGGGTATTCAATTAGGAAAAGAGGAAGTCAAATTGTCCCTGTTTGCAGACGACATGATTGTATATCTAGAAAACCCCATTGTCTCAGCCCAAAATCTCCTTAAGCTGATAAGCAACTTCAGCAAAGTCTCAGGATACAAAATCAATGTACAAAAATCACAAGCATTCTTATACACCAAAAACAGACAAACAGAGAGCCAAATCATGAATGAACTCCCATTCACAATTGCTTCAAAGAGAATAAAATACCTAGGAATCCAACTTACAAGGGATGTGAAGGACCTCTTCAAGGAGAACTACAAACCACTGCTCCAGGAAATAAAAGAGGATACAAACAAATGGAAGAACATTCCATGCTCATGGGTAGGAAGAATCAATATCGTGAAAATGGCCATACTGCCCAAGGTAATTTACAGATTCCATGCCATCCCCATCAAGCTACCAATGACTTTCTTCACAGAATTGGAAAAAACTACTTTAAAGTTCATATGGAACCAAAAAAGAGCCCGCATCGCCAAGTCAATCCTAAGCCAAAAGAACAAAGCTGGAGGCATCACGCTACCTGACTTCAAACTATACTACAAGGCTACAGTAACCAAAACAGCATGGTACTGGTACCAAAAGAGAGATATAGATCAATGGAACAGAACAGAGCCCTCAGAAATAATGCCGCATATCTACAACTATCTGATCTTTGACAAACCTGACAAAAACAAGCAATGGGGAAAGGATTCCCTATTTAATAAATGGTGCTGGGAAAACTGGCTAGCCATATGTAGAAAGCTGAAACTGGATCCCTTCCTTACACCTTATACAAAAATTCATTCAAGATGGATTAAAGACTTAAACATTAGACCTAAAACCATAAAAACCCTAGAAGAAAACCTAGGCATTACCATTCAGGACATAGGCATGGGCAAGGACTTCATGTCTAAAACACCAAAAGCAATGGCAACAAAAGACAAAATTGACAAATGGGATCTAATTAAACTCAAGAGCTTCTGCACAGCAAAAGAAACTACCATCAGAGTGAACAGGCAACCTACAAAATGGGAGAAAATTTTTGCAACCTACTCATCTGACAAAGGGCTAATATCGAGAATCTACAATGAACTCAAAAAAATTTACAAGAAAAAAACAAACAACCCCATCAAAAAGTGGGCGAAGGACATGAACAGACACTTCTCAAAAGAAGACATTTATGCAGCCAAAAAACACATGAAAAAATGCTCACCATCACTGGCCATCAGAGAAATGCAAATCAAAACCACAATGAGATACCATCTCACACCAGTTAGAATGGCAATCATTAAAAAGTCAGGAAACAACAGGTGCTGGAGAGGATGTGGAGAAATAGGAACACTTTTACATTGTTGGTGGGACTGTAAACTAGTTCAACCATGGTGGAAGTCAGTGTGGCAATTCCTCAGGGATCTAGAACTGGAAATACCATTTGACCCAGCCATCCCATTACTGGGTATATACCCAAAGGACTATAAATCATGCTGCTATAAAGACACATGCACACGTATGTTTATTGCGGCATTATTCACAATAGCAAAGACTTGGAACCAACCCAAATGTCCAACAATGATAGACTGGATTAAGAAAATGTGGCACATATACAACATGGAATACTATGCAGCCATAAAAAATGATGAGTTCATGTCCTTTGTAGGGACATGGATGAAATTGGAAATCATCATTCTCAGTAAACTATCACAAGAACAAAAAACCAAACACCGCATATTCTCACTCATAGGTGGGAACTGAACAATGAGATCACATGGACACAGGAAGGGGAATATCACACTCTGGGGACTGTTGTGGGGTTGGGGGAGGGGGGAGAGATAGCATCAGGAGATATACCTAATGCTAGATGACGAGTTAGTGGGTGCAGCGCACCAGCCTGGCACATGTATACATATGTAACTAACCTGCACAATGTGCACATGTACCCTAAAACTTAGTATAATAAAAAAAAAAAAGGTTCTCATCTGTGCTGGTCAATACAGCAACCACTAGTCACATGTGACCATTATGCACATAATTCATTTTAGTTTAAATGTGATGGCTAGTGGCTACCATATTGGATAGTACACAGCTCTAGGCTTTCATTTGTTGCTACCTGCTGAGATACTTTGAGCTCATTGCATGCCTGCCAGCACTCCACAACTAATATGCCCAATTTAAGATGTCCTATGTCTGCCCAAAAAACTCCTCTCCTTCGTTTGCTTATTCCTACTAACTATACCACTATGCATTTATGCATTCAGACTACTGAAGCTAAAGTTATTTTTGACACCCACTATTTTCCCACATTCAGTTTGCTCACTACACAGTCACACCTCTGATCAACAAAGAAAAAGTCATTTAAGAAAATGATTTAGAAAATAATTTAGAACAATTGCATACAGCAACAAACTAATCTGTATTTTTGCTTGTTTCTTGAGACCGAGTCTCACTCTGTCATCAGGCTGGAGTGCAGTGGCGCGATCTTGGCTCACTGCAACCTCAACCTCCTGGGTTCAAGTGATTCTCATGCCTCAGCCTCCTGAGTAGCTGGAATTACAGCCACATGCCACCATGCCCAGCTAATTTTTGTATTTTTAGCAGAGACAGGGTTTCACCATGTTGGCCAAGATGGTGTCAATCTCTTGACCTCATGATCCTCCCGCCTAAGCCTCCCAAAGTGCTGGGATCACAGGCCTCAGCCACTGCACCTAGCCTAACGTGTTTTTTACTTGGCATTTCAATTATTTTATTTCCTCCTGGAAACGTTAGCCCATATTCAATATTGCAATCAATATAAGGTGAATTACAAAGTCTGTATTGGTCAGAGGGGGAATTTCAAAGGAGAAATCTATAACATATAGAAGAGGGAAAGTTGTCAAAGTTAGGCAGTAGAAATAACATGAATGAAATTATTTAACTCAGGAGAAACTGTGCAGGTCTATAGATGTAGGAGGAGTAGAGGGAGAAGAATGAGGAGAAGGACAGGAAGGATAAGAAGGGCAAAAAGTAGATAGAATTCTTTTGACTGGTAAGATGAGGAAGTAGAGTTAAGGGCTCAATGAAGACCGAAACTGCAGGCCACTCCTGGCTACTCTGGGGTAGGCACTTGCATCTTATGGTAACTACTTCACAATGAGGAAAAAGTAGCTAATAGTAATTAGAGGAAGTTATTACATGTTGTGGGAAGTCAGGGACCCCCAAACGGAGGGACCAGCTGGAGCCATGGCAGAGGAACATAACTTGTGAAGATTTCATCTTAATATGGACATTTATCAGTTCACAAATAATACTTCTATAACTTCTTAGGCCTGTCTTTAATCTCTTAATCTTGTTATCTTCGTAAGCTGAGGATGTACGTCACCTCAGGACCACTGTGATAATTGTGTTAACTATACAAATTGATTGTAAAACATGTGTGTTTGAACAATATGAAATCAGTGCACCTTGAAAAAGAACAGAATAACAGCAATTTTTAGGGAACAAGGGAAGACAACCATAAGGTCTGACTGCCTGCGGGGTCAGGCAAAAAGAGCCATATTTTTCTTCTTCCAGAGAGCCTATAAACAGACGTGCAAGTAGGAGAGAGATCGCTAAATTCTTTTCCTAGCAAGGAATATTAATATTAATACCCTGGGAAAGGAATGCATTCTTGGGGGGAGGTCTATAAATGGCCGCTCTGGGAATGTCTGTCTCGTGCAGTTGAGATAAGGACTGAGATAAACCCTGGTCTCCTGCAGAACCCTGAGGCTTACTAGGGTTGGGAAAACTTTGCCCTGGTAAATCTGTGGTCAGGCCAGTTCTCTGCTCTCAAACTCTGTTTTCTGTTAAGATGTTTATCAAGACAATACGTGCACCACTGAACACAGACCCTTAACAGTGGTTCTGCTTTTGCCCTTTGCCCTGTGATCTTTGTTGGACCCTTATCAGTGGTTCTGCTTTTTGCCTTTTGAAGCATGTGATCTTTGTACCTACTCCCTGTTCTTACACCCCCTCCCCTATTGAAACCCTTAATAAAAACTTGCCGGTCTGAGACTCAGGCAGGCATCACAGTCACCCCTGGTGGCCCAGCTATAAAATTCCTCTCTTTATACTGTCTCTCTTTATTTCTCAGCCAGCCGACACTTATGGAAAATAGAAAGAACCTATGTTGAAATATTGGGGGTGGGTTCCTCCAATAATTACACTTTGTCTAAAGCAACACTACCTAATAGAAATATAATGCAAGACACACATATAGTTTTAAATTTTGCAGAAGACATTTAGAGTAACAAAAAGGAAAAATCTATTTAATAATTTATTTTATTTTATCCAATATATCTAAAATATTCTCATTTCAACATGTAATCAATATTTTAAAAATTATTTGAGATAGTTTACATTTTGTACTGTTTTGAAATCTGGTACATATTTTGCACTTTACATCTCAATTTGGACACTAAATTTTCATCGGAAATACTTGATCTGTATTTAGATTTCATGAAATTAACAGTTGAAAAAAACAGATTTGCAGAGGCACCAAGTTGTTCCAAACATTCTTGAAACATTTCCAAAACTGAATTACCAGTTTTAAAGTTAGCTTTAAATTAATTAAAATTAAATGAAATTAGAAGTTTAGTTCCTCAGTCACACCAGACACATTTCAAGGGCCTGATACATGCAGTTAGTGGCTACCATATTGGACACCCCAAGCCTAGAGCTTGCACCACCTTAAGAAAAAGCCTTGGGAGAATTTTGTCAGAAAGCTGTGTTGTAGACAAAGGCTGCATGCCAAAGGAAAGAGCTTTCATAAAATAAATGTTAGTTTGAGTGTGCACATCTGTGAGAGCTTTGGACATTCTTTCCAGGCCAGCACAGGGGAAAAAGCACATGGCTATAGATCCACATTATCTCATTCTTCTCTACCCTTTGGCTCCACTGCCTGAAAGCAACATTGACCTGGGATATAGAAGCAGCTCTCTTCTTGTAAATTGCTGGACAATGGAAGCAATCTGTAAAGTAAGGTAATGGGGCCAGGCACAGTGGCTCACATCTGTAATCCCAACACTTTGGGAGACCTCGGGTGGATCACCTGAGGTCAGGAGCTCGAGACCAGCCTGGCCAACATAGTGAAACCCCATCTCTACTAAAACTATGAAAATTAGCTGGCTGTGATAGTGCATGCCTGTAGTCCTAGCAACTCAGGAGCCTGAGGCAGGAGAATAGCTTGAAGCTGGAAGGCGGAGATTGTAGTGAGCCAAGATTGCACCACTGCCCTCCACTCTGGGTGACAGAGTGAGACTCCATCTTAAAAAAAAAATAGGGTAATGGGAGTCAAGCAAGGAGACAAGGAAATGAAAGAAATGCACATACTTGGGTTGTGAGTCCAAAAAGCTATTGTTTGGGGTTGGGGTTTTTTGTATTTAATCATCATGTTGCTGCAATATTGGAAGAACTGTATCATATTACAAGAAATATCATATCAATATCAATAATCTTCACAAATTCAAAGGGTCATACTAACTCAAAGTTGTAGATGTTCAGCTTTTGTTTTATTTTTGTCTGTTTTATTCTTATCCCTAGAACTCCATACCTAGGCCCACAGCAGGAGATCAACAATTGTTTGTTTAGCAAACAAGTTAATAAATGGATTCAAAGCTTCCCATGCAATAACCATATAGCAGCGACAGTACCACACAGAATCTTGTTCCAAATCTAGTCATTTTTTTCAGCAAACATTTTTAAATATTCACTATGTGTTAGTCACTCTATTGGATGCTGTGTATGTAGAAATAATAAACACAAGAAAGACTGAAGGAAAAAGAGATTTATGATGCACTCTTTCACGCAGAAAAATAATCTTGACGTCATTTACAATATCCACTTGACTAATAGGGGCTTTATTTTCCTCAAAAATTGTATGAAATATTAAAATGCAACTTAATCAGAGGCTACCTGATTCCGCCTAACTCTCAAAACTTTACACAACCTCTATTAATAGAAATAAATATTTCTCCTACAAAAAAGTATTATAGATTTGGCTCTATCTGGTTTTATCTTGCCCTAATTAGACATTTAATTTCTCTTTCCAAGTACATATGGGAGTTTTCCTATAATTCTTTGCTTAGCCCAAGTGATACTTTTTTTTCTATATTGAGACTTTTCAGAGCAAGCTAATCATGGGCACAATTCCAAAATGTATAAGAATTCAAGAAAGGAGTTGATTGCTTAATTCTTGCCTCTGACTCGGAGCTCACGTTAATTAGCTAAAGCCAGAGCCCTCGGCATGCTCTCAAGAGCTCCGTGATCCACTGATAGCAATGACAAGGCCATCTGGTCTTCCCACATTACATTGGAGAAAATCTTTCTTGGCATAAAAATTAGGGATGCCTGTAATTTAGAATGAGTCAAGTGTTGCCATCACATTTAAAGGAGATGGTGTCTCACTACCCTATGAGGCCTGTCCCAAAGGAAGCTAAGTTTGTGCACACCAATGCCATGATCTTAAAAATTATCCTTGCTCTCCCTATTTGGGCAATCTTCTCTTACCTACCATGTAGTGATCTTTCTCCTCAACTCCTCTAGTAACTGTTTTTCTTTCTTCTGCAATTACTGCACCTAAATTGGCAAACTTCAATTTAAGGCTTGTATGTAATTTTTGGTTGATTTTCAAATAGCTCTTCATGAAAGGGATGCTAAAATGCAGACGATAAAGGAGTTGGAACTGTCAGAGGGATGTAGCTGGGAAGACAAGAATTGGCTTTTGGATGAAGCCAAGGTGAACTGTGTTAGCTCTTTCCTACTCCCTCATTATCCATGCAGCCTGGACCAGGAACTACAGAAGAAAGGGAGCACAAGATTGACAAAGGTTTCCGTGCAAAGAGATTGGTCAGGTGCTCACTGGTGTATATTGATGTAATTAGCAGCACATACTGAACTGTTGAAGACAGCAAGCACTCTTGGCTTCTCCAAGCCAGTGATTTCCAACCACTGTTTCCAGGTTATTTTATTCCAGGAAAACCAAATAACATTATAAGCCTCATTCATTAGACCTCATTTCCATTTAGGGGGTCAGAATAAATGGTCACTATAATGTTGCCTGAGGATCTCTGGGTCCAGGAACACTGTTGCTGTAAACACAACCCATCACCAGAGGACAGACCTAGACTAAGGATTGATGACAATAAAAGACAACTAAAAACTCGACTTCCCTGGGGAAAAATCCTTTTGATGATGAAGCTTCAAAGAGTATTCCTTTGTGAACTCCTAGATGAAATTTTCAAGGCAAGCAGGAAAAGCACTGAAATTGCTGAAATTGCTGAATAGATGAGGACTGTGTGCTTGATTCATTAAATATATGCATTGGTAAATATAACATATCTTGTCATTTAAATCAGCTTTTCCTTTGGATCTCAGGATATGGCCTTTCATGTATATCCACTGTGAGTCCCACAAGTTTGACATTCCCAGGGAGTTATGTAGGCTTTATATTGTATTAATTTAAAGTTTACAACTGGGCACAGTGGCTCACGCCTATAATCCCAGCACTTTGGGAGGCCAAGGTGGGTGGATCACGAGGTCGGGAGTTTGAGACCAGCCTGACCAACATGGTGAAACCCCATCTCTACCAAAAATACAAACATTAGCTGGGCATGGTGGCAGGCACCTGTAATCCCAGCTACTCAGGAGGCTGAGGCAGGAGAATCACTTGAAACTGGGAGGCAGAGGTTACAGTGAGCTGAGATCGTGCCACTGCACTCCAGCCTGGGCGAGAGTGAGACTCAGTCTCAAAAAATAAAATAAAATAAAATAAAATAAAATAAATTTGCTTCTTTAGTTTGCCCAAATTCTTTTAAGACAGTGATGCTGAATTGTTTTTGGTTGAGTGCTTTTGCAAAGTTAGCATTTGAATTGGCCTAATACTTTCCCTTGTAGTTACAACAATCCAGACAGGTTTGAGAACATGTAAATACCCACAGATTCTTCCACTTCAGGCTCTTTGTGAACAGAACGGTCTTGGGTAATCCAGCAGAGACATTATATACTCAGGTAGGAGAGAACAGACACACAGGCACAAGAATCTCTTACTCTGATGAGAGAAATTCTGTACTTTGTGTTAGAAACTGTATCTCACCAACCTGGAACAATTACAGACTTCTAAGAAACTTGGATTAAAATGCACATTGATAGCCACACTTATTACTCTTGATTATAAAAAATTCAACAGGTTTAGCTGTGATTTATCTGACAAAGTTCTATGCAAATTTAGATATATTTCCAACAGTGTACATGTCATTTATGGTTTCTTATGTTCAGTTTGGTAATCTTATATTCTTTGTAGAAATTCCTCTAGGTGTGCCAGTATTCATTCTCAATATTAAGTTTCTTCCTCAGGTTTCATTGTTCTAAATAAGAAAATAAAAAGATTATTGTATTGTCATTTTATAGTTTCTCTCTTATAAGGAAGTCAAAGCTCTGAACAAATATTTAGCTTGAATCGAAAAAAAGGAGTAAATTGCTCTTTGGAGACGAGCATTAATTTTTTTCAACTTCCTTATGTGTCATTTAACAAATTATCTATTCCAAAGCACTAAATGGCTCTCCAGTGGTCAGACTAAATTAACAGCTCTGCAAACAGCAACTCTTTTCTATATAATTTACTAATGGCATTCATTATATCATCTTGCCAACTCTTTATAATTGTGACAAACATAAGCAGACAAAGCTAGCTCTACAATAGGCAAACTAGGAGACCACGCCCATTTATCAGCAGCCAATCCACAAGCAATTTACCCTTTCTACCTGAAATAAGACTTTATAAAGCCATTCAACAAATATGTATTTATTGAGGTCCTATTATGTGCCAGGTCAGTCTTCTCCAGGGGTCACAGGGCAATACATTCATAACCTGACAGGGTGGGATGACTTTTAGCTTCCTTCTTTTCATACACTAACTGACAGGAAAGTTTACCCTGCAGAATGGATAATGGTGTAAGTAAAAAAGACATAACATCACTAAATGCTTTCTAGAAGTCTACCTTTTATGAATAATCTTGATTATTACAACAAGTGAGAAATAAATTAGATTATGTGTACAATTTTATAATTAAGAAAATTTGACTCTAAGAGGTTAAATATAATTTGCCTAAAGACACACAGAGGGTACAGTCTGAATTTAATTTATATCAGTCTCACTTTTGAGCAAGGTTGAGCCTCATGTTTATATGATACATATGAATTAATTATAAGATACATTTGCAGAACAAAATGATGTAATTTTTGAATCAAAGTATAGTGTTCAGATTAAGGAAACACAACGTTCAGATCAAGGGAGTATTTAGTCCTTTCATCCTTGAGACTAATGGGTTAGAGCATATCTGGAACATAATATATGCTGTAAATACTAAGCATAAAATTTTTAAGAAATTTTGACAAACTCAAAAATATGCCAAAAAATGGGCAACAAAGAAGTCAGAGAGTTAGAAACATCTCATAGACAAACTATCAATGGAACCAGGAGATTCAGTCTGGAAAAGAAAATGCTGAAAGGAATTATACAATGGCTGTCTGCAAATATTTGAAGACTGCCATCTTAGTCCATTTTATGCTGCTATAATAGAATACCTCGATAATTTACAAAGAACAGAGATTTGTTTCTTACAGTTCTGGAGGCTGGGTAGTCCAATATCAAAGTGCTGCCATCTAGTGAGGACCTTCTTGCTGCAGCATTCCATGGTGGATAGCAAGAGGATTAAAAAGCACAAGGGGGGCCAAACTCACTTTTATAACAAACTCACTCTCGTGAAAATGAACCCACTCCCAAAATAATGGCATTAGTCTAATCATTAGGGCAGAGCCCTTATAACCTGAACACCTCTTAAAGGTCCCACATCTCAACACTGTTGTACTGGGATTAAGTTTTCATCAGATAAACTTTGGGAGACACATTCAAAGCATTGCAACTGACATGCAAAAAGGAAGGAAAAAAGCACAGATTTGTTCTTTGTGGCTTCAGAAGACAAACAGGAAACCAGATGAACTAGGAAAACAGAATGACCTTCCAACAATCCCTGTGTAGCAAATTAGGTAGGAATTGTCAAGCACATAGGAAGATGATGATTGTGAGCCTCTGAATACAAAGCCTGTGAACAAGTGAATACGAAGACATATGAAAGGCACCATCAGGAATTGATGGCTGAGTAGATAAGGGGTAGTCACAGAGGACCCAATATTTTTGAGTCCCAGAGCACCTGCTTGGAGGTAGAGACACCAGTCACACCAACCTGTCCACAGCCACTTGCACTCTGCAGGGAACATCCAAGAGCACAGCTATTATTCTAAGCACAGTGGCAAACAGACCTGGGGATTTATACTAACAGCTGTAAAGTCCCCACCTCCGTGTTCTGCCCTTGGCTATCTGCCTGGTCTGGGATGCTCTTGCACAATATATTTACATGGCTCACAGCTCTACTTCATTCAAGCCTCTCCTTAAATGCCAAATCCTCACAAAGACCTTCCTTAACAACCCTATTCAATGTATACTCTTCATTTATTTACATGCTTATTTTTATAGCACATACAATTAACTGACATTATGTCAATGTTTTCTTCCCTCCTTCACTTGAATGTCAATTTCATGCGCAGAAATGTTTTGTTCACTGATAGATCCCCTTGCCTAGAACAGTGCCTGGTACATTGTAGACCCTCGAGGAATAGTTGTAAATTAGACAGATTTTCTCCAAGTGCGGCTTATATCACTCCACAGCAAATATTTTCATAACATTTCCTCTTGACGTAAAATTTACCGGGATAGGTCATGATCTCTGTTACAGATTCGCATTTTAATGTAAGAAAATAAGAAACATTCACTTACCCACAGCCCAAATCTAACAACCAGCTTTTTTTTACTATACCAAGGAACTGTCATTAACTTTTTTGAATTTTCAATCAAATCACTATATAAATTAATTTTGTCATAATGAAATGTTGCAGATCAAACAGAATACTATCCACATTGCCATTTTCCAGTTATATAAGATTAAACAAAAACTACCAATTTGGGGTTTCAAATAGAAATTTTGAAATTTGAATATTCAAATAGAATATGCTTAAATCACTGTTTGTTGAGACCCTTAAATTTAGGGACCCCTAGATCAGCCAGGAAGATGACATTAGCCCATTCAAAATTAAATGAATTTTGAAAGTATTATACTTACTTGCATACATCCCCCAAATTGAAATGAATAGATAACTGTTTTCCTCTATATTCCTTTTCTGCCTCAAAGGCTTGTCAACACAGTTTTGTCCATGAAATGTAGAACAGATTAGAGAAACAGATGCCTGCAGTGTATTTAATGAAAGGTACCCAGAGGTATGCTAGTCACAATTACCACACAAAAACATTTACCTGAAGATGCTTTCCTACTCTTCTTCTATGTCCCAATTTAAAGGTAAAATGTGTGCTAAACCTGGCTGTCAAGTAGCTACAGAAACCTTCAGAACACGTCCAGAGTTTGACCACTCCTCTCTACTGCCATGGCCCTCTCTGAGTCACCACCATCTCTCACCTGGGTTGCTACGAGGCCTCCTAATCAGTTTCCCTGCCTCCTGCTTTGTACCCTTCAACAAAGAAGCAAGTGATCCTTCTAAATCAGAAGTCAGATTGTGTCACCCCGCTGCTCAAAACTCTGCTCAAAACAGCTCCCCAATTCTTACAAAGGCTACAGGTCCTTCCCCTTGCTTCCAAGACCTCATCTTCTATTTCTCTGCCCCTTAATCTGCTCCAGTCACACAGGCCTCCTTGCAATTCCTTGAACATGCACCTGCCTTAGGGCATCGCACTGGCTGTTCTTGCCATTTGGAGTAAAACCTCTTTACAAGGTATTAGCTTGCCTACCTCCTTTGACTTCTTCATGTCTTTGTTTAAATATCATCTTCTCAGTAAGGCCTCTCCTAGACATCCTGTTTTCATCACAACCTGCTCCCCCATTCCTGTCTCAGCACCCACTTTTCCATCTTCCTGAGCATGCTCTTCTCGTCTTTAATGTTGTCACAGTATTTATCATCTTCTAATGTACTATATATTTTACTCATTTTTTATGGTTATATATACTGTCTTTCTCCCTCCCAAAGATTCCAGGGGTCTTTATTTTGTTCACTGATGTATCCGGGAACTAAAACAATGCTTAGCACATAGTAGGGGTTCAATAATATTTGTTGAATGTATTAATTAATAATTATAACAATATAGCATGTGCTGGTAGTCAACGAATCCATAAATACGTTTGAATGCTTAGGTGTGCTCTCTGTGATCTTAGGCACTATGGAGAATTTTTTTTTTTTTTTAGCATAAAGCATCTGCCCTCTGAAAATGTAAGTTTCATTGGGCAGATCACAGGTACAAAGTAATGTCAAAGAGCTTACATATGGAACATATTGATAAAGACCATTGGCTGTGCTAATAAGTCTTTGTGTTATTATGCATTTATGGAACAATTATTCATTGAGCACCCACTATGACCCAAGTACTGTGCTAGCCTGAAGATATTAATGTGAACAACATAGACAGGGTCCCTACTTTCTTGGGACTTACATTCTGATAGGACAAACAATGAACCAATGAATAAATAAACAAAACAACTATAGAAGGACCCTGAGGAAATAAACAAGAGCTGTCATAGAGAACAACAGCAGCCACACCAATTACAATCACCAGGAGGAAGCCGGCAGAATGAACATCTGGACCTCACTCTCCTCTTGCCCTCCAATCTCCAGCTGGTACCTCCACTGGGCCAGCTGGAAGCCAGAGAGCACAGTGCACACAGGGCTAGCAGCGTACAGCAAGGCAGAGAAGATCTGGAGGAGCAAGCATGTATGTGAGTGTGTACGTGTGTGTAAAAACACACCCAAATATACCTCAAAGCCTCCTCAACCTTTCCTGATAGCTGTTGCATCCATTACACAGTTTCTTCCTTTTCTCTCTCCAGGGGATAATCTGATTCTATTTTCCCATATATACTCCTTTTTCTACCAAACTTCATAGTGTTGAAAATAGCAGTCATCCCTTAAACTTCTATTAACTAGGTTCATGAATCTCAGCATCTTTAACTTTTTTCATAAAAAATTTTTTACCTCTTTCAATTTTTAGTCTTCTAAAAATCTGGTATAATTTCTCCTCATCTTTCAGAATATGTAAAATAAAATATTATATACAACTTGTATACAATTCATTAGTAGATTGATAGTTTATTTGCATAAAAATGAACCTTTTCAAATTTGACTGACATGTTAAGACTAGCCCAATTTGATTTTTAAAGCTTTTTTTTTAAAATTAAGTGGCCCATGCTTACGAACACCCATATTAATATGCATAGAAGATAACTTCATATTTAAATTCTCAGAAAGTAAATACAAAGCTGTAACCCACCTCAGGCTCAACATAATAACACTTATTGAGAACTTACCATGTGTCAGAAATTATGCTAACTACTTTACATTATATTTAATCCTCACAACCTAGGAAACAAGAGTATTATTATCCCCATTTTACAATTAAACTAAACTGAAGCAAAGAAAGGTTAGGTAGCTTCCTCAAGATCAAGCAGATATTATGTGGTGAGAACTGGATTCCAACTGTGCTTTTTCACAGTGGAGCCCCCAGTCTACCAGGAAGCCATAGCAGAGCACCTGTACATAGGGTTGTGGGGTCCAAGCACACTCCTCAGCCATTTTTCACACCTAGATATTTCCAAAGACATAGAACTTCGAGTACGAGTACACTTATTGGTCATCCCATAATAACAATGGAAAAATATGTTAAAGAGGTGCTATTCAGTGAAAAAAGTAAGTTATAGGAGAACTGAGAACATTATCATCCCATTTATGGAAAAACAAAGACAGATGTTTTTAAATAGGTCTATCATTAAATATAATAAATATATGGTTCATAGATGCCAATGTGACTATAAGTAAATATATTTGTAGTCATAGTTTCTAGAAAGATAAAAGAAAAATCCGTCAATACAGAGTTCCTCAAAGAGAGCCCTCAAAGGAGTAAGAAGCATTTATTTTCCCTACATACTCTAGACCATTTGAATTATTTACCACAAACTTAAATAAGTTATCACATCAATTACACTAATATCCCATAAGGAAGCAAAGGCTGAGATGATAATTGAATAACTTTATCATGAAAGAACATTCCTGGCAATCCCAAATGTACCTAGTCTGGAATTTCTTCCAAGGTTATTAGTTTTAAATTCTTTGTTTTTTTAATCTTGCTACCTACATATGTTAACAACTATTAGGAAAAAAAACAGCAGCCATAAAATACATATTTTAACTTAGCTTCGTTAATGTGTAAATTAAATGCACTCAATAAACAAAATACATATAAACTGTCCCACTATAGGCTTTAAAACTTGTCAGCATTTAACAATCCACAGATAGCAAACACTTGACCAGTGAAGACTGATAAAGCTATAATTTAGTTGCTGATTCAAGAGGGACAAGTATTAAGACAATAGCTTCATTCTTCCATATATCCCAGTTATGTTGATTTCAGCAGGTTGTCTACATTCTAGAAGCAAACTATTTTAGCAGCAGTTTGTGTGGCAGCACAAACAGTACCCAGAATAGGTTCAACTACAGATCTTGGCACCTATCTTGTTAACTAGCCATGTCTTGAAATGGAACATCATGGAAGGCTTTGGTTGCCAAAGATGAAGTATTTGGATTTTATTGTTCACAAATGCAATGTACTGTGACTAATGTGATACCAAACACTAAAATCCAAACGAGAGTCTAGAGATGGTGAAGCCCAATTCAAAGTGACTAGCTTTGGCAACAACTTGTTGGAGATCAAAATATATAGATATTAAATTCTCAGTATCTCTTAATAGAACTGGTTGAATAAATTAAGGCACATTCATATACTGAAACACAAAGCAGCCATTAAATTCATGCAGAACATTACAGAAATCAATATTCCACCTTATCGTAAAACTTGACACTGTTTCCTCCAATGGTCATTTAACACCAGTGTCATGAACTGCTGAAGGCATAAAGTCTCACATACTATACACCCATACATTCCTCAGCAAGCAAGAGGAGTTTGCGGCTGTCGCCAGCATTCCCAGTTTAATTCTACACCAGTCCTAGGAAGTACATGACGTTCGATGTCCTGCTAAGTATGACCAGTGTGCTTCTGCTCTATCTGCCAAGGGTCTTGCGCCATCTTAATTGCACAGAGTGATATTCACATCTCACCCCAACTAGTCTCTTTTCTTTGCTTATTCTGTTGCATAGCTCCTGAAGCAGAAATCATTCTTTGATAACAATGCTATATAACATGGTGGTTAGAAATGTGACACTTTGTGGATCAAATAAGCCTGAGTTTGAATCCAAGTTCCACCCCTGACTACTCATAGGATTTTGGGCAAAGTACTGAATCTGTGACTTAATTTTCTCATCTTCTTTTTTTTCTTTTTTTTTTTTTTTTTTTTTTTTTGAGAAGGAGTCTCACTCCGTCGCCCAGGCTGGAGTGCAGTGGCGCGATCTCAGCTCAATGCAAGCTCCGCCTCCCGGGTTCAGGCCATTCTCCCACCCCAGCCTCCGGAGCAGCTGGGACTACAGGCGCCCGCCACCACGCCTGGCTAATTTTTTGTATTTTCAGTAGAGACGGGGTTTCATCGTGCTAGCCAGGATGGTCTCCATCTTCTGACCTCGTGATCCGCCCACCTCGGCCTCCCAAAGTGCTGGGATTACAGACGTAAGCCACCGTGCCCGGCCAATTTTCTCATCTTTAAAGTATAACTGATAGGTATATTACACATGGTTTAACGGATTAAATGAGATAATGTGGGATGACTGTGAAGTATTAGCACAGTGCCTGGCAAATAATAAGTGCTCAGTAAATAATAGGTTTTAATTCTAGAGTTTCTGAACCTTCTTCATTACATGCTTTTGCCACCTTTTCATCATATCTCCAAAGATGAAAAATGTTCAAACCATTACATTGATACAGTAAAAGAATCTCTTGGTCAAAAGCACATGTTAATCTAGATGGAATTTTATTAGACACTCAGAGAAGGTCTGAATTTCTTTACAATAGAGAAAAACCTAAGTCTAATGCTTATGTATTTGTGCAGCGGAGCATGTGGCGTATAACAGTAACATAGTCACTTTGTGCCGAGTTTGGTTAAAATTCAAAAACCTTAAAAACTAACATAAAATACACATGAGATTGCATCTGGGAAAATTGAATCAAATTAGTTTTCAACTTTCTGTGCTTGCAGGGACAGGAAACTGAATAAATAAAATCCATAGATCACACAAACAAAAGGAAATCTAGTTTAAAACAAGTTAGACCTCTTCTAACAACAGATGCTGGAGAGGATATGGAGAAATAGGAATGCTTTTACACTGTTGGCGGGAACGTAAATTAATTCGGCCTTTATGGAAGACAGTGTGGTGATTCCTCAAGGATCTAGAGCCAAAAATACCATTTGACCCAGCAATCTCATTACTGGGTATATACCCAAAGGAATATAAATCATTCCACTATAAAGACACATGTACACGTATGTTTACTGCAGCACGATTCCCAATAGCAAAGGCTTGGAACCAACCCAAATGCCCATCAGTGATAGACTGGATAAAGAAAATGTGGCACATATATACAGTGGAATACTATGCAGTCATAAAAAAGGATGAGTTCGTGTCCTTTGTAGGGACATGGATGAAGGTAGAAACCATCATTCTCAGCAAACTAACACAGGAACAGAAAACCAAACACCACATGTTCTCGCTCGTAAGTGAGAGTCGAACAATGAGAACACATGGACACAGGGAGGGGAATATCACACACTGGCGCCTGTCGGGGGGTGGGGGGCTAGGGGAGGGATAGCATTAGGAGAAATACCTAATATAGATGACAGGTTGATGGGTACAGCAAACTACCATGGCAGGCGTATACCTATGTAACAAACCTGCATGTTCTGCACATGTACCCCAGAACTTAAAGAATAACAATAACAACAACAAAAAAAGTTCACCCTCTTCTAAAGTCTTCTGTCTCGGAAGATTGCAAATGTTACTCATTTCAGTTTCATTTGCAACAGTTTCAGTTGATTTTCAGTTTCATTGCAAATGTTACTGATTGCAGCTGAAAATGAAATCTCCCAAGAAGAGGAAAGAAATGAAGGAAGCAAAGAAATAATAATAAAGATACTAAACAAAGTTCAACTAACTACTGGAGAGTGGGCAATGCCACGGAGCTCAGTGGTCAGCCCCTAATTATAAGGAAGTCTCCCTCATTTCAGATAGTTCTGGAAGAAGAAGGCAGTCCCAGAATAGCCCACATTAAGCAGCCCGGAAACCCACAGGCTCCCCAGCTTTGCTCAGACTTCCTGGCTTCAGGAAAAGAACCATCTATAGCCCGAGTAAGTGATGCTGGCCTTACCCCACCCACTCACTCCTCCTTCACATGTACCTCCAAAAAAGTAAAAAGCAAGCCCATGTCACAACTAGCAGTCATGAACTGAATCCACCTAATAGATGGGTTTTGTTTGGCTTGCAGAGTTTAAAAGGGAAAAAAAAATTTGGTTGCCAACACTTAGAATGGAGAGATTCCACACAAAATCCAGATCTCTGGCTCCTCTTAAAATTTTAGAATATTTTGCAACACCAGGCCAGCATGCCCAGTGGGAATAGGTAAGGGAACCCTTTTTTAAATGGAGTGTACACTCTCCAATTTGCCATTGTCCCCACCACTCCTTGTTCTGACACCCAGCCCACCACACTCATTGACATTAGCTGTCTGGCACTGGTCGATATTTGAGTGCCCAGAGCCCACTGGTCATTAAGAACAGCAAGCCAGATGTGCCAAATGTCAATAGCAACCAATATGTCTATTAACTAAAACCAAAAACATAATAGCAGAGAATCTGATCATTTAATGGAAAAAAAAAAACCTGGGCTGGCTATTAAAATATATGTTTCTTTCCTAGGACCACAACTGTGTGAAATTAGGCAAGTTAACTAATCTTTCCTAAATTTCAGTGTCCTCAAGTACGAAGTGGGGATAATAATACCAATGTCATAGCATATGTTATGGAAGATAATGTATGTTATTTTAAAGTCCTTTATAAAGTAGAATAAGTTAAATATAGATTATGATACTGAATTACTCTAAGCAATAGTTGACACAAGAATAAATGAAAGTTGTACCATAGATGTTTAATGTTACCACACACACAGAAATAAAATCTAATTCATTGACCTGCTGATGATTTCATGTTATTCTCCATACTTTGTAAATTCAAAATGTATGCACTTAAATGCTAGAGCCACAATTTAAAATTCTTTGTTAGCAAGAGAAAGAAAACTTAAAAAAGGAAAAAATAATGCCTTTGTACCTCATTATTCTTAGGATTAATTAGAATTTGGGTCATAGATTCAGGTTTTCTAAAAGTTAATGGTATATCAGAGGAGCGTAACTGAGGATTTGGAGTAGGCACAGATCATTCACTGTACATCTGCCTAGAACTTCATTAAGCAATATCTGGATCTGATTGTACCCATAAAATTTCTGTGCCCAAATGAATTTCAAATTAAGCTTCCTAAAGGAACGAGAGTCTATTAAATCCCTTCCTCCTGGAACTGCGGGCAGTATTTAGGAGATGAGATGACACTGACGGAGCACCTTATATCAGGCTCCCTTAATAAACCAAATAATTTCAAACCTTGGGACACAAATAACATTAGCAGAGGCAAGGCGATGGCCAGAACGGGAAGCTGAAATTCTGAAACAAGCAAAATTTTTCACAATTTCCCTTCATCAGGCCAACAGTCACAGTGCTAGACAAAGGGAATTTGTCTTAATAAGTGATGCGTGAACTGCCTCAATCTTGGTGCCTGCTCCACAGAAAGCCACTGTGAACCTCCAAGAAACTACGATGTCGTCCAATGCTGCCCCCAACAAATGATAGGGACCTTGACCTGGGCATACTCTGCCCACCTCCCTCAAAATCAAAGAAGAAGTGATCTTCTTTGAGAATATGAACTAGAAAATACCCAAGATAAAAGGTATTACTTTATCTTTCTCATAGCATTTAACTGCAAAAAAAAAAAAAAAAAGGGGATTTGTATGCATGTCTATCTCTTCTAGCTGTAGGGCCCAGTGCTAGTGTATAGTGAGCACCCGATTCATATTTCTTAAGTTGTGCTAAATTGTCTTCATTCTCCATTTTCTGACTTAGCAGCACAAACGACCTAAAAACCTCCAAGCACTTTATTTATCTGGGACCTCCTCTTTTGGGCCATAGAGTGAATTATGGTACTGTGCTCACCACGACTCGGCAAAATGATAAAACTTTGAAATATAAGACTTACATCAGGCCGGGCGCGGTGGCTCACGCCTGTAATCCCAGCACTTTGGGAGGCCGAGGCGGGCGGATCACAAGGTCAGGAGATCGAGACCATCCTGGCTAACACGGTGAAACCCCGTCTCTACTAAAAACACAAAAAATTAGACGGGCGTGGTGGTGGGCGCTGTAGTCCCAGCTACGCGGGAGGCTGAGGCCGGAGAATGGCGTGAACCCGGGAGGTGGGGCTTGCAGTGAGCCGAGATCGCGCCACTGCACCCCAGCCTGGGCGACAGAGCAAGACTCCGTCTCAAAAAAAAAAAAAAAAAAAAAGACTTACGTCAAACTGTGCACAGTGGAATATCTCCTGGATTCTGTAAAGGCAGATTGATAATGCAATCATGGTACACCACCACTGATACTGCTCAGCCCTTAAAATTCAGGCTAGGAATGGGAGGAGTGGGATTCCCCAGCTCCGCTCCGCTCCTGCGCTCCCATCGCTTCACCGCTAGGAAGCAGCCTAGCCAGCATTCCCACAGGGTTGGAGCTGGAACTGCACACTGGAGAGTTAAACAGACCAAGCATTCAGTTTCTGCCTCAGGCACTCACTGACAGGGCAAATACAGAAACTTCAATTCCTCGTGTCTTGGTTTTGTCATCTGTAAAATGGGATAACAGCTCTTACCATAGGACCCCTGCAAAGAGTAAATGTATATAAAGGGCTTGGCACCCAGCCTGGCACACAGTAGTGGTGTAATAGATGCCACAACCCTCGTGTAGGGAGAAGAGACGTACAGTGACCCCGAGTGAGCTTGAAGATGACGCTGTGATCAAGCTTGGAGTGGGCTTCCAGGCACACTGGTGTCACCCCGGGCTCTGGGGCCCAAGGCAACACTTCTCAAGCCTTTCTATTGGAACACCACTAACTGTAAAGAGCGGTGAATGTATGCCCTGGGGCCTGTTGGAAGCTTCCAAATTCATTCTTGTTTTGTGGTAAACCTCCATGTCTTTTTAATTTGCTCCCAAGCAAATTTGTCTTGGTTTTAATGTCAAAACAATACGGCCTCCTCCTACATCTCTGAGAAATATGAACCTTTAGGGAGGCGTGCTATAATCATATGGTGACTTTGCTGACCCGTCGGCACCTTCCCCACACGCCTGAGGATACATGTGCCTCAATGTGCTACCACGTGGGACTGCCCTTCCATTAGCATAAGTAAGAGTGTGGGTCCACCTTTGGATATTGTAGCGTCTCATGATTTTTTTTTTATTTTTATTTATTTTTTTTGAGACGGAGTTTCGCTCTTTTTGCCCAGGCTAGAGTGTAATGGCACGATCTCGGCTAACTGTAACCTCCACCTCCCCAGTTCAAGTGATTCTCCTGCTTCAACCTCCCAAGCAGCTGGGATTACAGGCGTGTGCCACCATGCTTAGCTAATTTCATATTTTTAGTAGACGGGATTTCACCATGTTGGTCAGACTGGTCTCAAACTCCTGACCTCAGGTGATCTGCCCACCTCGGCCTCCCAAAGTGCTGGGATTACAAGCATCAGCCACCGCGCCCAGCCAGCATCTCATGATTAATAAATAAAATGCCAAGGCCCTGAAAAACTTTTGGAGAAAATGATTTTCTCCAAATCACAATGTGGGAGGAGATAGGCTAAACAGGGACCAGCTCTCTGAGCACAGCCTACTTTCATCTCTGGTCATAAACATCATAAAAACAGAACACAACACATTCGTGAACAAAGTTAGACCAACCATAATGCCAAAGTGATCTTAACAGAATCACAAATGTCATAGGCACCCTAAGGGAATGTCGTAAGGCATCCCTTAATGTCATAACATTTGAGAGAAGTGCCTGCTGTTTACCAAATACAGGTGAATAAATAAAGGAAATAAATAAATAAATAAATGTGCATCAGTGGCTCAGTTTGGGAATAAGGATGAAGAATTTGCATTCGAAATCCTCATAAAAGTCACATTAACCAAAGTTATGTTTCCATAAGACATAGTATTTGCAGATTGGGTCATCTGTACTGACCCTATGTGGCTGTTTCTGACCAAAAACATGCAGATTCCGACTAGTTCATAGCCCTTAGACAGGAGTAGCTATTGGTAAACATTGTAACAGCTGTAGGGAAATTAGACTTTCTTAATACTTAATATACAGAATGACAATACTACATGTACATATTTTGAAAAAAGAATATATACACTTACAGTGAGACAGTTTCAAACTATTTCGCTGATGAGAGGTACAATGTAAGTTATAAAATAATATCTAAACTCAAATAAGCACTAATATTAAAAGATAACTACTCTTTTACTTTTTAACTAAAATATTCAGGTGATTCTTAAATCGAACTTTAAATGATGTCCATGATATGTAAATCTTAAAAAAAAACAAATGGTATTTTCGTGTCTTGCCACAGTAGAGATGATCAGATACTTACCTCTAGGGGGAGCTCAAGGCTTTGTCTCTACTTAACGTTTTCTGTTTTCCCGGTGTTGCATGACAGAGCCCTTGGGATCTCTCCACTTGGGAAAAGATGCTCCACCCCATCCCTCTCATCCCCTTAAAAAGTTGCAAAAATTTGGGGTGGGAGGAGATGCTCAGGAGAAAAAGAGACTCTGGGAAAACTAATGGGCCAATCTCAGCCCACTAAGTGGTTATTTTTCTCTTTGGGGATAAAGCCTAACCATTATAAACCCAGTGTTTGCCTGGAGGATCCCCTTAGCAAATCCCTCAAACTACCAGTGGCAGCAGTATGAAACTGTGGACATTCATGCCCCATCATCCTTGGCTTCTTAGGATTACTGACTAGCACTCTTAGCACTTGTGGCTATATAAATACCGCTTTAATTTATACCAGCATTTCTCAAAATGGACTTTCAAAGAACACCAGTTTGACTGTAAGTTAGCAAATTTTATGTAAATAAAGGGTTGTCTGTCACAGAAGTTTAGAAAACACTGGGTTAAACTAAGTTCAAAAGTTTTCCTTTGTGCAGGACTTTTCATAGTCTGTAATGCATGATGACTCTCCAAAAGAAGGGACAAGTAGGAAGTGTTTCTCAAGTCTATATGACCACAGGTCTCTCTTTTAAGAGCTTCCTCTTAGGCCTGTTAGAACACTCCCTCAGACATTTTGCTCACGATTGCTGAGGTCGTGGTTAAGAAAAGAAGCACAGATTTGTTTTTTGTTTTTTGTTTTTTTAAACAACTCAGCCAAGTATATTTCAAACAAAAAGGGAGAGTTTGGTCTGAATTATCTGGATATCTGCTTCAATTAGCCATTCTAATTTACATGTACAATGAAAGCCTTGGAGTCCCACCTCCCTGCCATCACCTAATATTGTCTATGATAGGGAACTCATTAGGCCAACAGCATACAAAAATTTGGATTTATACTCAAAAAATGACTATTTACATCACAAAATGAGATTCGCCATAAAACTCCTTAAATCACAGATTCTCCCACCACATTTAAAAAATGATGCTACAAAATAACCATTAAGTTTACCCACTTACACATACTCAGCAAAACTCCTGGCTCACAGAGAGACACAATTGCATGTGGCATTGCACAGTGACCACTGCATTAAATACACACAGATGTAAACCCCTTCTTTTTAAAAGTTTTTCATGTAAGCTTTTTTCAGTAGGACACAAATTTTTTTTTATTATTCTGCCTCACTGTTTTTCTACCACATCTAGGCAAGTACAATCTGCATAAAAAATTGCTAGTCATGCCATTTTGCTACCCAGGTAAGGTATGTTAAGGCCATGTTGCTACTACTAGTCACCGTCTTCATGAGATGGGGTAGCTGGGTGGTGAATACAGTGGTCCTGGGGGAGGTGGATCAGGATCACGGACAGGCCTTTTTAAACTCTAGTTCTTAGGCAACTGCCGTCAGATTCTGCCCTCAGGTGAGAGCCACTGCTCCATGGTGTTCAAATGACAGAAAAAAAGTTGTATCCCAAAGAAATATTAGAGCAGGAAAATTATTACAAATCAGAAATATAGGACTACAGTTTCCAAAGTGAAGTTACATACTCCAGAAAATTTTAAAATAATAGAATTTCTGTTCATACTTTTATCTCAAAAATTAGAAATTAGACTTTCTTAGTATTTAATATACAGAATAACAATACTATATGTATATGATTTGAAGAAAAAAGGAATATGCACACATTTTAGAGAGAGACATTGTCAAACTATTTTGCTAATGAGAGGCACAATTTAAAAGTTGGGAAACCAATGCGCCCGCCGTGTCCGTGGAGAGAGGCTGAGGCAGCCAACCTCCGGCCCCAGGCACCGGGGCGCCGGGACGGCGAAAATGTCGCCTTCCTTAGTCCGGGCAACTGCCCGGGCTGTGAGCAAGAGGAAGCTGCAGCCCACCCGGGCAGCCCTCACCCTGACACCTTCAGCAGTAAACAAGATAAAACAACTTCTTAAAGATAAGCCTGAGCATGTAGGTGTAAAAGTTGGTGTCCGAACCAGGGGCTGTAATGGCCTTTCTTATACTCTAGAATATACAAAGACAAAAGGAGATTCTGATGAAGAAGTTATTCAAGATGGAGTCAGAGTATTCATCGAAAAGAAAGCACAGCTAACACTTTTAGGAACAGAAATGGACTATGTTGAAGACAAATTATCCAGTGAGTTTGTGTTCAATAACCCAAACATCAAAGGGACTTGTGGCTGTGGAGAAAGCTTTAATATTCGAAATCTCAGGACTCTTCTGGCCGTAGGTTCCAGGAAAGCTCGTGGAAGCTTTGGGGCTCACTGCAGAAATCATGTGACTGTCACGTGCTGGAAAATAAAGTGATACATCTTGAAAATGAAGCCAGTGTGTTGGATTCCGGAAGAAATGATATTTGTATTCTCTGTAGGGGACAAAATGAGAAGTCATCACTCTTTTTGGATCATTTAGATCTCTTGCATCCTTTGTTTTAGAACCAGTTTCATTAAAGTTGCCTTCCTGGACACCTGTTTATCCCTTTCCTGAACTGTGTGCACTCCTTAGATCGCTATTGAATGGCTTGAGCTTCCCTCAGCATTTCTCCCAACCAGATCGGCGACTCCTAAAATCCGAGACAGGACGTCCTGACTGCTGGTAGTAATATGGTGGTGCATTGTTTTTTCCACCCGAACTTAACATAGCCTTTTTATACATTTTTATGAAAAATTTCATTGTCAGCTGCCTCATTGTATACCCTTTAATAGTACCAGGCAAAGATTTTCTTCAACTATAGTACAGATTAGTTCTGAGTGATGGTATCAAAAGGTGAGAAAGACGTCATCCACCTGTTTTTTAATCCATTTCTTTTGCCACCCTATATGTCTGTTCAGAGATGGGATCTCAAGCTGACTTTGATTCTTTTAGTTGAGGAGTCTCTTAAAGCCATCTAGCCCACCTCCCTCAATTCCCTATGTGAGGAAACAAAACCCCAGGGAAGCCAAAGGGCTCCTCTCCACCCTGACTCTACAGGCCGGGGGAGAGTAGGGACTCTACCCCTCTCTCCCCTTCCTTGTAGGTGACACATGCTCTGCCCTCTGAGGCAGTCAGCGAAGGCAAATGGTCTGACTGCTTTATGTGGTCAACATTTTAATAGAATTTCTTTATAATTTGATACAGGTTATATTATTTTTATTTTATTTTGAGTGGGAAGAATTTTAAAACCTTTTTATGTGAATTACCTCTTGTTTCTTTCACCTTTGAAACAGTGGTTTGTAGGAGAGATGACATTGTAGCAACCCAGAATTCTGCTTTTGGAATGTGGTCCTCACTGTGCAGGAGAACATGGGGATCTTTTGTTAAAATTCCCAGTGTGCATACACTTTCTGGTTCCTCGGTCCAGTTGCTAAAGTTCTTAGTATTTTAGCCTAACATATTTATCACCAACTTTTCTTTAAAAGTGTTCCTTTTGTCACTTAGTTACTGATTTTCCTGGGTTTGACATATTAAGTATTCTATGAGATGATATATATGCTTTTTTTGAAAGCTGATTCTCATGAATTCAAGTAGCTGAGTTCCTTTATGTTTAGTTTATTCACTAAAGTAGCTGGCACAAAACACACCAAAACCTAGAGCAATAGCTTTATGCAAATGCTCATGAGTTTGTATCAATAATATGATTGTTGGATCCACTTATAATTCATGCAATACTGTATGTATGTAGAGATTGAGTTGTCAATTTAAAAAAATGTGTCCTCTTTGTGATTAAAAAAAAAAGTTGGGAAACAATGATATAGAGAAAATTATGCCTCTGCAAGCATATTTCAGGTTAATTAGACAATAACTTAGACAGATGTGAGCCTGCAATCCAATAATGGTCTCCCATTGTCAAACAAATGTCAAGATAAAACTAAACTTATTTCTGAAATGGTTCCATGTTATTATAAGAACAAATTTCACATTTTATTAACACTGTCACTTGAGTAGCAAATAACAAATTTTGAAACTTGGATAGCAAATAGAGAAGGAAAAAAAATTAAAATTAGGCTTTTAAAACCATTGGGTTCATGATCTGGGTTCTCTGCTCAAAAATATCAGCAACTTGTAAATTTTGGGCAGTATTTTTGAATCAACAAATATTAATCAAGAGCTGACTCAACATATTCACTTTTTAAATTTAAAAAGCAACCTGAATATATTTGTTATTTTTGAGTGGGAATGAAGCTTGCAAAGCTTATACGCATATTCAATTGAATTTATTACCAATTAAAAGATGTAAATAATTAATTTGAGTAAAACGTTTGAGTCTTCTTCCAAGACTATAGGGCAGTGTTTACTCATTGCAGAATCTTCCAAGTTTACTCAAACTGTTGGCACAGTTACCTTGAAAAAAATTTTTCCATAAGATAAGTTTTATTTTCCTTGGGAGGGTAAAGTCAAAAGAAAAATTCAGACTTCCAAGATTATATAAAAGTAGAATGAGTTAATATAAATATGTTCCAATAGTCACATGCCTTTCAGATATAAAGAAACACACATGTTCACATAAAAGACTGATATAATAACTATATACAAAATATTTTTGCCTTTCTGTTAAAACATACTTGTCAACTGGTAACATTCGTAGTATACTTTTGGAGATAAATTGAAGGCCTAGAGATTTGTCAATACCTTCACAGTCCATAACATGTTCTAATTCTAGGAAAATCTTATAAGGACTAAGTTCTTATAAGAGCATTTTGTATTATTAATTATTATAGAATTCCACTCCCCTTCACTCTAATGTTGTTACTTATTACAAAAAATAATCAGAGCCATTTAATCATATTATGGAAAATGATCTCTGCTTTTTCCTTATATTCACCTAAAAGGCCCTGCCATAAGCGTAAGATCAGGGTCTGAATCTTCCATAGTAGAAGTAATAACAAAAGAACCTCAATAAAGGATTATACCAGGTACCCTGGTCTATTAATACTACAGGGGAGTAATCCCCAGGCACCATTAACATCAGCACCATGAAGAGTCTCCTGTGACTGAATGATGATTTCTAGGACTCTTCAGCCTGAGTATTGAAGATGACTTCCACCCAGTACTTTGAAAACAAACCTCTCCAGAGGCAGAAACCACTGATTACCATGTGCTGCATTGCATTGTTTTGTTCCTGCTGGATTAAGGTTATAAATTAATTGTTAGTAGACATCTCCATTTTTAATCATGGTAATCTCAAGAACTTTACCCCTAACAAACCACTGGGTTAAGGACTAATTACTCAGGTATTGGCAAAGTCAAACAATCTATATCAAAATTAAAGGGACATCTAAATCAGTTACGGGCATGTTTCAAACTGTAGTAATAATCCTTGTCCTAGTTTTGCCTATCTGGCAGGTGCCAGGTATATGTCTCCAGAGTCTGAAATGCTGCGGTATAGTCACTGGCATACCAGATGATGCAACAGGTCATTCTGCAACTAAAGAAACATGAGGGACTAACTCTAGTTCAACTGCAGATGACATTCTCTGAGCAATCTTCTAATCAACAGACTCCAGACAATAGTGCAGATCTGATAGATCATGTCCCAGAGACAATGGTCTCTCCTTCAGTTTAGACTGAAGAATGACCAGAAGATGGTAACCGAGAATTGAAACAGAACTCACAGCTTGCAAAACTGGACCAAATTGTGGCATCAAGAAAACAGTCTAAGCTCAGATTCTTTAATGGCAACTTGCTCGGGCCCTATCTTCCAAGATAAGACACAGGCTCACCCTAGCTGACAAATTCTACTAGTCCCCATCAGGACTATTCGGTGACTAACTCTAGTCCTCAAAACTCTAGATTTACCCTTCTCTAACTTCCAAAGGGAAGTTACAGAAGGGTAAATTGAAGATGAACTTCCCAAGGTCATCCACGGTGTGCATGCTTCCCTGCTGAGGCAAACTATTAAATTTAACCCTTTTATTTTTACTGTAGCTGTGTTTCTGACGGTCTTTGGTCAGGGGGTCTTAGCAAAGGCCATAAAGTCACCTTGAAGCATGCTGAGTCTTGATAAAGAGGGTTTGTGGGTAAGGTGTATTTTTTAAGCAAAGGAGAAAAAAGAGAGGGGACCCAGATAATTGAACATAGAAAGAAAATGGGGCTTCTTCATCAATATCAAATTCCTAGGCCCTGCAACTTCCTCATCTATGCTGCTTCCAATGAATAGAGAAACCATAATAAGGCTCTTTGTAAAATAATTTGATGCCTAGTCTAGTTGCTATATAAATATCAGTGAAAACAACAATAGCAATACATTTTCATACATATATAGAGATATATAGTAACTTATAAGTTTGTAACTTATAACCTATGATACTGGTGCTGTTCTCATTTTAAAGGAAATCTCAGAGGATCTAGGCACCTAAATTACTATCACGCAGCTTTAAATAGTGCAACCAGAACAGAAACTCAATTACTAACCACCATGATAAACTCCTTTCCATTTTTTTTTCCAGATTTTATAAAATAAGAATCTACGTCACCTTGTGCATAATAGCAAAAAAAATTTGGAGACAAGTTATTGTTTTAGAGGAAACAAAGTTCACTTTTTAAAAAACGTAGATTGGGCACCATGGCATGTTCCTGTAGTCCCATCTACTATGGAGGCTGAGGCAGGAGAATCGCTTGAACCCAGGAGTTCCTTAAAGCTAGGAGTTCGAGGCCAGCCTAGGCAACATAAAAGACCCTATCTCTAAAAAAGAAAAACTTAAATAAAAATAAATACATAATAAAATAAATGTTGTGAACAAAAAACAATCTTTTTAATCATCATTTTTCATAGACCATAGCATTTATGCAGTCAGAAGGAATTTAATCACACACCATAACCAAAAGTTTTACAAATACTTAGTTAACAAATACTCAGTACAGTAGCCCCCCCACCACCACCACTTATCTATAGTTTCATTTTCTGTGGTTTCAGTTACACATGGCCAACCAAGGTCCAAAAATATTAAATGGAAAATTCAAGAAATAATTCACAAGATTTTAATTGAACAGCATTCAGCTCCATCCTGCTTTGGAGATGAATTATCCCTCATCCAGTGTATCTGTTCTGTAGACCCTGCCCACCTATTAGGCATTTAGAAGCCATCTCAGTTATCGGATCACTGTTGCAATATTGCAGTGCAATAGAAGTACAGGGTTCAAGTCACCCTTATTTTGCTTTTATTACAGTATATTGTTATAATTGTTCTACCTTCTTATTGTTGTTAATCTCATACTCTGCCTAATTTATAAATTAAACTTTATCATAGCTATGTATGTATATGAAAAAACTTAGTATATATAGGGTTGGTACTATCCACAGTTTCAGGCATCCACTGAGGGTCTTGGAACGTATCCCCGCAGATAAGCGGGAACTGCTGTAATACTACCAAAGTTTTCAACCTCACCTCGCTGTGAGGTCAAACACAGTCAATGCTTTACAAAGGCACCAGTCATGCTATCATCTGAGTGGAATAATCACCTTTGAAATGGTCAGTAGGATTTGAAATGTAGTCATGGCTCAGGTAAAAGCAATGGCCCATGGAGAAACTTTGAGCATTTCATTAAAATGGGTTTTTAAGCACATTCATAGTTCATAAAACTTAATGGTCTGTCTGTAATGATTTATTTTTAAGTCAGCCAGAGGCTGTTAGGAAGCCAAAACATGACCAAATATCATCAACTACTCTGTCAAACTTAATGTGAGAATTTAAAGTCTCACCACAAACTTAACAAATAAACTAACTTCTCCCAGCATGAACTGAATGTCTCCACTTGAATAAACTAAATTCTTCCTGACCTACCAGGACTTTCTGTATACTAAAAGGATATATTCTTTCCAGAGTACTAGGTCAGATATGTCATGACAGAGTCAGAGGGACTCATTAACGTTACCCACACAAAAGACTCAAATGAAGAGAAGACACAAGATGGCATTCCTGAAAATCAGAACACTCATTTTTACTGGTGAGAAGAGGTTTAAAAAAGAATATTAATAGAAAATAGTTCCCTGCTACAGAGGTTAAGTGTGAAGGTCTAAATTTGACAGCTTCTGTCTTAGTCCATTTTGGATTGCTATAAAGGAATACCTGAGGCTGGGTAATTCATAAAGAAAAGAGATTTATTTGGCTTACAGTTCTACAGGTTGTACAAGGAGCATGGCACCAACATCTACTTCTGGTGAGGGTCTCAGGGAGCTTCCACTCACAGTGGGAGGCGATGGGAACAGGCATCACATGGCGAGAAAAGAAGCAAAGATGGGAGGAGGTGCCAGACCAGGCTATTTTTAACAACAGCTCCCAGGGGAACTAATAGCATGAGAACTCACTCATTACCCTCCAGGATGGCACCAAGAAGTTTTTGTTTTGTTTTTTTAATACTTTAAGTTCAGGGTTACATGTGGAGAAGGTGCAGTTTTGTTACATAGGTATACACGTGCCATGGTGGTTTACTGAACCCATCAACCCATCACCTACATTAGGTATTTCTCCTAATGCTATCCCCCCCCAGGCCCCCAACACGCACAGGCCCCAGTGTGTAATGATCCCCTCCCTGTGTCCAAGTGTTCTCATTGTTCCACTCTCACTTATGAGTGAGAACATGTGGTGTTTGGTTTTCTGTTTCTCTGTTAGTTTGCTGAGAATGATGGTTTCCAGCTTCATCTATGTCCCTGCAAAGGACATGAACTCATCCTTTTTATGGCTGCATAGTATTCCATGGTGTATATGTGCCACATTTTCTTAATCCAGTCTATCACTGATGGACATTTGGGTTGTTTCCAAGTCTTTGCTATTGTGAATAGTGCTGCAATAAACACATGTGCATGTGCCTTTATCTTACAATGATTTAGAATCCTTTGGCTATATGCCCAGTAATGGGATTGCTGGGTCAAATGGTATTTCTAGTTCTAGATCCTTGAGGAATTGCCACACTGTCTTCCACAATGGTTCCACACTGTCTTCCACAATTTACACTCCCACCAACTGTGTAAAAGTGTTCCTATTTTTCTACAACCTTTATAGCATCTGTTGTTCCCTGACTTTTTAATGATCACCATTCTAACTGGTGTGAGATGGTATCTCAACTGTGGTTTTGATTTGCATTTCTCTAATGACCAGTGATGATGAGCATTTTTTCATGTGTCTGTTGGCTGCATAAATGTCTTCTTTTGAGAATTGTCTGTTCATATCCTTTGCCCTTTTTGTGATGGGGTTGTTTGCTTTTTTCTTATAAATTTGCTTAAGTTCTTTGTAGATTCTGGATATTAGCCCTTTGTCAGATGGATAGATTACAAAAATTTTCTCCCATTCTGTAGGTTGCCTGTTCATTCTGATGATAGTTTATTTTGCTGTGGCACCAAGAAGTTTTTAAAGGATCCACTTTCATGATCCAAACGCCTCCCACCTGGCCCCTAATGTTGGCCCAACATTAGGGATCAAATTTTAACATGAGATTTGGAAGGGACAAACATCCAAACCATATCAACTGCTAACCAGAAAATGTGCAAATTCAGTGCTGTCATCATACGCATCATACGCATTTTCATATAAACTGCTAGCTAAGGGGAAATTTCCATTTAAACTGCTAGCTGTCTGTTAATCAATAAATCATTTTATGCACACCTGCATTTTTTTTCAAAAATCAGCAGCTAAAGTGTCAAGGGACTCACCTTAATTTCTCTGCAAGACACTCATTTGATCAGCATGTGGCTGAATTAATGACTCTTCATTTTATGTCGGCATTCTTTCACAAATCCACACAATTGTAGAAAACAGAATAGTGAGTAATAAAGATGATCAAAAGAACAGTAAAACAGAAAATAATGTCCTCAATTAACCACAAACTGGGAGCCATTTCTAGGTAAAATTACTATCAAGCATATTATTAGTTGCTTTACATATTATTACCTGTTCTTGATATTGCATCTTATATAGCATCTAAAGCAGGATTAGGCATACAGTAACTAGTAGAGAAATAGAATGGATTAGTAAATATAAGAAAAAAATAAGAATGCAGAATGAATAAAAGAATAAATGTGTATCTCTGTTTGCTAATCCCCACATTTGCTCTATTGGGAAGCATTTCTTTCCCCTGAACTCAAGAAATACTAAGCCTGCCTCCAACAATTTTAATTAAAATCTGTCACATCATTTCTTTAACATGAAGCCTTTAATTCACATCTTTTGATGTCTTGTGTCTATATTCCATTTTCTGCCCTTGCTTTGTTACATACTGCCTCTCAATTTTAGTAACTTTATTGCCCTTCTGATTACAAAGGTAATGCATGCATAGTGCAAAAAATATCAGAAAATATGAAAGATTATAAAGAGGAATAAAGGTTATAACCCAGAATTAACCACTGCTAATATTTCTGTAGCTTTCCTCCAGACTTCTACTTATTCATGTATTCAAAATGAGGCCATACTAAATATACTATTTAATATCTTTTGTTTATTTTTCAAAAACATTTTTGACCTAGTACTATAAAATCAGCCTCTGGCTCCCAACCAATCCATGGGGTCAAAACACTTCAGCACAGATCTGAGAATGTTTTTAGTTTGCAGGTATATATCCATCAAGGTATCTATACAAGAAGATTTACTGTAGCATTGTTTGTAACAGTCAAAAACTGGAACTACCAATGGGAGTCTGGTTAAATAAATTATGAGCCACTATACAATGGTGTGTTAATCAGGATTCTCCAGAGAAACAGAACCAGTAGGATAAATGAATAGATAGATACCTAAGAAGGTTTATTATAAAAATTGGTTCATGTGATTATGGAGGCTGAGAACTCCCATGATCTGCTGTCTGCACACTGGAGAGCCAATGGTATAATTCAGTCCAAGTCCGATAGCCCAAAAACCAGGGGAGCCACTAGTCTAAGTCTCAGTATGAGTCCAGAGGCCTGAGAACCACAAGCACTGATATCTAAGGGCAAGAGAAGCTGGATGTCCCAGCTCAGAGAGAGCAAATCTTCCACTACATTTTTGTTCTATTTGGGCCCTAAACTGACTGGATGATGCATTGATGAGGGTGATATTCTTTATTCATCCCACTGGAAAAAGCCCTCACAAACATACATAAAAATAATGCTTTATCAGCTATCCAGGTGTCGCTTAATCCAGTCAAGTTAACATCTAAAATTAACCATTACACCTCCCATGGATCCTACCTCCTAATACCATTATCTTGAGGGTTAGGATTTCAACATATGAATTTATGCAGGGCATAAACATTCAGTCCATTGTACTGATAAAAGATGCAAGACTCCTGAGTCAGCAATAAATATTACTCACAGAAATAACAATAGGCAGAATGTCAATATTTTCTTATATTAATTTCCAATCCTGCAGGGCAAAGAAGACCAGGTGATACCTGCACACATGCCCTGGGCTTTGTTAAAGGAGAAGAACCCTAACCTTAAAAGAATCAGAATCTTTTATACTGGGTAGTAAGCATGCCAGTGCTTTGCTCTGGAGGAAAATGCTGTCTCTCTATTCCAAGGTTGTTCACTAGGCAAGCATCCTTGTAAAGTTGGTTTGGAGCTAACGCAGTCAGCACCTCTACTCTCAAGCCATACGTGAACGTGAGAGACTCGTGAAGAATTACCTCTCAGTAGGCTATATGTATATATCACTCTTTTTAGTGGCTGCAAAATATTAAATTGTATTAATGTTCTATGACACATTTAACTAATGTTTTAAAATAACTTTTAAGTATTTCTAAAGCCACCAATAATATTCTTGGACTTGTCCTATTATTTCCTTGAGATTAATCTAGAAGTGGGATTGCTGAGTCAGACTATATATATGCTTTTTGAAGTTTTGTTTAATATGTGCATTACATTGCCCTAAGCTTCTACTTGTACAGATCGCCCACACCCCACTTGCATGAATAGTGTTTGGTCCCCACACTTTCACTAATGCGGGATATTAATGATCTGATCTCTTCAAATTTAACAGGCAAAGTGATATCTTACTTTGTTGTCATTTTCATTTGTTGATTACTAATAAAATTGAATCTTTTTCTATGTTTATTAACTATGTATCTTTCTTCTTTTATATTTAAATATTGACTTCTGTCCATTATTTTTAATGGAACATTCATGTCTGCCTTATTGACCGGTAAGAGTATATATTAAGACAATTATTCTTTTGTTATAGGTTACCTCTTCACAAGGTACATTCCACTTTATATTAAGAATTTTTATACAATAGAATATCTAGTTTAATACCCACCCATAGAAAATGTCCCTATTCTTAAGGACAATCTTCTAGCCCCAGAATATTACTCTATCTCTAGAGGAGAAAGTAGTATAATTCCATGGCTATACCACAGGGATAAACCTCTTTATTTCTACATTTGGGCATCTCTGCCTTCATAGGCCATCAAGGTCTATGCTAAATAGCTTAAAACTTATCCATTTACAAATGTGGATTTTCACATAAGTTCTCCTTTCCTTTTCCCCTCAAATTTCATATGATTAAACTTGAAACTAATTATAAAAAGCAATGTGGAACACAGAAACAAGACTAAAAAGCTCTAATAGAAGAGTTTGATCCCAGCCCGTTATAATAGAAGTGTCCCGTCTTTCTCATTGTTATGATGAAAGTCATTATCCACTAAAAGCCTAATCTCCCAGGCCAAGTAAATACAAAAGGCTGTTAAATCTTAAAGAAGTTATAGAATGTGTTAGTCTTGTTAGTGGTCTCCCTAATAGGAAATTACTTTTAATTACTTCTGAAAATCTTGTTCCATGAAAAAATAAATCATCTTTTGCAAATCATAGCCAGAAATTAGAAGAATCTAATATGAAAAATTTATTCAAATTTTAAGTTTAAAAACAAGTGATTGCAACGTTAAAATGAAGTCCTTCAACTCTCTAGCAAAGTACTAAAGAAAGAAAAAAAAGCTTTTAGGCAGCTCTATTCAAATAATATATGAGAGCAAATTTTGACAAGGCCTTCTATGAAATAAAAGGCTATGTGTTAATTCAAAACTCAGTGGTAAGTGTCAAGTCTCAAAATTCTCAAGAAATATTGTTTTACTTATTTCAGGCAGCTGATGTATATTAGGTAGTAGATTATTAAATATAATTATTAGAAATAATTTCAAGGTGGGGAAAAAAAACTAAAATAGCTAAAGACATACAGGTTCCTCTAGGACCTGTGCTGGTTTGGGGAAATTAGAGCTGAAATAAAATCCCGTAAGCACTGAGAAACCGGCAGCTTCTGGATGCTCCAAGTTCATGCGGTGCAAAAAACACCTTCAGAGCACAGTTGATGTTCAGGAGCCCAAACCTATGCTGAGTCCAAAGAACCCAGCCCTCCTGGTGGCACCAGAAAGTGAGAGGTACTTTTACAGCCAGACGCCGTCAATAGTCTTCAAGTCATAGAATAAAGACTACAAGTAGCCAGAAATTGCATGATTTTTCTTCTTGACATTGCTATTTGGGGCCTATTGAAAACTACATATTTACATACACATATACATATACATAAACATGTGTATAGATATATGTACATAGAACTTTAAATTTGGTCACTCCCTTCCCTTCCCAGTCCCCCCAATGCACAAACTTTTCTCTCAGCTTCTCTATCTTGCTCCTGCCAATATTGTGAACATTAAAAAAAAAAAAATCAACATGAACTTGAACTAGTACCTTCCTACCACCTCCCTTTTATGTATTTATTGAATCCTCACAACACCTATCACATACAGCAGAGAAACTGAACCTCGGGAGGTTAAGTGACTTTTCTGAAATCACACACTTAGGGAATGGTCTAGCGGACTTTCATTCTCAGAAACTTACCAGACTGGCTTTTCCTCTGCCTCTCTTGGCGCCTGAGTTCAATTACCTTTTGGAACACATGGAGAGTCTGTTGGCTTTCTTACCCTCCCCCAGGTAGTCACAGAGACCCAGACAACATCTTCTGTCTTTAAGTAGAAGATATTCTTCTATTTGTGCACCCCATGCCAGATATGGCAGAAATTCTGAGCCAGGAGACCCCATAAAGAGGGTGAGGTTTTCCGTAACTCTGAACAACTGGCCAGGTAAGATTGAAACTGTCAGCCTGTATAGCACCATTGACTCACAGAATCATGAAATCCCGAACCTGGGTGGTACCAAAAAGCTCACTTGGCTCAACAAAATGATCACTTCTGAGGAGTTAAGAAAGCAAACTTCGCAGGTATTTTCTGTTCAGTAATGGACTTCTCTGTGTACATTATATGTCAGAAAAGCATGGCAGGGTCCTTTTTGATTGATGGTGCTTGGGTGAAAATCAACCACGCAGTTAGGCCCCATCCTTTGAGACAAAAGCAGAACTATATGGTCAAGAATGATGGGAGTATGCATGTTGCATAAGTAGTATATGTCAGAATGGAAGCCAAAGATGATTGGGGAGAAAGAGCTAAGTGCTAGTACAAGATCTGGGGAGTTCTTTATTAAAGCCACTTTGTTATTCACTCTTTAAGTTTCTTTAGAATCATAACTGTGTCACTCATCTACTTTAAAGATTCTAATATAAAGTATGAACATAATTTTTGCCAATTAGAAGAATAGATTCTAATGAGAAAATGTGTCTCTCAGGTCAGTGCTCTTAGAATCTAAGACTAACGCTAGCACTTGAGAGAACTGAATGAATTAATTTGATCTGTAATTACTGACCCTGCAGAGACTCAAGAACTGGTTAAACAGAAGTAGATCTGTGGTGAAGCTAATGAATCTGAATTTCCAGGCCCCTCACTTGCATGGGCCCCTTCCAAGACCCTTGAAAGTGCCCTCACAATGTCACCATGATTATATGTTTTTGTAAAAAATGCAAAAGTAAAATATTTTAACTGCATTTGGTTGATTAGGACCCCTGTTTCCTTCTACTTCAACATCTTCTTCAAGCAGATGTTGTAGTGGAAAGAAATAGCAGTCTTAATCAACCAATTGCAGTAGGAGAGTGTTAAAGTGGCTGCAGTTATTTTGGGATCCAGCTAAGAGAGAAAGTTGAGTTGGAAATACATTTAAATTTAATGAGATGTACTTATGTGGTTCACAGCCACTTCCACATACAGCTAAGTTATTGCTAGCTTGTCTAGTAAGAATAGCTTCTAGGAAGAATATTCCTACTGCCACTATGCGACTCCCCCAGCACTGGCTCATGAAGATATAGGACAAGAGGCTGTATCACAATATAAGTGGTCCTACAGCACCCAGTGTTGGGAGTATGCGAGAGGAGGAGGAATAAGAACTGCAAGAAGCTGAAAGTTCATTTGAGGAACATTTATCCAATCATAAGACCTATAAAATTACAGTGACCCTTGAACAACATGGGTTTGAACAGCACAGGTCCACTTACAGATGGATTTTCTTCTGCCTCTGCCACCCGTGAGACATCAAGACCAACCCATCCTCTTCTTCCTCCTCTTCAGCCTATTGAACATGAAGACAACAAGGATGAAGACCTTTAGGATGATCCACTCCCACTTAATGAACAGTAAATATGTTTTCTCTTCCCTGCGATTTTAATAACATTTTCTTTAACTTATTGTAAGAATACAGCATATAATACATATAACCTGCAATATCTCTGTTAAATTGACTATCTATGATATTTGTATAGCTTCAACAGTGGGCTATTAGTAGTTAAGTTTTGGGGGAGTCAAAAATTATACACAGATTTTTGACTGTGCAGGGGGTCAGTGCCCCTAACCCCTGAGTTGTTCAAGAGTCAACTGTATAAACAAAGATTGGGTCCTCATTGACTACTAGTCAAAAGAAATTTTTCTTATATTGAGTATATTAAGGAATATACTCAATAATGCAGTACATGAAATTTTAACACCCCAGAACAATCTCAAGATGTAGAGTTATTAAAACTATAATATCAACAGGCAATTAAATTTTTAAATCTTTGCTATTTTTCTATTTTATATGTCTAGGGTATTTATCAGATTTTTTAAGTTGGTACTTTGTTGTGATTTCTTTTTATGCTTTAAGTAAATATTGACACTTATGCTTAATTTTGTATTTATAAATGTGAATTCCTTTTCTTAAATAGTACTCCTAAAATTACAAAGCCTCAAGCCTCATAAAATCTGGATCCTGCCCAAAAGATCCTCTCTAGAAGAATCAAGAGTCCAAAAATCCAAGATTCCTGCAGAAGGGAGAAATGTCAGCAGGCTACATTTGGTGTCCCCTACAAACTAAAGGATGCTTCTTGAGATGGGTCTGGTTTTCTTTTTGTTCTATGTATTTCAGCAGTGGACCTCAACCACAGAGTGAGGGAAGAAATCTATCAGGAATGAAGAGACTGGGTAAACAGGTGAAACTGAAGCAGAAGGCAAAGAAGGGATGGGGTATGGTATAAATTTGCTCTAAAACTCTCAAAGAGGAAGTAAACACTCAGGGGACTAAGTGCTCAGAGAACTGAGGCCAGTTAGTTTCTCAGTTCATGGCTGAGATAACACAAATTATCCCTCTGCCTTCAGGGACAAGACAAATACCATGACCTTGGTACTGAGTTGTGGGGGGGAATAGTAGCCACGGTTTGGGGTGTCTGCCCCATCTAAGACCCTTCTTCTCTGAGAAATACTCTTACAGTCTGTAACATACCAAAGCGTTTTGTTAATAAATGCCCCTTTTGGATGAAAGTCTTGCTCTCAGACTCTCACAGGAGGGCACCCTACTCCCACCCTCATGATGTCTAGTTTCTCCCAGTCTAAGCCTTCCTAGTTCAACCTCCGTATTTATTTAGCATTTAGTCTTCTTGACTTTCCCTCTTTATTAGTTTTCTATGGCTGCCATAACAAATTAAAACATCAGAAATGTATTCTCTCACAGTTCTAGAGTCCAGAGGTAAAAAATTCAGGTGTTGGCAAGGCCATACTCTCTTTGAAGGCTCTAGGGGAGAATCCTTCCTTGCCTCTTCCAGCTTCTGGTGGCTGTAAGCATTCCTTGGCTCATCGCTAAATAACTCCACTCTCTACCTCCATGTTCACAGGGCCTCCTCCTCTCCTCTAAGGTCTCTTGTCACTGAATTTGGAGTTCACCCAATAGTCCAGCATGATCCTATCACGAGAACCTTAACTTAAGTGCATCTGCAAAGACCCTTTTTCCAACCAAATTACATTGATAGGTTCCAGGGATTAGTACATGACCATATCTTTTGGAAGCCAACATTCAACCCACTACATCCAAGGAGTTACTTAGGAGAACAGAACAACCTGAAACTTCACCCAGTTCCTGTTCCTCCAACACCTTCCTATCTTTAAAACAGCTCTGTCCAATAGAACTCTCTGCCATGATGGAAATGTTCCATGTCTGTGCCATCCAATAAGGTAGCCACCAGCCACATGTATCTATGGAGCCCTTGAAACGTGGCTAATGAAACTGAATAACTAAATTTTAATTGTATTTAGTTTTAATTAATGTAAATGTAAACAGCCACATGTAATTAGCGGGTACATTAGACAATGCAGTTCTAAAATTTTGACGGTGCTCATTTACTGCCTTCTCTTTCCTTATCGTCTGTCCTTATAAAAGTATATTCATTTCTTTATTGTCATTCTCATGACATTTTGGAAAGCAGTGAGGATAAATACACGCATTCAATCTGCCCTATATAACCAAATATCCTTCTCTATTGTCATGGAAGTAGCTCTTATAATCTCATTATGATGAAAACTATGATTTGGGGGATTTTCATTAGCAAATCCAATATGTGGATTCTTTTTCTGGGTCATTTTGGCTTGGGTCTCAATCTTAGCACAGAAGAGAAATGCAGTAATGGAATATTGGGAATGTAAAAGGCAGGACCCCTTACTCCATATTCATAACTCTTTTGGAAACCTATGATCAATGAATATGGAAGCCATTAGGCAAGTAGAATGTCAAATTATTGTACTGCCCTTGTTGTGTCTACTGCACCATGTGAATGAAGCATAAGTTGAATGAAAGTTGAATGAAAGGCAATAAAGATTTCACAAAGATTTTATATATTTTAATACGCCAATAATTTTTCCAGGTTTTTTTTTCTGATTTTCCCAAAATCTTTCCTCTTCTATCACCATGGAAGAAAGTCAGGCAAAGGAAAGATTTCTTTTGCTGTAGTGTCCAACAGCTGTATCCCTTGTTAGTCAAAGTAGGCCATGACCAGCCTGCTCAAGCTTGCTCAAACTTCAAAATCCTAAATTACTCAACATTTATGTTTCTGGTAGGAAATTTTTCATCCTGTTCACATTGGGCTATAAGCAAACAGTCCTCCAAACCTTAACATATGTGAAAGGAAGAATCAGAGGCGAAGCATACCAAAAATAAAAGCAGCAGTTTGCTTGCAAAGAATTTGCAAAGGAGTCAAACTTCAGGAGAACTTACTCATCAAATTAAAACACAATGAGTATATTTACTTTTTAAATTGCCAAAGTTACTGAGTTTATACTTAATCTGAGTTCATGGTGGGAAAAAAACAGCAGTTTTCCCACAGTTTGACATGTGAAAACACAGTTTTCTCACATATGACATAATGTATCTTCAGACATCAGTTTTGCAAAAGTCAGAGATACAGTTGTTTTGTTAAGGAGTCAGTAACTTACAGGAAATACTCAAGGTTTCTTTCACTTTGGAAATTAAACTAGAGAGAACAAACTTGTTATTTTTGGTTTGTCTCAGGGTACAAGGTGGGGTTTTCTTTTAATCCAGACTGTGGGACAGGTAAGTACACTCAGTCATGAAAGTGGCAGGGCCATGTCCATTTGACTTCTACAATAGATACTCTAACTCAATTAGCTGCTAAAAAATTAGACTAAGAAAGCCATTATGCAGACGATTAAAGCCAACAAGCGATTGATTCCAAGTCAGTTTATGTGAATGGGAGCAGGTTTTCCTGTATTCCAGACCTTTTTATGCTAAACCACTGTATCTTATGAAAAACTTACTCCAATATCTTTGTTTAGTGGAATAACATTAATGGTGACTAAAGGGACACAAAATGGCCTTTAGGACAGGTTGATAAACTATAACCTATAGGCCAAATTTACCCCACCATCTGGTCTTATAAATAAAATTTTAGTGAGACAAACACATATCCATTTATTTACATACTATTATGACTTTTTTTTGTTTTGTACAACAGGACAAGGTTGAGTAGTTGTGACAAATCATATTGTCTACAAAACTGAAAATATTTACTCTCTGGCCCTTTACAGAGAAAGCTTGCCAGCCCTTGATCTATAACTTTGTTTTCAACTTAAATTCAAATTCATCATAATTTAGTCTACCAGCAGTCCCCAACCTTTTTGGCACCAGGGACCAAGATCGGTTTCATGGAAGAATTGTCTTCCATGGATAGCAGGGTGTAGGGGATGGTTTGGGGATGAAATTGGTCCACCTCAGATCATCAGGCATTAGTTAGATTCTCATAAGCAGAGCACAAACTAGATCCCTTGCACACGCAATTCACAATAGGGTTCACACTCCTGTAAGAATCGAATGCCACCTCTGATCTGACAGGAGGCAGAGTTCAGACGGTAATGCTCACTCTCCTGCCACTCACCTCCTGCTGTCCAGCCTAGTTCCTAATGCCACAGACTAGTACCAGTCCATGGCTCGGGGATTGAGGACCTCTTTAGTATACAGTTGTCCCTCAGTATCTTCGGGGGTTGTTTCTAGGACGACCTGCAGATACCATAATTCACGCATACCCAAGTCCTGCAGGTGGTCCTGAGAACCCGTGGATACGAAAAGTCAGCCCTCCATATGGGCTTTGTATCCTTAGAATACTCCATTTTGATCTGCATTTGTTTGTGGATGAAAAACGCTCCAACCTAGAGGGCCAACTGTATTGAAAACATCTGAGTGTAAGTGGACCCACAGTTTAAACTGTCGTTGTTCAAGAATCAACTGTATTCTGTGAATATCCAGATGTCCAGCCGTGGACCACTAGTTTATAGGCATTAAGGTCACACAAATGAACATGTGCTAATTCATTTCTATATCAAAGGAACAAAATATGTCTTTGAAAAATAACTAAACTTTGTCTTCAAATTTTACTCATGGAAATAAAGGCAATAGAAAACATATTGTGCTAGCTAGATGACTTAGGGAAAGTTAACTCCTCTAAGCCTCAGTTTCCTCATCTAAAATATGAGAATAATCCATACCTAATAGGGTAAATCAGGGATGTCCAATCTTTTGGCTTCCCAGGGCCACATTGGAAGAAGAATTGTCTTCGATCACACATAAAATACACTATTACTAACAATAGCTAATGAACAAAAGAAAAAAATTGAAAAAAAATCTCAATGTTTTAAGACATACTAATTTGTGTTGGGCCACATTCAAAGCCATCCTGGGCTGCATGTGGCCCATGGGCGGCGGGTTGGACAAGCCTGGGATAAATGATTTGAGAGGGTTCAATTCAATCAGGTGAGTAAAATGCTCAGCAAAGTACCTGGCACTCAATGCATGGTAGCCATTAATACCATAATTTCTACAGTTAATTAAAATAGAAAAATAATTACATAGAAAACATGAACTTCCAGGAGACAAAAGGAGCTTAAAAGTCGCATATCTTTGTATAAACTCTGACATCTGACAATGAATTCTCTTTATTATTATTATACTTTAAGTTCTATGGTACATGTGCACAATGTGCAGGTTTGTTACATATGTATACATGTGTCATCTTGGTGTGCTGCGCCCACTAACTCGTCATTTACATTAGGTATATCTCCTAATGCTATCCCTCCCCATCTCGCCCCACCATGACAGGCCCCGGTGTGTGATGTTCCCCACCTTGTGTCCAAGTGTTCCCACCTATGAGTGAGAACATGCGGTGTTTGGTTTTCTGTCCTTGGAAGAGTTTGCTCAGAATGAGGGTTTCCAGCTTCATCCATGTCCCTACAAAGGACATGAACTCATCATTTTTTATGGCTGCATAGTATTCCATGGTGTATATGTGCCACATTTTCTTAATCCAGTCGGTCATTGTTGGACATTTGGGTTGGTTCCAAGTCTTTGCTATTGTGAATAGTGCCGCAATAAACATACATGTACATGTGTCTTTATAGCAGCATGATTTATAGTCCTTTGGGTATATGCGCAGTAATGGGGTCGCTGGGCCAAATGGTATTTCTAGTTCTAGATCCTTGAGGAATCGCCACACTGACTTCCACAATGGTTGAACTAGTTTACAGTCCCACCAACAGTGTAAAAATGTTCCCATTTCTCCACATCCTCTCCAGCACCTGTTGATTCCTGACTTTTTAATGATCACCATTCTAACTGGTGTGAGACGGTATCTCATTGTGGTTTTGATTTGCATTTCTCTGATGGCCAGTGATGATGAGCATTTTTTCATGTGTCTGTTGGCTGCATAAATGTCTTCTTTTGAGAAGTGTCTGTTCAGATCCTTTGCCCACTTTTTGATGGGGTTGTTTCATTTTTTTCTCGTAAATTTCTTTAAGTTCTTTGTAGATACTGCATATTAGCCCTTTGTCAGATGGATAGATTGTAAAAATTTTCTCCCATTCTGTAGGTTGCCTGTTCACTCTGATGGTAGTTTCTTTTGCTGTGCAGAAGCTCTTTAGTTTAATTAGATCCCATTTGTCAGTTTTGGCTTTTGTTGCCATTCCTTTTGGTGTTTTAGTCATGAAGTCCTTGCCCATGCCTATGTCCTGAATGGTAATGCCTAGGTTTTCTTCTAGGGTTTTTATGGTTTTAGGTCTAACATTTAAGTCTTTAATCTATCTTGAATTAATTTTTGTATAAGGTGTAAGGAAGGGATCCAGTTTCAGCTTTCTACATATGGCTAGCCAGTTTTCCCAGCACCATTTATTAAATAGGGAATCCTTTCCCCATTGCTTGTTTTTGTCAGGTTTGTCAAAGATCAGATGGTTGTAGATGTGTGGTATTAATTCTGAGGGCTCTATTCTGTTCCACTGGTCTATATCTCTGTTCTGGCACCAGTACCATGCTGTTTTGGTTACTGTAGCCTTGTAGTATAGTTGGAACTGAGGTAGCCTGATGCCTCCAGCTTTGTTCTTTTTGCTTAGGATTGTCTTGGCAATGTGGGCTCTTTTTTGGTTCCATATGAACTTTAAAGTAGGTTTTTCCAATTCTGTGAAGAAAGTCATTGGTAGCTTGATGGGGATGGCATTGAATCTATAAATTACCTTGGGCAGTATGGCCATTTTCATGATATTGATTCTTCCTACCCATGAGCATAGAATGGTCTTCCATTTGTTTGTGTCCTCTCTTATTTCCTTGAGCAGTGGTTTGTAGTTCTCCTTGAAGAGGTCCTTCACATCCCTTGTAAGTTGGATTCCTAGGTGTTTTACTCTCTTTGAAGCAATTGTGAATGGGAGTTCATTCATGATTTGGCTCTCTGTCTGTTATTGGTGTATAGGAATGCTTGTGATTTTTGTACATTGATTTTGTATCCTGAGATTTTGCTGAAGTTGCTTATCAGCTTAAGGAGATTTGGGGCTGAGATGATGGGGTTTTCTAAATATACAATCATGTCATCTGCAAACAGGGACAATTTGACTTCCTCTTTTCCTAATTGAATACCCTTTATTTATTTCTCCTGCCCAATTGCCCTGGCCAGAACTTCCAACACTATGTTGAATAGGAGTGGTGAGAGAGGGCATCCCTGTCTTGTGCCAGTTTTCAAAGGGAATGCTTCCAGATTTTGCCCATTCAGTATGATATTAGCTGTGGGTCTGTCATAGATAGCTCTTACTATTTTGAAATTCGTACCATCAATACCTAGTTTATTGAGAGTTTTTAGCATGAATGGCTGTTGAATTTTGTAAAAGGCCTTTTCTGCATCTATTGAGATAATCATGTGGTTTTTGTCTTTGCTTCTGTTTATATGATGGATTCCGTTTATTGATTTGCATATGTTGAACCAGCCTTGCATCCCAGGGATGAAGCCAACTTGATCGTGGTGGATAAGCTTTTTGATGTGCTGCTGGATTCAGTTTGCCAGTATTTCATTGAGGATTTTTGCATTTATGTTCATCAGGGATATTGGTCTAAATTATCTTTTTTTGTTGTGTCTCTGCCAGGCTTTGGTATCAGGATGATGCTGGCCTCATAAAATGAATTAGGGAGGATTCCCTCTTTTTCTATTGATTGGAATAGTTTCAGAAGGAATGGTACCAGCTTCTCTTTGTACCTCTGGTAGAATTGGGCTGTGAATGCATCTGGTCCAGGACTTTTTTTGGTTGGTAAGCTGTTAATTATTGCTTCAATTTCAGAAGCTGTTATTGGTCTATTCAGGTATTTAACTTCTTCCTGGTTTAGTCTTGGGAGGCTGTATGTGTAAAGGAATTTATCCATTTCTTCTAGATTTTCTAGTTTATTTGCATAGAGGTGTTTATAGTATTCTCTGATGGTAGTTTGTATTTCTGTGGGATCGGTAGTGATATCCCCTTTATCATTTTTTATTGAGTCTATTTGATTCTTTTCTCTTTTCTTCTTTATTAGTCTTGCTAGTGGTCTATCAATTTTGTTGATCTTTTCAAAAAACCACCTCCAGGATTCATTGATTTTTTGAAGGGGTTTTGTGTCGCTATGTCCTTCAGTTCTGCTCTGATCTTAGTTATTTCTTGCCTCCTGCTAGCTTTTGAATGTGTTTGCTCTTGCTTCTCTAGTTCTTTTAATTGTGTTGTTAGGGTGTCAATTTTAGATCTTTCCTGCTTTCTCTTGTGGGCATTTAGTGCTATAAATTTCCCTCTACACACTGCTTTGAATGTGTCCCAGAGATTCTGGTATGTTGTGTCTTTGTTCTCGTTGGTTTCAAAGAACATCTTTATTTCTGCCTTCATTTTGTTATGTACCTAGTAGTCATTAAGGAGCAGGTTGTTCAGTTTCCATGTAGTTGAGGAGTTTTGAGTGAGTTTCTTAATCCTGAGTTCTAGTTTGATTGCACTGTGGTCTGAGAGATAGTTTGTTATAATTTCTGTTGTTTTACATTTGCTGAGGAGTGCTTTACTTCCAACTATGTGGTCAATTTTGGAATAGGTGTGATGTGGTGCTGAGAAGAATGTATAATCTGTTGATTTGGGGTGGAGAGTTCTGTAGATGTCTATTAGGTCCACTTGGTGCAGAGCTGAGTTCAATTCCTGGATATCCTTTTTTACTTTCTGTCCCATTGATCTGTCTAATGTTGACAGTGGGGTGTTAAAGTCCCCCATTATTATTGTGTGAAAGTCTAAGTCTCTGTGTAGGTCTCTAAGGACTTGCTTTATGAATCTGGGTGTTCCTGTATTGGGTGCATATATATTTAAGATAGTTAGCTCTTCTTGTTGAATTGATCCCTTTACCATTACATAATGGCCTTCTTTGTCTCTTCTGATCTTTGTTGGTTTAAAGTCTGTTTTATCAGAGACTAGGATTACAACCCCTACCTTTTTTGTTTTCCATTTGCCTGGTAGATCTTCCTCCATCCCTTTATTTTGAGCCTGTGTGTGTCTCTGCATGTGAGATGGGTCTCCTGAATACAGCACACTGATGGGTCTTGACTCTTTATCCAATATGCCAATCTGTGTCTTTTAATTGGAATATTTAGCCCATTTACATTTAAGGTTAATATTGTTATGTGTGAATTTGATCCTGCATTATAATGTTAGCTGGTTATTTTGCTCATTAGTTGATGCAGTTTCTTCCTAGCATCAGTGGTCTTTATAATTTGACATGTTTTTGCAGTGACTGGTACTGGTTGTTCCTTTCCATGTTCAGTGCTTCCTTCAGGAGCACTTGTAAGGCAGGCCTGGTGGTGACAAAATCTCTCAGCATTTGCTTTGTCTGTAAAGTATTTTATTTCTCCTTCACTTATGAAGCTTAGTTTGGCTGGATATGAAATTCTGGGTTGAAAATTCTTTCCTTTAAGAATGTTGAATATTGGCCCCTACTCTCTTCTGGCTTGTAGAGTTTCTGCAGAGAGATCAGCTATTAGTCTGATGGGTTTCCCTTTGTGGGTAACCCAACCTTTCTCTCTGGCTGCCCTTAACATTTTTTCCTTCATTTCAACTTTGGTGAATCTGACAACTATGTGTCTTGGAGTTGCTCTTCTCGAGGAGTATCTTTGTGGCATTCTCTCTATTTCCTGAATTTGAATGTTGGCCTGCCTTGCTAGGTTGGGGAAGTTCTCCTGGATAATATCCCGAAGAGTGTTTTCCAACTTGGCTCTATTCTCCCCGTCACTTTCAGGTACATCAATCAGACATAGATTTGGTCTTTTCACATAGTCCCATATTTCTTGGAGGCTTTGTTCGTTTCTTTTTATTCTTTTGTCTCTAAACTTCTCGCTTCGTTTCATTTATTTGATCTTCAATCACGGATACCCTTTCTTCCACTTGATCAAATCAGCTACTGCAGGTTGTGCATGTGTCACGTAGTTCTCGTGCCATGGTTTTCAGCTCCATCAGGTCATTTAAGGACTTCTCTACACTGGTTATTCGAGTTAGCCATTCGTCTAATCTTTTTTCAAGGTTTTTAGCTTTTTGCGATGGGTTCGAACTTCCTCCTTTAGCTCAGAGAAGTTTGTTATTACTGATCGTCTGAAGCCTTCTTCTCTCAACTCATCAAAGTCATTCTCCATCCAGCTTTGTTCCATTGCTGTTGAGGAGCTGCACTCCTTTGGAGGAGAAGAGACACTCTGATTTTTAGAATTTTCAGCTTTTCTGCTCTGGTTTCTCCCCATCTTTGTGGTTTTATCTACCTTTGGTCTTTGATAATGGTGACGTACAGATGGGGTTTTGGTGTGGATGTCCTTTCTCTTTGTTAGTTTTCCTTCTAACAGTCAGGACCCTCAGCTGCAGGTCTGTTGGAGTTTGCTGGGGGTCCACTCCAGACCCTGTTTGCCTGGGTATCACCAGCAGAGTCTGCAGAACGGCAGATGCTGCTGCCTGATACTTCCTCTGGAAGCTTCATCTCAGAGGAGTACCCGGCCCTATGAGGTGTCAGTCGCCCCCTACTGGGAGATGCCTCCCAGTTAGGCTACTCAGGGGTCAGGTACTCACTTGAGGAAGCAGTCTGTCTGTTCTCAGATCTCAAGCTCCATGCTGGGAGAACCACTACTCTCTTCAAAGCTGTCAGACAGGGACGTTTAAGTCTGCAGAAGTTTCTGCTGCCTTTCGTTCAGCTATGCCCTGCCCCCAGAGGTGGAGTCTACAGAGGCAGGCAGGCCTCCTTGAGCTGAAGTGGGCTCCACCCAGTTCGAGCTTCCTGGCCACTTTGTTTACCTACTCAAGCTTCAGCAATGGTGGACGCCCCTCCCCCAGCCTCGCTGCCGCCTCACAGTTTCGATCTCAGACAGCTGTGCTAGCAATGAGCGAGGCTCCGTGGGCGTGGGACCCTCTGAACCAGGCGTGGGATATAATCTCCTGGTGTGCCGTTTACTAAGGCCATTGGAAAAGGGCAGTATTAGGGTGAGAGTGTCCCGATTTTCCAGGTACCCTCTGTCACGGCTTCCCTTTTCTAGGAAAGGGAATTCCCTGACCCCTTGTGCTTCCCAGGTGAGGTGATGCCCCACCCTACTCCATGGGCTGCACCCACTGTCTGACAAGCCCCTGTGAGATGAACCTGGTACCTCAGTTGGAAATGCAGAAATCACCCATCTTCTGCAACGCTCATGCTGGGAGCTGCAGACTGGAGCTGTTCCTATTCGGCCATCTTGGAACTGCCCCCTGAATTCCGTTTTAAAAAGTTAAATGTGCAACTAAGCATATTGTCACAAAGATTAATCTCAGTGTAAAGTCTTCCTACAACAATAGTATTGTACATGCCAGAACATTTATTAGAAAAGAAAGACTGGCTTAAACAACATTAATTGGCAAATAGTACTTGGTAAGAGTACATGCTTGGAAAGGCTCCGGGAAATATCTGTTCCTTAAGAAAGTTGACAGGTCCTAAATCAGACATACTATTCCAATTGGGAAAACAACTGTTAATGGAGCTAAACAATGATAATTGAGTAACTGGGTGATGCTAAACCTGTTGATTTAAAGAAAATATAAATAAACTCTTAATCTGCCTCAAAGATCCTTAAAATCCACCCCCTGCCAAGAAAAACCTTGACCTTTTCTGTATTGCTTTTGAGCTCTGTTTATGGGATTTTAAATCATCTGACATAAAAAGCTCCTCCCTTGGATACTCCCTTGGACAAGAGGATGTATCCACTTCCAACAATTTATACTAGCCCTTTATACCAAGCCCAATCAAGACATATGGGGACCCCAGCAGGATAACAATATGATATCGCTTTACATTAGTATTCCTTAAACATTTGTTCACCATTTATTTAATGGTAGAAGTAAGCAATGATTTTCTATTAAAATTTTCTACTCCTTACTTCAAAATGTGAGGTTTATCATATGCATGAATATTAACTTCTGCTTTTTCCCCAGTGTCTTCTAGGATGCTCTCCTGTGATAGATTAAATATAACCACATATTCTTTGCATGGAGTCTATTTTCCAACTGCTTGCATCTGAGTTGGCCTTGTGGTATGCTTTGACCAATAGAATGAGGCAGAAATGACTTGTGTGAATTGCAAGCATCAGCTTCAAGAGCACCTGCAGCTTCTGTTCCCACCCTCTAGGACACTGACATCTTGTGAACAAGCCCAGCTAGCCACCTTAAGGATGAGAGCCTTCCTGGAGAGGGAGGTCACTGGGAAAGAGTGGCCCTGCCACCCCATCTATTCCAGTCCTCCCAGCTGAGATACTCGACATGTGAATGAAGTGCCAGCCAACGTGTCAACTAACCGTAAAAGCATGAGTGAGCCCAGCCAACTCCAAGTGGAGCAGAGATGAGCCAACCCACACGAATCCTGCCCAAGTTGACAATTCACTGAACTACAAGCTAACAAATGGCTGTAATTTTAAGCTACTAAGTGTTGGATTGGCTATATAAAAATAGATAACTAAGACACACCCCATTTGACATGGTAGACTAAAATTAAGGCAGCCCAAATTTATTAATTCCCACATAAAAATGAGAGGATTGGGGTACAGGTGGGACTTGAGAAAGTATCACTAGAAATAGTCACTCATTCATTACATTGTAGATTTCAACTAACTCCTGATGTAACACCTTTGATTCTTTGGATTTCAGTTCCATGCATCTCACTTCTCCCAGAATAACCAAGTAACTGGGAAAGTCTCTTATTTGACCAATAATTATTAATGTGCCAATACTCTGCTAGGGGATAGTACACAACAGTGAACAAACAGGTATACACTCCGTCTTTATGGAGTTTACCACCTAGTGGGATGTTATCTTAGTCCATTTCATGTTGCTATAACAGAATACCTGAAACTGTGTCATTTATAATGCACAGAAATTTATTGGTTCACAGCTCTGGAGGCTGAAAATTTCAATATTAACATACCAACATCTTATGAGAGCCTTCTTGTTGTATCACCACGTGGCAGTAGGCGAGAGGGCAAGAAAAAGAAAGAAGGGGCTGAACTTGCCCTGTTATTTTTATTTATTTATTTATTTTTGAGACGGAGTCTTACTCTGTCACCTAGTCTGGAGCGCAGTGGTGTGATCTCAGCTCACTGCAACCTCCACCTCCCAGGTTCAAGCGATTTTCCTGCCTCAGCCTCCCAAGTAGCTGGGACTACAGGCATGTGCCACCACACCCAGCTAATTTTTGTATTTCTGGTAGAGACAGGGTTTCACCATGTTGGCCAGGCTGGTCTTGAACTCCTGACCTCAGGTGGTCTGCCTGCCTCGGCCTCCAAAAGTGCTGGGATTACAGACGTGAGCCACCACGCCGAACTTGCCCTTTTATAATGGCACCAACCCCACTCACAAGGGTGGAGCCCTCATAACTTAATCACCTCTTAAAGGTCCCACCTCTTAACACTGTTACAATGGCAATTAAATTTCAATATGAGTTTAGGAAAGGACAAGCATTCAAACCATAGCAGACATCTTAGTCCATTCAGTTTGCTATAACAAAGTACCATAGATGGGTGGCCTATAAACAATAAAAATTTATTTCTCACAGTTCTGGAGGCTGGGAAGTCTGGGATCAGGGTGCCAGCTGGGTCATGATCTTGCAAGAACCCCCTTCTGGATTGCAGACTGCTGTCTTCTGGCTGTGTCCTCACATGGTGTAGAGAAGATGAGAGAACTATCTGGGTTTCTTTTTATAAATGCACTAACCCATTCATGGGGGCTCTACCCTCATAACCTAATTACCTCCCAAAGGCCCCACCTCCTAATATTCTCACACTGGAGGTTAGAATTTTAACATATAAATTTTGGAGGAACCAGATATTCAGTCCATTGCATTAGGTCTTCCTTGAACAGCTAATTATAAAGCTTATTATTTGATGACAAGGTTAACGAGTGCTGAAAAAGAAGTAGGCAGGGGGCTATAAGCACACCTAACAGGAGTCTGACCTAATCTAGGAAATCATGAAAGGCTCTTCTGAGATGGTGGTCTTCAAGGTAAGCCTTGAAAGATGAGTAGGAATTAAATGGACAGAGAACTGGAAACTATGCACAAGGCCCTGAACACAGGAAAAGGAAATTACACTTCTGAGACACAGAAAGCCAGCGTGGCAGCATTGCAGAGAGCTAGGGATGGTGTGGATGTGTCAAGGGCAAACTTTATACTGAGCAAAAGCATTTGGTTTTTCTTAAAAAAAAATGTAACTCTGGCTTCAGTGCACATCAGAGGAAGCAAATGTGCAATCTATGAGATAGGAGACTATTACCAAGAGATGATGGAGGCTTAGACTAAGATGTTGAAGAGAAGCAGCTGATTGGACTTGCTAAATGAGGTCAGCTGCCCCACACCAAATAATTCTAATTCTCCATCCATAGAATTATAGAAAGTTCGAAGTGGAAGCAACCTCAAAATCATATAGTCCAAACTCCTCTCTTTATAAATCAGGAAACTGAAGACCAAGGAGAAAAGGGCTTGGCAACAGTGAGAGGGCCTTGGGCAGAGCCAAAGGTAGACCCCATGTCTTCCTTTTCCAGCTGCTTACTCCCTGCTTTAGTGTGTGGCACAGTCCCTTCCCACACATCATGCTAATTATAAAAACAGCTAAATATAAAGTTTATGATTTGATTATGAGGGTAACAAGTGCTGAAAAAGAAGAGTGCAGGTTTACCCCCTAACAACTTTTACAAGTAGGCAAGGCAGATATTAAAATTCTAATCTTAGGAAGAAGAAAGTGAGGCCAAGGTTAAGCGAAGTTCCCATTGTTAATAATGCCAGAGTCAGAACTGGAACCCAAGGCCGGGTACAATGGCTCAAGCCTTCAATCCCAACCCTTTGGGAGGCTGAGGTGGGAGGATCGCTTATGCCCAGTTCAAGACCAGCCTGGGCAACACAGCAACACTCTGTCTCTACAAAAACTTTAAAAATTAACTGGTCATGGTGGTAGGTGTCTATGATGCCAGCTGCTCAGGAGCTGAGGTGGAAGAATTTCTTGAGGCCTGGAGGGTTAACTCAGTTAATGCAGTTAGCACTTACAGAGCACCTACTATGTGCAAGCTATTCTCCCTCAGTGGAAGAGCCAAATTAATAATTAAAAGGGCTTGTAATCCAGTAAGGGAGATTAGCCTTAGCTACGAGATGAGAAATTTCACTTTACCTTTCTCACTTCTGGGGGCTGGGGTCTTTGAGAAAGCAAGTGATTTTCTCTTGACTCTCCTGCTCTTACTAAGTCCAGGAAGAAAGAAGTGTGCAGCCCATGTGTCAGGCCTGTCACTATTGGGCAGGCTTTTATAACAACTAGACTTCTTTACTCTAGGCAATGGAAACTGGCTGCCCAACATAAACGAGGTGCCTTTATTAGAAGGTAGCCACAGAACCAATGGAAAGATTGGAGAATCAGACTTAGAAACAGGCAGAACACAGCTGTTGGATCCAGATATAAAGAGGTAGGAGTCAGGAATGATCTTTAACCAAGACCTGTCTGCCAATGGGATGCATGGATTCCTATCACATTCCATCTCTTTGTCCCTCTACCCAAGATTTATATTCCAGGGAGGGAACATTCAGTTGGTCTAACTTGGGTCAAATCCCACCTCTAGGCTAGTGCAGGGCAGTGCACCCAATTATACTTCCACTGCTGCTTCCAGTGCAGATGAGGTAATTAGCCTAACATCATACTGTTAGAAAGGGGGAAAATATTTTAGGCAGCCAAAGAGGAAAAAAAAAATCACAAGACTTAGTGCACGCCGTAGGTCTTAAGGTGACAGAATATCAATTTCTCTTTCTAGAAAATAAGCCTGAACGTTAATCACCAGCACTCTTAGTCTAAAATGGCTCCATATGAACCACTACTGGGTTTTCATTCTAGCAAAGTGATGAAAGAGTGTTGTAGCTACTTACATATCACCTACTACAGTTGCAACATGAGTATAGAAAGCACATATTCAACCATGCTGAGCCTGAGATAGCCTTCTGCAAGAACAGAAACAGTTGTCATGTGCCTCTGCCACTGTGATTTCCCATTGTAACTGATTGCAATGAGGTGGATTAATAATAATAATAATAACAATTGTGGCTAGAGGAACTACTGTGTGGCAGGCAGGCACCAGGCTAGGCATTTTACATACGTTAGCTTTTCTTTTAATCACGCTGCATTATGGTGTGCAAAATATGATGGTTGCAATTTCATTCTGTCTCATGGTTGTCTTTGCCAACAATATCTGTTTTTTTATTTCTAGAAGTCTCTAGGGATTACTTCTGTTACCAGCAGTGGATGCTATAGATCTAGTTGAAAACAATAAAGATATTCTGCAGAAAGGGCATCCAGAGAATAAAAGTTCCAGAGAATAATGCCTTGAGCTTTCTCGGGGGCTAACTCCTGCCAGCCTATGATATTTCCTCTGGTGAAATATTTTGCTTTTTTATTGACTTTGTAGGTAGAACATAAAAGAGAAAAATCAAACTGGCTTGCAGAAATAGATCACAGGCTGGTCTGAAGCTCTGTTTCTGCTGTAGAACAGGTAACCTGGAGAATTTACCGTTGTAGTTAACATCCAGGAAGAGTCTGAGATTGTTTACACTGGATACCTGCACCTGGTAAGCAGGCAGGCATAGAGTCTGGGTGTCTAGAACAGCTAAGAGGGCCCAGAGAATATAAGCATTCCTGCAAAGTGGTAGGGAAGCTTCTTGTAGCTGGCAGCGTCTTCACTCTGGGCAGGTGGAGTCATTAGCAGGTTAGAAAGCTTGAGAGATCAGGGAGAGCATTTATCAGTCTGGGAACATCCTGTGTGTCTATTTTGTGCAGTCATGGTAAGGCAGGTGAATTTTTATATACTTTGCAATTAAATGGTATCTGTTGGCATTTTTCCATCAGTCACAACACCAGCATGTGTTGATGCACACACACGACTCCTAAGAACATTCCTGACTCAAAAAGAGGCAGATTAGAGGAAGAGAAAGCTACTGAGGAGAGGAGTGTTGATCTCCAAACTGAATGAATGGGGGGAGGGACTTTATCTGAAGCACATAAAGGTGGTGGTGAGGAAAATTAATCTCATCCAGAGTAAAGTCAAGGACCAGCTGAAGATACAACAGAGCCAAGCAAAGAATAAAGATTTGTCAAAGCATTGAACAAACCAAAAAGGTAGGGTGGGGAGAAGGCTAGTCCTAGAATAATATATTTTTAAAATAACACTGTTTGAAATAATTTAAGAAATCTAGTCCATTGTTGAGCACTGATAGCAGATACCTGGAGATAGAGATATGAAGACATCGAGATTTTAGCCATCGATAATTAGTCCTTTATGGTGTCAGACTATGTAAAAATGGATATATTTAAATGACAGTAAAAGAAAACAAGTGTAGATGTGTGTTTACTTAGACTTTTTGGCGACAGTAAAAATAAATGGGCCCTTTTTCCTCCCCATTTTTTCTGATGTGAAATCACTAAAAGTTAAGCTGTGCTTTTCTTAAAGCCCTATAAACTGAACTTAAACTTTGGAAGAAAATAGGCTTACTAAATAGTAAAAATAAATAGGAAGTATAAGATAATAAATAGACTGTGTGTTGGTTGCTGGGTCTCACCACGGGGAGACTGTGTGTTTGGTGCAGGGTCTCATTGTGGGGAGATTGTGTTGGGTGCAGGGTCTCATCACAGGGAGACTATGCTTTGGGTGCAGGGTCTCACCACAGGTCTCTTTATGCAGGTTCTTTATGTAAAAATAAATAACTATTTTGTAGGCATAGTATAAGCATATGTGAAGATGAGGAGACACAAGAAAACATCTCAACTGCCAAAGAGTCACTCTGAGGCCAAATGTCCAATATTAAGAGAAAGGAGAGGCCTCACCAAGAACTGGAACCAAAACTTTTCATTTTTCAGGTCCAGCAGCAGCTCTGGGAGCCCAGAGAATTTTATCATCCCATCAGAAACTAGAGTCTATAAGCTTCCAACTGCTTTATTTCTTTATAAATTTGCATTTTTAAAAAAATGGGTTTAATCAGTTCAGATACAGAACACCCATACATGTTTCAAGTCACTATATGTGCCTTGATTTCCTGTAAATCCAACCTATATATTGTGGGCTTTTAATCAATAATTTAAACAAATATTAATTGAGCACATACTATGGATTAGTCATTGGTTTGTGTACTTAAAATAGAACCAGAATACTGAATAGGATAAACAAGATCCCTGCCCTCACCGAGCTTAAAGGGTAGGGCTGGGGAGGTGGGCAAATATGGAAAGTATAAGATAATAAATATAACAACAGTCTGAGAAGGGCATGATTCTCTAAAGCACATTAGAAGATACCCAACCCAGACCCGTAGGTCAAAAATATCTCCCAGAGGTAGTAACATCTACAATGAAGGTGTTGGCCAAATGTACATGTATATGCACATGCACGTAGGTGTGTATGTTTGGGGAGGAGGAATGATCCTAATTCAGGAAGAATAGAATACACAAAGCTCCAGGGACAATAAGATACCTGACCTTCATGGCAAAAAGGTACATGAAGTAAATTTGGGGGGACTGGAGCATGCAGTATAATTAGGGTGTGGGGAGAGCTAAGACTGTAGCCAAAAGCAGGAATCAGTAAGCAGAAATGGAAGCCACTACCAAGTTTTAGGCAGAAAAGTGACATAATCACATTTACTTTTTTTTTTTTTTTTTTTGAGACGATGTCTCACTCTGTCACCCAGGCTGGAGTGCAATGGCATGATCTCAGCTCACTACAACCTCTGCCTTCTGGGTTCAAGCGATTCTCCTTCCTCAGCCTCACAAGTAGCTGGGATTACAAGTGCCCACCACCACACCCAGCTAATTTTTGTATTTTTAGCAAAGACAGGGTTTTACCATGTTGCCCAGGCTGGTCTTGAACTCCTGACCTCAGGTGATCCACCCGCCTCAGCCTCCCAAAGTGCTGGGATTACAGGCGTGAGCCACCATGCCCAGCCACACTTAGATTTAATAAAGATCATTCTCACAAGTTGTTGTGAGGATGATGAGAGAAGAGGAAGACTAGAGAAGAGTAAGAGTGAAAGCAAGGCTGCCTAGTAGGAAATCCAAATGATGGTCGGTAGGTGGATAGAGATGCCGAGTTGGGTGGAACTGCATAGAAGGAGAAAGCAGGTAATTGTGGAAGATTTTTAGGAGGTAGTATCAGTAACACTTGGCAATTCATTGAGTATAGAGGTGAGGGAGAAAAATGTGGTCAGTTACTCTGGTATTTGGCCACAGGTTACTGGTGATTGGTTGTGCCATTTATACAGATTGAGAATCAAGAAGAAAGAGCAGGTTTGATGAAGAAGATGGTGAGTTCAAGTTTGAATATAATGAACTTAAGATGCTTGTAAGACACCCATGTGAAGAAGTCTAGCAGGCAGCCGATATATGCAGACACAGATACAGAGAAAGAGTTGGCAATCTAGAGTTGGAGCTCATCAGCACAGTCTACCCAGAAATACAGTTTTGAGAAGCATCAATATTTGGATGGTAATAGATCCCAGGGGCCTTGAATATGCCCTCCCAGCCTGTCAGCTGAGATTAGAAGGCAAGGTCATTCAGCACAAAACAAAGCCAGTTTCTATAGAAATAACTACTGGGGGCCATTTTTCTGAAAAGGGCTGTGAGCAGACAGTGCTTCCTGGATTTTCCAATGCAGTGGGCAAGAGGAGGCAGGCTAATCACTCTCTTCCTCCAAAGAATGTGGTTCAAATCCTTCTGACACAGAACAGCCATTTGTTGATATGATTGTCTGGAGCAGATGACATACATGATAAAGATAAAAGCTACTGGATAACTCTCCTTAGAACTTAGAGCATGAAAACCCGGCCAACTGAAGTAGGACAAGGGAATCTCAAAGCACTCAGAATGCCAATCCTCCCTCCCTGCTGCCACTGTATAAATATGAGAGAGAAGGAATGGCAGATGGAAGAGACATGGGAAAGAAAGAGGAGCCCTGGCAGGAAAGAACCCACAAACACCAGAAATGACCCTCTGCTTGGTAACTCCCAGCACTACCAGACCAGGTAACCAGAAACCCAGGCTTACAAACTCAGGCCAGCACCCACCCAAGCCATGTTGCCCAGGTTGCACTTGCCAGGAAAGAGACAAAAATATGTTCCTGACACATCCTCCTTTTATTTGCAAAACTGGAATTTCTTAGGTCACAGTTGATGTGTTATGTCACATTTTCACTATTGTTTTATCTTGCCAAAAATATTTCTGTGAACCCACATCTCTACCCAAAATGAGAAAAAGATCCTTGCTTGAGAAGGCCTGGTGATTTGCACCATTTACATGAGTTATTTTACCCTACACTCATGACATTGATTATACTCATTTACTTTAACTGACTGGCCTCTCCTTTATTAGTAATTTGTAGCCTATGGCCCAAAGATACTTCCAACTTGAGAATCTGTTTAAGATTAACCAACTTTCAGTTGCTTAGCCTAGACAACTTAACTTGTTCATAATAGTACAGATAATAAGCTTATGATCCCATTTTTAACAATGGCAAAGGAAGTGTTTGGCTGCCAAGATCATTGGTACAGAGGTATAATTAATCCAAGAGTATAACATATAAAGTTACAAAATACATTCTGCAGTCAATCCATAAGAGACAGATTTTGCAAGGTAATTGCTAAAATGTTCATTACACACTACACACACACTTATCTTGCCTGTATGTGTGTGTGTTATGTTTTGTTGTTCATCTCATGAAGCATGCTGAGCCCATCTTAAATGGTGCAATTATTGAAATTGGTGCAATTATTTTGTGGTTATTTTGCAAAAGACATGGTACTAGAAATTAGACAACTGAAAACTCTTAAGGACACGTGCTTCATGGTTCCCATAGTGACCACACTCCCTCTACTGTGAGACATACAACATCAACATCAAAGAGAGGACCATCCAGGACTAGTAAAAGGCAAGATTTGGTTAGGAGAATCTTCTCTTTTATCAAGAGATCTGGGTTTCACTCATCGAAAAATCACATTTTCAGCTCTTTGAAGAAAAAAAGATACTAGATAATAACCAAAAAGACTTCATTAAGAATAAATCCTGTCAGGTTAATCCAATCTGCTTCCAAGATAGCATGGGGAGGAAAAAAAGAGGATGTGCAGTTTTGGTAAGCAGAGAAGATGACATCAGTTCCCTGGGAAGACACAGCCATGCAACTCGGCAGATTCAAACTACACTGTTTGACATGGGCCGGGCACCTTTATGTCTGGTGAATATGTAACAACAAGAATGGCTCAAAGATCTTGATGAGAAAGCACAGGACAAAGGTCAAAAGCTGTTCATCATCATTGTAGAATTTCAAATTCAATGAACATAGCATTTCTCTGACTCTAAAGTTTCCTTTTTAAGCAGTACTTATCAGACAATTATAAAAGAAAAAGAAAAAAATCAGGTCACCTGCTAAAAGTAAGCAATTATAAATAATCAAAAATCCTCTCTCAGGATCCAAATCACAGCACAAGAAATTTGTATGATAAATATTTGACAGTCTGTATTGTCTGGTTGTGCTCACTGAGAAAAATAACAGGTACTTGCCTTAGGAAAAGTAAAACCAACACCCGTCTCAAATATTTTGTCTTTTGAATAACATTTCACACATACAGCAGCTTGCTTCTAAAGATTTCAAAACACTGTGCAAACAATTATGATCTCCATAGTACTGAGCTGTCAAGGGAAAAGAGGCTTTGAGAAAATAAAGCCTGTCTATGCAAGGTGACCTCGCAAGCCAGGGGTGGATATGGATGGAACTCTTAAATCTCAGTCTCTATCCCCCTGTTTCAACTTCCTCACTTAGGGAAAATATGTATATTATTTTCATATTCCTTTCAAATACATGCCCCCAAGAATGTTAAACTTGAAGTGTAAAGTGTCTTATTTACAACTAAAATTGTAAAGGCACATAAATAAATATACCAGAATAGAAAAGGGACTGTGGTCTGTTCATTGTTGTGCCCACAGCCCTGCCTGGCATATGCTAGATATTCAGTAAATACTCTTTAAATTAATCCAATTAAATATCCATCAAAAAAGCTATTCCTCTCATGTACAAGTATGTAATCAAATTAACCCAAAACCATAAATTACACACTTGTTTGTTTAGAATGGGAAGTTTTAAAGTTTCTTTCCCTTAAGAATATTAAAAGATTTTCCCCCAACTACAAAAGGTATGTCAAGATAGAATAGCTTCCTACTTAAGTTCAGAATTCTCCAATAACACTACAGAATGTGGGTCCTGAACGCAAAGAAGTATTGAGCTATGAATTCATGTCAGCCTCTCTCAAAGACTAAAAACAAAATTTTGTCAGTGAAATCGGGGCAGAAAATCATTAGGTACTTAAAGTAGGAATGAATCAGAGACTTGATCCTCAAATGTGTTTAGATACCAAAAATTACTTATTAAAAATAAATAATATAAATGTCACTGAAATAGATCCAGAAGAAAAGAAAACACAGAGTAAAACAGAAGTAAAAGAGACTGACTGAGGCCGGGTGCGGTGGCTCACGCCTGTTATCCCAGCACTTTGGGAGGCCGAGGCGGGTGGATCACAAGGTCAGGAGATCGAGACCATCCTGGCTAACACGGTGAAACCCTGTCTCTACTAAAAGTACAAAAAATTAGCTGGGCGTGGTGGCGGGCGCCTGTAGTCCCAGCTACTCAGGAGGCTGAGGCGGGAGAATGGCGTGAACCCGGGAGGCGGAGCTTGCAGTGAGCTGAGATCGCGGCACTGCACTCCAGCCTGGGCGACAGGCTCAAAACTTAGTCAGCAGAACTAAGGGGACAGTTAAATTTACATCTAGACATAGAGAGGTATGTGTACCACTACCACTAGAAGTAGATAAAAAACAGATCCCATCTCAAAACAAACAAACAAAAAAAGAGAGACTGACTGAATCTTCCATAAGCACAAAGAGCACTTCCACCCCAAGCCAAGAAGACAGAAGAACTGATTTCTGGCTAAATTATTATCTTTGACTCTATGTAGAAATACTTTTTAAAAATAATCATCTGTCTCTTAACTCTAGAGATTGAAATATTCAAAATTTATTTGTGCATTTCATCTTTGACCCATTTTTGTTAACTTTAAAAAGCCAACTATGAAGAATTTTTTTTCATATCTACATATCAGAGTGAACATATGGAACTACTTCAGGCTCACTTTCATTTGAGGCCCCATGATAGGAGCCAACCACTCTCACATCTCAAAATGAGTGACGTACACCACCATGCAGGACTAGCAAAAGAAGGGTTTGTGCCCCTTGAACATACTGGCACTGAGGCTACAGGTTAAAATAAGGCAGGAGATCAGAAGGAAGATTTCTCTGGAACAGCTGTACAAGCTCTACCTCCTACATCCTCCATAAGAGATGGGTAGGATGCTTGGTCTTCAGTTCAAGCCTAGAGACAGGGTCTTCACGGAAACCCTCAGCGAGGGTCATAGGGATCCCTTGGAGCTTGGGACACAGTGGACTTAGTTAGGCCTGACACATCTGAGAAGTGGCTGTGGATGAAGTTGCTTACCAGGAAGTTAATAACAGGAGTACTATAGTTGGAAAGTAACTAAACTCCCACTGATCATGGATGAAAGATGCATATTTTATGTGGATCAGATATGGGGAGGGACAAGGGGAGGGAGGGGGCTAGTATGAGGTTATCTTAGATCTTGATCAAAAGGTCATCCTGGAAGGTGTGAAGCCCTCCGTAGAAAGAGGTTGAAGATAAACAGTTAGATTCCCAGGGAAAGAAATCCTAAGCAAACCCTAAGCAACCAGTCAGAGCAGGTACATTCACTCACCTCAACAGAACTGTGGGAGAACTCCCACATGGGGCAAGTCTCCAAAGAGCCCAAAAATATTGCTCTGAAAGACAGTCAGCTTTGAACACCCTCTGAACCCAGCAAGTATCAGTAACAGTTCGCAGAATTACCAATAAGACATTTCCTGCCCCCTTACCTTCATCCCATCCCCAGCTTCCCATCCCCAGCTTCCAACACCAGCTGAAAGCGTAGCTAGTGGGCTGGGAGAGGAAGTCACGGAGAGCAGATGGAGAAATGTAGTATAATTAGCCATTCCCACCTTCCCCATTGCTAGACTGCAAAGAGGAATTTTGATTATAACACTGGAACAGTGATACTGAACTGAACAGGCTTTTTTGAATGCTCATGAGGCCAGACTTTATTAATGAGTGAGCAAATAGGCTATGGAATCAATCTAAAAATTTTATTCAATGGACAAAAAAATTAGCTTCACAGAATGCTTATGTAGAGGTTATTGTGAGAAAACAAAGCTGATTTTATAATTTTACCTTAAAAATTTATTTTTGGGGCCAGGTGTGGTGGTGGTTCATGCCTGTAATCCCAGCACTTTAGAAGGCTGAGACAGGAGGACCACTTGAGACCAGGAATTCAAGACCAGCCTGGACACTTGAGACCCTATCTCTACAAATAATAGGTTAAAAAATTTGCTGGGCACGGTGGCTCACGGCTGTAATCCCAGCACTTTGGGAGGCTGAGGTGGGTGGATCATGAGGTCAGGAGTTCGAGACCAGCCTGACCAATATGATGAAACCCCGTCTCTACTAACAACACAAAAATTAGCCAGGTGTGGTGGTGCACACCTGTAATCCCAGCTACTCAGGAGGCTGAGGCAGGAGAATTGCTTGGAGCCAGGAGACAGAGGTTGCACTGAGCTGAGATCACGCCATTGCACTCCAGCCTGGGCAACAGAGCAACAGCAAGACTCTATTTAAAAAAAAAAAAAATTTAGCCAGGCATGATGGAGCACACCTGAATCCCAGCTACTTGGAAGGCTCAGGTGGGAGGATTGCATGAGTCCAGGAATTGGAGGTTGCAGTGAGCCATGATCATGCCAGTGCACCTCAGCCTTGGTAACAGAGCAAGAACCTGTCTCAAAAAAATATGCATTTTTCAATGTTAAATTTACATCTAGACATAGAGAGGTATGTGTGCCGCTACCACTAGAAGTAGATAAAAAACAGATCCCATTTTTCTTTTCATTTATTTATCTATTTTTAGAAAGACAGAGTCTCTCTCTCTCTCTCTCTCTCTCTCTCTCTCTCTCTCTCTGTCACCCAGGCTGGAGTACAGTGGTATGATTATAGCTCACTGCAGCCTCAAACTCCTGGGCACAAGCAATCCTCTCACCTCAGCCTCCTGAGTAGCTGGGACTACAGGTATGCACCATCATGACTGACTCATTTTTAAATTTTTATATAGACAGAGTCTCAATATGTTACCCAGGCTGTGCTCAAACTCCTGGCCTCAAGTGATCCTCCCGCCTCAGCCTCCCAAAGAGTTGAGATTACAGGCGTGAGCCACTACACCTGGCCAGATCCCATTTTTCTCCCAGATATTTCATTTGTTCACTCAGTTCTATATTTATTCACTTCAAGTTATTGAATGCACAGTATATGCCTGGTACTGTACAAGGTGCTATTAGGATATAAAGATTAAGTCCTTGTCTTAGTGAGAAGGTGGCATCATACCACATTGGAAATCAATACAAGTTGTGCATTGCCTGTTTTAACATGCCCTGCCTCCAGGGTGATTGCTAGGAACATAGGGAACTTCCACAGACAATGAAAAGAGGGAGCTTCTGTCTCTTTTGCAGCCATTGTTCCTTCCAGGCCAAGGCAGAAGAGTGAATGAGGATATACAGCTACATGATTTATTACCTGCTCTGATGCCACAAGAATCAGAGGAAGACACAGCAGGTCACAATTCTCAGCAGCCCTTCTAAGTGTGTTGAGCAAAAGTTAACCCTTTAATACACAACTCCAAATCCTTTCCCTTCATGACTTCCTTCTTCATCTTGGCCACAAACCCAGCCAACCCTTCTCTCTAGATCTTTTCCCAAGATGGACCTAGCTAGACTATATGCAACACCATTTCTAAGTACTTTTGACTGTCCTTTTTTTGGGGAGGGGGCTGGTTGGGGGGACAGTTTCACTCTTTCACCCAGGCTGGAGAGCAGTGGCACAATCGCAGTTCACTGCAACCTCAGACTCCCAGGCTCCAGTAGTCCTCCCATCACAGCTTCCCAACTAGCTGGGAACATAGGCGTGCAACACCATGCCCAGCTAATTTTTTGTATTTTTGGTAAAGATGGCATTACACCATGTTGCCCAGGCTGATCTCAAACTCCTGAGCTCAGGTGATCATCTGTCTTGGCCTCCCAAAGTGCTGGGATTACAGGAGTTAGCCTCCATGCCTGGCCTTACTTTTGACTGTCTTTTAATGTAGTTTTTTCCCCCTCAATTATAAAATCCATTACTACAAAGTAGGAGAATCATTTCTAAGTCAGCAGAACTAAGACACATCCGGCTATGCCCTCTAATCCATGTGGACAAACTCTGTTCTTGTTTACTTCACTATTCTGGTTAAAAGAATGTGAACCACCGCATCTGCTTTCTCTCCTTGCTTATTTTTACTCTGTATAAATCCTAAAACTGCTGACTTAACCACTATTTCTACTAATTAGCCCTGATACCTTCCCTCCTCTCTTCCAATACAATACCTTGTCTTTCTCACGGATATTGTCTGCTTAAAAGAAAAAGATATTTGAATCTCAGAATATCTAATCCCCTATTTAACACCTCAGACACACATTTTTTAACTTTTTTTGCACATGATACTTTCTAGATACAGCTGATGCCTAATTAGGCAAGCTAAGATGGTAATAGGATAAAATAATCTTAAAAGTTATTTCTGTCTGATTTAGTGAACATTGTTCAATCTTTGTTTTGATGTAGCCTCAGCCAATTTATTTTACTAACTCTCCTTTTCTTGAACTGATGTTAAAATGTGTTTGCAATCCACAGCACATACTAAATGGGGTGGAAATTTGGAGGTAAAGTGATAGAAGCATATATGGAATTTAACATATCCTGAGCTCATTCACAAAGCAAAGGTGGCAGTGTTTGTGTAGCCTGTGAGACACTTAAGCTACCCAGCAGAGTGAAGAACAGCTTTCCACAACTGAATTCTATGCATTATTCATATACCTTTACAGCATCTACAGGAATTATCAACCAGTTCATTTATAACTTGTACCAATTGTTCCACAACAAGAAATGCAAGAAATGTTATATTTCTTTATTTTCTAAATCAAATTCAGTTCAATTCATGTTCCAACTAGCCAAGGTTGACAAGAAGAACAAGGTCATTCAGATGTCAGAGATAACTTACAAGAAGTGATCATAATCAAAGATGAAATGCTAGGGCTTACACAGTCCAGAAAAGTCCCCAGGTTTATGTGATCCTTGCAAAGACTTCCAGTTTCTAGTATTCATGTTTGCCCATGTAGCCATCCAGGTTCTGCCTCCTCCAGGGGCTGAATGCTGGTAGAATTAGATCTCCTCAACTTCCCGAACTACCACTCATTTCTACACCATTCTCAGGGAACCTAACTACACGCCTCCAGAAAACAGACCACCGCTCTCCAACCTTCAAACATAAAATTACTAATCAACAAATGCTTGGCCAGGCGCAGTGGCTCACGCCTGTAATCCCAGCGCTTTGGGAGGCCAAGGCAGTTGGATCACCTGAGGCCAGGAGTTCAAGACCAGCCTGGGCAACATGGTGAAACCCTGTCTCTACTGAAAATAGAAAATACTAGCCTGGTGTGGTTGTGTACACCTGTAATCCCAGCTACTCTGAAGGCTGAGGCAGAAGAATCACTTGAACCCAGGGGGTGGAGGTTGCAGTGAGCCGAGATCATGCCACTGCACTCCAGCCTAGGCAACAAAGTGAGACTCCACCTAAAAAAAAAACAAAAAAAAACAAAAAACAAATGCTGTTCGAGAATTGAGTCAAATCTACTTGTGGGTGTTCCACCTTTGAAATAAGGCTTCTTTCTTTGAAGGAAGGATGAAAAATCAGAGGAAATAAGATCTCAAACAATTTTGGTCAGATAACACTAGCTATGGTAGAAGTAAACCCCTTAATATTAGGGGTCAACACAGTAGAAAAAAATATAGATTTTCCTAGTGGGCATAGTTCCCTGCTCCACCCAGGCTGACAGAAGCTGAACCATTTTCAACTTATGCTTCCAAGGTTGTTCTGGGCATTGACGTCCAGCAAACAAAAGGGGTAAGACAACACAGAGAAGGCAAGCTGCTTCTTATCCACCTTGACTCAACAGTGGCATCCATTAGGTTTTCTCATATTCTAGTGGCAGATTCTAGTCTTGTGGCCTCACTTAAGTGTAAGATTACTGATAAATTCAACACTCATGAAAAGGAAGTACATATTTTGATTAATAATTAGCCATCTCTCCTACTAAATCATAGGTAATCCCAAATTAAAATTTATCTGCTCGATGCACTCCTTATTTGTTAATGAGACTCTCTTAGGGGCCAATAGTTGAGAAGAGTTGATTCTCCTTGTATATCAAGTGATGAATGAACAAGTCACAAGTCAGAAATAGAACAATAAAGCTGTGAAGGACATAAGTAGAGATTGCTTGACTCACCTCCTTAATTTACAAACAAAAAAATTGGAGCCCAAAGAGGTTAAGTTACTTTCTCTAAATCACAGAACTAGTTAATGACAGGGGGGAAAAAAGAACTAAGATCCCTTGAGCCTTTATCAGGTGTTTTTCCACAAAAATTTAATGTTACCCATTTTTGTTTATTAGCAAAAGACACAGATCTAACTCTTTCGAGTTAGAATTTTAAGACTCCAAATTGTGCCTTGGGAGATGTAAGGAGACAAACTTTTCCTCCACTCTCTTATGTTTAGTGACTGGGGCCTGCAAATTAAACTGACAAAGGTCAGATTAACAGGAAAAAAAGGCATAAACATTTTATTCATAATTTTAATGTAACATGCACAGGGGCTTCAGAGAAAATTGAAAACCCAAAGAAGCAATTCAACATGAAGGCTCATATACCATTTTAACAAAGGGTAATAAATTGTACAGACTAGATGAAGAAAAGAGGTTGGAGTTTCTAGGGCCAATAAATTAAGAGAAAGTGACCAGCAAATATATATGGGAAATTCATGGAAGACAACGGTTATTTTCATAAGGTCTGTTTATGCAGACTCTTCTCAATGCCAGCTCTCTGTCTCCAGTACTAAGGGTTGCTCTTCTCATCCTGCTACAAGAGATGGCGTGAATTTTTGCCCTTATTTTGGGCAAAAAGCGGGAGGAGGGCAGAGAGCTCTTCTTGCAACTGCTGTTTCTCAAGTGTCTCCAGCTCAAAATAACTAATATGTCAAAGTAGCATACTTTGAGGTGGCATATCCTGACCTCCTTCAGAAGAAGGAAAGATGGAGAGGAAGAGAATTTTCACATTCTTACCAAAGTATACCTAAAAGCACTTATTGGACTCCATATTACCTATGACTAGGGTATAATGTCACATCCCCAAGGCCACTAATTATCAGCAAGAACTTACAAGTGAATTCCTTTAAATGGCCAAAATATTCCCAGCTTGAACCATATAAAATTTGTCAAGCAATCTGTTTCCTTTTTGGTGGCATTCATACCAAAAATGGTATAAATTTACTGCCAACAGGAACTGTACTTAAAGAGTCATTGATGATTTGTGGGAAATTTTTGAATCTCTATTTCAGGATGAATCTGCTTTAGTATTGAATCATGTTTTTTTCTGAGTGGCTTTCATTGTATTTGGGGTGGTATGCCTGGTCCTCAAGTTCATTGGCTCTTGTTATTTATTCTTCACCTGAAGCCATCATCTCAGTTTCTGACATTAAAATCTGTTAGTATGGAAACAATTTTGGTTGTGTCAAGAGACTGAAGGATAATAACTCCATGGTAGCCTAAGTAGCAGGAGCAGACAAAAATCTCAGTAACAAAGATACTATTTTTATACTGGAGTTGCTAGTAAAATGTGTTGGAGAAAGGGGAGATAGGAATGAGAGGAAATAAAATGTCACTTGGATGTGTCTGGTTCCTTGAAGAAAACTCTTGTTAATCTTAGTTGGAAAAGAAGTGTGCTATGTGTTCATGATCCCTCCAGAGTGCTCCAGAAATTGCTAGAATGAAGTAAAATTTTACAGAATTTATCCAACTGTCTGAGCCTCTTGGCCTGTGTTGGTAAAAAGCAACTGTAGCTTTTTCTGTGAACCTTCTCTTTATAGGAAGAGATGCCAAGATAGGCAAGAGGGCCAGGGAGAGTCACAAAAATTGCAGCAAAATAGAATGTCGAATGAAATTTTCCCATTGATTGTGCATTTCAGAAAAGGCCACATGGTAGAAAGCAATAGGTGCTTTGTGTATCCCATTTTCTAAAGAGAGCCACCAAGGAACGACCAGCCATAACCCTGTAGCAATCACTAACAAATGCTGCTACCATCACCTTCCATCTCACCAAACTACGTCAGTAGTTCTCAAACCTGACGTAGAAAAACATTAGAAGCTGGAGAGCTTTTCAAAAATACTCATGCCTGAGCCCAACTAATCAAGTCAGAATTTATGTGGTTGAATCCAGCCACTGGTTTTCTTTTAAAGGCTCCCTAGATGATTCTAGTCACTCAGCCAATGTGGAGGCCCACTGGTCCACAAGAACAGAAGTCTTAGGATCTTTGGAGTTACACAATGCTGGCTATGATAAGTGCTCTGACTTCTCTCTTTTCTTGGGCCAAGTCAAGGAACTCTGCACTGAAGATGACTCTGACTGTGTCCAACAAAGGAACCACTCATGTACCCGACAGAGATACATTGCTAACACTTGAATGCCAGCCACACAGCAGCCATGGACAGGCAGTCATTGACCACAATACAGCAATAAAGTCAGAAGATTTTGGCTCTTTTCCAAGTTCTCTCTCATCTGCTTCAACACAGAAGGAGCTAAAAGCAGAAAAGGGAGGAAGAAAGAACAGACTGTGGCCACTCCCCTTCTATACAAATCCCTCAAGCTGGGGCCTTGCTTGCTGTGGGGTCAGCAATGAGGTCAGCACTAAACTGGAAGTGAGATTGAAGTTTCAACATAAACCAGGCAAAACTAGACTTTTCCATATCTGAAAATAATTGAAGACTTAAAGGATCTAAGAAGTTCTGAAATGATACAGAAAGAAAGTCAACCCTGTCGGGCAGATCCCAGCACTCTGGGAGGCCAAGGTGGATCACCTGAGGGCAGAAGTTCGAGACCAGCCTGGCCAACATGGTGAAACCCCGTCTCTACTAACAATACAAAAATTAGCCAGGCATGGTTGTGCATGCCTCTAGTCTCAGCTACTTGGAAGGCTGAAGCACAAGAATCGCTTGAACCCGGGAGGCAGAGGTTGCAGTCAGCTGAGATTGTGCCACTACACTCCAGCCTGGGCAGCAGAGCAAGACTCTGCCTAAAAACAAACAAACAAACAAAAAGGTAACCTAAAGGAGCATGTTTGAAGGAAGTCATAGGAGAAAAACCAACCACTTCATATTTGAATCCCACTGAGTTGAGATATTCAAGAAATCACTTGTGGCCAGATGCAGTGGCTCACACCTATAATCCCAGCACTTTGGGAGGCCGAGGCAGGCGAAACACTTGAGTTCAGGAGTTCAAGACCAGCTTGGCCAACATGGTGAAACCCCATCTCTCCTAAAAAAAAATACAAAAATTAGCCAGCCATGGTGGCGGGCACCTGTAATCCCAGCTATTCAGAAGACTGAGGCAGGAGAACCACTTGAACCTGGGAGGTGGAGGTTGCAGTGAGCCGAGATCATGTCACTGCATTCCAGTCTGGGCAACAGAGTGAGACTCCATCTCAATTTTAAGAAAAAGCAAAAAAGAAAGAAATCACTTGCATTTGGTAGCTGTACCTCCTGCATGGATTAATTACATCATGATTTGAGGACATGAGAAAGGAATGAATTACTTAACCTCCCATTGTCCCTTCTTCAGTAATCCTATCATAGGTAAGATACCAGATAATTCAAAACAGAAAAAAATGTTAAGTTATAAGATGACAAGTTCTGGGTATAGAATGGTTCTATAGGATGGGTGGCAATGGATGTATTAATTTGATGGCACAAATCATTACACAATGTACACATGTGTCAAATCATCATGCCATACACCTTGAATATATTCAATCTTTGTGAAATGTTTTTTAAATTTTGGAATGGAAAAAAGAAGGAAATTTCAAAAGGGAAGATATTCTCCTTCATTTTCTAGAGCTAATCAAAAAGAAAAGCTGTTCCATTTGCAGCTGGATAAGATGGGGTCCAGAAAGCTAGGATGGTCCCCTTCAGGTCATTTTATCCTTTTTTCTGAAATGTTCTGATCAGAAGCAGCATCTGGAAGTCACTGGGCCCCTGAATACTTACCTACTGGAACTGCTAGAGTGACTGGAGGCACAGTCACCAGAGTGATGTTAGACATTCTGAAACCTGAAGGTAGTGGAGAGCTTAAGGCAGGGATCCCCAGTGCCCGGGCCACACCCATGGCCCGTTAGGAACCAGGCCACAAAGCAGGAAGTGAGTGGTGTGTCAGTGAGCATTACTGCCTGAGCTCTGCCTCCTGTCAGATCAGCAATGGCATTAGATTCTCATAGGAGCACGAACCTTATTGTGAACTGTACATGGGAGGGATCTAGGGTGCAAGCTCCTTATGAGAATCTAACTAATGCCTGATGATTTGAGATGGAACAGTTTCATCCCAAAACCATACCCCACCCCAGGTCTGTGGAAAAACTGTCTTCCACAAAACTGGTCCTTGGTGTGAAAAAGGCTGGGGACCACTGGCTTAAAGTCCACTTGGAGTAGACCACTCCATGGCTGTGGGTTGTTGGGGCCTCCTGTTATCCAACCTTGCTTTCCTGTCATCATATGTGACTCTCTTTCTGACTCATCTTCTGCTGATGCCTTATCCATGGATGAGAGATGAAGGCAAAGTCACAGAGACCTACACGCAGCTACAAAGACTAGGTCACCACGCAGCTCCCTCAATAAAGAGGAATGGTTCTAAGTAGTCAATTGAGTTGTCCCGAGTAGGCCATTTTGGCAAGTACATAGCTGATGGCTTAATTGATGGCAGAAAAGTTCTTTTTTTGCACAATATATCAGACAACAAAAGAAGAGGAAAAGAAAAATCTCTTGGCACAATCAAATCCAAAGCACCAGATGTTGACTGAGAGGTGCCCCATCAGCCTGCAATGTATTCTTTTCAATCAACTAATATAGAATTCTTTTTATAATCACTAACAAATGAAAGTACAAAAGGGTAGACATCATCTCTAGAAGGCCCAAAATAAACCATATATTTTGCTTAAGACTGATTCTATTCCATTAATATAGTATGTGCTAAATCTATATATTAATATTTGGTATATGCATAAATGGGTGTGTGAATGAATTGAAGAACAAGCAAATGAACAAAGAACACACATGTTCAAGACAGGGCAAGCCTAGAGCAATGCTGTGTTGGGGGTGGGATCTAGAGAAGTAAAAAAAAGTAGAGAGACATTATAGGAGGTATAGATCTAAAAACAAAATTTGCATCTAATTTTGCTAGAACCATACTAATAATAACTATTTAAGTACTTATGTCATCCCTTCATAATTAATACATGTCTACAGTCTCTTTGCTTGATACTCCAAAGTTTAAAAAGTCCTTAAAAGGTGACCTAGCCTTGGTCTTCCCATTTAAAATTCTCAGGCATTTTTTTCTCAATCCACAGCTGGCAAATTGCAGAATTTCAACACTGGAACCAGACATGAACAACTTCATGCATAATGAAACTTCAACTAAGCAAGTTCTCTGAACTCAAAGATTTCTCGCAAATTAGGCATGTCCTAGGAATCCACTCTTGATAAAGCTAATGCTGAGTTGCCTTAGACAGTCGAGCCTGTGCATTTGAGGGTTTTGACAAGGCTGAGTGCTGAATTTGTGATTTTAAATGTAAGTTCTGGTTATTTTAAGCTATTCCTGTCTCTTTGATGGCACTGTAATGAAAGAAACTCAGAGTTTTTTTTATTCTCTCATTAGTGTTTCTAGCAAAAATAAAAAATACTCATTTGTGGAAATTTTCCATTACCTAATATATCCTTTCCATAAAAGGATCAGTTTAATGAAAGTATTCATCAGTATACAAAGAGTAGAAGCCAACTACCCAGCTTAAATCCTCATTAACCAAAAATTACTTAGGTTTTCCCATTTCCCATGAAATCAACATACAATTCATCTGTTGATGGATGTGCAGCAACAAACCATTAACAACAAACTCTTGAATCTCTATGATCCCTGACCGCATGTCTCCAAGCAGTAGGGACCTATCTGGAAGACCTAAGAATTCCCCCAAAAGCCAAGATCTTAAAATACACACTACACTGGTCTGAAATGTGACTTTTGAACCATTCCTTTGGTTAAAGTAAGTGTTTCAGAATCAGATAAAGTTGGAATCTACACCGTTGGGAAAAATGTATGCCCCTAATCCTCATATAGAGGGATCTCCCCAGAATGATACACCCCATACTCTCATTCACTCCTCCCAGTGGAAGAGTTTGGAAGAAGGAACTGGCCTCATCATACTCTGCCAACCTTCTCTTCCTGTATTTCAGAAACAAATCCTCTAAAAGACAGAAACAGACCACTTATGAGCCTTCATTATATTTTTTACATTATTTAGTTAAACTTTTTATTGGAGTATAACACACATACATAAAAGTACACAAGTCTACAGTTCAATAAATTTTATTATTTATTTATTATTTTAGAGACAGGGTCTCACTCTGTCACCTGGGCTAGAGCATAGTGACACGATCTCAGCTCACTGCGGCGTCAACCTCCCAGGCTCACTAATCCTCCCACCTTAGCCTCCCATGTAGCTGGGACTATAGGTACGCACCACCACGTCCAGCTATTTTTTTTTTTTTTTTTTTTTTTTTTACTTTTTGTAAACACAAGGTCTCATTATGTTGGCCAGGCTGGTCTCAAACCCCTGGTCTCAAGTCATCGTCCTGTCTCAGCCTCCCAAATTGCTGGGATTACTGGCGTGAGCCATTGCACCTAGCCTAATGAGTTTGTTTTGAGTAAACTTACTCATGAAACCACCATCAGATCAAGAAATGAAATAACACCAACATCCCAGAACAGTTCCCTGTGTCGTCTTCTCAGTCATCCTCCAGAAGTGGCTTTGAACACCAGAGATTAGCTTTGCCTGTTTTTGAGGTTAAATATAAATGAAATCCTAGAGTATTTCACTCCTTTCGTGTCCAGCTACTTGTGCTCCACATTATGTCTGTGAGACGATCCATGTTGTTGCTGTGGTTTCAGTTTGCTTAGTCTCTGCTGTGTAATATTCCATTGGGTAAATATACCACAACTTATCCATCAGACTGTTAAGACAGATTTGAGATATTTTGAGTTTGGGGCTGTAACAAATAATGCTACTGCGAACATGCATGTACATGTTTTTGGTGCACACATACACAAATTTCCATTGGCCAATTTACCTGATTGCATTTTGACTCCTGATAAAGATGAATCAATGGAGTTCCCTGCCAGAGGTCTATTTGTTCAGCTCATATCCACTGAATGATACACTACAGCATCTTCAGTTCCTGTTGACTGGTTCCAGAGTAGAATGAGGAAACATTACTACCCACAGAGAACTCGATCATCACTGTGCTCAGCTGGAGAAAGAATTACATGGCCAGCCCACTGGGCTCATTACACTCAATGGGATTTTGTAGAAGAGAACAGCACCTTCCATGAATAGAAATGAGCCGTGTGATGAGGCTAGATTTGATGGAAGGAACCAGACTTTTCTAGGGGATGCCTTGAGCATGAAAGCTTGGGTCCCACCTGCTATCTTCCCAGCCTAAGGACCAGTGTGAGAGACCATCAGCTTATATAAGACAGAGACACTGGCCACACTCTGCTGTGTGTGGTTTGGGTTGTTTTACTGCCTCTCTGCTCCAACAAGCCAGTGGGGAAGAGGAAAGCTACCTCAAATGGTGCCAAGAGCCCAGCAGGGCCCCACTGTGTCAGGGCTGCCTGCTTAGTGACAGAGAGGCCTCCCTGCCCAGAAAACTGGCTTGAACAGACCGTCACAACAGAGGCCTCTGTGATGGGTGTTGGTGGAAGGCCACAGCGACACAGAGAATTTGCAGGAGACATAACAACAGAGGTCTTCTCTCCCACTAAATATTATTCCGTGGGACATTCTGCTTCATCGTGCCTCCATTTTTGACAAAGAGGAATGTCCTGGTGCCCACTTATTTCACAGGCCCTTAGGCAGAGGACTGACCAACTTGACTGTGGGAGGATTGCTGACTCAGCTCCTGTTACAAACATCAAATTCAATATTGTATCTGGCCATGAATTCTTCTAAGTATTATTCCTTAAATAAAATTAATGATTTTGAGATATGGAAATATGTTATTGATATGATTATTAGTAATAAATATCAAGGTTAAAAAAAGAATTTCCATTTATCAATAAGCTAAGAGAATGCATGTGCATACATGCACTCACACATACACATACACATACACATACACATACACATACACATACACATACATACACACACACACAGAGCACCTCCCCCACCACAAATGGGGCCCAGTACCCTCTCATAAGATGAGAAACCAGTCCTGATTCCTCAGTCTAGCACGGAAGAGGCCTAAACTCTACATTATTTCATTCAGTGAAGATTTATTCTAAAATAATTATTGAGCACATAATGTATACCAAGAAATTCTGAGATTGCCAGCAACAGAAAAGCACTTCCTCCAGTTAGAGTTCTACACTCTGAGTGGCCATTTGCATGGAGTCTCACTTCTCAGAGAGTATCCTATAGAACACTTATACTCAAGAAACTGCTGCAAAAGGCTTCTGTGGTCAAGTAAGCCTTGAAATATCTACCTAACATATTCCTTCTTGGAGATTCACTATGAGTAATAATATATTGAAGGCTCTGAGAAGTTCCACAATAAATAAGCTTGTTTAATTTTTCTTAACCTAACATTTGGCAAACCGTTTGATCTTAGAATCCTTTCTCATCTAACACTATATTCCTGGACCACAATTTGGGAAATGATGTTAAAAGACAATCGTTAAAGAGACCAGGTTAGCTCATCCAAATGTCTTGATTTGAACCAACTTTGATACAACCAAGTGCACAAAAGAGGGCCCTGGCTGGGCAGTTGTTTCCAATGACTCACTGAGCAGCCTCTGCCCTGTTCATGAATAAGCAAGACACCTTATAGTCCATCAAACTCAGTTTCCTTGTCTATAAAATGTAGACTACAATTAATATACTTACTTTGAAGAGTCATTGCATTAGACAGAAGGTATGTTAAGTCCTTAGATGTGTAATAAAAGCTATCCATTATTATTATCCATTATTATTACTAAATCTGCATAAGCCACAGTCTCCCTTCATGAGAACTAGTTCCCTAGAATAAAGATCTATCATAATGATGTATGTACCTTTTTACCACTCACATTAAGGACCACAATCATTATGTCTACTAGCAAATGAGGGCGATCTTGGCACACACAGAACCAGCTTCTTACAAAGGATCACTTCCTTTCACCAAGGCCCTCCTCACTTTCTAGAGGGGCACTTTCAATAAAACTATGCAATGATGAAAATGTGGCTAGTGGCTTTGAATCAGGCACTTCTAGACACTTTTCGTTGTCATCGTGCCTTTTTTCTCTTCTTCCCAAATATGGGTCCTCCACAGTTCAGGTAAAGCCCTGGTTTTCTCCAATATTGTGGCCTGTCAGTTTGCAAGGGCTGTTTATAACTAGGGTTTATGTTGAGCTTTGGTAGAGGAGGAAGCTGTCTTTTCAGTTCATCTGGAGAGTTCTGGAGCAGGTTCTCATACAGGTAAAACCCTTGCACAGGCATAGTGCCCTCATTTTCTCACCATTATTAACTTCTTCAGATTATGTCCCTGAAGGCAATTATTTAAATGAAAACATGTTATGTATGAGATGATATGCATGAGAGACATTATCCGTGAAGAATGCCTTTGTTCCACTCAATTCATCAACTCCATGGCAGAGAACCGGCCATAATGGAATGAGACAGAAGACAGATATGTTCTAGTAGAAACAAATTATAAAGAACACGGACAACTTGTCACATAAAAGACTAATGCAGTAGAATGGCTATTTTGGAGACAAAATATTGAAAGGGAAGAATACAAAGTTCTAGTGACAATTTTTGAACCACTTCGAAACTATCCCCATATGACTTCATTTATTTTTGTTTTATCCTCTCCACTAAATAGTCCTTGACTGTGGAAATCTCTAAATTCTATTTATCTTTTATTCTCTCAACCAAGCCCCTAGTGTAGGACATTATTATCTGCCAAACATGCCACCTCACAAGGCCATAAAGTCAGGACATACCCAGAGGGCTTTGGGGTTTTAATACATCCTCTGTGTCAGGCGAGACCATAAACTTCAGCTGAAGAGGATAGTTTCAAGTTTCTTAAAATAGAATACAGTTCCATCAAAGTTTCAAATCTGAAAGATAAAATCACTTATCTTTCTAAGCAATACTTTAAAAAATTACACTGCTCATGTTTATTTAAAGAGTGATTATAGGGCTATTGGTAAGATATCTTTGGAGTTAAATATTCTGTATCAAGCTTTATGGTAGTTCTAACCCAACAATGCCAAGATACTGATGCAGTTAGCTCACTCTTCTATTACTTTGTATAAAATTTAGCAAAGGCTCTTGGGAGAAGAAGACATGAAGGTAGAAGATGGTGGGAGATGGGAGACAGGTGACAGAGAGATGCATACATACATATCCATGGCACATACATATCCCCATATGTATCAGAGCAATACATCTTCAGTTCAAGACTTTTAACATAGGCTTTACCTCAACATAAATGTAAAAGATACAGAATATGTAGATGATGGGGGAGAATGAAGTTGCCTCCCACATCACAGAAAAAATCTCATCCTTGGCTTTTTGAAAACATAAGTCATTTAAAACTCATTTTCCTTTACCAAGTGCTACCCTCAGGAAACTTACATCACTGAAGCCGAAGCTGGAGGAAACAGACAGAAAATAGCACATACACAATTCAGGCAAAGTAGCACATAGAGAATTCCCTGACAGGCTGAATATGGATTAATCAAGGAAGTCTTGAGGTTTCGTTTCAGGAGAATTTTTAGAACAGGATAAATTCCTTTGGAACTATCTAGTGAATCTCCTTGGGAGTCAGCAGATGAGCCAGAACAAATCTTTCTCAACCCTCTTCCATGTGTGTTGTCACTGGGTTGGAAAGAGCACTTACATGGCAGTCAACTTTAAGTGGTGGCTGCATCTCAAGCCTGCCAGTTTGCCAGCACTGTGCTTGGTCCTGTTCCTTTTCCCTGTGCAGATCTATTACAGACAAGTTCCCAGGACATAGAGTAAACATAGAAAGCTTGGTTCCCTCTCAACCTTCACTAGGATGAATCACTTTAATATACACTAAAGGGCTGAAAATTTTTAAAAAGCAATATATGCTAATCAATAGGGCTTTAGAAAGTCTCTGTTCCTCAATTTTGTTTGACTGTCAAGGGAAATTTGTTTGTAGCCTAAAAATGTACTAAGAAGAAAGACTAATAATGTAGAAGCTAAGCTCTGCCTGAACCAAAGTCATTGCCAACAGATGTTATCTCAAAGCAATTATCCACTGGGGTTCTGTGTCTTCTGATTCCACATAATGAGGTGCCAAAGAATGGGGCAGCCAGACAGCTGATGCAGTCCACAGAGATGCTTATAAATGGAAAAGGTTTGGGACTCCGATCTCATGGCCTTTGCTCCTTCTGCTTCTCTTGTTCCTAATCAGGGCTATCTTAGGGGGCATTTGGATCTGCAGGAGCAGCTGGGAGGGAGTTCTCATGTCATTCTGAGTTGATAGGCATGGCTAAGAGATGGCCTGACCAGAAACATCTTCACCTGACTCCAACCACCAACAAGATGGAAACCCTCTCTTTTGAGCACCTGATTGAGGTGAGTCCTAGAAGTCCTCTTTTTGAAAGCAGGAATGATAGAGCATTGTGTTTAATGCTACTAGAAGATGTTGACAAATAGCACGGCCACATAAAGCAAATTATTTTGTTTCATTACCTAAAAGCATTCCTCCAGAGAAAGATAAAGTTTGATTGGGGAGCAGAACAGGGAACTTAAGGCCAGAAAAGTCCCAAAGCTAACACAGTTCACCTCAGGGCATCCTTGCATCATTCCTTGCGAATGACAATATAAAATTAGCCACTTTTGAGCCTCCATGATAGCCACCGTCTTTTGGTGGCCTCGTATTAGGCATTTGGCTGCACAGGGAGGGCAATAAACTGACAAGCCTTCATTATGTCAATCATGTTATGCCATGAAGTGGAAGATGGCAGGCGATGGAAGATAGGTGAGAGTGAGATGCATACATATATACCCAAGTATTCATCAGAGCAATTTATCTTGAGATTCATATACACAAGCTGACCTTCAAAGTTCTTACTAACACTGCTATCTATCCAGAGGGAAATACTGTTAGAAAAGGTGAGGTCTATGCTACCTCTAGAGGCTATCCATGATAAGAATTGTTTCACTTAGCGGAAGCCAAGAATTTCTATTCTCATTTTTAAGAGTAATACTTTTTCCAGAGCTGAAAGGATGCCTGTAGCTCTCATCTTTAATAACCTATGTTCTTACCCTTTGTGTGACTGTCTAGCCTACTAATGACTTTCTCTAATCTTTGACAGTATTGTCTGTCTTTTCAAACTTTGGCATCTTCCAAGATTGGTACAAGGGACTTTGACACACCTGAGCACACCTAAAACCCTCACTCACTCTGCTACTCTCTCCTTCCTCTTCCTTCATGAGTTGGATCCTTCCTCTCCCCAATTATCTAAGTCACTCCTTTAGTTTTGTTTCCAGTAGTTTTCTCAAATACTTCTCTACTTAGAAGATGGGCAATTAGCATATATGAATGACTCCCGTAAACAAAATGTCCATAACTTCTCCTGATTCCAGCTACTCCATCACGCATCTGCCGCTATGTCTAGACTTCATGACACCTGAAACACTGCCATCATAGACACTGCTGCAGCGTGCATGGGCTCTCTCTTCCTCATGATGACACGAAGTTCCACTTCAGACCTCAAGGCGGCCAGTTCCAGTACAGTGCCCATCACTGTCTTCCTTGGTCTCAATAGCACTGCCCAATAGAAATACGACGTAAGCCCCATCTGTAAGTTTAAATTTTCTAGTAGCCACATTTAAAAAGTAAAAAGAAATGGGTGGGAGTAACTTTAATAACGTCTTCTCTAACTCAATATACCCAAACATCAATATGTAATCAAGACAAGAAAATTATGAATGAAATATTTTACCTTCTTTTCTTCTACTACCTCTTTGGAATCCGGTGTATATTTTACACTGCTGGGACATCTCAATTTGAATGCTTATATTTTCATTAGAAGTCCTTGGGTGGTATCTAGGTTTCATAAACTTTACAATCGAAAAGTAAATTCCAATACACAAGTTGTTCCAAATATGCTTAAACGTTTTCCAATAACCAAATCAGTATCCATTTTAAAATTTAAATTAATTAAAATTTAAAATTCAGTTCTACTTACAGCATCCCCCTGAGAGGCTGCTCCTTCTCCTATGGCCCAGGTAACTTCAGAATCAAATGGAGGTATTGCATTGTTCTTGTTCATCAATGATATTTCCAATTACGCTTATAACATGCCCACCTTCTTTGAAGCGCCATCTTCTCCTGCTCATCATTGCCTACTGACCTCCTAGTTCTTCCCCTTCATTTGCCAGACTCTGGCATCTGGTTTCCTCTCTTCCTCTCTACCCTAAGTCCTTCCACTCTTCTATTATAGATGACCTCAGTGCTCTGTGTCACAGCCAACACCTGGCCTCAGACTTTCCAGACCCCTGAATTTCAATGACCTTTAATTCCTTTCATTTCAGCTACCCACATCCACAACTGCCTTCTAGAATTTGTCATAATCCCAAAATACTCCAAGCCTCATATCAAATCTTCAGCCCACTCCATGTCCATGCTCCCTAAAATGTCCTAGACTTTACAGACGCTTGTCCCTGGAGACTTCTCTTTCCTTCCAGTCCATTGACCTAATTCTTGCACTTACAGCACAGTGGAAGAGTAAGGAAGAAATTTCTTGTAACCAAACTCCCTGGGGTTGCATCTAAGCTCTGCCACTTACTAGCTATGTGGCTTGGAGCAAGTTATTTAACCTCTGTGCGTCTCACTTTCCCCCTGTCTAAAATGAGGATAGCAACCCTATCAGGTAGCTTCTGTGAGAAATCAAATACAAAGCTTTTATTATCATGCAGTCATTATATAAATTTATTAAATAAATGTTTCCACCCAGCCAGGGTAAAACAATACTCTCCCTAGCAAATCAGTTGTCCTTTTTCTTTGTCCTTCTACCCCACCCGCTTGGCAAAACCTCAACCCTGATCAGTGCTGCTATCTACCTTCTTGTTATCTACACCCAAGCAACTAAGCCCTACTGGAGAAAATTGCAGTGTGATGCAAACTGGCACTACCACAAATGCTGTCACCAATGTCAGCATTACTGGATGAGCAGTTTTCTTGTACCATTCTCCACACCTAACAGGCTTTTCCCCAGTTGGAACTGAAGCCTATGAAGCCAGGGCAAGCACAAGCAAATCTCCAGTGAGAAATGTTGGGAGAACTGAACACTAGTCAGAAAACAAACGGATTTTTTTTTTCTTGAGTTCAAACTGTAGCAACAGTTATGTTATAGAAAAATGTAAATGGCCATTGCCCAGCCTAACCCATCTAGGGGATAAAGTTTGTCCACAGACTCACGGAACTAGGATTTTGTAGTCACAATAGAGCAGTGTGAAGCAAGAACAAATTAACAAAGATGTGGGGAGGAAGCTGAAGAGAGGAATTCTTTTGAAAGAAAGTGAGGTTCTTAACAGCCAGACTGGGCAAGCTCAAAAGAGAAGTGTCACTGTCCTTACTTTCAAACATGATACACTAGGCTGAATAACAGCCCCCAAAGATGTCCACATCCTCAAAGGGAATGTGCAGGTGTTATTAAGGATATTGCGGTAGGGAGAATATCCTGGATTATTCTGTGGGCCCCAGATGTCACCCCAATAGACTGTCAGAGGGAGATTTGACATTGAAGTAGGAGCAGGTGCAACAGAAGCAAGAGATTGGAACAATGTAAAGAAGGGGTCATGAACCAAGAACTATCAAGGCAACCTCCAGAACCCAGAAAGGGAGGAACTAGCCCTGCCAATACCTTGACCTTAGCCGAGTAAAATTGACTTTGGACTTTTGAGCTAATGAACCGCAGAACAATAAATTTCTATTGTTTGAAACCAGCAAGTCTGTGGTCATTTGTTATGTCAGTAAGAGGAAACTAACACACGCACATAGTATAGAAAACCTCAAGTGCTGCTGGAGCATTTCCAGGTGACAGATTCAGCCTGTGCCGTGCATGAGGGAACACGTGTGGGTTTAGCCACTGGGGCTCAGCCCTGGTGCCGAGGTGTGCCTCTAGAGGCCAGCCTGAGGACAGCCATGCATCAGCTGGGCCTGAGTGAATGTGGCTCTGGCAGAAGGTGCTTTCTTCCAGGAAGCGGCTGCTCAGAGGGAAAAGCAAGCACAATTTGTCAGAGAAATGGACACTTTCAATGCCCCCAGAACGAATGGACTGTTGACATATCTTTCACATCAGGGACCCCACGGGACCAAATCAAATGATGTATGTTAGAAAAAAACCTTTAGATAGATCCTAAAGAGACAATAGACAGTTTTGGCCTGACGTACAGTAAAAAAAAGGCCAGACCCAAAGAAAGAAGCGGGTGAAAATGTTAAAATTCAGCTAGGCCCGCTTCAGAGGGAGGGCAGAGAGGAAAATGCAGCCCTTCAGCCCCTCTGCTGCTGCACAGACAGGCAAAGAGCAGTGTTTCTGCTGCCTGAAGGCACGCCAGGCCCCCGAGGCTGGAAAGAATCAGAAGCTAAGTAAAGGGAAATTTGGAGGTCAGTGGGGTGTTCACTAAACCCCTGAGGCACAAGTTTGGGGAGTACCAGGCTCAGCTTCAGTTCAGGAATGTCAGGGTGATTCTCCAGCTGAAACAACTCCGGCACAAAGCAGCTCAATGATCCAAGGAATTGCAAAGCCAGAGCGAGTGGAGTGGTGGTGGGGTCTGCTTTTCTCCTTCCATTTCTCTGGGCACAGGGGCAATTGCTGAGAATGCCTTAGGATCTTGAAGATGAAGACACTCAGAGAAGCTGGGATAGTGGATATTACGAGGAAATTATTCACTTCCGCACTTGATTAATAACTTACTCGCAAAATATACCTCACTTCCAAGCACAGCACAGCCACGTTTTTTGCCCACCTCCACTGAGCAATTGCTCTTATAATTGCAGGAAACATGCTTCTGTAAATTAATTACAGGTTTTCAACCACAAGCTACAAGAAGGGGAAAAGAGCAATTTATATTGAGAATTAGAAAAGAGTGCTATCTGACCAGAAAGAAAGCTGACTTCTCAACCAGAACCTTAAGGTTCCTTGAGGGAAAACAGATCTTCAGTGAATTTAACCCCCTCCGCACTACAGATTTTCTCCTGATGTTCCTTCCAGTGGTTGTGGACTATTGAGTGGCCCATCAGTCCGAGCCTTATGGCTGTGGCCTCCTTTTTGCCGGCTCACAGGGCAGGAGGCATCTTCTCCTGCATCTAGAACAGTCTCTATATGTGCACAGCTGTTCCATCATTACTTAATAACAGAAAGAGAAGCACTAAGCCATAACAGATTTGTAGTCATTAGTCCAGAGCTACCATATTCTAGGAAATCAAATTCAAGGAACACCTAATTACAGACAACTCAGATCAGGGTTGAAGCCTCTTAGCAAAAGCTTCATCAACCCAGTCCTTGATGGGCCAGCAGGTGATGGAAATCGGGGAAATGGAGTCTGGTCCAGAGAATCTTTAAATGTCCTGTCTTTGTTTTATTCATTGCATAAGTCACATGCCAAGGAACATTATCCTGTTGTTTGTTATTTAAAAACTTTAAGTTGAGGTCCTTGTCCCACACATCCTACCCTCCAGGGGTCAGCACTGCCAAGGTCACTACCAGCTCTAAAGGTATGTTCCTTGGAGACTCTCTGCCTCTCATGGTCCTCCCTCTCAAGTTGTTCTCTTGGAATGACTCGTGGAGTTAATCATTTTCCCTTGAATTTCTCCAGCAACTTTGCCACCACCAACCAAAACAAAATAAAAAACAATACTCTCCCAAGTCATTAGCAGCATAAGGAATCAGAAGGGTTTGCAATGTGGCAAAGTAAACAATAAACAATTTTAGAATGGCTATGAAAGATCCCTGTTCTCAGAGGGCTTGCTGGGAGGGTGGGAGAGGAGTAAGAGACGAAAAACTACCTATTGAAGTAAAAGGTACACTACGCAGGTGACAATACACAAAAATCCCAGACTTCACCACTGTATGATTCATCCATGTAACCAAAAACCACTTGTACCCCTAAAGCTAATGAAATAAAAAAAATTTTTTTTAATAAAATGAAAGGGCTTGCCCCCTCTTCCACTAGCAAGGCCTCTTGCTCCACCCTGTCCCACAGGCTCCAACCTCCTCTGACACGGTCCAGCCTCACCCACTCCATCACACAGACATCTACTGTAGGAGACAAGAATATGCCATCCCAAAATATGCCTCTTTGGCATAAGGATTATTTTGACCTGAAGGCAATTGGGAAGAAGTAGATATAAGAAAAGCTCTCTGCCCTCTTCCATTTGCCTACAAGGAGGACACAAATTTACAAAGGAAAGGTGTCCTCCTCCCTCACTACCAGGAAGGAGAAAAGTTGACCACTGATTCAACATTAGACCCTTTTCAGCCTGTGCACAGCACCAGAGGAATCTGCATAACAAACTTGGCTAACTCCCACATATGCGCCTTCCCACAATTTGCTGCCCCTAGAGACTCAAAGTCTTTTTCCTTTGTCTTAACACTTCTCTAAAAACATACTGTTTTTTGTTGAAGGTGCCATATAAGCCAGAGGTCTAAGCCACATCCTTGAGAATTACTCATTCCTCAGGTATCTCCCATGTGTATATGAAATATACATGTTAATGCACTTCTGTTTGTCTTTCTCTTGTTAATCTGTCTTTTGCTGCAGGGGTCTGTCCCAGCTAAGAACTCAGAAGGGTAGAGAGAGAGTTATTTTTCCTTCCCTTCAAGGTCATGTGAGGATCACATTCCTCCAGTACACACTACCGGGGCCTCATCTTTCTCCCCTAAGTGGATTACAAAGGTTTCCCTAAATTAAGACAATGCTCTTTTTAAGATATTTTCTGGCACCAATTACTAAGATGAAAAGTTTTTCATCCCAATATTACTCAGATCTGGTTTAAACTGGTTCGTTACTTTGGGGAGTTTTAAAAATCCTACTTGTTTTGCTTTATTTTTAAAAACAAATTAATGTGATTTGTTGCAGTTTTTCATTTACTGCTGCATTTGGCTCAAGTTTCTGTTTATAAATAAACATACTCCGGTTCACCTACTCCATGCATTTTTGCTTTAGATCATGTTTTGACAAATTCTGACAAAGTTAAAAAAGAATTCAAAGCAACCAACTGCCTCTACTTCAAACTTATGTTAAAAAGTTTAATTTTATTCTTGCTAAGAATAACCCAGGAAAGGGGCACTCATAAATATTAGAAAATCTTTTATCTAAATACAATAAAATATTTCACTACCATTTGAAAGTAATTGTACTGAGTGTAAGCAGAAGTTTATATTGAGTTATTAAATTAGTAACAAACTTACTTTCTGCCAATCCAGGAATAACAATTGAACCTATAAGTGATATCACACATACTTGGCTATCGCACTGCCCTAAAATTTATTTCATCTCATGGTAAATTTTAAAAAGCAGGAGAGGGAAGAGAAAACACGATTTTGCTAACGGTGGGCAGATTGACAACACTGTTGTGTCCTGGGAATCCTGAAGTTTTGCTATTTTGTTTTGTTTGAACTCTTCCCTGTGCCCTCCCACCTCCCTCAGAGAAGACTTGAAATTTCAGGTCTCCACTTTCTAGTGATCTCCTTAAAGAGTGAGTTTTACTTGAGTGGAGGTAACTAATTTAGTGAAAAAACATGGATATATGGGCGTTGGAATTCTGGCTCTGGCATTTCTAGCCGTATAAGTTTGCACAAGTTATTTCACCTTTTTGAGACTCAGTTTCCCCATACATAGTTTGGCATTATCAGAAAATTTATCCAAAATTTCAAAATAAGCAGAAGGGATTACCAGGAGTTCTTTCATTATGGTACTGAGTTTGTTTTTCTATTGTCTGGGATATCTTTCAACTCTGTAGGCGCAGAGTTTAAATCGCATGTTTTTGTCCAGTAGAAATGCAAATAATTTTTATTTGGTGACAGATATAACCATAAAGATGATGGTTTAGGGCTTCATTGAACATTACTCAGTTTTGTGTCTTACCCAGCAATCTCATCTCAACATTGCCTACAAGCTCCCTCCCCTTTCAAATGCTCTCTGATGTATCATTAACATCTTCATGGTTCTTTCATTAATGAGGTAAATAAAATCTTTGATGTGTATTCACTTTATATTTGCATAAGACTCATGATTTTATCTTTCTGAAAATTATGCCTTAATAGAGGTAATCATCTCTGTTACTTTGGTTTATGAAAGGATTCAATAAAGTGATATAATAATAAAAATAACAATAATAATGATGTTTATATTTTATTGACTACTTACTCCATGCCAGCACTGCTCCTAAACATTCTTGTTATATGTGCTAATTTAATCCTTACAACTCTATAAGGTAAACATAATTCCCATCGTATAGACAAGAAAACTGTGGCATAAAATGTTGGAGAAAGTTACCCAAGGTTACAGAGCTAGTAAATGTGACAGCTGGTATACAAACTCTTCAAAGAAGGCAAGCGACCTACGTGTCTCCTACTTGGCAAAAGCCTTTCTCTTCCTTTTTATGACCTCAGCTGCCTGAAGACAATATGGCAGTTAACAACTCATTGCCAGCCAAGCATAAGCCCAGCCATTCTCCCAGCCAAGCTGTCCCTTCACCCAGTCCTCTTTCATGCTCAGCTCCAGAACACCACCTCCAGGGAGGGCCCTGGCTGCCAGGGAGGCTCCTTCCTCTGAACTCTGGCACTAGTCTTTAAGAAATTAAATAGACTGATTGCACACTGATAGTTATTATACCAGGATTCCCCTTGAAACACCCCACCCCACTGGGGACTGCAGGTAACTTAAGGGAAGACAAGGAGATATCTGGAGAGTTTCTTTATGTCACAGTTCTCAGATAAAAACTCTTCACTCAAGGATCAAAAACTGATTATTCTGAACCAGGCATATACAAAGGAAAGGGAGAAGGAAAGATAAAATAATCCCTTTCCCACATGCAGAACATAGTGATAACCGCTGAACATTCCAAAAGAGATAGAGAAATCAGGTAGCCCCAGTAACCTTCACCTTTAACCTAGAGACATACGTTTGCAAGGCCCATTCTAACTTCTCTTACAGATTGTTCAGCATCTGGTGCCTTGTGGTGAAGGATCCCAACTTTTCCAGCCATCCTGAGACCTCAGTCTCTCCCGTGTTCAGCATCGAAAGACCTGAGAGAGAAAAATGACTACAAGACTGCGGCAAATCACCTAAGGGAGGTCATATCCTCTAAGTCAGGAGTCCTCAAAGTGTGGCCCACAGACCCTTGCAGGTCCCTGAGACCCTTTTGGGTGGTCCATGAGGTTGAAATTGTTGTCATAATAATACTAACACATCATTTGCCTTTTTCACTGTTTTCGACATTTGCAGAAGCACTGGTGGGTAAAACTGCTGCCATGTTAACAACAAACCAAGGCAGTGGCACTGAGATGTACTGATGGTCATCTTGTTCCCCACCATGCACTCACAGTAAGAAGAAAAGGCCAGTTTCAATAAAAATCTCCTTGTTGAGTCAGTAAAAAACAGCAATTTCATTAAATCTCAGCCCTCACACATTATTTTAATAAGCTTTGTGTCAAAACAAAAAGTGCACAGAAAGCATTTCTGCTATCTTGAGGTTGTCTCAAGGAAAAGCATTTGTGTAACTGAGTTGCGAGCTGAACCAGCTGCTTTCTTCATGGAGCACCATCTTTATTCTTGAAAGCATGACTGACAGACAAACTGGTTGGTGGACATTTTCTCAATACCAAAACGAGCAAGCCTGTCACTTCAAGGAAAACTGGCAGTATTTACTGGCAACAATAAAAATTTGAGCTGTTAAGCAAAAATTAGAATTTTGGAAAACTTATATCCACCACTATGACTGTGACAGCTTCTACATACTTACAGACTTTTCTGAGGAGATGGGTAATATTAACAATGGTAATTTTTTGATATCATGTAACAAAATGTGTCAATATTTGGAACAGCTGCATAACTCAGCAATCCAATATTTTCCAAATGGCCAATGCACAATACTACAAAATCCACATACTGGATTTTGCCCATTTAAAGGGCAAGATAGACCAAACGGATTTTAATGTACAGAGGACAAAAGAGTCATTGGTATGTTCTCAGATTCTGCACTGCAACTAACCTTTAAGAGATTACCTCTTGTTGAGCTGCAGTTTAGTATCAAAGAAGAATATTCTCAATTATCTGAAAAGACTAATGAAATACTTCTCCCTTTTCCAACTGAATATCTGGTTAAGTCCAGATTTTCTTCCCACAGAACAGATTGTGACAGATTGAATGCAAAAACAAATACGAAAATCTAGTTGTTTTCCTGTAAGCCAGACATTACAGAGATTTGTTAAAATGTCAAACAGGCCGGGCATGGTGGCTCATGCCTGGGAGGCTGAGGCGGGTGGATCACGAGGTCAGGAGATGGAGACCATCCTAGCTAACATGGTGAAACCCCGTCTCTACTAAAAATACAAAAAAATTAGCCGGGCGTGGTGGTGGGTGCCTGTAGTCCCAGCTACTCGGGAGGTTGAGGCAGATGAATGGCGTGAACCCGGGAGGCGGAGCTTCCAGGGAGGCGGAGCTTGCAGTGAGCCGAGATTGCGCCACTGCACTCCAGCCTGGGCGACAAAGCAAGACTCCGTCTCAAAAAAAAAAAAAAAAAAAAAAAAAAGTGAAACAATGTCACTCTTCTCACTAAATTTTTGTTTTGGATAATGTAGTTATTTGTCATAAAGCATCTGTTATGTATGCTCAAAAGTAATGGGTTTATTATAGTTATTCTTAAATATTTTAAGTGTCCATTTTGATAACTAATATAAATATGTATAAATCAAATAAAACGTCTTTAGGATCTTCAATAAGATTTAATAGTGTAAAGGGGACTGAGACCCAAAAGCATGAGAACTACTCTCTAAGTAGAGAGTTTCGACTACCAACAGATGGCTTTAATATGTAAGGAAGTGCTGATGCAGTTTAGAGAACTGTGATATTGGCTTATCTTGGAGCCTGCCTATCCCTAGACCCTGTCCCTAAGTGAGGAGTAAGAATAACTCCCATTTGTATTAGAAACCACCCTAACACAATGTCTTTCTTTTCTTTTCTTTTCTTTTTCAGATGGAGTTTCCCTCTTGTTGCCCAGGCTGGAGTGCTAATGGCGCGATCTCGGCTCACCGCACCCTCCTCCTCCCGGGTACAAGTGATTCTTCTGCCTCAGCCTCCCGAGTAGCTGGGACTACAGGCATGTGCCACCACATCTGGCTAATTTTGTATTTTTAGTAGAGACGGGGTTTCTTCATGTTGGTCAGGCTGGTCTTGAACTCCCGACCTCAGATGATCTGCCTGCCTCAGCCTCCCAAAGTGCTGGGACTACAGGCGTGAACCACCATGCCCAGCCAACATCATGTCTTTCTATGCCTGCACTATGTCCTTCTCTATGCTGAAGCATAAGCATCTTGTGGATAAGAACCATGACTTCTGGCCAGGTGCAGCAGCTCATGCCTGTAATCCCAGCACTTTAGGAGGCTGAGGTGGGCCAACGGCTTGAGTCTAGGAGTTTGAGACCAACCTGGGCAACATAGTGAAACCCTATCTCTACAAAAAACAAAAAATTAGCCAGCGTGGGGGCATTCACCTGTAGTCCCAGCTACTCAGGAGGCTGAGGTGGGAGGATCACTTGAGCCCAGGAGGTCAAGGCCGCAGTGAGCCATGATCACACTCCTGCACTCAGCCTGGGCAACAGAGTGAGACCCTGTCTCAAAAGACAAACGAACAAAAGTCCATGACTTCTGATCTTTCATCTCTGCTAAGTACCTACACGTGGTAAATACTTTCTATTATGAATTGATTTTCATCAAGAAAATGTATCTCCTAAGGGGCTATGTTCTCCTGCAGAGGGACTCAGTCCATTTGTTGTTGTAGCAGCATTTACATGGCCTGGGATAAAGTACACACTGCCTCTTTCTGGAAGGTCATTCTCTTCAACCAAAAGGGGCATAAGAAAGAAAGAGACTTCTATCTGGTCAGCCAGACCAACCCATTTTGACTTTCTCAATCTGACATTGTAACCTGATTCCCCCACACTTCAGCCAATCATTTTTCAGCTGGAAGCATAATTAAACTAATTAACATACGCATAGCAAATAGGGAGGAGGCAGCTGAGTTTAATAATCTTATATTTGTATAGCACTTTATGCTTTCCAAATTTTACACCTCACTGGATTCTCAGAACACCCCTGTGAGATGGGGCAGTCATTATAACTTCCCATTAGCCAATGAGCAAAGTGAGGCAAGGAGAGATGAAATCACCCATCAGTGCCCATTCAACAGCTAAGCCAGGTCTCCTGACCACCAGCCCAGTGCTCTTCCCACTTCCCTGTGGACACTCTGACTCCTGTTGCCATTTTGATATTGAAGGGGCAAAGAGAAAGACAGCAACTATCTTTGCTCCTTCACTCCTGTTTCTCAGAGGCTCCACTCTAATTCCTTGATTCAGAAATAAGAGCAACTGATTTTTAAATAAATTTCATCCTGGCCTGGAATATTTTCATCTTAAAAATATGTCAGATATGTCTATGAGATTCCTTATTGTTACCCCCACAAATCACAAGTCAATACAGCTTCTTCAGAAACAAGAAAACATCGCCCTGTGGTATAGTAATTACCTGCCATCTCTCTGATCTCTTGGCTAGTAATATGTGTCAAAGTGCTGAAGTTGTTTCAGATAGAGACATATATATTCTGGCAGTACATGTTCCCCTTTTTTCCATATGGTTGGTTAGATACAGATCAAGTCTGGAGAGCACTTTCCAAAAATACTTTGGTGTTAGAAAAGATATAGGAGCTAGAAACCAAATATCAAAAATTTCAGAACTTGCTTTATATTATTGTCACAGGTGTCTAGAATAATAACTTTGAGGCTAGAATACTACTAGTACAATCCATGGGTGGAACTCCATCTAAGGTTCTATGAGTAAGATGGTGGTTATACACAGGCACAACTTGTTTTTGTCCCCAGGTTGTAACCACAAAGCATGTCTTTTAAGAGATTGGAAATAGTCGGCCAGGCACGGTGGCACACACCTGTAATCCCAGCACTTTGGGAGGCCAAGGTGGGCGGATCACCTGAGGTCAGGAGTTTGAGACCAGCCTGGCCAACATGGTGAAACCCCATTTCTACTAAAAATACAAAAAATTAGCCGGGCATGGTGGCGTGCACCTGTAATCTCAGCTACTTGGAGGCTGAGGCAGGAGAATCGCTTGAACCTGGAAGGCAGAGGTTGCAGTGAGTCAGTGAACTGAGATTGCACCATTGCACTCTAGCATGGGCAACAAGAGCAAAACTCCATCTCAAAAAAAAAAAAGAAAAAAAAAGAGAGAGAGATTGGAAATAGTCTAGATGGATATTTTCAAAGACATCATAGGCATTCCAAGTAGGGCAGATTTGTACTCAGATCTGATAGGCCACTGTCATGGTCCACAAGTTATAACTGGTTTCACTAGGAATCTCCCCACCTCTACCCATGTCAAACCACAGATACCAGAACAGGTAGAGTGTCCTCACCTGAGATCCAGCTGCCATTCAGAACCTGGGGCTTCCAGAGATGTGCATCCAGGAGAGGTTTGCTCCAGCTTAAGTTTAGAGGGAAGCAAAATAAGCAACCCTCAAATTTGCCAGTTTAGCATAAGATTTTGAGCTGAAGCAAATGAGAAAAAGTAGATGTAAGAATATCTCTCCCATACCTGTAATTCCGGCACTTTGGGAGGCCAAGATTGGTGGATCACAAGCCCGGGAGTTCAAGACCAGCCTAAGCAACATGGCAAAACCCTGTCTCTACAAAAAAATACAAAAATTAGCCAGGCATAGTGGCATGTGCCTACAGTACCAGCTACTCGGGAGGCTGAGGTGGGAGGATCGCTTGAGCCCAGCAGGTCGAGACTACAGTGAGCTATCATCATACCACTGCACTCCAGCCTGGGCTCTTTCTTTCATGACTCTGTCAGAAAGAAAGAAAAGAAAGAGGGAGGAAGGGAGGAAGGGAGAGAGGGAGGGAAGGAGGAAGGGAGGAGGGAGAGAGGGAGGAAGGGAGGAAGGGAGAAAGGAAGGGAGGAAGGAAGGGAGGAAGGAAGGAAGGGAGGAAGGGAGGGAGGAAGGGAGGGGGAAGTGAGGAAGAGAGGGAGGAAGGAAGGAAGGGAGGGAGGGAAAGAGCAAGCTGTCTGCCTCTTCCTATTTGCCTAAAAGCAGGACACAAATTGGTAAAACTGACCCCTTCCCCTCTCTACCAGGAAGGACAGAAGTTAATCATGAGAAACAACTCTAGATGCTTATCAGCCCAGAAATGGTGCCAGAGGAGTCTACACAAACAAACTTTACTAACTAGTTCCTACCTTCTGTTAGTTTCCCCCATAGATTTACCTTTCCACAATTTGCTGTCTTTGAAAGCTTAAAGTCCTTTTCTTTTGCCTTGTGATTTCTCTAAAAAGTTATTATTCTTCTGTTAAGATGATACATAGGTCCTAGTTCTTACCACCTGTTTGAGTTACTAATCTGAGCGCTCTCATGTGTGTCTACAGGGCACACATTAATAAACTCCTGTATTTCTCTCGTTAATCTGTATTTTGTCAGTCTAAATTGCAGGGCCCCAGCCAATGAAACTAAGATGAGTAGAAGAAGATTTTGCTCTCCTACAAGCTCCTCTAAGATTTGTGTTTCCTGGATTTCATGAACATTAATAAAAACAACAAATGCTGGACTGGAGGCAGGGCTATTTCTTTAAATATCAAGGTGATCAGAGTTTGCAGTGGTCAATGGAAAGATACCTTCTGGTCAATGGAAAGATACCTTCTACTCCTCAATCTTTCTTTCTTTCTCCTGGTCTCAGTTTTCCTTTCTGCCAATGCCTCTGGTCCATTGGACAAGAGCCTTCAATGAAGCCAAGATACACACAGCCCCTGGGTTATCCTGTTGCTGAATACTGTCTCTGGGAAGATGAGATAGGCCTGGGAAGGTCACACCCTAATTATGCCATTGATTCCAGCACATTTCCCAACACAGCTGTTGGAAGCAGAGGCCTGCCAGGGCAATGCCTCTGGAACTCTTCCCAGTGCCATTTACATGTTTTTGGTGCTGAACTCTACCAAAGCATGACTGAGGTATTCTGACACTTGGCTTTTGGGATCAAACAGTCCTAGTTTCAAATCCCAACAGTACCTCTTATCTAGCCCTTGAGCAAGCTGCTTAACTCCTCTGAGTCTTGGTTTTCTTGTTGTAATTGGAGTAAGACTCATTTGTAAAGATTAAAAGAGACATTTTATGTAAAGTTCCCAGAACCAAGTCTGGTACATAAATGTAGTTCTGAAATCATTTCTGTAAACTTGATAAAATCAATCAGGGAAAAAGGGAGGGGAAGAAGAAAAAATAAACCAAGCTTGCAGCACATTCAGCATTATCATGAGGTCAGCTTGCTCACTGGCCCGCTTCCTCATAGCTGTTTGCTGCCTATTGCCTCAGAATCATGTAGGCCCTAGATTACAACTCCCCTTAAATGTTCTATAGATAACAACTTGAACACTGTGAAATGTTAAGTTTTCCATTTGAGATCTTCTCTTAGGTCCTGCATATTGATACAATTTCTGCTCTCAGCTTGTCTGAAGGACCTTACAAGGCACTGACTCACCAAAGAAAGCACTTTCCACATCCTGATAATTTCATCCCCTTTTCCCTGACTGATCAATGGCCTTAATTTTCCAGGCTTTTGCCCTTCACAATTCCCTTAAAAACTCCAGCCTAGACCTCCTTGGAGAGATGGATTTTATAGTTCCTCCTGTCTCCTCACTCACTCTTTCTCTGCTGCAAACTCTGCTGTCTTGGTGTATTGGTCTGTTACTGCACAGTGCGTATAACAGTTCCTTTGTGTTCCATATTATTATCAAAAGTAAAAGGGGAGAAAGTCAAGTCAGTCAACACAGAAGAGCAACAGCTCTCCCTCATCCTGTCTCTTCCCCTTTTGCTATGGACTAGCCCCATTACATTCACTTATCCAGCAGTAGTTATTACACATGGGCTCCTAATAATTAAGACTTCTAGCCCAGATACACCCCTTTCCTTGGTAAGGAGGAGGATATTGACAAGAGTCTGGAAATGTTAGCGCTCCCAGCCACAGGTTAAACAAATGATTTTTATTTTATCTGTAGCTTGGAATCACCTGGAGAGCTATAGAAAAATACCAAGGTGGGTTTTCTACCCTCAGAGATTCTGATTTAATTGGTCTGGGCTGAAGCCTGAGCATCTGTATTTTTAACAGCCCCACACATGATTCAAATGTGCAAAGGGCAAAGAACCACTGAGTTCTCATTGAAAAGCACATGGGTTACTCCACGAAAACTTTGACTTTCACATTCACTTCTCCATGGATGCCCCTGTCAGAGGTTGATTTATAACACTGATATGTTTGTTTCCTTGGGGCTGGCAAGCAAGCTTAGCCAGAGATAATTAGAGGGAACCTTGATGTATTCAGTTATTCACATGTTGAATTTTAAATTCAGTCCAAAAGCCTCAACCACCTTCTGATCTTGTGTCAAGAAAATGCAGCCTCCACTGTCAATGGTGGGCTGAGGAAGTTATGCATCTGGCTCTCATTCTTTCTGTTATGCTTGTCTTGGACATCTTGTGCTTCCAATTTGTGGTCCTACTTTTATCTATAATTTATTTCAGTGATACTTATTATTACTGATTCCAGACTGTCTAACCATAGTTGGTCAAACTCTAAAACATTCAAGCAAAGAAGAAAGCATCTTATACACTACTCTTTCCTCAAGTGAGAATTAGATTGCATAAGAAACCACAAAGAATTTCCAGTTTTATTCTTCAGATTCATGTTCAGAGATCTAAGCAGAGTCGAGGGGAGGAGGAGTTGGAGGAAGGACAGGTACAGCTGAAGAAATGAGTCCCTTAGGGGAGGAGTTTTCAGACGGCCACATTCTCTAGTTTATGCTACTAAAGCCCTGGCTGGAATACCAACATCTGATCAAGAAGTGAGGACACTCCAGTCTGGGGAATGTCCAGGCTTCTTCCAGGCTTTCCTCAAGGGATCCTTGTTATATGAAAAATAACTGGTGGCTGTGACTTCTAGTGTGTGCTGTCACCTTCTAGGGAAGGCATTTATTTCATCCCATGTAACTCCTCAGTAGAGCTTGTACCACAACCCAATTCACAGATGGGAAAACAGCCTCTGAGGGGCTAGTCACTCAATCTCAGCCAAGGTCAATCTCAAATCCATGCCTTCCAAGTTGTGTCTTTTCCATGACCCTGCACCTAATGAAGATGATGCTTTTTTCTTGAAGGCACAAACCTCATTGACAATAAAAATAAACTTAAATGGCAGCCCTGAAATCACAGTATGAGGCTGGCCCATCATCCCTCGGCAGATTTCCAGGGCCTGTCTATTCTGACTGCTCCCTACCGAAGCAGAAACTTTGCATTGTTTGCTCTGAGACACAGTCAATAGAGGCTTGCCACATGGGCTCCTTCCTCCTTCAGGCCCAGCTCAAATCTCTTACCCTCAGCTGGATCTGACAGCATCTAGGCACCTAGTCACAAGTTTGTCCTTCTTTTCCTGAGTTCTCCCTCAGCTGGCTTGCAACAGCTCTCTGCCTCTAAAGATAGCAGGGCAGGACCCTGGCAATGCCCTCTCATCCTGAAAGAAGTGGGAAGTGAGCCCACCTCTCTCCTAATCCTCTCTCAGATGTTAAACTGAAAGATGAGAGGGTCTGATGGGGCCACTTGGGTAAAAGATGCCTTCAAAGAAGTTGCAAAGTCAGTTGTGAGCAGCAAGCATTCACCACCATGGAACAAGGTTGATAGGGACAGTCAAGGAAGCAGAAGATGCTATCACACCACCACCGTCACCTCCAGGAGTCTATAATCAAACAGGGTAGGAGGGATGGGTGAGACCAATAGTTCTGCATCCTCACCATGCATCAGAATCACCACCCCCAGACATACTGATGCAATTTGTCCAGGACGGGACCCAGTTATTACTACTTTTTAAAAAATACCAGTTGTTTCTAATGTGAAATTGCAACCAAAATAAGTTGAACCTGTTATTCACTCTTAAGAGGGTGCCACTGCCTTGCTGCTTCAAGAGGGCGCTAAATTGGTTAGGGTAGCTCTGAAAAGGTGGAATTTAAATTACAGGAGAGCTGTTGTAAGGCATGTGGGAGAAACTGGGGAAAAGCAGCTCTGAGGGTGTCCAGAAGGAGGAAATGGGCTGTGCATGTCTCAGCCATGGGAGTTCAGAGGTGCATGCTGTGGGAAGTCAATGTGTTTTCTGAGTAGAAAAGATCCACACCTGGTCTGAGAGCATGGGCCTTGTGGCAGCCCTGAGACTTCTCATTTGGAGTTGTTATAAACTGACTCAAGAGACAATTGTGACATATTTGTTCCAAAATACATCCTTTTGATCATTCTTTTAAGACGTTGCTAGGTAGCAGCTATGGCAGCTATCCCTAAATTGTTCAAATCACAATGGGTTTGAAGGCATGTTCCCACCCTCTTCCTCACCTTTTTGTTCAAATTCGTTAAGTATATTGGTTCAGTTTTTTATTGAAACTCAGTATTCTTGAATCCTAAGTGGCTTCTCCTGTGGCTTTTGCCCCAAAGCACAACAGAGTCTCCTGGAGAGCTAGGCTGAAGTGTCCAGTGTTGGAGCATTGCAAGCCAAGGAGGAGCCCACCAAGGCCTGGACCAAAGCAGGCCTAACAGCCCCTGGGCCTCTTCCCCTATCCTCATCTCAGCCTTCTAGATTGTGTCACTCTGATGATAAACTCCAGGGAATGCTTTCCTAAGAAAAGAGAAGAGAGAGAAGAGAAGATTTCTCCTGAAGGCCTAGGGTGGAGCTGACCAAGTCACCCACTCACAGCCTTCCCAGCCCAAGAGTACCTCCAGGCCTATTTTAGCCCCAACATAGCCATGCAAAATAGGAGAAACTGAATATCCTGAGGGAGAAGGAATGAAAGAGGTCCTGCCCTGGGGAGCAAGAGCAGTTCAGTCTCTGCATCTAAAGGAAAGCTCCGGACGGGCTTTTGTCTCATGCCTGTAATCCCAGCACTTTGGGAGGCTGAGGTGGGTGGGTCCCTTGAGGCCAGGAGTTCAAGACCAGCCTGGCCAACATGGTGAAACCCCATCTCTACTAAAAATACAAAAATTACCTAGGCATGGTGGTGCATGCCTGTAATCCCAACTAACTCAGGGGGCTGAAGCATGAGATTCGTTTGAGCCCAGGAGGCAGAGGTTGCAGTGAGCCAAGATTGATGGTGCCACTGCACTCCAGCCTGGGTGACAGAATGAGACTGCCTTAAAATAAATAAATAAAGGAAAGCTCCACCCTTGAAACCATGACCCAAGAAACGACCTGGGACTTTGCCGCCCACTTCACAATGCTCCTTCAAGGGTAGGGGACTGAGGCCTGGGATGTCAGGCAGACCCAAGGCTGAGGTCTCTATAAGAGGCTAAGAACTTGAATAACCCATGCTTTGTCCCTAGGGGCAAACTACTATTGGGTTCCCAGGCTTTTCTGTAGGCTCTTCAGAGCACTTTCTGCAGCTCCTCTTTGGGGTAGTTTTTCTATTTGGAGGTGATAAGCACTTTGTTCTTAGCACCTTATATGTGAAATAACCTTAGGCAATAATTTCCCACATGGGATTTTCAAATTAGCCTATGGCTGTCCAAAGCCTCCAACAATTTGTTTCTACGTCTGTCTCTAACTGAGCTGCAAATGTCTTTAGGAGCAGGGTAGTTTTCCTTGTTTTTCTTTTGTATACCTACTGCCTAGCGTGTAGAACCTAACATGTAAAAAGAGCTTAATAACGTTGAATACAAAAATAAATTAATTCCTTTCTCATTAGTGTCCTAAGTTCCAGACTTACCAGACTCGCCCACTTCCTCATGAACCACAGCCTTCAGTACTTGTGAGTTTAATCTTTCTCCAGCCTTACTAATCCCAACGCTTTTGACATTTCATTCTAGGACCTACTTTGGAAACTTTTCACTGTGACCCAGCGAGACCTTGGCCTTACGGGGTAGCCCTCAGATATTAATGAAAGCCCTTTAGGGAAATTTTCTCCTGATCCTAATCAGTAAAGTTATAGAAAATATTGATCCTTCACCTGTTTTCAGAAGAAATACAAATAAAAAATATGTTAATAGTCATGTCCTTAGCTGAGGTGAGAATCGCTTGAAACCAGGAGGCGAAGGTTGTGGTGAGCCGAGATCACACCACTGCACTTCAGCCTGGGTGACAAAGCAAGACTCTTTCTCTAAAATAAATAAATAATAAATAAATAAATAAAATCATGCTCTTAGACATACAGTTCAGTACTTTGAGCTCTTCAGAGAAGTAATTCTATAAAAATTTGACAACAGTCTCCTTCAAAGAAGTGAGAAGTACCTCTCCATGATAGCTGACTCTGAGAGATACTACAGCAATTCTCTGAAATTTTTCTGAAGTTTTTCTATGAGCTTTGAAATCAGTAGAACCTCATGTTTTCTTTGTAGGAATCATCAGAAGGGGTGGAGCCATTTCCAAAGTAGAAATAAATTACTGTCTTTTATCAGCTGTCTTCTTCCTGTGTTCACGCCGGCATCAGGGAGCCAATCTTTATTGAATGCCTACTGTGTACCTGTGGCTTTTCTCTTTACCCATGTAGGGGAGGAAAAATATTTCCTCTATCCACCTTAGGTTCTCAGCTGGGTCCTTGCAACAAAAGAAAGATTAACAAGAAAAAAAAGCACGCAAATTTACTCAATATAAGTTTTACATGACATGGAGCTTTTGTAAGGAAATGAAGGGCTGAAGAAACAATGAAACCTGAGTGTTTCCATTCTAGGTTTGATGGAGTGGAAAGCCATGGAAAAACATGAGAGGGCAAAAGGGCGTGAGCAAGAGTAGGAAACAGGGAGACAGCAAAATCTGTTCAGATTCCTCTCAGCAGCCCTGCATCCTCAGAGATAAGGATTCTCCTTTCCTCCAGGTACAGGGAGAGTGCCTCCCACATGAGGGCCAATGACCCGCTTCAGGGAAGTCAGGGAGTCCTTCCCGCACCTGCTGTTTCTCATATGCCTTCAGCTTAAAACATTCAGTGTGACAGCAGGCTATATTCTGAGGTAGCGTGCCCTGAACCCCATCACCCACAAGTCCACACTTATCTCATACTATCCTCCCAGACAAAATTAAACTCCTTTAGAAAACTTGAGTTCTTTCTGGTTTTTCAAAGCACAAGGCTAGCCCTGAAGAATCATATGGGCATGTCAATAAATTCTTTGAGTCCTCTCCAAACCTTTAAAAATAAAAGATTACCAATTTCCTGATTGATAATTTACCCACAAAGTAGCAAAGTCAGACAATATGAATCAATAGCCTACCATAGATAACGGCACGTATCATCAAAACATCTCTATGACACAGATATGGTAAAACCAAGTTTACCACTGGCAAATCATACAAAATCTTTATAAAGTGGAGCAGGAAAAGTGGAATGAGGTCCACTCCCGCTAGTTACATTGCTGCTCAGTAATCCCTCACTGAGTCCTATTAGAAGCCAGTACACAGCCCAAGGTCCAGAGTGGGAGACAAAAAAGTAATGCTAAAACCACGTGGAAAGTGCTACCAAAGAGGTGTGAGCAAGAGCTAGGGGAGGCCAAAAGAGGGAGATTCATGGATTCTCAAAGAGCTGAGGATGGCTTGGTGGCAAAAGCACCATCTGAGAGAGTGCTGGGATGCATCCGCACTTCCCAGGCAGGATGCTGGGGGAAGGCGATAAATGTCAATCAGAGGAGACAGCTCACTCTGGAGTTGCAAGTGGGGGCTCTTCCAGAAACAGGAGATGCTCTGAGCAGCTGGGGGAGAAGCTTGGTAAGGCCTGAGGTCTTCTGACGTTTGGAATGCATCCTATAAACAATAGGGAGGAAGCTTGTGGAGGTTGTAAAACAAGATGTCACATAACAAGATTTGTTATCTAAAAAGATATATCCAGCAGAAGTGTGGAAATTGAAATCAAGAGGAAAGAAACTGGAAAGGAAAAGGGACAGGGACAACGCTCTTTCTCCTTCCTTCAGAAGACATGCAAGTGTCATGCTGCCACCAGGAAGTAGCCCTGATGGATTCTGGGGAATCAGACCCTACCTGTAAAGTCTGCATTTCAATACCCACTGCATGGACCTCTATTTAGGACAATTGATACTCCAGAGGCAAGTGTCCTGTTTCCATCACGGCCATTACTTGTGCATCAAATGCTGTAGAACAAGATGCAAAGGTTCTATCGGCAAATATTCTTTTTTTTTTTTTTTTTTTTTTGAGGCAGAGTCTCACTCTTTTGCCCAGGCTGGGGTGCAGTGGCGCCATCTCTGCTCACTGCAACCCTCACCTCCCTACTTCAAGTGATTCTCCTGCCTCAGCCTCCTAAGTAGCTGAGACTACAGGCACATGCCACCATGCTCGGCTAATTTTTGTATTTTTAGTAGAGACGGGGTTTCACCATGTTGGCCAGGATGGTCTCCATCTCCTAACCTCATGATCTGCCAGCCTCAGCCTCCCAAAGTTCTGGGATTATAGGCGTGAGCCACCACGCCTGGCCTCTATCAGCAAATATTCTATATTGAGTTCTCCAGTTTCTCAAAATCCTGACATTTCTAACATCATTCCTTGATTGTTTTAAAGTGACAATTTCTGTAGCAACAGTTTTCATATTATCAGACAAGGTACGAATTTGTTAACCTCTTCCAATCATACACACCAAAAAATCTAAAGGCATTTTTTTCTTATCATGTAAAGTGTGGCAACAGAGTCAGGGTTCAATTTTTGAAGCTCTGATTACTAAGTCCACATTGGAGTATGAGGAAGTACAGTGACCAAAACTGCTTCCCTTAAAATGACTTTCAGACAATGTAGAACTCTACTCTCCATTCCCTTACAGAGCTGAGAAACTGCTTCCTCTTCTTTTTTCTTCTTTCTTCTTCCAGGAAGAATGGCTGAATTGTTCTGTAGTTTCTCCTTACACCCTAAGGAAAGACTCACTGCTCCAAAGGAATTTTGAACCCTCTCCTATTTTAAATGGCATCTCCCTGTAAAGCCTCTAGACCCATTTGGATTTTCAGTTCAACTCTTGTAGAAAAAAAAAAAAGTGAGTCAGAATCAAGCCTTTTGGGGGAAAGGACTGCCTACTGAGCTTCCTTTTCAGTCTGAAAAACAAGAGAAGATCTCCTTTAGACTCTCCAACAATGAGGTCACACACAAGAGAGTCGAGTGTCCCCTTGTCTCCTAGCACAGAGGCACCCTGGGCTAAAGACTGGCTCTTCCCTGGAGCCATCAGGCCCTCTGTCATGTATGGGTTTCTTGTCTGGCTTCCCTTCCACCTCTCAAGTGGAGTCTGAGTCTCACTTATCTCCATTGGCCTAGCACTGTGGTTGGCACACAGTCATAAGGACAACAATTATTAAACGAGAGCCTACTCCACGCTGGACACTGTGCCAGCTGCTTCAAAAAGATGACTACTTAACTTACTCAACAACCCCATTCTATTCTACATACAGAAAACTGAAACTCAGAAGGTTTAATCGATTTTCTCAAAGTTACCTATTGAGAGTCAGCAGAAATTTGAGCTCAGTCCTGTGACTTCAAGCCTCTGCCCTTTCCACTTGCCACAGTCCCTCCAAGGGGGACAACTGGGCTAACCAAGGGCTCCAGCTCTTGCGTGAATTCTCCAAAGTCCAAGTAAGTGTGCATGGACTGGCTCATTTGGCAAAATTACATTTCAAAGCAAATGTCCATAAGGGAAATTCATATATCCATTCAATCTGCACTATAAAATCAGAAAAATGTTTCCATAGGAAAAAAATCCCCTGGAAGACCAAGGTAGAAACTGTGTAGTATAACAGCTGTGACTGCTAGAGCTATGGATGGTCCAGAGAGCAGCAGCATCACCATCACCTGGGAGGTTTTCAAAATTACAGAATCCCAGTTCCAGCCCTACTGAATCAGAAGCTGCATCTTACTAATATCAGATGATTCAGATGTGCATTCTAGTTTGAGAAGCACTGCCCTAGCCTTTTTAAACCTTTATAGCATTTCCCACAATTATCCCTATGTTATCTTACCATCTCATCCCCTTACCTACACTCCAATCTTCCCACAGGTAGGATTTCCATGATTTCACCCTTGCCTACTAGTATGAGTACAGTACATGGTGCCATGCCTATGGTTAGATTTCCCTAAATATGATTGGCAGAATGAATACTTAACAACCAAGCTCAGAGCCACAATCTAACCATGGTGTACTTGAGTAGATTGGTTTCCACAAATTGAGTCAATAATTTAATCCAGTATTCTAAACCCTGGATGCACATGAGAATCACTGGGGTAAATTTAGAAAATACTGATGTCCAAGTTGTACCCAAGTACAATTGAATCAAATTCTGGTGTGCAATAGGGTTGAGAGCCTAACCTATTAATTATAGTGTCCTGTGCACAGTAGATGCTCAATAAGTGCTTGTTGAATCCATCAATCAATTATATTTGAAATCTTATTTACTTAGAGTGACATTTAACCTCACTGACAATCCAGAGCTTTCATTCAAATTATTTATTTATCCAACTGAAATTTTACTCTCCCTGATTTAATCATAAAAGTAATCCTCTTGTCTCTTACTCAAATATTGTACATCTAAATTAGCAAATATGGACTGCCAGGCATCCTGCTTACAAGCAGCTCATGACAGTGACTACCTGGCAGCAGGAACTGCAGCAGACAGGAGAAACCAGGATGGGAACTCTCGGGCTGGATTCTGATCAGAGCTGCATTTGTGGTTTGAAAGCCTCTGTGTTCCCCAAGGCAGTTGTGGCCTTGTACAACAGGATGGCAGCTTCTGGAAATTTTTGCTTGTGGACTATGATAGGTTGATTCCATTGATAGTCCAATAATGCCCTCTGGGTTTCCAAGCCCTTTGCAGTGTGATTTTACAGCTCCTCTATTTAAGGGGTAGTAGAGTCTCCTCCTTACATTTTTAATCTGGACCTTAACTAATAGAGTGCAACAGAAGTGATGGTGGTCCTGCTCCAAGGCTAGGCCTCAGGAAGCCTTGCACATCCCTACTCTTTTCTTTTGGAACCCCTCATGACCATGTGAACAAATCTGAGCTAGCCTGCTGAAGACCATGTGGAAAGACAACAGATATTCTAATAGACCTTATGAGAGACCAGCCAAGATCAGAAGAGGTGTGCATGCAATCCACAGCTGCCTGAAGTCACGTAAGTCAGCCAAGCTAAGACAAAGAAGCACTCAGTTGATGTACAGGCCCACAAGCAATAAGAAATGCTTTTTGTTTTAAACTAAATTTGGGAGTCATTTTTGTGGTTGTTTTTGTTTTTGAGATGGAGTTTCACTCTTGTCACCCAGGCTGGAGTGCAATAGTGTGATCTCAGTTCACTGCAATGTCTGCCTCCTGGGTTCAAGTGACTCTCCTGCTTCAGCCTCCTGAGTAGCTGGGATTACAGGCACCTGCCACCATGCCCAGCTAATTTTTGTATTTTCAGTAGAGACAGGGGTTTCACCATGTTGGCCAGGCTGGTCTCAAACTTTTGACCTCAGGTGATCCACCCACCTTGGCCTCCCAAAGTGCTGAGATTACAGGTGTGACCCACCACACCTGGCCTGGGAGTAGTTTTTATACAGTAACAGTGAACTGGGACAAGGCAAATGACTAACGGGCCAGTTTCTTTTCTTTTCTGTTTTTTGTTTTTGTTTTTCATGACTTATTGCAAAGCTTTAGTAGTTCAGGGCATAATCTTGGCACAAGTGTAGCAAATAGATCCATGGAATAGAATGTAGAACCCAGAATGAAATACTGTGTAATATAGAACCCCACATATATGGAAACCGGATATATGACCGAGGTGGGAGAGAAAGGAACATAGACTATTCAGTAAGTAGTAACATGATGAGGCATTCATTATGGATAGAATTGTGTCCCTCCAAAATTATGTTGAAGCCCTAACTCCACAGATGGGCCAGTTCCTTTAAGGTCAGAATGGCTTAACTTGGTGATGGAGGTCATCTTCCTGGTTCCACATCAGGAGAAAAGTCATCTTTATAAAAACAGTAGTATCTTATATCTTCTCCCAGGAAGCATTTGTATATGAATGCATAAAGGCACTATTTGCCAGTTGAGATATGAGTTTTTTTTCACATTATTTTGCCAAGTGAGCACAAAGTAATGATCAGCAAGTCTGTTCTGTCACCAACCATCTGTCCTATTAACTATTATTAACAATTGAGTTCAATTAACTTTGGTGCTCTGATCAGTTTTCAGTTAACCCACCAGGCCAAGCACAAAGACTCCATCAATAGCATTTTCATGGTGCTTTTCAAACACATGCAAAGCAGTCAGTTCTGCCCAACTCATATGCAAGTGAAGAGAGGAAAGTTTACCTACTAAGCAGAAGCCATAAGCTCTCAGTTCCAGAACTCAACAGCTCCATTCTAGCTCTAAGCAGAATCCTTGGGGTTCTTCACTGGGATACTCTGTAGACTCCCCCACAAGGGTAGGTACACAAAGCACACAGCAGCTCTTTGTTCTTCTTTGATGAGATCCTTATTTTATGTGTTAATATTACTTTCCATTTATTGAATTTCAACCGTGTGCTGAGGGCACATTTCCAGAGCAAGGTCTGGGCACAGACCTTTACTAGAGGGCTACGGCATTACTAAGGCAAGCTTTCAAGGAATGGGATTTTTCCTAGACTCCAAAAGGAATACAATAGACTACCTTTACAGGTGAGCAATGGCCCTAGTGTTTGGCTTCTCTGGTAAATAGACATGTGAGAAGATGTGCAATAGAAGTTCTAGCGGAGGGCTGGGCGTGGTGGCTCACGCCTGTAATCCCAGCACTTTGGGAGGCTGAGGCAGGCAGATCACGAGGTCAGGAGATCGAGACCATCCTGGCTAACACAGTGAAACTCCGTCTCTACTAAAAATACAAAAAAATTAGCCAGGCGTGGTGGCGGGTGCCTGTAGTCCCAGCTACTTGGAAGGCTGAGGCAGGAGAATAGCGTGAACCCGGGAGGCAGAGCTTGCAGTGAGCCGAGATCGTGCCACTGCACTCCAGCCTGGATGGCAGAGTGAGACTCCATCTCAAAAAAAAAAATAAATAAATAAATAAAAAGAAGTTCTAGCGGAGGCATCAGGACTAATAGTGCCACATTCTAAAGTGAATGTGAGAACATCATGGTGTAGGATTTATATTAGAAGTGATCAAAATCCATTTTGGAACTCCCACCCTTGATCCCGTCTTCCATTTCACACCTACTCTTCTCTCACATAAGAGGATGGAGGTTGGAATTAGGAGTATTTATGAGAGACCTACTGGTATACTGAGTTCAAATGGCCCCACAGGGGCTTCTCACCTCAAACCTAAGAAAAGGAGCCACAACAGGACCACTCAGAATCTGACATGTGTCCTCTGAGTGTAGGGGACCCTGTGACGCCCACATAAAACAATCTGGCTGGGTATCTGCTTCAGTGGTGGAGCAAAGAATGAAGGATGGCTTTGGGCTCTGGATGCAAGGATGCCTGAGTACATTCTCATGAACTAGATGTGGCCACTCTTGTGAGGGAGCCGATGGGGGGCCTTCTTGGATTTCCTCCAAGACAGCTGCCTGGAGGGGCAACTAGTCCTAAGAGGAAAGATACCAGAGTACCACCAGAGGCCTGGGGCTGAGCATGAGGAAGTAACTGCGCACAGTGGAAGCATGACCCCCACTAAGAGAAACTGCAGGTGAGAGAGAGCTAGCCATTGGCATGAGTGGAAGGAGGTAGGAAGCGAAGGGGTGGGGGCCTGAAGAAACTACAGAAGTGCAAATGAGGAAAGAGCCAGCTTTAAACACCTGCCAGACCTGGAAACAAAATGTCAGCACCTGACAGTATCAGTCAAGGAAGAACTTTCCTGGCCTTTTCCCTTCTCCTACTCCCTGCTGCTGCCCTGGAGTGTCATAATGAGGCCGGCAAGATGGAAGAGAAATAATAAAACTGCTAGGCTGGGAAAGGGTGAAAGAGCAGCCCGACGCAAGCCACCAGGCTCCAGTGGGTCTTCGCAGGGAGAAAGAGCAGCTTGAAATATAAGTTTCTGGCAGGGTGCGGTGGCTCACGCCTGTAACCCCAGAACTTTGGGAGCCCGAGGCAGGTGGTCACTTGAGGCTAGGAGTTCCAGACCAGCCTGGCCAACATGGTGAAACCCCATCTCTACTGAAAATACAAAAAGCCGGGTGTGGTGGTACATGCCCGTAGTCCCAGCTACTTGGGAGGCTCAGACAGGAGAATCACTTGAACCTGGGAGGCAGAGGTTGCAGTGAGCCTAGATGGTGCCACTGCACTGTAGCCTGGGTGACAGAGAGACTTTGTCTCAGAAAAAAAAAAAAAACTATATATATATATACACATGGTTTAAAGTCAGCCATTATGCCTGAACTACATATATTAATCACAGATGGCAGAATTTTTATGACCTAAAAGTGGCCTTAAAAGTTAAGGGACTGCCATAAGTCTTTTATGGGAATGGGAGAAGAACTAAGTCTACCCAAGGAACTGAAAGAATGTGTGTGTTCTGATTACACAACTTGAGGCCAAGTTCTTCATCATCATGACTTTATAGGCATTTGGTGCCAGCTCCAAGTACACAAACTTCAGCTGCAGCAAAGAACCCATGGAGCTAACGCAAGCCTGGAAAACAGCAGAAATGAAAAACAGACACCTGCGTAAGGACGGGATATTCTGCTTGCTACCAGCTGCTTCACAAGCTTCTTCCAGAGTTCCTCAGATGAATCCTGAAGCAGTGACTGAAGTAGGTGACTTGACTCCACTGAACCTGTTTCCTGTGAAGGGTAGTAATAATCCGATGGCCGTAGGTGGGGGTAGACACTAATTTCCTGTAGCTGCTGGACAAATGGCCTCAAACTTAAATAACCAAAATTTATTGTGATATTCTGGAGACTGGAAGTCCAAAATCAGTTTCACTGGAACAAAAGCAAGGTACCAGCAAGGCCATGCTCCCTCAGGAGGTGCTAGGATCACTGAGGTGGGTAGATCACTTGAGGCCAGGAGTTCAAGACCAGACTGGTCAACAGGCAAAACCCCATCTCTACCAAAAATTCAAAACTTAGCTGGGTGTGGTGGCACGCACCTGTAGTCCCAGCTACTTGAGAGGCTGAAACAGGAGAATTGCTTGAACCTGGGAGGCAGAGGTTACAGTAAGCAGAGATTATGCCACTGCACTCCAGTCTGGGTGACAGAGCAAGACTCTATCTCAAATTAAAAAAATGAAAAAAGTTCTCATGAGCACATATGAGCATAACCGCCTCCAGTGGTTTACTATGAAATGACAAAGCACAAGAGCCCACAGGTGATTGTTTCCAGCTTTCTCCAATACATAGGTATAGACAGGCAGTACTTATTATGGATCCCTGTGCCTGGGAAGTGTGAGTGATAGTCTGGACCAAAAGGAGCAGGGGAGACTGGCCAGTACTGGTGAAGTACAAGGGCAATGGTCAACAATTGGAGAAGTCCTCAATCTACCCCCTCTCCACAGCTTCTACAGTGCAGACCCTTTCCACTCATGTGTCTGCAGAAGTCCTGGGTTAACATGTATCCATTCTGCTTGGGAGGTGGTAACACAACAACCATCCATGGTGACACAGTAATCCAAGAACCCACAACAATGGAACATGAGCATCAGTGAGTTAGTGTGGACAGCAGGTCTAGACAGGGAAGACTAGAAGAGAGAAGAGGTGGGACCACAGAGGAGCTATGAAGTAAGAGTTGGCTCCTGGTGGGCCACCTTTCTGGAGACCAGGGGACAGGGTGGGAAAATGGATGGCCTAGGATGGAAAAATATTCACAGAATGTTTGCAGGGATTAGTGCATCAACACCAGAGTGGAAAGCTTAATTTCCTTGGCAGTTCTACCTAGGGCAGCCCTAAGGAAAGCCAAAGGCTGTTTAGATAGCTCAAAAAGCTCTTGTCTTAGACATCATGAAATCAGTGGGCTTTGCAATCTGCACTTATTTTAAAATCAGTGGCTGTCAACATGCTAAATGCTAAAAATATGTCCATCCCCGTTTCTCCATTTTATAGACCTGAAAATATTGAAGTTACAAGGGTGTTTCCACCTCTGCCACCCATTTAGTGTCAATTCAAAGGTGAAACTGTTATAATTAGTTATCTTCAAATGATCTTGAGTTTCTTCTGTCATCTTCCAAATTTGGGGATACAAAATCTGTTAAAGGCAAACTTGCTTCTCTCAAAAAAACCTTGTTAGCTAATTATATCCTTGAGTTGAGCAAATCTTGAGCTTTCCTCTTCTTGAAATTGAAAAAAAAATTACTCCTTCCCTTCCTGAAGTGCAGAAGGGGACAGTTACTCTTCCTGGATTTTCCAGTCTGCATGGACCTCTGCGGGCTCCAGACTGATCCGCTACTTTTATTAATTTTGATGATTTTTTACAGCTTTAGCCCAACACTGAAAGTGAACACAAAGGACCTGGCCTTCACATACAACCGAAAGTATCTTTAACCATAACAACAGAAAATAGCTGAGTTGACAAAGACAAATGATAGGTCTCACCTCAATCCTGAGCTCACAGCCTCAACCAGGTGATGACAGAGAATCCTGAAATTGGCAAGATGAAACCCCAGGTTCTTAACTCTCCAAAATCCTGCTCCTTAGGGGCCACTGATTCTTATATTATCCTATTTTCCACCTCAATTTTCAGTGTAAAGTCAAATGACAGCTAACCTTATTGCATTTTAAGGTCAGAATGATGTCACCTTTCAACAGCCACTTTGGGATTTTGATGAAGACTTCAGGCAGAAGACAAATGCTGCTTAGCATTTTAGACCAACTTCTGCTCACAAATGACAGAGGATCTAATCTGCTTGCTAACACCAAGTGAAGTGACTACTTGTAGAGCACTGCTGGGAAGGATTCTGAGTCTGCAAACTGACTCAACAGGAAAGAACACTATGATCAACCACCAAGGGCCTGCAGCGCCCATGGCCTTACATGTGTTTGCAAATCCCATTCAATATGAAGCCATCTTAAAGTCAACATCACCTGCTCAAGTGTATTTTGGGCCAGGTGTGCAGAGCTCCAGATACTTGTCTGTGGACGACCTCCTGTGATTTTAGACAGCATATCTTTGCTTTACATCCTCCTGCAGAAAACAGTCTGTTGACAGTTATCCCTCTCAGGGGTGCTTGAAGATGAATGGGCTGCTTTGAAAGCACACAGGGCTCTTGGAAGAAAAAGCACATCATAAATCCCAGGCAATAGTAGTTATTGTCTGGATTACCTATCTAAAGAAACAAGTCTCTTAGGTCATTTCTTTGACTGGATTTCAGTTTCTATGAGGTATATAAATAAACTGCTATCACAGGAGGCTAAGGCAAATTCACCAGTAAGAATACTTTATAGGCTTAATCTACAATGGAGGAGCTTGACATCCTCTATTTACATCACCTGGTCAAATCTCTGGCATGCAAAGAGAGCACAGTACTAGTAGATATGATCTTCTTCAGCAAAGACCAGAGATGACGTCTTAATTTCATGCTGTGAGGCTGGTGGAGCCAGAGCTCCACTGCATACCTCACTGGACCATTGCTCCTGTGGTCCTGTGTTCTTAGTCATCTGAGCCAGCCCTGCAACCAAGCAGCAGAGCCAGGGGGCTCATGAAAAGAATAATCCCACAGCTCAGCATTAGCCTCAAAGCAGCAGATATGGGGACCTCTGTAACTGGCACCCTGGACTAGAAGCAAATATCTGCAATTGCCTAAAACATATAAGTGTGTGTGTGTGTGTGTCTGTGTATCAAGAACACCCTTTGCAGAGGGTAAAGAATAGGAACAAAACTGTCTTGAAAATGCTGTGTCATTAACACAGAGGTAAGAATGGAAAGCAGGCCAGGTGCAGTGGCTCACACCTGTAATCCCAACACTTTGGGAGGCTGAGGCATTTGAGGCCAGCATGGGCAACACGGCGAAACCCCATCTCTACAAAAAATACAAAAAAATACATGGTGGTGTGCACCTGTAGTCCCAGCTACTCAGAAGGCTGAGATGGGAGGACACTTAAGCCCAAGAGGCAGAGGTTGCAGCAAGCCAAGATCATGCCACTATATTCCGTCCAGCCTGACAGAGCTAGACCCTGTCTCAAAAAAAAAAAAAAAAAAAAAAAAAAAAAGAATGGAAAACAAACATATACAATGCAACCTCAACTGGCAGGATGAAACCCCAGGTTCTTGTGTTAACTCCGCTGGCTGGGCAGCCCAGGATGGGTCACTTTCACTCTCCATCTCCACACTGGTACGGGAAGAAATTGGGCTGGGAGACAGATCACTCAGGTTCTTCCAGTTCTAACTCTCTGTGACTCCTTGATTCTAGTTTGCGCTACCAGGCAAGGTTCTATGTAAAAATAGAGGTTCCTCTTCAAAGACTTTCCTCTCCATTTAATTAGGAATAAATAATAACTTCTCTTAGAAGCAAAATTTATTCAAAAACCTGTGCTAACATTCTTAAATATCTGCTAGTCGTAATAAGAAAACCAATATACTTTATGTTCTTAGCTCCCACAATTTAGCCTAAATATTTGCCCTGGCATGCTTATACTGGTCCAAGCAGGCATTAGTTCATAGCCTGTTTCTCTTCCTTATTTAAAGGTGTTTTTACCTTTCTCAGCATTCCACAAGTTACTTCCTCCTTCCTTTTTTCTCCTCTAGCTTTGCCTCTTTTAATAAGTTCTAAGTTGCTAGCCAATCGGGACAAATACAGAATGTGAGGTCCTGTTCCAGCCAATGGAAACCGGACACAGCAGAAGGGTGGACGCGTCAGGTTATAAATGACCCTGTCTCCTTTGTTCGGGGTACTCTCGTGGCAAAACTGCTGCCAAGTGTACCCTTTCTGCAGAAAATAAAAATGGCCTTGCTGAATAAATTTAAGTTCAAGTACTATTTCTTTACGGCACCGGGGAACAAGCATTTCAAACTGTTATATGTCCACTGGCATGACCTCCAAAATGACCTCTAATTTTGGCCTTCTAAAATCAGTAGGACAGCTTTTTATCTCAGAGGGTAGTCACAGTAGTTGGGCATTCCTATGTGTCAGGGCCACCTGGCAAAAATTCCAATGCAGTCTCCTTCAGGGGCAGGGGCCTGCTGTGTCCTCTCCCCTAGCACTGGACTCAGTAAGGCAGGAGGGCAAGACCCATCCAGATGCTGTCCAGGATGAGGGTGAACAAAGGGGTCAACCTCTGTCTCTTCCAATGACCACAAACCAAAGGGACTCAGAGTACCAAAAATTTTACTAACATAAATAGGAAACTTGGGGACTGAGCACACCAGAGCCACTTGGAGGTAAGAGGGCCACTCTGCATACACTTTCTGTTAGTCAAACCAAATTAAACAGCAGGAGCTCCCCAGCACTCCCCACCATGACCTGTCTACTCGAAAGTCCCGGAGCTTTGTGAAGGAGGGCGGCCTTTAAGAATGGTCAGAGGCTCTCTCACCCTCTGCTGGGGGAAGAGTGGGGCAGGCAAACCCGGCATAATCCTTAGAGAGGTCAGGAGAGATTTCTTTCTAAGGCCAGGGTCTCCTGTGGCCACTTTAGGAGTCAGGACCCGGGGCCAGGAAGACGGCAGTGGGTTTGACTTGCATACATTAGGCTCCTGCTAACTGGCAGTTTAAATAAATTGAAGTAGGACTTTAGCTTTTCCTTAGCATTTCTGCCTGAGTTTCAGCTGTTTCACCAAAAGGTGAAACAGCTATTGTGCAAAAACTTTTCTAATAAAAGCCCTGAGTCATCTGGTCTACTTTAAACTTCAGAGAAGAGTTAGTGGCTTTTACAGTTCTTTTCCATTTTGAGGAACACTCCTGAACTTTGTTTTTTATCAAGAACTGAAACCCTTTCTAATCACTTCAGCATTTAGATGTTTTTAAATCTTGCTTTAAGTAGTTTCACTTTTGATTTTTTTCAGTTATGTTTACTGGGTTATGATAAAGGATACAACTTAGGAATAGTTGAGTGGAAGAGATGTGCAGGGCACGGAAGTGGGGTTGGGGCACGGAGTCCCCATGCCCTCCCGGGGCCCCCTGGCAGCACTTCCGTGTGTTCACCAAGCCAGAAGCTGCAATTGTGAAAAAATATTTCCCCATGATTTTCCAATAGGCTTTCACCTAATAACGCAACAGATGTGGTGTTTTATGGTTCACAACCCACTTTCCAAGGAGCTATCTCATCAGATACTCATGGAGCAGGCCCGCTACCATTGCTAAAATGCAGACTCCGCCTCTGGGAGTGTTGATGGCCACACCCAACTGGCGTGGGTTTATTTTGCCCTAAAGATACATTTTTAGGACTTCAAGTCTTTTCCTGTCTCCTGAGGAAATCCTGGGATGATTTTGCCAAAAAGTCCCACACACCAGCATTTGTTTATACCTATTTCCGGGAGTTATAGCTGGAAAAGGAAGAAATATGATCATGATCAATTTTCCTCTTGTAAAAAAATTTTTTTCTTTTTTTTTTTTTTTTTGAGGCAGGGTCTTGCTCTGTCACCCAGACTGGAGTGCAGTGGTGCAATCACGGCTCACTGCAGCCTCAACCTCCCAGACTCAAGTGATCCTCCTGCCTCAACCTCCCAAATAGTGGGGAATACAAGAACACACTACCACACCCAGCTAATTATTTTTATTTTTTGTAAAGATGGGGTCTCACTATGTTGCTCAGGCTGGTCTCAAACTCCTGGGCTTGTGCAATCCTCCTGTCTCAACCTCCCAAAGTGCTGGGATTACAGGTGCTGGAATTACAGTTTCCCAAAGTGTTAGGATTACCATGCCCAGCCTGTTTCCCTTTTAACACACTCAAATAAATCTGATGCAAACTCATTATAATGGCATGGACTTGACTAGCCAAACATATAACTATGATTGTTTTCTTAAGAAGGATTTTTAAAAAGCACAAGTCAACAGAACTTCTTGAAACTTCTGTATTGTAGGTTGGTTGGGCCAGCTCTCAACCAAACTACCAAGCATCAATACCCCTCTTCAGTCTTCTACTATCTTTCAACTCTCATCTCTTCAAATAGTGGTGGTCCCTCCTGTCTACTGAGCCCTTTAAGCAGGCATTCCTATATTTCATCAAAACCTAAAAAAGAAGTGGAATAATCTGTCATTGGCTTGAAATAAAATGTCTTGGTGTGAACACGTCACTTACCTTCTTAACTCTCCCAAGTATATTTTATATTTTAAACTTATTTCTTATATTGAATGAAAGGAAGGCTTTTCTGTTGTTAATAAAATGTTAGGCATTGGGAGGCAGATGGCATATTTGGAGGGGACAGGAGAAGAGGCAAAAAGCTTCCCGGGGTCCAGGCATGGTGGCTCACACCTGAAATCCCAGCACTTTGGGAAGCCAAGGTGGGAGGATCACTTGAGTCCAGGAGTTTGAGACCAGCCTGGGCAACATAGCAAGATGTCTCTACAAAAATTAAAAATTAAAAAATTAGCTGGTCATGGTGGCATGCATGTGTAGTCCCAGCTACTCAGGAGGCTGAGGCAGGAGGATCATTTGAGCCCAGGAGTTTGAGGTTATAGTGAGCTATGATTGCACCACTGCACTCCAGCCCTCAGCCTGGGTGACAGAACAAGACCCTTTTATTTTCTAAAAGGAAAAAAAAAAAGCAAGCTTCCCAGGAACCCAGGAAGTGTTACTTGTCCAAATAATACCTTAGTGTATACATTCTGACCCAAAGTTTTAAATGAAACTTAAAAAGTGCAATGTGAAGTTGTGTCAGTTAAGATTACTGACTTCAGTTTTCTGTTCTTCAAATGTTGCCTTTGTCTGAATGCCTCTGCAGAAAGGCTTGTTGAGAAGATGCATATACATATGTATGTAGAGTATTATGTATGTGTCTCTGCATATGTGTATACATATGTGCATGAAGATGCAGCGTTTTACAACATATAAGACTTAAGCTAAATTATTATTGGAAGTAATTACCTACAGGTGAGGAACCTGAGAGGAAAGGAAAGTGTAGTGGTATGTCCAAGACTTGAGAATAAGTCCCTGTGAAATCAAAGGCAGGTCACCAATTCACAGTCCCCCAAGGCTTGTTCACATCCACCCACTCCTGGCGCCTACCCTTTAAGTTTAGCGTTTCAGAGTCTCACCAACATCCCTTAGTCTTTTTCACATGGGTCACAATTGGGGTATGTTATTATTGTATTTGACAGTTATTATTACATTAGAAAATTATTAGTTTACTGAATGAGCTACTCTTCAGCAGTCCCTAGGGAAGCACCAAGGAATACATTCAGAACTTTGAGCACATGCTCAAGTCTCTTTTCTACCCTATCTTTCTTTAATCCAGGCCCATTGTGATGGTTTTTTCTAATGTCAACTTAGTTGGACTATAGTGTCCAGTTATCCAAACACTAATGTAGGTACCGCTAGATATTCTGCAGATATAATTGAATTATCAGATAAACTGACTTTGAATAAGGGAAATTCTCTTAAATAATCTGGATGGGCCTAATCAATCAGATAAAATACCTCCAAAGCACAGCTAAGACTTCCCTGAGAAGAGAAGAAATGCTTCCTGTGTATAGTAGTCTCAATCTGTGCCTGTGAGTTCCAGCCTGCCTATGATCTTTCAATGTTGAGGATCTGTCCTATGAATTTCAGATTTGTTTAGTGAGTCCCAATTTCATAGGCCAATTCCTTGTAATAAATTGATGGATGGGGCTGGGCATGGTGGCTCATGTCTGTATTCCTAGCACTTTGGGAGCTGAGGTGGGCAGATCACCTGAGGTCAGGAATTTGAGACCAGCCTGGCCAATATGGTGAAACCCTATCTCTACTAAAAATACAAAAATTATCTGGGCATGGTGGTGGGTGCCTGTAATCCCAGCTACTTGGGAGACTGAGGCAGGAGAATCACTTGAACCCAGGAGGTGGAGGTGGAGGTTGCAGTGAGCCAAGATCATGCCACTGCACTCCAGCCTGGGCAAGAGAGCAAGACTCTGTCTCAAAAAGATAGATACATAGACAGACATAAGATATGGATATGGATATAGATATATGGATACATAGATGTACAAACATATATAGGTATAGATCTCCTGCTGGTTCTGCTTTTCTAGTTGAACTCTGACTAATACAGATTTTGGTACCAAGAGTGGGGTTCAAACCAACATGTTTGAACAAATATACCCAGTTTTCCCTGAACATCACATTGCTGTCCTGCTGCTCTTGAGAACCCCTTGACTGTCAGCATGTGAAGATGCCTGGGCCAGCCTACTGGGTAACGAGAGACACTTGGCCAGTTGTTTCTATTGTCTGGACTGACAGTCTAACAACAACAGAACCATCAGCTGATGCACACATGAGCTCAACTGACATCAGCTGAGCCCGCCAGGACCAGAAGGACCACCCAACCAACCCACAGAATCCTAAGCCAAATAAGTGGTTGTTGTTTTGACCTACTAAGTTGTGGCATGGTCTATTAGATAGCAAATGCTCGCTAATACATAAGCAAACTGTGTACTCACTTGTTACATTTGAGATGGGGTCTGGGGAATTTTATAAAGTTCGCCATCTCCCTCAGATTTCATCTTTATCCACACTTTTATTAACATTCCATGTGCTTCCTGTTTTACAATTCTTTATGCATGGCTGGCATTTCTGTGTATCTTATAAGCAGAGACACTGATTGTCCTTGTTCCAGAGTATCTTCTCAAAGATCTTTGTTTGGAGAGTAGCCTTGGAAGAGACAGTGTTGCTCTCCAGATAATAGGACAGGTATGCTTTGCCCAGTATAAAAGATTCTGGTTTCATAAGGTCAGAGGTTGTCTCCTATAACACAACCCACTGCCTATGCAGGTGTCACTTGGTCCTGTTTGCATCACCAAGGCACAAGAAATAGCTGATATTCTGGCCCCTGCTAATGCTGTGGATAGTAAAGCCTTTTGTTTCTCACTCCGGAGTCTCCAGTCTTGTGCCAGCATCCATGAAATACTGACAGGCTAATTTGTTAGCTTGCAAGGGGGTAAAATCTCAGACCTTCCACAGTTCTTGACACCAATTAATCAAAACTCCTGTATATAAAACTATCAGCCACTCATGTAGGGGATATTGCTTAGTGTTTGTAAAGGTCCATTTCTCTGCAAATTACCCTGGAAAAGCACATTTTGTGCCTGTACCTAGAAACTCCAAGGCAGTGACAGCTGTACACATCCTTCGTTTTTCTTTAAAGGACACAGGATAAAGGCGTGAGGCCAAATCCATTTTTTAAAATCATTAAAGGAAAAGGAAATGGCAAGCTAGATACAGATATGCTAAGGACACACAGAGGGTTTAACAGCAAAAGAAAAATATTGTTGATCTCCCCCACTTTCTGCTTTTCCCCCAGCATTCAGCAAAAATGAATCAGACCTGAGTAGTCTTATGCACGAACTCCATCACAGGGGCACATAGATTCAAAAAATCAGTGAAGCCATAGAACTTTTTAAGCCATTATTATAATAGCTTAGGAAAACCAACCCTGGTTGTTGTTCTGTGGACTGCACACACAGAACTTTTCAGGCATATCCTAGCATTTTAATATAGTTCAAAACTCTATCCTCAGGGCAGGAGAGACTTACACATTTGTTCCTAACCTTAGCATATTCAATTTAGCTATTTCTGCCAGGAAGTTATGTCTACACATTTAAATTCCTTCTCAGGGTTATCAAGCCATTGTTCTTAGACTAGAACACTGGGAGGAGAGAGATGATGTGGCAAAGATGCCAAACCTCTCTTAGGACAACAGTGAAACACCTGCTTCAATGTCCCACAGATGGGTAGTTTTTTAAGAGGAGCACCTGAGCCAAGACCTAGTGGGGCTTCCAGGAAATGTCCTTGTCTTCTTTGAGTAAATGTTTGAGGGTATCTTTTTCCCACAAGGCTCAGATTCTGCAGGATAAAACTCCTTTCCATGCTATGTCAGCCATAAGATACTAGTTGCTCCAGGTACACATGGAACAGTGGTTTTCAACACTCATTGCTCAATAGAAACACCTAAGAAGTTTTATTTTTTTTTAATATCAACTTTGGCCAGACACGGTGGATCACGCCTGGAATCCCAGCACTTTGGGAGGCCGAGGCGGGTGGATCACCTGAGGTCAGGAGTTCGAGACTAGCCTGGCCAACATGGTAAAACCCTGTCTCTGCTAAAAATACAAAACTTAGCTGGATGTGGTGGTGGGTGCCTGTAGTCCCAGCTACTCAGGAGGCTGAGGGAGAAGAATCACTTGAACCTGGAGGCAGAGATTGCAGTGAGCTGAGATCGCACCCCTCCACTCCAGCCTGGGCAACAGAGTGAGACCCTGTCTCAAAAAAAAAAAAATTATATATAAATTTCCAGTGGCCCATGGTAGGCCAATTAAATTAGAATCTCAGGCAAAGGAAGATAGAGTGCTGACTCTATCATTTAAAAAAAAAAATACTCAGGTGATTGCAATGTGCAGTCAGGTGTGAAAAACTTGTTAGGGCAAAACATTCAAGTATGGCTCTGAGCATGTAAGTATCAAATCAAATGGCCTTCTCAAATCTATTCCATTCTAAGGGTGGGGATTAGAGTGAGTTTCAGCACTTTATTTTTTTTCACTTGAAGATCAGAGCTCTTATTCATCGGTGCACTAATCCAGTAAATATTTATTGATCACCTGGTAAATGTCAGGCACTACCTTCAAGGAGTCACAGTCCAGAAGGGAAGACAGAAAAATGAACCAGCCATGTTAGTGCCCTGGAGGGGGAAGTACAGAATGCTACAAGAGCACAGTGGAGGGGCACCCTTCATTTGCTGAGTTCACATCTTTCTTCTCCTGCCTGCCTCAGTCCTCAGCCTCCTCCTCCTCCTCCTCCTCATTCCCATACCGCCAATCAGTATGCACTGTGACTGTGAAGTCCAGGTTCTAATGGAGATTTCATCATTCACAATCATTTACCAAAACCAGATGGTACTTTTAATAAATCTTAAGAGCATGTGAATAGCTTATTCCTCTCTGGTTTAAAACATAGATTTCTAGAAAGAACAGGAAAAAAAAACAACTGACATTCCTAAACCCCAAAGCTATGTGGAAATTCAGAAGTGACATATTCTGAGTGGGTTTCAAGCTAGGGATCAGGCTGATGAAATGGGCCCCTGGCACAATCTCCATGGAGGAAGTGCTGTAACAGAACCACCTATGGGAACATACCTGACCAGAGCAGAGCTGCCAAGGAGCACAGGCAGAATCAGAGAGGGGAAGACAAGACCATGCTCAGGCCTTGACACTACAAAACATGGAGGAATGTTCGTCTGACTGTGGCTCTAGGGAGACCAGGAGTAACTCTCTCAGCTGCATTATCCGAAAGTATAACTTTCCTTTTCCTTCATGTGCTTTCAAGCATCCTTCATAAAGTGAGCAATACAGAAAGACCTTTTTTCCGGGAATGCTGAACTCTGAAGCGCACCATTTTTTTTTTTTTTTTCTGGAATCAGCACTGCTCCTGCATGCCCTTCATCCTATACTATGACTAAGAAAGGAAAACTGGATTTGAATATCAGCTCCACGATTTGATAGATGGATGATGTTAGGAAAGCCAATTAACGTCCGCATATACTTAATTCCCTGGTCTGTAAAGGAAGACAATGATCACAGGAGTGTTGTAGAGACGGAATGAAATGATTTAAAGCTTTTAGTTCAGTGCCTGGCACATAGTAGGTATTCAAAAAGAGGAACTATCAGGATCCTCACAATCCAAGCCTACATGGAGAATGTAGCAGCTGTGAATTTCTGACTTCTTGCAGCAGAGCCCTGTTTCTCTTTAATAAATAATAAAAAGAAAAAATTCTGCATTTAATAAACAGTATCTCCCAAGTCAGTCCTAAGCAGACATGGTATCAGGAAGCTCAGACACCAAAACCCAGCTCTCTCACACTTTGCCAATGTCAAACGCTATGTGCTATTGCTGCATGTCTGTTCGGCCTCTTCAACATTATCACTTTCAGGCCAACTTTTCAGAAAACTCTGTTAGACAAATGGAGAAAATAGGACTTCCTCTCCAGTTTGACAATATTCTTTTATTTCAAATTCCTTTGCCAGCATCAGGCCCACCTACGTAAACTGAGGGAGATGTGCAAGGTTGGGGGGTGGGAGGAGGTGAGATGTTAAAGCTAATGATTCCTTTTTTGCTTTTTTGAGATGAAGTCTCACTCTGTCTGTCGCCTCCTGCAACCTCCATCTCAGCTCACTGCAACCTCTGCCTCCTGGGTTCAAGCAATCCTCCTGCCTCAGCCTCCCAAGTAGCTGTGACTACAGGCACCTGCCACCATGCCCAGCTAATTTTTCTATTTTTAGTAGAAACAGGGTTTCACCACATTGGCCAGGCTGGTCTCAAACTCCTAACCTCAAGTGATCCACTGGCCTCGACCTCCCAAAGTGCTGGGATTACAGGTGTGAGCCACCGCGCCCAGCTGAGGCTAATGATTGTTTAAAAAGCACCTGAGACTAAGGAGTGTAGGCATCCTGAATGGGGACACATCTGAGACTGGAGTCTTCTGGTCTCAGGGACAAGCTGGGAAGAGCTGGCCTCAAACTATGAGATTTTTAAATGGCACATGCTTAAATCACAGGTCAGCATCCATTTCTTCAAATCTTCTGAATGGCTCTTCTTGGTGCAGAAGTACAAATTCAGAGGATTTGCTGACAGCAGCTCTGACAGGGATTTCCATCAGTTCAATGTGTTGCCAGACATCAAGCCCTCCTGTCCTCGGCTCCCAAGATAATGGAGTTATTTTAACTTGTTTATCAGGCCTGGTATTGTGGCAATATCAGAGTTCTCTTCATCTTCAATTTTAACCTTTTCTTCTTTTGGCACTGACTAGCGAATGGATATATTTAGACATTAGTTTTCTTCCTGACTTATCTTAGTGAGTTGGCCACATCTCAAGCACTGAGCTAACACTACATTTTCTTGTAAAAACAGGAGGCTACTTCAGAAATGTATATGTCATTTCAAAATAACATGTAGGCACTCAATGTCTGCCATATTCTTGATCCCCCAAGAGTGAAAACAAAAGGGAAAATATTATAGAGAGATATTGAAGAGCCAAGAGAAAGAAAGAATAAAAAGTCCCCATGTCTATCATAAGCAAGATCATTATAACTGGTCAATTAATGGTACGAAGTCAAGGCTACCAGTCATAAAAACAGATACTTCCTATCATAAATGTGTTATTTTAATTTAAAACACAAAAATGCATATCTATTCACCAAGGCCTTTCCACTGGGTATGGGTCCGTTCATTCAAGCTCCCTATTGTCTGGAGACTCAACAAGCTCCCCATTGTTGGAGGCTGCTGGCTCTTTACCTAAATACATTCTCTCCCTCTCTATAATAAAAGGATTATAGCTCAGCACGTTTCTGTCCCAATACTGTACACTTCCAGGTCTCCCTCACAGTAGGTATGGTCATGTGACTGAGTTTTTGTCAATAGAATGCTTGCAAAAGTGATGTGTACCGCTTCTGGACTGATGCCTTAAGGCAAGAGTTCTGGCTCCTCCATGTTCTCTTTACTCTTTCTGATTCCAGAATCCATGAAAACATGTTTTTGACCATTTAGGTATCAACAAGGCCCTATGGGTCTGAAGATCAAAATGATTTAAAAAAACAAACAAAAAAAGCCCTGTATCCCTGAATGATTACAGGCAACAGACTTCCCTCTGACCCAGAATACTCACCTTGGACTCCTAAGTAGAAAAACAAACAAGTAAATAGAATTCAGTCTTCTTTAAGCCATCAAATTACTGTTAGGCTTCTTTGTACAGCAGCCTCAGTCTTACTCTCATAATCCACACCCAGTTTCAATTTGTCAATATGGACCAAAAACTTAAAGAGATGTAGGAAATAATCTGAGGGCAGAATCCTATATTTTTATAACTTTCTCTTCGTTTATTACAGGGGTCTCACCTACATCTTATTTGACATTTTTTAATGATATTTTTATCAAGCCTTTACAATACATTCTGTTTCGTTTTCAAATGAATAATTTTCATTCTCAGACTCATATGTCATCCTTTTAAAGTAATATTAAAGTAAATGACATAATTACTAAGCAATACAGCTGGCGTAAATCTCCCGGGAGTATACTAGCCCTCGGTGTATCAGTCATGGCTTCATTACAAACCATCCTCAAAACTCGGTGATTTAAAAGACCTACCTACACTAAGTCTTCAACTCACAATTCTGCATTCAGGGATCTAGGCTGGGCTGCACTGAGCTCCTTCATGTGTCAGCTGCAAGTCAGCTGGGCAGCTGTGCTTCTAGGGCTGGCTGAATGTTGGGTGAGGTGAAGAGGGCGACTGGGCCATCATCCAGCAGGCTACCTGGGTTTGTTCAGTGAGTTACAGTGTGCAAGGCCCCTTGAGGCCTAGATTCAGATCCAGCACAGTGTCACTTTCATCACAGTCCATAAGCAAGTCATTGGCCAGCCAAGACTCAGAGAAGGGGATTCGTTGTGAACATTTTTTATAAATAGTCTCCTACACCTGCTCAACAGACAACTCAAGGGGTGAGAACAGAAGTTGAAACCAGCCCCAAATAAAATTTTATAAAATCAATTAAGGAGGAAAAAAATAAAATTCAACTAGGTTTGAAGCACAACATCAGTAATCATCAAGCCAGCCTGCCCTTTGGCCCACTTCCAGGTAGCTGGTTGCTGCTTACTACCCCAGGATAACATAGCCTTGCCACAGACTCTTTCTTTTCTGTTCTATAGATAAAATCTAAGACATTGTGAAACAATAAGATTTCTGTTTAAATTTCCCCTTTAGGTTCTGCATGCTGATAAAATGATCAACACCTGCTGGTCTGAAGGGCTCAGCAAGAAACTGACTCATGGAAGAATGCACTTTCCATATTCTAATGACTTCATCCCCCTTACCCTGACCAAACGATAACCCCAATTTTCTAACCCCTTGCCCTCTCCAATCCCCTGAAAGATCCTTGCCCAGAACCCCTCAATGAAATGAATTTGAGTCTCGAGAATTCCTCCTGTTTCCTCATTCAGTCATCTTGCAATTATTAAACAACTTGTCTGCTGCAAACCCTGCTGTCTCAGTGTATTGGTCTGTTGCTGCACAGTGGGCATACAAACTTGGCAGTCCTATAACAAAGTGAGTGAGGATACCTAGGGACTAACCTACTAGCTGAGAGTGTGCCAGCAGGTCCCAAGCATATCAGTTAGTATGATTTGCAGAAGTAGAAATCAGTTGTTCTAGGAAACCTGTGAAACAGAAGCCATTAAAGAGAACTGCTATTTTTAAATTTTGAGGCACTTTTAGAGCAAGATGAATTACTTTTACCTTCTAAGTTATCATCTTTTTTCTTGAGGCAGGGTCTCACTCTGTCACTCAGGCTGGGCTGCAGTGGCACAATCATGGCTCACTGCAGCCTCAAACTCCTTGGCTCAAGCAATCTTCCTGCCTCAGCCTCCCAAGTAGCTGGGACTACAGGCATGCACCACCATGCCCAGTTTTGTTTTATTTTTAAATAGAGATAGGGGTGTTTCCCAGTCTGGTCTCCAACTCCTGGCCTCAAGTGATCCTCCCACCTCAACCTCCAGAAGTATTGTGATTACAGGCATGAGCCACCACACCAGGTTGTTACAACCATTTTGAGGAAAGAATAATGTGGCAGAGACAGTGGGTTGGTACTCACTAAATGCTCCCACATCTCCTTTCTTCCTTGTTGGGACCATGTGACCAATTCAGGCCGATGGACTATGCTACTTCTGGGCTGAAGCAGCTAAAAACCAGTGTGTCTCCCCCTTCCCTCTTTTCCCTTTTAGCAGTGACCTCGAAATCTCCATGTATCAGATAGTGCAGCTTCAAGATTAAGGAGGGCCACCCGACCCAGATCAACTTTACGTGAGTGAGTAATAAAACTGCGATGTTGAGCCACCAAGATTTCAGGATGTACCTTATACCCTGACATATGCAAGTCTATCCTGACTTATTCAAACAGTAATGCTGTTGAAAATGCATAAGGACTCTAGGCAGAACAGAATGATCTATGAAGTGCATCCACACTCAAGAATCGTAATTTAGTTAGGTGGAGCCAAGATGGCTGAATAGGAACAGCTCCAGTCTACAGCTCCCAGCATGAGTGACACAGAAGACAGGTGATTTCTGCATTTCCAACTGAGGTACCGGGTTCATCTCACAGAGGAGTGCCGGAAAGTGGGTGCAGGACAGTGGGTGCAGCACACTGTGCATGAGCCGAAGCAGGGCGAGGCATCGCCTCACCCGGGAAGTGCAAGGGATCAGGGAATTCCCTTTCCTAGTCAAAGAAAGGGGTGACAGATGGCACCTGGAAAATCAGGTCACTCCCATTCTAATACTGCGCTTTTCCAACAGGCTTCACAAACGGCACACCAGGAGATTATATCCCGCGCCTGGCTCAGAGGGTCCTACACGCGCAGAGCCTCGCTCATTGCTAGCACAGCAGTCTGAGATCAAACTGCAAGGTGGCAGCCAGGCTGGGGGAAGGGCGCCCGCCATTGCTCAGGATTGAGTAGGTAAACAAAGCAGCCCGGAAGCTCGAACTGGGTGGAGCCCACCACAGCTCAAGGAGGCCTGCCTGACTCTGTAGGCTCCACCTCTGGGGGCAGGGCACAGACAAACAAAAGACAGCAATAACGTCTGCAGACTTAAATGTCCCTGTCTGACAGCTTTGAAGACAGTAGTGGTTCTCCCAGCACACAGCTTGAGATCTGAGAACGGGCAGACTGCCTCCTCAAGTGGGTCCCTAACCCCTGAGTAGCCTAACTGGGAAGCACCCCCTAGTAGGAGCGGACTGACACCTCACATGACCGGGTACTCCTCTGAGACAAAACTTCCAGAGGAACAATCAGGCAGCAGCATTTGCGGTTCACCAATATCCGCTGTTCTGCAGCCACTGCTGCTGATACCCAGGCAAAGAGGGTCTGGAGTGGACCTCCAGTAAACTCCAACAGACCTGCAGCTGAGGGTCCTGACTGTTAGAAGGAAAACTAACAAACAGAAAGGACATCCACACCAAAAACCCATCTGTACGTCACCATCATCAAAGACCAAAGGTAGATAAAAACCACAAAGATGGGGAAAAAACAGAGCATAGAAACTGGAAACTCTAAAAATCAGAGGGCCTCTTCTCCTCCAAAGGAACGCAGCTCCTCACCAGCAACGGAACAAAGCTGGACGGAGAATGACTTTGACGAGGTGAGAGAGGAAGCCTTCAGAAGATCAAACTACTCCAAGCTAAAGGAGGAAGTTCAAACCAATGGCAAAGAAGTTAAAAACTTTGAAAAAAAAAAATAGACAAATAGATAACTAGAATAATCAATGCAGAGAAGTCCTTAAAGGACCTGACGGAGCTGAAAACCATGGCATGAGAACTACGTGACAAATGCACAAGCCTCAGTAACCGATGCGAACAACTGGAAGAAAGGGTATCGGTGATGGAAGACGAAATGAGTGAAATGAAGCACGAAGAGAAGTTTAGAGAAAAAAAGAAAAAAAAGAAACAAACAAACCCTCCAAGAAATATGGGACTATGTGAAAAGACCAAACCTCTGTCTGATTGGTGTACCTGAAAGTGACGGGGAGAATGGAACCAAGTTGGAAAACACTCTGCAGGATATTATCCAGGAGAACTTCCCCAATCTAGCAAGGCAGGCCAACATTCAGATTCAGGAAATACAGAGAACGCCACAAAGATACTCCTCGAGAAGAGCAACTCCAAGACACATAATTGTCAGATTCACCAAAGTTGAAATGAAGGAAAAAATGTTAAGGGTAGCCAGAGAGAAAGGTTGGGTTACCCATAAAGGGAAGCCCATTAGACTAACAGCTGATCTCTCTGCAGAAACTCTACAAGCCAGAAGACAGTGGGGGCCAATATTCAACATTCTTAAAGAAAAGAATTTTCAATACAGAATTTCATACCCAGCCAAACTAAGCTTCATAAGTGAAGGAGAAATAAAATACTTTACAGACAAGCAAATGCTGAGAGATTTTGTCACCACCAGGCCTGCCCTAAAAAAGCTCTGAAAGGAAGCACTAAACATGGAAAAAAACAACCAGCACCAGCCACTGCAAAAACATGCCAAATTGTAAAGACCATCAAGGCTAGGAAGAAACTGCATCAACTAATGAGCAAAATAACCAGCTAACATCATCATGACAGGTTCAAATTCACACATAACAATATTAACCTTAAATGTAAATGGGCTAAATGCTCCAATTAAAAGGCACAGACTGGCAAATTGGATAAAGAGTCAAGACCCATCAGTGTGCTGTATTCAGGAAACCCATCTCATGTGCAGACACACATAGACTCAAAATAAAGGGATGGAGGAAGATCTACCAAGCAAATGGAAAACAAAAAAAGTAAGGGTTGCAATCCTAGTCTCTGAAAAAACAGACTTTAAACCAACAAAGATCAAAAGAGACAAAGAAGGCCATTATGTAATGGTAAAGGGATCAATTCAACAAGAAGAACTAACTATTCTAAATATACATGTACCCAATACAGGAGCACCCAGATTCATAAAGCAAGTCCCTAGTGACCTACAAAGAGACTTAGACTCCCACACAATAATAATGGGAGACTTTAACACCCTACTGTCAACATGAGACACATCAACGAGACAGAAAGTTAACAAGAATATACAGGAATTGAACTCAGCTCTGCACCAAGTGGACCTAATAGACATCTACAGAACTCTCCACCCCAAATCAACAGAATATAAATTCTTTTCAGCACCACACCACACCTATTCAAAAGTTGACCACATAATTGGAAGTAAAGCACTCCTTAGCAAATGTAAAATAACAGAAATTATAACAAACTGTCTCTCAGACCACAGTGCAATCAAACTAGAACTCGGGATTAAGAAACTCACTGGAAACCACTCAACCACGTGGAAACTGAACAACCTGCACCTGAATGACTACTGGGTACATAACGAAATGAAGGAGGAAATAAAAACGTTCTTTGAAGCCAACAAGAACAAAGACACAACATACCAGAATCTCTGGGACACATTCAAAGCAGTGTGTAGATGGAAATTTATAGCACTAAATGCCCACAAGAGAAAGCAGGAAAGATCTAAAGTGGACATCCTAACATCACAATTAAAAGAACTAGAGAAGCAAGAGCTAACACATTCAGAAGCTAGCAGAAGGCAAGAAATAACTAAGATCAGAGCAGAACTGAAGGAAATACAGACACAAAAAACCCTTCAAAAAATCAATGAATCCAGGAGCTGGTTTTTTGAAATGATCAACAAAATTGATAGACTGCTAGCAAGACTAATAAAGAAGAAAAGAGAGAAGAATCAAATAGACGCAATAAAAAATGACAAAGGGGATTTCACCACCGATCCCACAGAAATACAAACTACCATCAGAATACTACAAACACCTCTACGCAAATAAACTAGAAAATCTAGAAGAAATGGATAAATTCCTCGACACACACACTCTCCCAAGACTAAACCAGGAAGAAGTTGAATCTCTGAATAGACCAATAACAGGCTCTGAAATTGAGGCAATAATTAATAGCTTACCAACCAAAAAAAGTCCAGGACCAGATGGATTCACAGCCAAATTCTACCAGAGGTACAGGGAGGAGCTGGTACCATTCCTTCTGAAACTATTCCAATCAATAGTAAAAGAGGGAATCCTCCCTAACTCATTTTATGAGGCCAGCATCATCCTGATACCAAAGCCAGGCAGAGACACAACCAAAAAAGAGAATTTTAGACCAATATCCTTGATGAACATTGATGCAAAAATCCTCAATAAAATACTGGCAAACTGAATCCAGCAACACATCAAAAACCTTATCCACCATGATCAAGTGGGCTTCATCCCTGGGATGCAAGGCTGGTTCAACGTATGAAAATCAATAAACGTAATCCAGCATATAAACAGAACCAAAGACAAAAACCACATCATTATCTCAATAGATGCAGAAAAGGCCTTTGACAAAATTCAACAACCCTTCATGCTAAAAACTCTCAATAAATTAGGTATTGATGGGACGTATCTCAAAATAATAAGAACTATCTATGACAAACCCACAGCATATAATCATACTGAATGGGCAAAAACTGGAAGCATTCCCTTTGAAAACTGCCACAAGACAGCGATGCCCTCTCTCACCACTCCTATTCAACATAGTGTTGGAAGTTCTGGCCAGGGCAATCAGGCAGGAGAAGGAAATAAAGGGTATTCAATTAGGAAAAGAGGAAGTCAAATTGTCCCTGTTTGCAGATGACATGATTGTATATTTAGAAAACACCATCATCTCAGCCCAAAATCTCCTTAAGCTGATAAGCAACTTCAGCAAAGTCTCAGGATACAAAATCAACGTGCAAAAATCACAAGCATTCTTATACAACAATAACTGACAAACAGAGAGACAAATCATGAGTGAACTCCCATTCACAATTGCTTCAAAGAGAATAAAATACCTAGGAATCCAACTTACAAGGGATGTGAAGGACCTCTTCAAGGAGAACTACAAACCACTGCTCAAGGAAATAAAAGAGGATACAAACAAATGGAAGAACATTCCATACTCATGGGTAGGAAGAATCAATATCGTGAAAATGGCCATACTGCCCAAGGTAATTTATAGATTCAATGCCATCCCCATCAAGCTACCAATGACTTTCTTCACAGAATTGGAAAAAACTACTTTAAAGTTCCTATGGAACCGAAAAACAGCCCTCATCGCCAAGTCAATCCTAAGCCAAAAGAACAAAGCTGGAGGCATCACGCTACCTCACTTCAAACTATACTACAAGGCTACAGTAACCAAAACAGCATGGTACTGGTACCAAAACAGAGCTATAAACCAGTGGAACTGAACAGAGCCCTCAGAAATAATGCCGCATATCTACAACTATCTGATCTTTGACAAACCTGACAAAAACAAGCAATGGGGAAAGGATTCCCTATTTAATAAATGGTGCTGGGAGAACTGGCTAGCCATATGTAGAAAGCTGAAACTGGATCCCTTCCTTACACCTTATACAAAAATTAATTCAAGATGGATTAAAGACTTAAATGTTAGACCTAAAACCATAAAAACCCTAGAAGAAAACCTAGGCAATACCATTCAGGACATAGGCATGAGCAAGGACTTCATGTCTAAAACACCAAAAGCAATGGCAACAAAAGCCAAAATTGACAAATGGGATCTAATTAAACTAAAGAGCTTCTGCACAGCAAAAGAAACCACCATCAGAGTGAACAGGCAACCTACAGAATGGGAGAAAATTTTCGCAACCTACTCATCTGACAAAGGGCTAATATCGAGAATCTACAATGAACTCAAACAAATTTACAAGAAAAAAACAAACAACCCCATCAAAAAGTGGGTGAAGGATATGAACAGACACTTCTCAAAAGAAGACATTTATGCAGCCAAAAAACACATGAAAAAATGCTCATCATCACTGGCCATCAGAGAAATGCAAATCAAAACCACAATGAGATACCATCTCACACTAGTTAGAATGACGATCATTAAAAAGTCAGGAAACAACAGGTGCTGGAGAGGATGTGGAGAAATAGGAACACTTTTACACTGTTGGTGGGACTGTAAACTAGTTCAACCATTGCGGAAGTCAGTGTGGCGATTCCTCAGGGATCTCGAACTAGAAATACCATTTGACCCAGCCATCCCATTACTGGGTATATACCCAAAGGATTATAAATCATGCTGCTATAAAGACACATGCACACAGATGTTTATTGTGGCACTATTCACAATAGCAAAGACTTGGAACCAACCCAAATGTCCAACAATGACAGACTGGATTAAGAAAATGTGGCACATATACACCATGGAATACTATGCAGCCATAAAAAAGGATGAGTTCATGTCCTTTGTAGGGACATGGATGAAGCTGGAAACCATCATTCTCAGCAAACTGTCACAAGGACAAAAAACCAGACACCACATGTTCTCACTCATAGGTGGGAATTGAACAATGAGAACACATGGACACAGGAAGGGGAACATCACACACCAGGGCCTGTTGTGGGGTTGGGGGAGCGGGGAGGGATAGCATTAGGAGATATACCTAATGTCAAATGACGAGTTAATGGGTGCAGCACACCAACATGGCACATGTATACACATGTAACAAACCTGCACATTGTGCACATGTACCCTAAAACTTAAAGTATAATAAAAAAAAAAGAATCAGAATTTAATCATTCTTTAGTTCATGTAGTGCTTAAAAGAGAGTCCAAGGAACACAGAATTACTATAGTGTCAGGTTATATCCCCAAAGAGGAACTAGTTTTGACAAAAAGAAAAAAAAAGTTATTTGACAACATCCACATATTCCAAGCCCCAGGAAAATAATGACTTGAAAAATTACTCTCTCTATGCCCAAAGTCACTCCTGACTCCAGAGCCTTTTGGGCAAGCGATCAGGTCCTATGGTAGGCAGAAGGGGCATATTATATCTGTTTTAATTATATTCTGAATAAATCTCACTACTCAGGACCACTGGGCATAGATTCAATTTACAGACCATCTACGATTTTCCTAAATGGCAGAATAGGAAGGGGGACTGGTTTCAGATGAATAGACTGAGAGTAACGAAAACTCAAGATGCATCACAGACGCTCTGACTAGGAGCCTGACCTCACTCTAAGCCCATCCCATGAAAGGTGCACAACTCTCTCAACCAGAGCTCCTTGATTGTTATGGGAAACCCAACTGACCAATGGCTTGTGTGGTCAAACCCTAAACATGAAAGTTCTAGGCATGGTGTTCTGAGGACAGCTAGGTAAGAACCAGTCTGGCCTCAGTAATCTAAGAGTTCATTTGGGTGTGAGTGGGATCCACTCCCTGGATGCCCTTTTGTCTCTTTAGGGGTGGGGAGGATATACAACAACTTCATTACCGTGATTATTAAAACTTGGAAAAGTGGAAGATAAATATGTCTGTCTATGTCTTGTCATAACAATTTAGCAATTACAATATGTATTCTGAAATTAAACATGCATTTAGAAACATTTAGAAGTCTTCAGGGGGTTGAGCTTCTCCCTCCAACACTGCATCACTTGGGATGACATCTCTCTAATTCTATAATATTCAGCCAGCCTGGTAAATGTGGTAAATATTGTGAAAGGATCAACTGTTAGTCCAACTTGGACTAACAGAGCTCTGCAATTACAGAAAGAGAAATAGTTGAAGAGGCTTGGGTTGGCACAGAAGAGAATTAAGCAAAGACAATAATAACTAAAGAGATAATAACTAAAAAGAAAAGAGCACATAATCCAATTCTCACACATTCAGCAAGTACATTCTTTTCTGATGAGGCATCACAATTGGCTCCAGGGCCCTGGTCACCTAACATCATAGACTGATCACCTAGTCACTTGCATTCTCCTTACATTACAAGAAATGCCCAATGTTCCTTCTCCCAGGAACATTAACTGAAATCTCTAACAACTGGTCCAGCACAGAGAGTGGTCAGTAAAGCACAAAGATCGATAAGGTACAGGCATGGACCAGTCCAATCAGCTGCCTTCTCTCACATACCTGGGGACTACACTGGCACCCCTTGTACTGCCTCACACAGTTCAAGCACACTCACTTTTTAAAAGATATGTTTCACTTCACTAAAAAAGGAAATATCAAAAAGAAATAAAATAGGAAACAGCAAAACCATCTTGCAATTTGAGAGGGAAATAATGTCTGGTAAGTTTTCAAACGTTCTGCATGCCCCTCTGGCATATTCAGCTTTGGGGGGACCCGGCTTGGTGACTGAGGCAGTAGGGATCTGGAGAGCACGGAGGATCCTGGTAAGCTGGGGGACAGTGTCAGATCCAATGTCCAAATTCTTTCAGGGCCTCCCAGTCCAGTCTCAATGCCACTTCTGGAAGAAAGCTCCCAAAGCACCCCATCTGTAGCCTTCTTACGGCATTGTTCACATTCTGCTGTTTATTCATGTCTTCTCCTATCAGACTTCGAACTCCAGAAAGGCAGGGCCCACATGGTTAATCCTTGCATCCCTCACAAGGCTGAGGATTGCACCGTACACCTTAAGGAATAAGCGAGCACAGGTGATAGGGCAAGTCGAACCAGGAGAGAAGGAATGAAGGGGAAGCTCAGTCATTAGGGATGTTGGGGGTGGAGGGAGGGAAAGAGTGGGGAGAGTCAAGTTCTGGAGTCAGGAATAGATGTGGACAGACTTGGCTATGTTCAGAGTACTAGTGGATAGGGTTATGACCCTGTCCCTGGAGGAGATGTTCCTGGTTTTCCCTTTGGTGTAATCTGATGACATCTCACCCACATTTTCCCTCCTCATCACCCCTTTTATATCCCTCTTTTCCACTTCCCTTTTCCGCTGTAGGGTACCATGATTATTATCTTATAGGATATACAATTAAATCAATCAGTTAATATGGAATACCTATTATGCAAAGCACTATTATGTAAATTAAAGCTATAGTACTTATAGGTTTTACTAATTTAGTGTAAAATGAAAAAGGGAAATTTTCCAATTTGGGAAATTATAATTCCACATAACACTCAGAAATGATCTGTCATTACTTTAACAACACTTTCTTGGTACAAGCACACTTGTTTGCGAGTGAAAGCTGTTAGATGCTCAGTGTTAGTAAGAGTGGGGTAAAAATGATATACACTGCTGGTGGCATTGTTGATGAAAAATATTCAGGCAATATATCTTTTTGGCTATGAAAATATTCTTACCTCTGACCACATAATTCCAGTTCTGAGTCTATGTAAAAAAGCATATATTATAGCATCACATTCAACAACCCAAAACAGAGACAATTCAAATGTTAGCAATAAGAAAATAACTTAATAGTTTTATGGCTAGTTTGATTATAATGAATTATGCATTCATTAAAAATTGGTGTTTATGGGATATTTGTGGACATATAAAATGTTTATAAATATCATCAGATGAGAAAAGCAGACTTCAAAGTTTTGTGAGTACCGTGAAAACAACTACGTATGCTTTTTTCTTGTAAATTTGTTTGAGTTCATTGTAGATTCTGGATATTGAGAGGATGTGGAGAAATAGGAACACTTTTACACTGTTGGTGGGACTGTAAACTAGTTCAACCATTGTGGAAGTCAGTGTGGCGATTCCTCAGGGATCTCGAACTAGAAATACCATTTGACCCAGCCATCCCATTACTGGGTATATACCCAAATGACTATAAATCATGCTGCTATAAAGACACATGCACACGTATGTTTATTGCGGCATTATTCACAATAGCAAAGACTTGGAACCAACCCAAATGTCCAACAATGATAGACTGGATTAAGAAAATGTGGCACATATACACCATGGAATACTACGCAGCCATAAAAAATGATGAGTTCATGTCCTTTGTAGGGACATGGATGAAATTGGAAATCATCATTCTCAGTAAACTATCGCAAGAACAAAAAAACAAACACCGCATATTCTCACTCATAGGTGGGAATTGAACAATGAGATCACATGGACACAGGAAGGGGAATATCACACTCTGGGGACTGCGGTGGGGTGGGGGGTGGTGGGGAGGGATAGCATTGGGAGATATACCTAATGCTAGATGACGAGTTAGTGGGTGCAGCGCACCAGCATGGCACATGTATACATATGTAACTAACCTGCACAATGTGCACATGTACCCTAAAACTTAAAGTATAATAAAAAAAAAAAAGAAAACAACTATGTAAAAATCTATGTGCATATGGACAAGAACAAAAAGATAACTCTCAGAAAATTAGACGTGTTAAAGTAGTGGATTTTTAAAACTTAATATTATTAAATATAGGAGCACCATTTGGCAACATTCCACAGGAATAGAAGAAAAGAAGTGAGAATGTAAATAAAAGACTGAAGGAGGGAAAGACTTTAGCCTAGGACAAAGTTCACCAGCAATATAGTTCACATTCTCAGAGCTACAATTTATGTTTGACATGGAGTATTTTTTTTTTAATTATACTTTAAGTTTTAGGGTACATGTGCACAATGTGCAGGTTTGTTACATATGCATACATGTGCCATGTTGGTGTGCTGCACCCATTAACTCATCATTTAACATTAGGTATATCTCCTAATGCTATCCCTGACTGGATTAAGAAACTGTGGCACATATACACCGTGGAATACTACGCAGTCATAAAAAAGGATGAGTTCATGTCCTTTGTAGGGACATGGATGAAGCTGGAAACCATTCTCAGCAAACTATCGCAAGGACATGGAGTATTTTCAATAAGGATAATGATTAGATAATTTGTAATCTGAAAGCATGCTAATAAATGTAATCTATTTATTCAGAAAGAGACTTACTCATGAATTATTTCCTCTTACCAAATTACATGCATGCTTGGCTATATCAGATATTTATGGAGGGGGAAAAAGTAATTTCAACTTAACATAAGAAAACTGTGTTTGGAGCCAGGCATTCTGGCTGTGGTCCTGCCATAAACCAGCTGTGTGCAGCTGAGCAAGTGACTCAGGCCTCCTGGGTCTGTTTTTCCAAGTACAAAATAAAGGGGCTGAACTGCAACTCTGAGGGTCCCCTCAGCTGTAACATTTCATGACGTTGGTCAGTTTCACCCAGGAGCTTGATGCAGTGCATGGGGACCGTGCTGTATTCAGTTTAGCAATGGTCAGAGACTCTTGAGAGAATTAGAGAACCTGCCTTTGGCGTCCTGACCTTACTGAGATAGAGGTTATCACTACCCGTAGTTATCTGTTTATCAAATTACACTTATATAGAGCTTATGCCCTATTTAGTGCTACTGATGAGTTTCACTCATTTAATCCTTAGGACATAGGAAAAATTATATCCTTACTTCACAGATGAAGAAACTGAGGCACTGAGAGGCTAATAATTTGCCCATGGTCACGCAGGGGGTAACGATGGAACCAGGACTTAATTGCAAGCAGTGCAGCTCCAAAGTTCATGCTCTTAACCTTGATGGGGTTGGTCAGGATGCATCTTCCTATTTTGGAAACAGTCCCCATTTCCATTCAAACTCTCCAGTCAGGAGATCAAAACTTCAGAGGTGGAGATGAAGGCTTAAATATAAAATTGCCAAGAGCATCCTGCCTTAGGGATGGCTCAGAATACTCCAGTCATTACTGTCAGCCCTTGATGTCAGATGAGCCCTCATGGGTCCTTGTGGATTAATGAGATTTACCACTGCCTTCTGTAAATCTAGCATTGAGAACAGATCCTGTGGAGTCTGGAATAAGAGGAAAGTGCACATAAAAAAGTGCCCCCCAGGGTAGGCCATCTCAGGACACACACTCAGATCACTAAGTTCTTCCCAGCATTCCACAGCCAGCTCTGGCCCCACCAGGACCCCAAAGATTCTTCTACCATTCCTAGTCCTTTGTAATTTAGTCCTTTCTCTAAACCCAAAGGGAGGGATTCAGTAAATGTTTGCAATCAATATGGACCATGGAACAACAGACTTTACTGAGATGCAGTTTGGTAAAGGTTCTGTGTATGATGGTTTTGCTCAATCTAGACAATAGAATCTCTTTTACTAAAGTAACCTTTCATTTTCTGATTACAAGAGTAATACATGTTCATTATGGTTTCTTAAATGATACAGAAAAATATATAAGGAAGAAAATACCCATTGCTATGGACTGAATTGTGTCCCATCAAAATTCGTATGTTGAAGCCCTAACCTCCAATGTGACTGTATTTGGAGATGGGGCCTTTAAAGAGCTAATTAAGGTTAAATGAAATCATAAGCATGGGACCCTAATCCAATAGGACTGGTGTCCTTGCAAGCAGAAAGCCCAGATATCTCTCTCTCCATGCACATACAGAGGAAAGCCCATGTGAGGACACAGTGAGAAGGCAGCTTCTAGCCTCTAGAACTGCAAGAAAATAAATTAATAGATTTCCGTTGTTTAAACCACTCAGTTTGTGATATTTCCTTATGGCAGTCTGAGCAGACTAATGCATCTACAATCTAACCATTCACTGTTAACCTTTCGGTAAATACCTTCTAATCTTTTTTCTGTGCATCTCTGCATTTTTTTCTTTTCTTTTTTTTTTTTTTTTTTTTTTTTTTGCTTTTGAGACAGAGTCTTGCTCTGTCACCCAGGCTGGAGTGCAGTGGCATGATCTCGGCTCACTGCAACCTCCACCTCCCAGGTTCAAGCAATTCTCCTGCCTCAGCCTCCCGAGTAGCTGGGATTACAGGCGCCTGCCACCACACCTGGCTAAGTTTTGTATTTTTTATTAGAGACAGGGTTTCACCATGTTGGCCAGGCTGGTCTCGAACTCCTGACCTCATGATCCACCCGCCTCAGCCTCCCAAAGTGCTGGGATTACAGGCGTGAGCCACCACGCCTGGCCGTCGGCATATTTTTTAAAACAAAATTAGGACCAGTGGCTCACATCTGTAATCCCAACACTATAGGAGGTAGAGGTGGACAGATCCTTGAGTTCTGGAATTTGAGACCAGCTTGGGCAACACGGCGAAACACTGTCTCTACAAAAAATACAAAAATTAGCCCGGTGTGGTTGTCCACGCCTGTAGTCCCAGCCACTTGGGGGGCTGAGGAAGAAGGATCGCTTGAGTCCAAGAGGCAGAGCTTACAGTGAGCTGTTTGCGCCACTGCACTCCAGCCTGGGTGACAAAGTGAAACACTCTCTCAAAAAAAATTTTTTTAATTAGGTTCATATTGTTTTATATCCTGCTTTTTTTTCACTTAACAATATAGTATCAACTTTAATAGCTACATGGAATTATATATAAGTAGTGTGATGATATAAATAAGTTTTACATGTAAATTTACATATTTATGAGTAAATGTGTTAAAAAAAACTGGTAGTAAATGCTTCTGCTTTCTGAGCATGGGGGTTACATAATTGCTATCAATGGGGAAAATTTACAGTGTCATTCTATTTGCAGAGACCGCCAAAGTCAAATCTAACACTCCTAAACCCTCCCAATCCTCCTAGTTAACTAAAGAGCATGAACCCAGAATAGACATATCCTTTGTGAGTCTTTGGAACTGAAAGCAAAGGACTAAACTAGGTGGACAGGGAAACAGGTACAGCAATATGGTGGGGGGAGAAATGTTCGGGACTCTACAATGCCACTAACATAACACCAACACCCACCCCCCAACCTTTAATAAAGCCTCCAATGAATACAGGTGCCTCACCAGAGTAGTTTGAAGATGCTCCAAACAAAGATGAGTGATGTGTGTGGGGTGACTTTCAGCCTGGGGGATGGTGAAACCTAGGGTTGATTAAGAGCCAGAGCTCAGCACTGTAAGTGCCCAAAAGAACTTGGTCCCTGGAAATTCAAAAAAGTCTTAAAGAGAGTATTAATTTTCCCATAGAGGCCAGGCGCAGGGGCTCATGCCTTTGAAAAGTAATCCCAGAACTTTGGGTGGATCACCTGAGGTTGAGAGTTCGACACCAGCCTGGCCAACATGGTGAAACCTTGTCTCTACTAAAAATACAAAAATTAGCTGGGCATGGTGACGCATGTCTGTAACCCCAGCTACTTAGGAGGCTGAGGCAGAAGAATTGCTTGAATCCAAGAGGTGGAGGTTGCAGTGAGCCGAGATTCCACCACTGCACTCCAGCCTGGGCAACAGAGCAAGACTCCCTCTCAACAACAACAACAAATTTCGCATAGAATATCAGAGAGAGCGCTTGAGCTAATTTCACTTAAATATCAATGGATAGGAAGCTCAGATAGCATGTAGGTTATATTGATGTTCCATAGTTTATTTATTGAACTCCCAATTATTGTTCATTTTTCTTTTATGTCCTTTGTTGTCATTTTGAAATAATTTATCTTATCATATCTATCAAATTGTTCTAATTGTGGAAGCTCTAGGATGGCTAATCCCACTATTTATAGTGTCTGCAGATCCTTAGTCCCTTGTGGAGGGTTGATTTCATTATGTAGTCTATATTTTTATTTTATTATTATTTGAAGCAGGATCTCATTCCAGTTGCCCTGGCTGGAGTGCAGTGGCACGATTTCGGCTCACTGCAGTCTTGATCTCCTAGGCTCAGGTGATTTGCCTACCTCAGCCTCGAGTAACTGGGACTACAGGAACGCCACCATGCATGGCTAATTTTTGTATTTTTTAGTAGAGATGGGGTTTTGCCATGTTGTCCAGGCTGGTCTCGAACTCCTGGACTCAAGCAATCCTCCTGCCTCAGCCTCCCAAAGTGCTGGGATTACAGGCATGAGCCACCATGCCAGGCCTGTAATTTTAAACTGTGACACAATATTCAGCAGACTTTGTGGGAATTCAGGGCCACCTGATTTGATGCTATATACCTCCATAGACTGTTACTTGTCTGAGACAAATTTTTATATGTGAGCAAATCTAGGTTTATGAATTCTTAGAGGAGACATTTGCCCCATCCAGATCCTATGGCAAACCTGGTCTTCCATACCAGTGCTACCCAATACAGGTTGAGCATCCCCAATCCTAAAATCTGAAATCTGAAATGCTCCAAAATTCAAAAGGTTTTGAGCACCAACGTGATGTCACAAGTAGAAAAATTCACACTTAAGTATCTAACACAAACTTTATTTCATGCACAGAATTATTTAAAATATTGTATAAAATTAGGCCAGGCATAGTGGCTCGCGCCTTTAATCTCAGCACTTTGGGAGGCCAAGGTGGGTGGATCACTTGAGGTCAGGGAGTTCGAGACCAGCCTAGCCAACATGGTGAAACCATGTCTCTACTGAAAATACAACAATTAGCTGGGCATGGTGGTGGATGCCTGTAATCCCAGCTACTCGGGAGGCTGAGGCAGGAGAATTGCTTGAACCCGGAAGGTGGAGTTTGCAGTAAGCTGAGATCGCACCACTGCACTCCAGCCTGGGCAACAGAGCAAGACTCTTTCTCAAAAAAAAAAAAATTAAGATATTGTATAAAATTATATTCAGACTATGTATAATGTACATACAAAATACAAATGAAAGTCCAGGCGTGGTGGCTCACACCTGTAATCCCAGCACTTTGGGAGGCCGAGGCAGGTGGATCACGAGGTCAGATCCACCAGGCAGATTCAAGACCAGCCTGGCCAAGATGGTGAAACCCCGTCTCTACTAAAAATACAAAAATTCGCCAGGCGTGGTGGTGGGCGCCTGTAATCCCAGCTACTCGGGAGGTTGAGGCAGAGAATTGCTTGAACCTGGGAGACAGCAGTGAGCTGGGTATCACACCACTGCACTCCAGCCTGGGTGACAGAGTGAGACTCTGTGTCAAAAAAAAAAACAAAAAACAAATGAATTTTGTGTTTAGATCATAATCTCATCCCTAAGATATCTCATTAAATATTTGCAAATGTTCCAAAATTCAAAAAAATCTGAAATCTAAAACACTTCTGGTCCCAAACACTTTGGATAAAGGATACTGAACTTGTAGAAATATAATGTAAGCTACAAATGAGAGCCACATATATAATTTTAAATTTTATTTTATTTTATTTATTTTTTTTTTGAGATGGGGTTTCGCTCTTGTTGCCCAGGCTGGAGTGCAAATGCCTCAGTCTCAGCTCACTGCAACCTCCGCCTCCTGGGTTTAAGCGATTCTCCTGCCTCAGCCTCCCAATTAGCTGGGATTACAGGTACGTACCACCACACCTGGCTAATTTTTTGTATTTAGTAGAGACAGGGTTTCACCGTATTGGTTAGGCTAGTTTTGAACTCCTGACCTCAGGTGATCCACCCACCTCGGGCTCCCAAAGTGTTGGGATTACAGGCATGAGCCACCATGCCCGGCCAATTTTAAATTTTCTTGTGGCTACATTTAAAAGATGAAAAGAAATTGGGAAAATTAATTTTAATAACATTTTATTCTAATATATCAAAGATATTATTTTGACATGTAATCAATATAAAAATTATTAATGAGATAACTTACTTTTTTCATACTAGGTTTTTGAAATTCAGTATGTATTTTAAACTTGGAGCACATTTAAATCTGGACTAGCTATATTTCACGGGCTTAACAGCCAGATGTGGCTACTGGCGAACCTATGGACAGGTCTAGATTTTGCTGGTGAGTGGCTTTTAGGGTGGATGTGTGCTTAATCTACCCTTTAACTACTGATGTATCCCTTTAAGAGTTCTAGATTTATGATGTTTCAGTTTCAACACTACCTTGCATGAGCCCAAGGCATTATCTCCTATACTTGTGTGAGAATTAAATCATAAACCCCTCAATTAATGACACTGACAACTCCTTCTTTATAACTCCCATCCTACCCTAGAGAAACGGCAGTGTTACTTCCTGTGCTGTAACTATTTTTCTGGTCCCTGGCAACTTCTCTTTTTTTTTTGGAAGGCCTGGCTATGTATTTAAAAGACTGTATATTATAGGATAAATAGCATCTCTATATATTTGTGGTGGGAAAGATTTTCACGTTATCCAGTTCACCACATAGCAAAAACTGAAAGTCCTAAACATGAACATTTAAAGGATTCAGTCCAAGTGGTCATATTAGGAAACTTTCAGAACTTTACACGATTACTATATTAAACATAACAATAATCACTAACCAAAATGTTAGGAAAAATATGAAATCTACCAAGGGCCATACAGAGAGGATATCATACACATTAAAGCAGAAAATAAATGATTCAGACCATACAAACACAGTAGACAATAAATAACTATAAGATTTTGAGTTTTATAAAAATTCATTTTAAAGACAATGAAAGGCTGGGCATGGTGGCTCACGCCTGTAATCCCAGCACTTTGGGATTACAAAGTACCAAGGCAGGCGGGTTGTTTGAGACCTGCTTGGCCAACTGATGAAACCCCATCTCTACTAAAAATACAAAAATTAGCTGGGTGTGATAGGTGCAGCAAAGCACCATGGCACACATATACCTATGTAACAAACCTGCATGTTCTGTACATGTATCCTGGAACTTAAAGTAAAATAAAAATTAAAAAAAAAATTAGCTGGGTGTGGTGGTGCACGCCTGTAATCTCAGCTACTCAGGAGGCCAAGGCACGGGAATCACTTGAACCCGGGAGGTGGAGGTTGCAATGAGCCAAGATTGAGACTCTGCACTCCAGCCAGGGCAACAGAATGAGACTCTGTCTCAAAAGAAAAAAGAAAAAAGAAAAAAAGACAATGAGAATTTACAAAATATTTTTGGAGGAGTTTTCTAATTATAAAGAAATACAATAACCATCTTTATCTTAATAAACTACACAGTCTCAATGAAAAAGGTTTTCATGAGAAGTATAAATTGCTTAAAAAAATGTAAAACTACTTAAAAATCTAAACTCTATAACTATGGAAGAAAAATATTTTCGTTATCCAAGAATTACCTTTAATAAGATTCCAGGCTCCAGTTAGCAATCTAAGTTCCTCTGTATTTTGAAGTCAGGAACAATTTTTTCAAGATGTAAATTATTGCCATAGTGCTCCAGGTAGCTGCGGATGACAAGCCCTCTTCTCATCATGGCCTGTTCCTGAGTTTGCCCATTGAAACGGGAGAGTTTCCTGACCCTCCTCGCAGAACATGCAACAGGGATATGGCTTGTTTGGCCTCTGTGCACGCTCAAACCCCTTATGGGAAGGGGAGCACGCAGACAGGCAGGTACAGGAGCCGGAGTGAGCACCCCTGGACTCTGGCCCCATGACCACATCCAGTTGTGGGTGCCTGCGGCTCCCGAAGCCCAGGTGGGTGTGTGTTACAGTGCACTCTCTTAGCTCTGCCATCTGCAGACAGCTTAAGTGTAAAACAGCTCAGTGGACCCTCTGACTTTTTGCAAGGGCAGAGGGCCAGTGTGACAGCTTCCCACATCCCGAGCTCTTGTCCAGCATCCAGGAAAAATCAGGTCACACATACACTTGAAGGATGGTGAATGCAGGGTTTTTATTAAGTTGTGAAGGTGGCTCTCAGCAGAATGGATGGGCAGCTGGATCAGGGATGGAGTGGGAAGATGATCTTCCCCTGGAGTTTGGCCATCCAGCAGCTGATCTCCTCTCCGACTATCCCCAGCCAAACTCCTCTTGACATTCAGACGCTCCTTCTCTCCTCTCCTCTGCTGCTCGTCTGCTCTTCTGTTCCTCTGTTCATCTGCTTGTGGAGCGTGGGGCTTGGGGTTTATATGGGTACAGGATGGGGTGGCATGGTGGGCCAAAAGGCAGCCTTTGAGCATGAAAACAGGAATGCCTGTTCCCAATTTAGGGCCGCAGGTTTCCAGGCCTGAGGGTGGGGCCTTTGCCAGGGAACTGCCCTCTTCTACCCAGTATTTCCCTGTCTCCTGTCCATATCACCATTAGAATGCAAGGTCCGTGGGGGAAGCAAGTCACATCCATCACTGGGTTTCCACCTTACAGTACCAGCTTGAAATAAATTTGTCTAAAAACCTATTAGATAAGGTGTAAGGAAGGGATCTAGTTTCAGCTTTCTACATATGGCTAGCCAGTTCTCCCAGCACCATTTATTAAATAGGGAATCCTTTCCCCATTGCTTGTTTTTCTCAGGTTTGTCAAAGATCAGATAGTTGTAGATATGTGGCATTATTTCTGAGGGCTCTGTTCTGTTCCATTGGTCTATATCTCTGTTTTGGTACCAGTACCATGCTGTTTTGGTTACTGTAGCCTTGTAGTATAGTTTGAAGTGAGGTAGCGTGATGCCTCCAGCTTTGTTCTTTTGGCTTAGGACTGACTTGGCGATGCAGGCTCTTTTTCTGGTTCCATATGAAGTTTAAGGTAGGTTTTACCAATTCTGTGAAGAAAGTCATTGGTAGCTTGATGGGGATGGCATTGAATCTATAAATTACCTTGGGCAGTATGGCCATTTCCACGATATTGATTCTTCCTACCCATGAGTATGGAATGTTCTTCCATTTGTTTGTATCCTCTTTTATTTCCTTGAGCAGTGGTTTGTAATTCTCCTTGAACAGGTCCTTTACGTCCCTTGTCAGTTGGATTCCTAGGTATTTTATTCTCTTTGAAGCAATTGTGAATGGGAGTTCACTCATGATTTGGCTCTCTGTTTGTCAGTTATTGGTGTATAAGAATGCTTGTGATTTTTGCACATTGATTTTGTATCCTGAGACTTTGCTGAAGTTGCTTATCAGCTTAAGGAGATTTTGGGCTGAGACAATGGGGTTTTCTAGATATACAATCATGTCATCTGCAAACAGGGACAATTTGACTTCCTCTTTTCCTAATTGAATGCCCTTTATTTCCTTCTCCTGCCTGATTGCCCTGGCCAGAACTTCCAACACTATGTTGAATAGGAGTGGTGAGAGAGGGCATCCCTGTCTTATGCCATTTTTCAAAGGGAATGCTTCCAGTTTTTGCCCATTCAGTACGATATTGGCTGTGGGTTTGTCATAGATAGCTCTTATTATTTTGAGATACGTCCCATCAATACCTAATTTATTGAGAGTTTTTACCATGAAGGTTGTTGAATTTTGTCAAAGACCTTTTCTGCATCTATTGAGATAATCATGTGGTTTTTGTCATTGATTCTGTTTATATGCTGGATTATGTTTACTGATTTGCATACGTTGAACCAGCCTTGTACCCCAGGGATGAAGCCCACTTGATCATGGTGGATAAGCTTTTTGATGTGCTGCTGGATTCGGTTTGCCAGTATTTTGTTGAGGATTTTTGCATTGATGTTCATCAGGGGTATTGGTCTAAAATTCTCTTTTTTTGTTGTGTCTCTGCCAGGCTTTGGTAACAGGATGATGCTGGCCTCATCAAATGAGTTAGGGAGGATTCCCTCTTTTTCTATTGATTGGAATAGTTACAGAAGGAATGGTACCAGCTCCTCCCTGTACCTCTGGTAGAATTCGGCTGTGAATCCATCTGGTCCTGGACTTTTTTTGGTTGGTAAGCTATTAGTTGTTGCCTCAATTTCGGAGCCTGTTATTGGTCTATTCAGAGATTCAACTTCTTCCTGGTTTAGTCTTGGGAGAGTGTATGTGTAGAGGAATTTATCCATTTCTTCTAGATTTTCTAGTTTATTTGTGTAGAGGTGTTTATAGTATTCCCTGATGGTAGTTTGTATTTCTGTGGGATTGCTGGTGATATCCCCTTTATCATTTTTTATTGTGTCTATTTGATTCTTCTCTCTTTTCTTCTTTATTAGTCTTGCTAGCGGTCTATCAATTTTGTTGATCTTTTAAAAAAAAAAAACCAGCTCCTGGATTCATTGATTTTTTGAAGGATTTTTTGTGTCTGTATCTCCTTCAGTTCTGCTCTGATCTTAGTTATTTCTTGCCTTCTGCTAGATTTTGAATGTGTTTGCTCTTGCTTCTCTAGTTCTTTTAATTGTGATGTTAGGGTATCAATTTTAGATCTTTCCTGCTTTCTCTTGTGGGCATTTAGTGCTATAAATTTCCCTCTACACACTGCTGTGAATGTGTCCCAGAGATTCTGGTACATTCTGTCTTTGTTCTTGTGGGTTTCAAAGAACATCTTTATTTCTGCCTTCATTTTGTCATGTACCCAGTAGTCATTCAGGAGCAGGTTGTTCAGTTTCCATGTAGTTGAGCGGTTTTGAGTGAGTTTCTTAATCCTGAGTTCTAGTTTGATTGCACTGTGGTCTGAGAGACAGTTTGTTATAATTTCTGTTCTTTTACATTTGCTGAGGAGTGCTTTACTTCCAACTATATGGTCAATTTTGGAATAGGCATGGTGTGGTGCTGAAAAGAATGTATATTCTGTTGATTTGGGGTGGAGAGTTCTGTAGATGTCTATTAGGTCCACTTGGTGCAGAGCTGAGTTCAATTCCTGGATATTCTTGTTAACTTTCTGTCTCGTTGATGTGTCTCATGTTGACAATGGGGTGTTAAAGTTTTCCATTATTATTGTGTGGGAGTCTAAGTCTCTTTGTAGGTCTCTAAGGACTTGCTTTATGAATCTGGGTGCTCCTGTATTGGGTGCCTATATATTTAGGATAGTTAGCTCTTCTTGTTGAATTGATCCCTTTACCATTACATAATGGCCTTCTTTGTCTCTTTTGATCTTTGTTGGTTTACAGTGTGTTTTATCAGAGACCAGGATTGCAACACCTGCCTTTTTTTGTTTTTCCATTTGCTTGTTAGATCTTCCTCCACCCCTTTATTTTGAGCCTATGTGTGTCTCTGCATGTGAGATGGGTTTCCTGAATACAGCACACTGATGGGTCTTGACTCTTTATCCAATTTGCCAATCTGTGTCTTTTAATTGGAGCATTTAGCCCATTTACATTTAAGGTTAATATTGTTATTTGTGAATTTGATCCCATCATTACTATGTTAGCTGGTTATTTTGCTCATTAGTTGATGCAGTTTCTTCCTACCCTCGATGGTCTTTACAATTTGGAATGTTTTTGCAGTGGCTGGTACTGGTTGTTCCTTTCCATGTTTAGTGCTTCCTTCAGGAGCTCTTGTAAGGCAGGCCTGGTGGTGACAAAACCTCTCAGCATTTGATTGTCTGTAAAGGATTTTATTTCTCCTTCACTTATGAAGCTTAGTTTGGCTGGATATGAAATTCTGGGTTGAAAATTCTTTTCTTTAAGAATGTTGAATATTGTCCCTACTCTCTTCTGGCTTGTAGAGTTTCTGCTGAGAGATCAGCTTTTAGTCTGATGGGCTTCCCTTTGTGGGTAACCCGACCTTTCTCTCTGGCTGCCCTTAACATTTTTTCCTTCATTTCAACTTTGATGAATCTGACAATTATGTGTCTTGGAGTTGCTCTTCTCGAGGAGTATCTTTGTGGCGTTCTCTGTATTTCCTGAATCTGAATGTTGGCCTGCCTTGCTAGATTGGGGAAGTTCTCCTGGATAATATCCTGCAGAGTGTTTTCCAACTTGGTTCCATTCTCCCCGTCACTTTCAGGTACACCAATCAGACAGAGGTTTGGTCTTTTCACATAGTCCCATATTTCTTGGAGGCTTTGTTTGTTTCTTTTTTTTCTTTTTTTCTCTAAACTTCTCTTCGTGCTTCATTTCACTCATTTCGTCTTCCATCACCGATACCCTTTCTTCCAGTTGTTCGCATCGGTTACTGAGGCTTGTGCATTTGTCACGTAGTTCTCATGCCATGGTTTTCAGCTCCGTCAGGTCCTTTAAGGACTTCTCTGCATTGGTTATTCTAGTTAGCCATTCGTCTAATTTTTTTTTCAAGGTTTTTAACTTCTTTGCCATGGGTTCGGACTTCCTCCTTTAGCTCAGAGTAGTTTGATTGTCTGAAGCTTTCTTCTCTCAACTCATCAAAGACATTCTCCGTCCAGCTTTGTTCCGTTGCTGGTGAGGAGCTGCGTTCCTTTGGAGGAGGAGAGGCACTCTGATTTTTAGAGTTTCCAGTTTTTCTGCTCTGTTTTTTCCCCATCTTTGTGGTTTTATCTACCTTTGGTCTTTGATGATGGTGATGTACAGATGGGGTTTTGGTGTGGATGTCCTTTCCGTTTGTTAGTTTTCCTTCTAACAGTCAGGACCCTCAGCTGCAGGTCTGTTGGAGTTTGCTGGAGGTCCACTCCAGACCTTGTTTGCCTGGGTATCAGCAGCGGAGGCTGCAGAACAGCGGATATTGGTGAACAGCAAATGTTGCTGCCTGATTGTTCCTCTGGAAGTTTTGTCTCAGAGGAGTACCCGGCCGTGTGAGGTGTCAGTCTGCCCCTATTGGGGGATGCCTCCCAGTTAGGCTACTCGGGGGTCAGGGACCCACTTGAGGAGCCAGTCTGTCTGTTCTCAGATCTCCAGCTGCATGCTGGGAGAACCACTACTGTCTTCAAAGCTGTCAGACAGGGACATTTAAGTCTGCAGAGGATTCTGCTGCCTTTTGTTTGGCTATGCCCTGTCCCCCAGAGGTGGAGTCTATAGAGGCAGGGGAGCCTCCTTGAGCTGCAGTGGGCTCCATCCAGTTCGAGCTTCCTGGCTGCTTTGTTTACCTACTCCAGCCTCGGCAATGGCACGCGCCCCTCCCCCAGCCTCACTGCCACCTTGCAGTTTGATCTCAGACTGCTGTGCTAGCAATGAGCGAGGCTCTGCGCGTGTAGGACCCTCTGAGCCAGGCGCGGGATATAATCTTCTGGTGTGTCGTTTGCTAAGACCGTTGGAAAAGCGCAGTATTAGGGTGGGAGTAACCCCATTTTCCAGGTGCTGTCTGTCACCCCTTTCTTTGACTAGGAAAGGGAATTCCCTGACCCCTTGTGCTTCCCGGGTGAGGCGATGCCTCGCCCTGCTTTGGCTCACGCTCTGTGCACTGCACCCACTGTCCTGCACCCACTTTCCGACACTCCCTAGTAAGATGAACCCGGTACCTCAGCCGGAAATGCAGAAATCACCCATCTTCTGCATCGCCCATGCTGGGAGATGTAGACTGGAGCTGTTCCTATTCGGCCATCTTGGCTCCACCCCCCAACTTCCTCTAAAAGTATTTTCAATATCGTCATAGTTAGGCTTTAAAAAAAACATGGAGTAATATATATATGTGTGTATATGTGTAAAATCCTTCACATATGCATCACAATATTAAGGGTGGCTATTTCTTGGTGATTGGATTATGAATGTTTGTTGACTATGAATGCTTCTTTACCTTTTTCTTTTCTTTTTCCAGTCTCTCAGTAATGAACATTATTACCTTTATAATCAGAAACAAAGGTAAATTGTGCATGCATGCAGACACACACACACACACACACACACACACACACATACACACACACACACACACACAGTCCCCACAGGGATCCTTAAGTTACCCTGAGCTGTGGACACTGTCTGAATGAACACACTGGTGGGCCTCATCTTTGGAGGTCAATGCACAGTCAGCAGGCCTAACTAAGCAGCAAGAAATACAGATGATAATGTCAATCCTTCAGAAATGTGCTTGGCTGATTCCAGATGTTCTCAAAATCCAAACTACATTTAGGAATCTTGATGCAGCATCAGAAGGGAACAAAACAGATGGAGTGCTGATCCTACTGAGCATTGCTTGTTTTCATTTCATTATGCTTTAAAAGAAATTTCTACCAAGTCAATGTTTACCCAAATGACTTTATTCTTCATTTTATCACATATCTGGTAACCAAGAACAATGTCTTCCCCTTGTCCTTGAAGGACAGGCAACTTTCCTCCCAAGTCTTTAAAAGGGATGAGTCAGGGAAAACTAAACTGGCAGGGGACACACACGTGGTCCTTCCACCTAGCCACCCTCAAACCTGCCCTCTGTCCCTCCACCATGAAGCTGCCTCTGTGTTTGCTGCTTTTGAGGAATTCTTGTGAATCAAAATGGCAGAACCATATAATACTACCAACAACACAATAGTAAGAACGTGTACTGGCTAACTACTATGTGCCAGGAAATGTCCTTAACACTTTCCATATATTAAATATCTCATTTAATCTTCATGAGAATCCTGCAAGAGAAATACTAGCACCATCTCCATTTTACAGAGGAGGACACCGAGGAATAGAGAGAGACAGTAACTTTGCCAGAACCACATAGCTAATGTGTGATGAGGCTGGATTCTGAACACAGGAAGTCACAAAGGAGAAACCATATTAAGAAGAAAAAGCAAGCCCAGGTGCAGTGGCTCACGCCTGTCATCCCAGCACTTTGGGAGGCCGAGGTGGGTGGATAACTTGAGGTCAGGAGTTTGAGACCAGCCTGGCCAACATGGTGAAACCGCATCTCTACTAAAAAGACAAAAAAGTAGCTAGGCGTGGTGGCAGGTGCCTATAATCCCTGCTACTCTGGACGCTGAGGCAGGAGAATTGCTTGAACCTGGAGGCAGAGGTTGCAGTGACCTGAGGTCGTGCCACTGCACTCCAGCCTGAGCAACAGAGCCAGACTTTGTCTCAAAAAAAAAAAAAAAAGAAAAAAGAAAAAGACAAAAAAGAACAAAAATCAAGTCTGAAGCTCAGGTACACAGCTGGCTGCCCTTGATGGAAGTGAAAATTGGACTATGCCAGAGAAGCAGCAGAGAAGTGAGACTGCACTGGAAAACAGACCAGTGTAAACAGACAAGGGCATCAGAACTTTAACACGGGAGACAGCTAAGCAAGTGCACTAAGTAAGGACTGGAAGACAAAGAAGTGAAGTGATGCGACGTTCATGAAGCAAATGGGGAAGCGGGTGTAGTCAAACAAGTCCAAGAAGCCATTCCATGGGGAAAAGGGTCATGGAGAGGAAGGGAGGTGAGCATGTGAAGACCGGATACAAAGGACATGAAACAAAAAAAGCAGCGACAAGATGATTGACCTGACAGCCAGGAGGAAGCACAGAAATGCAGGGGCTCAGATGTTCCCACTCTGGGAAAGCAAAAAGCAAAGAGGGAAACAACTGATTGGAGGGGGAATTGCATCATTTCCTTTTCACTGTTATTTTAACCTCATGTCTTCCTCAGCCACTCTGCCAAACAGATCGAGAGGGATGAACCCCTCCCTCAGGGCTTAATATCCTGTAGAGTGAAATGGCAATGCAGTGGCTGCCACTGTCCCATGGCACTTGGGGTTAGGTCGGATGATTGGTTTTCTGTATGTCCTCTATGTTCTTAGGGATTCCTGCCAAGAATGAGGTGTGATTTCAGGTGAGTAGCTGCCATTTAAAAGGGGCTTCTTAGCCGGGTGCAGTGGCTCACACCTGTAATTTCAGCACTTTGGGAGGCCAAGCCAGGAGGCTCACTTGAGTCCAGGAGGCTGAGATCATCCTGGGCAGCATAGTGAGAACTTCATCTCTACAACTAAAAAAAAAAATTAGCTGGGTGTGGTGGTGCATGCCTGTCATTCCAGTTACCCAGGAGGCCAAGGCAGGAAGATCGCTTCAGCCCAGGAGTTTGAGACTGCAGTGAGCTATAAACGGTCACAGGCATGTGACCCAGGCCCACAGTCTTTTGGCCACAGTGGTTGGTCCAGAGTCAGGTCTGTGGCCCAATAAGCATCAAGGATATGCAATAAGACCTTTGTTGGTGCCACTGCACTCCAGCCTGGTAGACATAGTGAGACCCTGTTTCTGGTGCTGGGGGGTGGGAAGAGAGAGAGAGAGAAAAAAAAAAAAAAGAAAAAAGAGGATTCTTCTTTCACAGGATTATTGTGGCTATGAAATAAGATCATATATGGAAAGGACAGGTGTATAGGGCTTAACAATTGCTATATGCTCAAAGAAAGGTGCCATGGGAGAAGGGTGTCCCTCTTCTACTCAAAATATTCAATGGCTGCCACCATCAGCAAGACACAAGTGCAGACACCCTGGCCTGGCACTGAAAGCCCTGCATTGACTAGCCCCAACTTACAGTTCTACAACCTTAATCACAGAATTAATTTACTAAACCTACATTTTACCAGCTTTCATCCTACTCAGAAATGCCAAAATACTTATATAAGAGGATTTAAGCATTAAAGGACATGGGTCCCATTCATCACAGAGCTCAGCCAGGGATCACAGAAGTTGATCTACCAAGTAACTCTTTCAGGTCCGGGAGGGAGAGGGGAGGAACGTCCTAAGTTGTGTCCTGAAATAAGGATCAAGTTTGGATAAGATGACAGTGCTGAGTCCCTGGAACGCAGCTTTCATATCAGGCAGCGGCAGAATGGGAGGGAGACACTGGTGAAGTCAATGTTGAATGAAAAACAAAGAGGAGCAAAGGTCATATACTTTCATTTAGAAAAATGGAGCTGGAATATTGATGGCCGCAAATAGGCAGGCTTAAAAGTAAGCAAACAGTGAGATGAGATTGTACCACTGCACTCCAGTCTGGATGATAAAATGAGACCCTGTCTCCAAAAAAAAAAAAAAGAAAGAAAAAGAAAAAAATAAGCCAACAGTTGTGTGCACAGGGCCCACATGGCAAAGCCGGAGGAATCCTAGATCAAGTAAGAAGAAAACTGCTGAGACGTTGTTCTCCAGGATAACTAAGTTACTTGGCCTATATTCTAGACACACAGATCTCATTTTTACTTCTCTTTTGGTTCACTGCAAAGGGGCTGCTTTATTTATTATTGTTGTATCTGCCATACAGCAGCCAGGTGTTCTTCTCCTGGCAGTGCGCTCCCCTCTGCTCACCTGCTTATGATGCTATTGCTAATTCCGGAGGCAGGCATATGACCCAGGCCCACAGTCTTTTGGCCACAGTGATTGGTCCAGAGTCAGGTCTGTGGCCTAATAAGGACCAATGAGATGTAGTAAGACTTTTGTTGGGGCAGCAGGTGATAAGCCATTTGCTTTTTTTGCTGGAACTTCCATAAGTCAGATGACACATACCTGGAGCTGCCCAGGAAGCCAACACCATAGAAGACACAGCCAAGAAATGGAGAAACTGGGTCCTGCCACACTGTTTGAGCACTTGGATCAGACTGCACCTGAAGCCAATATAGCCCAACTATATCAATTAAGTGAGCCAATCAATTCCTGCTTTTCTTAAGCCAGTATAAATTGGATTCCAACCTCACAACTGAAAGAGTCACAACTAACAGAGAAATGGAAGCTGAAACTTAAATAAACTATCTCTGCCAGAGAGCTGGGTGACCCATGCCCTGGGAGAGACACTCTACTTCACTGCACTTGCCCAGCACACCTTAACACAAAGGCCAGGACTCATCAGAGGGCAAGATGGTGCTGCCTCCCAAACACCCAATCAGCTCTTAGCCAAGACTTGCTGGGAAAATACCCAACTTCTCCTGGAAGCAGAGACACCTCAGGTAGCCAGGAGGAGAAGCCAGCTGTAGGAGACCCTATGTACGGTTTCTATCTCATAATCTTCTCCATGGCCAGCTCTTCTTGCCCACTTTCCCCAGCTGAAACTGTCTTTGCCAGTAGAGTTGGTCCTACTGCAATCCCGTGACCACACTGAGTGTCCCTCTGATTCCACACAGTGGCTCCTCCCTGCCTAGACTTCTCCATCCCCTTCTTTTCATCATCAACCTTGCCCTTATTCCTAGGCCTGGTTCAAAGCTTTTCCATTTTCTCTGGATGCAACAACCCACATTTGAACCCAGTTTCCATATCCGTTAAGTGGGATAATAATCTCTTAGGGAAGCAGCTATTAAAACATAGTAAGTTTGAGACCAGCCTGGGCAACATAGTGAAACCCCCTTCTCTACAAAAAAATACAAAAATTAGCCAGGCATGGTGGCATGCACCCATAGTCCCCTCAGGAGTTGGAGGTGGGAGGATCACTTGAACCCAGGAGGTCAAGGCTACAGTAAGCTGAGATCATCCCACTGTACTCCAGCCTGGGTGACAGAGTGAGACCCTGTCTCTAAATAAATAAATATAATGATAATATTATAATAGCCAACATTGATGGAGCACTTTAATATACATCAGGCACTATTCTGAGTGCTTTACATGTGTTAACTCATTTAATCTTTATGTACCCCTATCAAGGCGTTGTTATATACATTTAGACAATGGAGCACAGGAAGGTTAAGTAATTGCCCAATGTCATGCAGCTAGAAGGTGACAGAGCCATATTTAAAACCCAAGCACTTTGGTGCCAGAGCTTTGATTCTGAGCTGCTGCATTCCAACTGCCCTTACTGGTGTTAGGATGAAGTGAGAGATGAGGATGCAGGAATGTCAGAAATCTGCCCAAACCACTTCCATCCCGAACTGTAAATCTGCTCACAGAAGTATACTTACACGTGACCACGGCAGGATACTTTTAAAATTACTATTACTTGTCACTTAGGTATGAGGTCTAAGAAGGACCCTCCCTTCCCCTAAACCCAAATCTAGGCCTTGTCACCATCCAGCTGCCGAAGGAAGCCTGAGGCAATGCTAACTGTGCCCCAGGGCACCACAAGAAAATCTGGAACTAGGACTGGATTAGCGCAATCTCTCACCCAAACTGGAAACTAAACTAGGATAACCTATGTTCTGATGTGCTCTGACAAATTCCTGGTTTATGACAAAAGTCTTGGTTTATGTATGTTTCCCTGGTGCAGATATTAAAAATTTCCTAAGTTTGGTTTGGAGCATAAATTAGTTGGTCACCCTAGGCTTGCCTATATGTGAACTAAGGGAGTGAGAATATCACAGACTCCTTTCCTTTCCTACCATGATGACCTCTCTGATTCATGTGACTGCTCCTGTGCACCTTCCTGAAGCCAGTGATGTCATCTCAACTCTGCAGGGACACCCCCTTGAGGGTTAACTCCAGAAGTTCTAAAATGGGTAAGAGTAGACGGTCACTCCATGGCCAGACTACAAAACAGATAAAACCAGACAAAAACAAACTACATTAGGCAGCACAGGCTGCTACATCAAAATACCTACACTGGGTGGCTTCAACAATACACATGTATTTCTCACAGTTCTGAAGCCTGTGAAGTCTAAGACCCAGGCATCAGCAGATTCAGTTCCTGATAAGTGCCCTCTTCCTGGCCTGCAGATGGCTGCCTGCCTGCCGTCTCACTGTGTCCTCACAGCTGAGGGGAGAGAGGGGGCGAGCTCTGCTCTGTCCCCTTCCTTTTCTTATAAAGACACGAATCCCACCATAGGGGGCCCACCCTCATGACCTCATCTGAACCCTGAACCTAATTGCCTCCCAAAGGCCCCACCTGTAAATTCATCATATTGGGCGTTACAGCTTCAACATATGAATTATGGGGAGATACAAACATTCAGTTCATAACACAAACAACCCGCCCCACTCCCATCACCCATCTCAACCAGTATTTAGCTCCATTTCCACTCAGGTCTCTGCTTAAATATCACCTTAAGAGAGCGCTTTCTAAGACCACCCTTCTCAAACAGCATCCCCGGCATCACCTTCTCAGTCCCTATACACAGCTCAGATTTTCTTCCTAGCAACAGTGTGTGTGTGTGTGTGTGTGTGTGTGTGTGTCTACATTTTTAAGTGATTGTCTCCCCTGGTGAAAATGTGAGCTCTATAGGAGGAATGCCAAGCAGAAACCCTCTATGTGAAATTTCAAGCGGGAAGCTGCCACTCATTCATTCCCCTTTCCAGCCCTTCCTCACTAGGCTTTGTCAAGATAAATGTGTTCATGCATGTGTGGACCATATAAACCAGCACTCTCAAATCATCTATGCACAGACAGGAAGCTTATTTTTCTGACTGTATGCTGTTTCCTTTAATAGGGGAGTCTCTATTCCCACTCAGTCGGGAAATGAAATTTGTCCCAATCCAGTAAATTCAAGCCACAGTGGCATTTTTAAAAATTGGTTTTATTTGAAACTGTAGTCCCTCTTGGGTAAATATTCAAATTTGGGTACATTTGTCAGGTTTGACTGTCCAGTTTAAATGCTCCCTCTGGTTAAACTCCATGTTACTGCCCACCTCCTCTGATCTGACCCTAATCTCTAGAAAGCCTCACCCTTGCCCATCAGTGTGCAGCAACAGCCTCTTGGGGAAGGTGAGAGTTCACATCCCATGACCGGCTGGTTCTGCTCTTGCTTCACACAATCTCAGCTGAGAGGCAGCTGCCAGCCTTGCTTCCAGAATCATCTGAGCCTCACAGGAGACTTCTCTTCAGACCCTGACCTTGGAGAGGGCCGGAGGGGGTAGGGAACAGGTCAAGTTCCCCTCCCAGCACCTGACCTCTGCTCTCTGCAGGAAGCCTGAAGGGGCTGTGGCAGGAAGGGGGCCGGTGGGCCAGCCAGGCCACAGCTGGGACAGCCTCCCTGGTCTGCTCCATGGTTCCATCCCCTCCCGGCCAGGGTGCACTGTGCCTCACCTCATGATCTGGGGTTTTTCGTCTTGGCTGAGGGCTGGTCATGAAGGAAGAACTCTCCATACTCTGTCTCAAGTACTGCCACAAGAAATAGGCTTTCTCTTCCACTTGATTCCCCAACCATAAGTGCTCCATAAAGTGTAAAGCCCCACACACTTATGAGGTGGTGTTGGTGCCCAGCTCCAATCATTCTAGATTTCCTCATGCCTTGCCTGGATAGCATTTTATCCTGGGGCGTTTGCCTTCTGCAGAGAATGGCTTGGGAGGGAGCTCTGGAATCCTGATTTATCCTTCTCTGCATAGCTCAGGAGCCAAGAGCATGGTGCTGGAGCTGGAAGCCTGGCTTCAAAGCTCTGCTCTGCCACTAGCATGCTGTATGACCTTGGGCAAATCACTTAACCTCTGGCACCTCAATTTCTTCTCTGTAGAGGGAGGTGATACTGGGAAAAGTGAATAAGTTAATACATGTAAGCACTTCAGAGCTGTTCCTGATACATGGGAAGTGCTGGCCCATAGCTGCTGGCTGAACAAGGCTAGTCTCTGGAGGTCAGGGCTGCCACTGTGTCTGCAGTGGGTTCAAATGATTCAACTAATAAGTTCTTCACCTTCTATTACACCTTCTTTGCAGGCTATACCTGCAAATCCAAAAGGGATGACATCAATGGCTGCCTTAGCAGGACAGAGGGCTTGGCGATCTCAGAAGACACCATCTGACTTAAGTTGCTTTTCAGAAACTTGGCTTTACAATTTTTAATTTCTCCATTCTGGTTTCTCTGGCTTAAAGAACAGAACTTCCTGCCCTGAGACCCCTTCAAAGACCATTGCTCTGCCTTGTCAAGGGCAGCCACTGCTCAGCAGGGTTTTCTTTATATGTGAACATCTGCTTCCAACAACCATAGGCAAATAGTTATCTACATAAATCACACAGACCTGGCAACTGCAAAGAGGCAGCAGGATTGCTCTAACTGGATTCTTTATCTGTTTGAAGGAAGCACAGTTTTGATACAATACCCTTTTGGGTTTTGCCTAAACAGCAAAAGAGATCCTAGAGCATCTTGGTGAGCAGAGGCAGGCTAAGCAGGGGGAGTTGGGCCATCTTCCAGAGCCTGGCTCCAACTACCACAGGTATGCATGTGGACCACACACTGTGGACATGTTCATTGCCAAGGATGGCCCTCAGCAGCTGGGAGAAGCAGCACCTCTTCCTTTGCCAGGAGTTTTTGGCTTGTAGACCAATGAAGCCAGTGTAGGCTCTGGCAGATCTTCTTTGCTTTCAGACAATCCACAAACATGCACATCCCTAAAGAGAGGGACTTTTAAATGAGTAGGGCCCAAGGGCATCATGGGACCAGGCAGTGCATGCACGGGAAGGCTGGGTGTAGGACGAGGACAGAGCCTGAGAAGGCTGTGTGGCAGAGGGAGGAAGGAGGGGTGGTGGCCTGGCAGGTATGAGTGAGGAGGCAGGGAAGGGAGATGGCAGAATGATGGCAAGGGGGTATGGTGACATGGTGAGGAGCATGGTGATTGGTGCCCCAGCACCACCAGTTGACCAGGTATATGATCCAGGGGTGATCACCTGGCCTTCTAAGCCTATTTTCATATCTAGAAAATCAAGGCAATAAGCTACCTAAGATATAGTTTGGACATCGTTCCCTCTAAATCTCATGTTGAACTGCAATCCCCAATGTCAGAAGTGGGGCCTGGTGGAGGTGATTTGATCATGGGGTTGAATTTCTCATGAATGGTTTAGCACCATCCCCATGGTGTGTCCTCACAATGGTGAGTTATCGCGAGATCTGGCTGTTTAAAAATGTGTGGCGTCTCCCACTTGTTGTGTCTTGCTCCTGCTTCCACCATGTGACATGCCTGCTCTTGCTTTGTCTTCCACCATAAGTAAAAGCTCCCTGAGAAGGCAAGCAGATGCCAGCGCCATGCTTGCACAGCCTGCAGAACCATGAGCCAGTTAAACCTCTTCTCCTTATAAATTATCCGGTCTCAGATATTCCTTTACAGCAACACAAGAACAGACTAATACAACCTATTTCACAAGGATATTGTGACAATCAAATTAATATTACCACTATCAATTATTTTTGTCATTGTTATTTGCTGGGTTGTAATCAAGGGTGCAGAATGGAGAAGAAAGGGCCCTATGTATTCTTTGAGAAATGGGACCACCTAATGAGTGGCTTTCAGACTTAAGAGTCTGACTTTTATATAGTTTTTCAATCAAAGTAGTAGAATGCCAAATGTTAGTCTATAATGAGGAGTGCCACTTCAGAGGAGAGCAGACCCTGTACTCCACCAATGCAGTTTCTCTAAGCATGGGCTCTAAGGTAGATGTAGACTCCAAGGGAAGTTACTTGAATGGTTAATGCTTAATACCATCAGGCCATGGCCATCCAGTTGAGTTGGCCCAAAGCTCGCTCTCTCCTGGGCTTTCTTGCACTGACTGTCCCTATCACTGGGAAAGTCTGATGTTGTAGTTTGACAGGTCAGAATCACATTGGAAATTACATAGGGCTGTGATGTATAATTTGATATGATTTAATGGCATTAGACAATAGTGGTTTTAGACTCTACCTGTGAGAATCAGAGGACAGGTGAATAAGAGGAAGGGAGGAACAAAGAAGAGGAAAGAGAAAAGAGAAATATCTTTTTAAAAAATCCGCATCACACGTCACAGGCCTAGTTCAGTGAGTCATGCCTATAATCCCTGCACTTTGGGAGGCCAAGGTGGGAGGAACACTTGAGGCCAAGAGTTTGAGAACAGCCTGGACAATGCAGTGATACCCTGTCTCTAAAAAAAAAAAAAAAAAAAAAAAAAAAAAAAGTTAAAAATTAGCTGGGCATGGTGGTGTATGCCTGTAGTCCCAGCTACCGGGGAGGATCACTTGAGCCCAGGAGTTCAAGGTTACAGTGAGTTATGATCACACTACTGCACTCCAGCCTGGGTGAGAGAACATGACCCTGTTTCTAAACACAAACATGCAAACCTGACCCACAGGAGTGTTTGATCGCACTGGCTTTAAGCTACAAGCAGCCAGTAGCTGAGAATAAAATTCAATCAAGTTTTCAGTTGGGCCCCCGGAATCTCTGGCAAAATCAGGGATCTCTATTTTATACCACATGGAGGTTTATCTAAATGTCATTTTAAGTGGTCTATTCTGGGAGAAGTCAACCTTAATGAAACAGGAGGTATTATATACATATTTTAGGACTGTGAAAGAAGTGTACAAAAAAACATCTTTTTATTTTCTTCTAACAGGAAATTGTAATTGTGTGTTCACTGAAGTGGAGAATCCAGAATAGTACAGAAGTTTCTGCCTGCAGACTGTTGTGCTAAACCCCTATTGACTCCAATGGAGGATGACACCAGGTTCAAAGAACGAAGAAGAGACCTAGAGCCAGCAAACGAGACAGGTTTTACTGGGGACTTACATACAAGTGAGAGTCCAGTGGTGGCTGGCTGGACAGAAGAACCACAACCACCTGAAAAAAAGCATGCAGTTTCTATAGCACTTAACACCCTCTCCCTAACCACCTCCAACTGACAACCTTCTTTCAACCTTAAACAAAAAGGCCACGAGCCCCTGTATGGCCTGCATGTTACAGGACGGGGCTGGGGCTCAGATGTTCCTCATTGATATGGAATGACCCTCCAGGTTGGCTACTCTGGGTTCCTCAGCTTGGAACTCAAGACCACATTCAGGTGCATCTCCCATACAAAGTCATTCTCAGGGTATGCTTAAGTTATTGCTATCAGGTGTGTTTACTCTGTACAGCCCTGCATGGCCAGACCCTAAAGAAAACACTCCTCTGTGGGCACAACCTTTGATGCTCTGGGCCAGTAAGTCAGGCCTGGTGAGACCTCAGGAGGCTATTTCTAGAGGTCTGAATACCTGTAAAGTATGGTCCTCACAGTGCAAAGGTTCTCTGCCACGTGCATGAGTCCGGTGAGACAGAACACTCTCACACATCAGGCAAAGCAGCTGTATTACTCACCAGTAGGTGGCAAGGATATCAGAAGCCTAGGATCCATGCCAAGCTGGTGCCCCAAGGTTCGGAGACCTGTGCGGGGTGAGTGGAGTCTTGTCCGTGCCCGCCGCACATCGCGCCACAGCTGAGGGACCCTGAAAGTGCTCTGCTTCGGGTGTTCCACCCTTGGCACCACTTAGCTCACTGGGCAGAAGTGCAGAAGAACGTCTCATTTTGGGAGGCATGAGGACAAAGCCGGGTTGTTTCCCACTTCCTCCTTATCAGGATATTGCATCCTCCATACATTCATAGTACTGAAGCCGGAGGAAGCAGAGTTGGGTCAGCCAAGGCCATCCGGGGCCCTGTTCTCCTTCATACCAGCCCTCGCAGTTAGTATGCAGGGCTGCCAAGCCCTCGATGGCTACAACAACAAGTTTTCTCTAGGCCTCCTCTTGGCTGGGTCTAAGTCTCTGCTTTTTATGGTGGAAGCAATGAGGGTACATGGCTCACCTCCACATTGCAGCTAAAAGGCAGCCCAATGCACCTGCACCACACCCTTGCTGCTTAAGAAACAAGAGCCACAAGTGCCTCACAGCTGTCCGTGGCAACTGTCCAGGAACATCACACTGCCTTCCTCACCTGCTGCCCTTCTGGGCACTCAGCCCTCTCTTCTCCACTCAGCCCTCTCTTCTCTTCTCAATTTTAGCTCCTGTCCCTAGCCCTTACTCTCTGTTGGAGCTCCTGGGTGAGGGGCTGAATCCAAGCCCTCTCTCCAGACTCAGCCTGGAGCTCTCATCTCTGCATCTTCTGGCCTGGGCATTCTGGAGAGAAGTCACTCTAGTTTTGGTTCTTGGAATGTAACTGTCCTCTGGATCTTGGCCCCCTGGAAGCATGGCTGAGCTGCCCCAATTAAAGCTGCTCAACTCGCTCTTTATGCTTCTGTCTGTGGAAGAAGGGATGCACGTACTCCTAGAACAGAGAGAGCTTTCTTGTCTTCTGATCATTGTAATAAGCAGTTAACAAGTTCTCTTCTTAAAGAGAAAGCAGCTGAAAGCTTTTAATGCCAAAGTTCCACAGGTTTATCTAATTACTTCTGCATGAAGCACACGGGATGAGTCTTCTGAAAGAAGAGTCTATGATATGATAAAGCCAGAACTGGAATCATAACAGTTAAGAACTAGCAAGAATGTGTCTCTGCTGTTCTTTTATGTTTATTCCTTTATGTATCTTTTTAAAATACAGTACTTAGTAATACACACTTATGTAGCACAGCTGTTTTCCTTAGAGAAAAAAGTTCTAATTTAAAATTTTGCAATTCTGATTTTAATCTCATATATTAAAGTACACTTCTAAGCATTTATTTGGATAGTTATCCACACTCTGTGCATTAGAAATAACCCAGAAGCATATTAAAAATACACACGTTGAAGGCCCACGTCCATAAATTCTGGGCCCAGGCGTCTGTTCTGTTAGCATATGTGATGTTGGAAAACTACTAGTCCAGTGTCTCTCAGACTTCAAAATGCCTAGGAATCACCTGGGGATCTTGCCTAAAAATCCAGATTCTAAGTCAGTCAGTCTGAGGTGAGTGCCTGAGATTCGGCGATCCCGATCCTAATGAGCTCCCAAGACGAGGTAGCTGCTGCTGGTGCATACATCACACCAATAGCAAGGCCTGGGCACCACACCCAGATGCAGACGCTCACCAGCTGGCAGCTGGGTCCACACTGGAGGGCAGGGAAAATAATCAGACTCTTTAGGACTGGGCTTCCAACACTAAAACATGAAATGATTAACAACGGACTTTACATACATAATCTCAGTTCATCCACACATATACACACTCCATAAGATCATTACCATTTTTTATGGTTGAGGAAGCCAAGACTCAGAAAGTCATACAGCTAGAAAGTATATTGGTTGTCTATTGTGGCTTTAACAAAGGACCACAAACTTAGTGGCTTAAAATGAGACAACTTTATGACCTTATGGTTTTGCAGACAAGAGGTTCTAAAATCAAGGCATTGGCAAGGCTGTGTCCCTTTTGGGAGCTCTAGGAAAGAATCTGCTTTCTTACCTTTCCAGTGTCTAGAGGCTGCCTGCATTTCTTAATTCGTGGTCCCTTTATCCATCTTCAATGTCAGCAACACCACATCTCTCTGACACTTTTTCCTTCATCACCTCTCTCTCTAACCACAGCTGGGAAAGGTTCTCTGCTTTTAAGGATTAAGTAATTAGACTGCGCCCACTTGGATAATGCAAGATACTCTCCTCTCTAGAGTCTGTACCTGAATCAAATCTGCAAAGTCCTTTTTGCCATGTAAATGAACATATTCACAGTTGATGGGGATTAGGGAATACACATCTTTGGGGGAACATTATTCTGCCTTCCACAGTGGGAAAAAAACAGGATTTAGAGCCTGAAAGCAAATTCAAATCTGTCTGATTCCAAAGTCCATGCTTCTAGCACACAATTCAAAAGAGTAACTAAATTGAATGTTGTTGTAGTCTGGAGGCCAAATCATGAATGGTGTTAAAGTGTAATGCTGCTGTACGCAGCCTGAATGCCACTATCATTTTAAATTGAACTGAATGATGCTGAAGTGGATTTTGTTTATTGCAATGCGTTTTGCATTCTCCTTAGGCTCAGCAAAATCCAGTTCTCCTGTGCAACTGCAACACCTTGTTATAATGCATGAACATCTAATTGTGGTTCTTGGTCATTATTTAATGTAACTAAAAAATAAGATGGAAACCAAGGAACATCTTCAAGATTTCACAATAAATTGTTTATACTTTTGAGCAACTGCACTGAAGCAAGATTAGTAACTGAATCTTGAACATTCGACTCCCTTGCAGGAAGCTTGATAATGATTGAGGTGCTGTCCTCATCGAATCCCTCAAAGTCCTGCCACCACAGTAGCCAGGTGTTCCTGTCTGCAGAGATTTAGCCCCTAAACTGAGGTAAAACTCACCTCGCTTCCTAGGGGATTCAGAACTAGGTTTTATTTAGATCAACAATTCCAACCTACAGTAGTGGGGCTCCCAGTTATCAGACATATTACCACCAGGAAAATGTGAAGAGAGAAATATTTAGTTGGGTTCTTTTAAGCCCATCTGTTATGGGTTGAATTGTGTCTCTATCTCCCCACCTCTGAAAAAAAAAAAAAGATATGTTGAAGTTCTAATTCCTACTACCTCAGAATATGATCTCATTTGGAAATGGGGTCCTTGCAGATGTAATTAGTTAAGATGAGGTCATACTGGAGTAGGGTGGGCCCTGAATCCAGTATGACTGATGTCCTTATAAGAGGAGAGAAGGACCAGGTGCGGTGGCTCATGCCTGTAATCCCAGCACTTTGGGAGGCCAAGCCAGGTGGATCACTTGAGATCAGGAGTTCGAGGCCAGCCTGGCCAACATGGTGAAACCCTGTCTCTACTAAAGATACAAAAATTAGCTGGGCATGGTGGTACACTCCTGTAATCCCAGCTATTTGGGAGGCTGAAGCAGGAGAATCTCTTGAACCCAGGAGGCAGAGGTTGCAGTGAGCCGGGATCGCTCCACTGCACTCCAGCCTGGGTGACAGAACAAGATTCTGTCTCAAAAAAATAAAAAAAAAATAAAAAAAGAGGAACGAAGAACAGAGGGGGAAGATGACTACGTAACAACAGAGGCAGAGACTGGCATGATGCATGTAGAAGCTGAGGAACACCAGAGACTACTGGCAAACACCAGAAGGTAGAAGAGGCAAGGAAGGCTTCTCTCTTATGAGTTTCAGAAGGAACCAAGCCTGATGACACCTCAACTTTGGACTTAGCCTGCAGAATTATGAGATCATTAATATCTGTTGTTCTAAGCCACCCAGTTTGTGGTGCTTTGTTATGGCAGCATTAGCAAACCAATACAACATCCTTCTGGCTGTTGTTACAATCTACATTTCTCATCTTACAGAATGGATGTATTCCTGGAGAGGTAAATGAATACAGGTCAAATAATGATCAGAATGTGGCTTAAACACTGGAGATATAGTCTTAGGGAATGAATGGTTTTTGACTACGAGATGTTATTTAAACCACATCACAGAAACTTTGCCATACACTATTCAGTATAAAGTTGAGTTCAGCAAAATAGACATATTCTAGCCCCTAAAGAGGTCTGGTTCCAGGAAGAAGTTCTAAAATGACTGTACAGAGTATGGGCCCAGGAGACAGCTTAGCACTGGCAGCAGCAGTCCAATGCTACCTCGAGGAATCTCTCATTCATAGAGCACCTGCTCTGAGCCAGGCACTGTGCTAGACTATTATGCCTCCCACTTGTACAACAAAAACCTTTTTCCTTTGGGCAGTGACCTCCTGCAGAGGGTAGGAGGAGAGGGATGGTTAACATCAAGTAGAAATCTCTTCCACCATCACACCCTGAACCTTGTTATCACCAAAACCATTCCATCTTCTGAAGCAGTAATCTCAGTTATCTCCATTTCTCACTACCATTGCCTGCCAGTCCTTCCAGGCTGCTTAGCTACCACTCCTACCACCAATGTTCTAACCTCATTAGGACGTTTGAACCCTCTATTCTCCCCAGTGTTGCTTTCCCCAACCTGTACTTCCTTTGTATCCAGCTTAGAATCCATTGTCTATTATTGTGCCCCATCATGTCTTCTGACTTTTGGTAGCATTATCTGCCAAACATAACCTCTGTGGCTGTGCTAAGCCATGATGCTGCCGGGCAAGGCCACAAACCAGAAATTTGTCTCACTAACTTCATGAATTCCTACTGAGATTACTTATTAAATTCATTTATTTCCATTCTGACCATTACCACCTGGATTTATAATAGCTTCTAAACTGACCAGCCTGTGGTCGTTCCCCACCTCCTCCCACCCCACCATCCCCACCTGTTGCAGTCAAGATTCTGGCTTTAAATTGCAAATCTGTTTTTATTGCCTTTCCATACTTCCTCTTCTTCCTGTGGTTCTTAGAGTCCTTTCTGCATGTTGTTCCCTCTGACTAGAAGACTCAGTGTCTTAGCCCAATATCCAGTCACCTCCTCATCCTTCACACCTCCCCACCCCATCATCACCTCCACAGACCTGCCTACCCTTCTCTAACTCCCTGAGGTCAGACCTGCCTTGCAGGTGCTCTTAGTGCTCCAGGTCACCATTCCACTTTTACACTTACTTGCAGGCTTATTTGATGGATGTCTCCTCTGGTGGACAGAAAGCTCAAAACAAAATAGTCTTCTCTGCTTTTGTTTATCATTGTATCCTCAGCACCCAGCATAGTGCCTGTTATATGTAGGCACTCAATAACATTTATTCAATGAAAGTTGAATGAATGACTTAATTTTCACAACTACCTCTGGAAAGAAAGCTATTATCCTCATTTTACAAATGAGAAGATTGAAGCAACTCAAGAAAATTAAGTTACTTAAGTTGTAGATACTTAAAGACTCACCCCAGTATCTTAGTCTTTTCAGGCTACTATATAAGAAAATACCATAGACTGGATGACTTTTATAAAAAAAAACAACAGAAATTTATGTCTCACAGTTCTGGAGGCTGGGAAGTCCAAGGTCAAGGCACTTACAGGTTCAGTGTCTGGTGAGGGCTCACATCCTCACACATGGCGCTTTCTTGTTCTGTTCTCACATGGTGGGAGGGGTGGGGGGGGTTTCCCTAAGGCCTCTTTTAGAATGACACTGATCCCATTCATGAGGGCTCCACCCCAATGACCTAATCACCTCCCACCCTCATCACCTTGGAAGTAAGGATTTCAACATATGAGTTTTCAGGGGGATACAAACATTCTGACCACAGCACCCAGGTTGCTGATTATAAAGCTCGCATTCTTTCCTCTGTACTATTTCTCATAATATGATACAAATGTCACAAAATATGCTGTGCTCAACAAAAGGTGTGGTCAGAGGAAGCATCCCACTGGTGTCAAATGCAGGTGAGAAGAATATGAGTCCTATGTGATGCTGGGCTCTTAAAACACCTCTTAGGAGGCCGTCCATGGTGGCTTGCGCCTGTAATCCCAGCACTTTGGGAGGCTGAGGTGGGCGGATCACCAGGTCAGGAGATTGAGACCATCCTGGCTAACACAGTGAAACCCTGTCTCTACTAAAAATACAAAAAAAAAAAAAAAAATTAGCCGGGCGTGGTGGCAGGCGCCTGTAGTCCCAGCTACTCAGGAGGCTGAGGCAGGAGAATGATGTGAACCCAGGAGGCGGAGCTTGTGGTGAGCCAAGATCGTGCCACTGCACTCCAGCCTGGGCTGACAGAGCGAGACTCTGTCTCAAACAAACAAACAAAAACCACACCTCTTAGGGCACCTCTCTCAAGAAGACCTTTACCACCCAAAACACAGTTGGCATATATCAAAAGCCTTAGAATATTAATATCGCCTTAATATTGATAACTCTTTACCTAGCAATTGTATCCAGTAGCTTTAAGAAAAATTTAAGAGCTGTACACAAGAATTTATGCACAAGGATGGTCATTGTGGTATTATTGTCAAACAGGTAACAGTTAAATAATGACACTCCCTTATAACACATTTTTATGCAGATGCTCCAAACATATTTCTAAAGAATATTTAACTGACATGGGAAAATGGTTAAATATTACAGTCAGGTAAGAAAAGGACAACAGGCTAATAAAAGAACACTAGTAATGATTCCAATTTTAAAGGTATGTGTTTCTAGCTATACACAGTCATGAAAAATAAAATACGGCAAAATGTTAACTGGTTATCTCTTAGTAAGATTGCAGGCAAATTACATTTCCTTCAATACACCTTATCGTATTTTCAACTGTTTACCATCAGCACGTGTTGCTTTTATAATGAGAAAAAAATGTTACTAAAAAGCAATTGACCATGTAATTTGCTCAGAAAGTTTTTCTTGCTATGTTTTTCAACTGCTCTTTCTAAATTATTTCAGAAACAAAAAGTCTTTGGAGGAATTTTCCCTCTGCCGATGCTCGGGTTAGGTTATTTATATAATGGAAGGCCACATGGAGACGTTGGACTTCCTGTATGAGTTTCATCATATAAAAAGCTTGGAAGTTGTCACTCTTTGCTTTTATAAGAAAAAGCTGGACAAACTGAAAACCAATGACTTGGACTCATTACAGGGCAAACTGTCTCCAGAGTTTGCAAACTGTCTCCAGCAAATCCAGAGACAAAGCTGAGATCAACTTACCTGGAGCAGAAGTGTTGGATCTCTAAACTGGTAGGCTCACTTCTGGGAACAGTCTTGGGGAAAGCCTCTTGGTTTTGTGAACATTACCTCTAGGAATCCCACCAGTTTCTCATTGTGAAGATCAGAGAAAGATGCCATCATAGTTCTTGCAGGAGGGGAAGAGTGATTCTTATGAAATACGTCCAGAGCTTTCTTCATAATAAAAATGATAAAAGAAAATAAACTCTTCGGGGGAAAGACTTAACCAGGCTTTAGGCTTGTTCTAGAGCCATGGGGAAAGGCACTCCTCTCGCTCCAGCCATTTCTCCTCTTCCTGTCTCACCTGAGGGGGATAGGAAAGCTTTCCAAAACGAAGCACAAGTGAAGGTCCCAGGCCAGAGACTCAAGCCCACTAAGAGACTTGAGATTTAATCGTTAAGATTGAGAACACTCCTCTCCCTTGTGCCTTACCACCACACCAACAGGGCTAAACAAAGCCCAGCTCCTAGACAAATGAACATAAATCCTCACACTAAATGCCTATTTATCTCAGTCCCTATTACCCAATACATGTCCAACTTTCAATAAAAATTACAAGGTATGCTAAAAAGCAAGTAAGAAGACAGATCAAGGGCTGGGCACGGTGGCTCGTGCCTGTAATCCCAGCACTTTGGGAGGCTGAGGTGGGAGGATCACGAGGTCAGGAGTTCGAGACCAGCCTGGCCAACATGGTGAAACCCCATCTCTATTAAAAATACAAAAATTAGCCAGGCGTGGTGGCAGGCGCCTGTAATCCCAGCTGCTGGGGAGGCTGAGGCAGGAGAATCTCTTGAACCCGGGAGACAGAGGTTTCAGTGAGCCGAGATCAGGCCACTGCACTCCAGCCTGGGCAACAGGGTGAGACTGCACTCCAGCCTGGGCAACAGGGTGAGACTCCGTCTCAAAAAAAAAAAAAAAAAAAACACAGATCAAGCAAGCATCAAAGCATCAAAACCAGACTCCAATATGATATGGCTGCTGGATTTACCAGACAGGGAATTCAAAAATCATTGTTAAGGGCTCAAATGGGAAAAGTAGGCAACATGCAAGAAACAGATGGATAATGTAAGCACAGAGATGGAAATTCTGGTAATCTAATGCTAGAAACCAAAAAACAGTGTAACAGAAACAAACTAAAACAAACAAACAAACAAACTACACCTAGGCATATCAGATTTACACTGTAGAACTGCAGTCCCCAACCTTTTTGGCATCAGGGACTGGTTTCGTGGAAGACAATATTTCCATGGTGGCGGGGAGATGGTTTTGGGATGAAACTGTTCCACCTCAGATAATCAGTTAGATTCGCATAAGGAGTATGCAACCTAGATCCCTTGCATGCACAGTTCACAATAGGGTTCAAGCTCCTGTGAAAATCTAATGCTGCTGCTGATCTGACAGGAGGCGGAACTCAGGCAGTAATGATCGCTGCTTACCTCCTGACATGTGGCCTGATTCCTAATGGGCCACTGACCAGTACAGGTCTGCAGCCTGGGCATTGGGGACCCCTGCTGTAGGAAACCAAAAATTAAGAGAGACAAAGAAGGCAGAGGCAGATTTTTAATTTTTGTTTAGCCTATAGAAGAACATGGATAAGAATTATAGTGGACTTCTCATCAGAAACCATGCAAGCAAGAAATGTGTGAAGTGAAAATAAAGGGCCGAAAGAAGAAAAATATGGAATCTTGTATCAGTAAAAATATCCTTCAAAAGTTAAGGAAAAAGACTTTCTCAGACACAGACAGGGAATTCGTTGCCATCAGGCCTGCCATGCAAGAAATAGTAGAAGGAAAATGATATACGTCAAACTTGGATCTCTATAAAGAAAGGACAACTGTCAGAGAAGAAATAAAGGCAAAACCAAATCTTTAATTTTTAAAATTCTTACTTGAACTGAAGGGTAACTGTTTAATAGCAGTAATAATGTATTAGATGATTATAACCCATGAATAAGTGAAATGAGAGACAGCAACTTCATAGGGGTTGGGAGAGAGGAATTGGGACTACCCTGTTATAAAGTATCTGCACTACACATGAAGTGTTATTTGAAGGTAGACGTAGATTAAAATGTATATTGTAAATTTAGGGAACCATTAACATTTTTTTAAAGGAAGTATAATTTAAAGTATATTGCCGGGTGCGGTGGCTCACGCCTGTAATCCCAGCACTTTGGGAGGCCGAGGTGGGCAGATCACGAGGTCAGGAGACCGAGACCATCCTGGCTAACACAGTGAAACCCTGTCTCTACTAAAAATACAAAAAATTAGCCGGGCACGGTGGTGGGCGCCCGTAGTCCCAGCTACTCGGGAGGCTGAGGCAGGAGAATGGCGTGAACCCAGGAGGCGGAGCTTGCAGTGAGCCGAGATTGTGCCACTGCACTCCAGCCTGGGTGACAGAGCGAGACTCCGTCTCAAAACTAAAAAAATAAAAATAAATAAAGTATATTGAAGTAGGCTGGGCGCGGTGGCTCATGCCTGAAATCCCAGCACTTTGAGAGGCCGAGGCGGGCAGAACTCCCAAACTAGCCAAATGAACTAGCCAGCCTGGTCAACATGGTGAAACCCCATCTCTACTAAAAATAAGAAAAATTAGCCAGACCTGGTGGTGCACATCTGTAGTCCCATCTACTCAGGAGGCTGAGGCAGGAGAATCCCTTGAACCTGGGTGGCAGAGGCTGCAGTGAGCTGAGATCACACCACTGAACTCCAGCCTGGGTGACAGAGTGAGACTTTGTCTCAGTAATAATAATAATATTAATAATAAATAAAGCGGCCAGGCACAGTGGCTCACACCTGTAATCCCAGCACTTTGGAAGGCTAAGGCTGGCAGATCACCCGAGGTCAGGAGTTCGAGACCAGCCTGGCCAACACAGCAAAACCCCATCTCTATTAAAAATACAAAATTAGCCAGGCTTGATGGCACATGCCTGTAATCCCAGCTACTTCGGGGCTGAGGCAGGAGAATCGCTTGAACCCGGGAGGCAGAGGTTGCAGTGAGCTGAGATTGCGCCATTGCACTCCAGCCTAGGGACAGAGCAAAACTCCATCTTGAAAATAAAATAAAATAAAATAAATAAAATAAAATAAAAAGTGTATTGAAGGAGGTACCAAGGACCCAGGGCTGTTGGCCTTATCTTTCTGGTCCATTTCCTCATCTGTGAAATGATTAGGTTAAGAATAGATCATCTCCTTGATTCCATTCCTGCTCTGCAATTTTATCACTAGAAAAAAAAAGGTTAATTAAAAGTCTAACTTGTTCCTTTAGTCCAAATAGTAACTATAACGAAGAACCTTTTGAAAGAAGAGCTTTCTAAAATAGCCAAGTCCCTAATTTATTATTTCAGTAAATTTAGGTTTCCATACTTCCAAATTGTGAGTGGCCTTTAGTAGGTTTATCTTGTACATATACTGAAACAATGAATTTCCTCACCTGGTTGAGCATTCCTCAATGCATTGTGCTTTAAGAACAGACAAGGCTGAAAGGAAAAGGCCATTTCATGGTATTGATTTCACTGCCAGAGACAGTCCAGGCCATATGCCTTTCAATTCAAAAAAGAAATAATCAAACTGCCTCCCTTGCCTAAATAGAGCTCTTCATTAACTTGTGATTACCTCCAGATCTGTCAATAGACTTTCCTCCCCTGGCTGTCAATACATTTCTGAGCTCAGTGAGCACTTTTCTGAGCTACAACTTTGCTGTCAATCAAAAAGTTTTGCTCTTCTAGACTCTTGCTCAAATTGCAGTGTTCATTACAAAAAGAAAAGAAAGTCACTTTGGAGTTGCCCTACAGAACACTGTGGAAATGACCTGCCTCTTTTGAAATGAGATGCTGATCTCACTTCAGGTTAAAGCAACTGAGAAAAACTGAAAGCTCACTTGCAGGTCTGCTCAGTCTCATCTCCAGACTTTTCTGCTCTAACCCTTACAATAAAAATCCCCAGGCCAGGCGTGGTGGCTCACACCTGTAATCCCAGCACTTTGGGAGGCCGAGGCAGGCAGATCACGAGGTCAGGAGATCGAGATCATCCTGGCTAACACAGCGAAACCCCGTCTCTACTAAAAAAAAATTTTAAAAAAAATTAGCCGGGTGTGGTGGTGGGTGCCTGTAGTCCTAGCTACTCGGGAGGCTGAGGCAGGAACATGGTGTGAACCTGGGAGGTGTAGCTTGCAGTGAGCCGAGATCACACCACTGCACTCCAGCCTGGGCGACAGAACAAGACTTCACCTCAAAAAAAACCAAAAAAACAAAAAACCCCAACAAGCAGATTTCTAGCCAAAAGACCTATTTCCCACTTTAAAGCCACCTGCTTAGTTGCAGACAGATAGAAATGCTTTAAGCCTCCCTGGACTCTTCCCTGTTCTAGCAGTTACTTGCATTCTATTTGTGACCTACTGGCACATTAAAGTGGCATGAAAATCAATGTTTTACATTGAAGGGAAAAGGGCTGGATCGCCAAATACCAATATATTCCTTCCTGGATTAGACAGTTCCTCAAAGCACACTTAACTAATACATTCCAACAGACAGGCCCAGATGAGTTAAATGCGAGCATTTGCTGGAACAAAGAACAAAACCGTCTTGCTTGTTAAAGATCGTTGGCCAATCAGGGACCTTCCACTTGATATGGTAAGAAAGAATTCAAGAGAAAATGTAGTCAACAACTCTCAGTTTTGAATTTTATCCCAGTGCTTCAGACCATAAGGAGTCCCTCAGGCTGGAGTCCAATTGCCCAGAAGTAAAAACAGACTCTCAGACCAACAGCTAGAACCCTTTCCAGGACATTGAGGTATTCACCCACAAGTGCTCTAAAGCTCGACTTCAAACAGCATGAAGCTGTGTAAAAACTTCCAGCTCTACAACCAGATGAATGGTTTTTACTACTTCATGGGACACCAAATTCCACATAATTAAGGTATGTTTGGGATAGAATGTAGTTTATTAGGTGGTAAAAAGGTGACTTTAAACTGCTTTTCCAGCAGATGTCACAGTCCTACCAAGATATCAAGATCAAAGCTTCACATTTAAGGAAATCATTATTTTTTTCTCCTCATTTTGCCAGCTGATAAGTACTGCTTCTTATCCTTAACCACACTCAAAGGTAATGCTCTCAAGTCTAGCATGTTTCTAAGCTCAGCCCAAATTTGAGTCTCACTAAAAAGATAAAGTATTGCTGCATATCTGCATCTTTGCCAAGTTTCCAAATCCAAAAAGGATATTTTGGTAATGGAAAAGGCAGTGTTTGCCTTCCATTTTAGTGGTGTGTGAGTTCAAGTTATATTGGAAGTCACAAAGAACTACATAACTTAAAAATGAGAGAGAGAAATAGAACTCTTGGAGAGATGACTTTTTTTTCTTTTTTGACATGGCATTTCACTCTCATCGCCTAGGCTGGAGTGCAATGGCGTGATCTTGGCTCACTGCAACCTCTGCCTCCCGGGTTCAAGCAATTCTCCCGCCTCAGCCTCCTGAGTAGCAGGGATTACAGGTGTGAGCCACCGCGTCCGGCCAAGATGACTCTTGACTAAAGGGTTTGCAGTAACATAAAGGAGTTTCGGAGACTTAAGACTGATGAAACTTGAACCAAGTTTAATATACTTCTTCCCCAGTTCAGCCATGCTACTTTTCTAGGTTAAAAGAAAGTTGCAGAACTTCTGTAAATTAACAGGCAAGCTGGTGGTGGTAAGAGCTCTGATTCAGGTTAAAACAAACAAACAATCAACAAAATAACCACTGGAAATTTCCAGAGCCATAAGAACTCTTTAAAAATTTATCCAGCCAGGTGCAGTGGCTCACGCCTGTAATCCCAGCACTTTAGGAGGCTGAGGAAGGTGGATCACGAGGTCAGGAGTTCAAGACCAGCCTGGCCAACATGGTGAAACCCATCTCTACTAAAAATGCAAAGAATTAGCTGGGCGTGGTGGCAGGCGCCTGTAGTACCAGCTACTTGGGAGGCTGAGGCAGGAGCATCACTTGAACCCGGGAGGTGGAGGCTGCAGTGAGCAGAGATTGCGCCATTGCACTCCAGCCTGGGTGACAGTGAGAGACTCCATCTCAAAAAAAAAAAAAAAATAGTAATAATAATAATAATCCTTATAATAGAGAGGCCTGGTGCTTAGTTTATGTGCCTCCTGATGTGATGTCACAGAAATTGTACATTACCAGATTAGTGTTGTTGCCAAAAATGCTTACCTGAATAAAATTATGAGGAAACAATTAGAAAATTCCACAATAAGGAATATTCTGCAGGGCAATTACCTTGGATTCTTCTAAAAAGCCAAAGACACTAAAAGAAGACAATTCTAGATTGAAAAATTAAGCAGCCAAATGCAATGTATAAATACTAAATGGAGCTGGGCATGGTGGCTGAGGCCTGTAATCCCAACACTTCGGGAGGCCAAGGTGGGCCACTTGAGCCCAGGAGTTTGAGACCAGCCTGGGCAATATGGTGAAACTCTGTCTCCACAAAAAAAATACAAAAATTAGCCACGCGTGGTGGCAAGTGCCTGTAGTCCCAGCTGCCTGGGAGACTGAGGTGGGAGGAACACCTGAGCCAGGGAGGTGGAGGCTGCAGTGAGCTGAGATCAAGCCACTGCATTCCAGCCTGGGTGACAGGGTGATACCCTGTCTAAAATAAATAAATAATATAGGATTCTGGATCAAAAACCAAATTTTTGTATGTCTTTATTATATGTCATACAAAGGACATCTGTGTGGCAGTAGGGAAAATTGGAATATGAACTGTTTATTAGATGTTATTGCATTATTGTGAATTTTCTTAGATGTATAATGGCATTAGTGGATATGTAGAGGAATGGCATCCTCAGATGTCTGCTAAAGTATTTGGAGATAAAGGGTTTATAATAATAAACTTTTGTAGTGTTTGTACTTTCAAATGGTTAGCGAAAGTACATGTGTGTATATGTTAAGTATATTTATATACAGATACACATATATAAAGAGAGTAAATATGGCAAAATGTCAACAGTTTGGTAAATCTAGATGATGGGTATATTGGGGTTCATTATACTATTTTTTTCATGCCTCTGCAGATTTTTTTCTTTTCTAAAGTTAGGAGAAGAAAGTATTTTGGTTTTCATGACATGCATCTTACCTTCACTAGCTCTTCAACTTTTAAATTTCTATACAATAGGCTTATGACTTGGAGAAGAAGAAAAGACAACAACCCTTAGTAGGTGAGCCTTATGTTTTAATTCATGGAATTAGAGATTAGTCGTGAGGCTACAAAGATCCAATATTTTCAAAACCTGATGATTTTTTATGTTAGAGTGACTCCAAATTGATGCGAGTCTGGAGTCAGGGAGTTACCCAGTTCCAGTATAGTGCCACTGACGCTTAAGTAGCCTCACCAAACCATGCCATTAGGGAGCAGTTTTTAAATAACTATCAAATTATACAGTGACAGCATCATTTTATTTCATACACAATCTCCTTCCCCTGCAGGCCAACTGCTTTAGAATGTGCACTTCCATTGGAACCCCTATTTTCTTACAGCATGTCGGCAAGTCTGTGTTCCTAATCAACTGTGAAATTTCATGAAGGTGGGTACTCTGTTCTAATCTCAGAATGTGGTACAGCATTATGGCATGAAACAGAACTCAATAAACACTAACTGAATAAAGAAATGGGTAAAATAAAGATTAAAGCGAGGATTTTTCAAGAAAAATTGTATCTTTTTAAAAATTGTATGCAATAATGTGGATTCTCTAAAATGACTAGTAGGAGAGAGAGGAGGGACCAACTTATAAGGAAGCTTTCAAATGTTATTGTTAGTCACATGGGCCTTTGTGAGAGGGTTGGGAGAAGTCTCTGGAATAGAAAATAAATAGAAAAGGAATATGTTTTTGGAGTATAAATGATCATTACCTTGTTTCAGGAGCCACAGTTCACCCAGAGGCCAGAGGCCTGGCTGAGTTGTTTGTCCTAAACTTAATATATTTGCTATATAGTTCTGTTAATGAATAGAATTCTGTAAACCAATAATTACACTTTATGTCTTAATTGAGCACTTAGAAATTCAAGATACATGAATTATTTTTCTGAGCTATTTACCAAGCCTATTTAAACTTGTGAGTTTTAAAAATGAAGCAAACTCTTTCCCTGAGATAAGCTTTTTACTTCTTTTGCAAGGTAGCTATTTCAGTAATATTTGGTATGGCACTATAATGAAATCTGTCAGGAATTAGAAGGATGAGTACTTTACTATAACTGAAAAATGAGCATGTTTGAGAATTTCTGATAACACTAATGAGTTAGTGTTTCAAATGAAAATAATTAAGTCAACAAAAAGAAATTCTTCTTGGATCAGTCTTCAGGACTGAGTAATACTGATAAAGAAATATCACTTGAAAGGAGCTTTTTGTCTTTAAATGAAGATAAATTAAAAGGGTAACTAGGATTTGCCACCTGCAATACTGATACCTACTAGCACAGAATCAAAGCTAGAGTATAAAAGAAAATTCTCTATAAGTCACTGGGCAATTTTTAAGAACTCATTTTTTGGGGGGAGCAAGAAAAGTAGTCAGACAAATCAGTCCAAGGTGAGGTATCTTTGGAAAATTTAATTTGGACCATATTTTCTTCCTCTTTCTGAAAACATCAAATATCCCCATACAGTTTGGGTTCCACAGCTTACAAAGGGGCAGTGGGTTTCCCGCAGTTACATACTGTACCCAACTTTCTATAGAAAGATAAAACATTTTCCAACCTTGCTTTTGAGTATTTCCTAAAAAATGCTTTAAAGTTTCCTTACAATAAATGGCAAGTAAAACAAAGTAAGGCTTTTTTTTTCTCCTTTTCCCCTTTTTATGTACTGCATGTTCGAGGAATAAGGAAGGAAGACTAGTTCCATCAGAGTACTAGTAATCCTAGTACCCTGGGGATTACTGCTGGATCCTCCCAGGTATACCCCTATTATTGAGGCCCTGATGCACCCCTGCACTGAGGAACCTGAGAAGGGTAAGTACTAAACAGTCTGTCATAGCCACGTGGGACTGTCACAGCACAGGTGGGACTGGGAGTCGCCCAGTTCTTCTCGGTGCTCACAGGAGTAACAAAGGAACTAGGACTAAACCATAACCAGAGGTCTCCCACGTGGTACTACAGTACCACACGTTCACTTTTGTGGCCCTTACAAATGCACATTTATAGACCCAATGTATTTACTGGAAAAAAAAAGAAAAAAATGCCTTTACTAATTTCTGTATCAAATTATTAGAATGAAAATAAAAGCATTTGTCTGATAAAACACACTTTCTATGTTAGATGAAAATAACTCCCTTGCAAGATAAGCTTGGTAATGTGTATTTGTCACTATTTATATATTTTTGCTTAGTACACACATTTCTTTAATAGCATCATCTGAACAGCTTTGTCATTTTTCAAACCTGTAGTTTCATTAGCTTAAAAAAAGGATAAGGCAGCCAAATTTAATGAATTTTGGTTGCAGAAAAACATCTCAGGTATTAACTCTCATCTTCAAATATTAAGAGCACATAATTAAAAGATAAAGTTTCTTCTCTTAACAGGAAACTAAGCAGCTATTGTCATCAAATGTACTTTTACATGTACTTTTTAGTGAAGGGCCCCCTCATAAATATAAAATTAAATTCTTTTGAGGAATAGGTTTGTGATTTTAGTTATGCAGGATTTACATTTATCCTTTACATTTTGTAGTAAAAAATGTGTGGTCTTTGCTTATTTTCATGAAGTGATTTCTTCATCTCAGCAGGCTCTCACATACAAACGGCAGGCTGGGTTACTCAGCTTGTTTCTGAAAGGGGAGGCAGCCACATGTCATGTGCTCTTAGAATCCTTGCAAAAACTCCTGTAGCTGGGTGACAATCTCCGTATCCACTGTTTCCATGAGGGACTGGAAACCTTGTTCTCCTAGCATCTCCTGCTGTGCCTTGAGCTTCTCGTAGATGAACTGCTGCAGTGACACTGTATGAACAGGGTCCTTCAGGGCCAGCTGTGGGATACAGAGAGGAGCAAGACTGTCAAAAAAGCAAAACAAGTCTCTCCTACCTGCAATTTACAAAAGTTCTTTGTAATCTCTTCTACAGTAACAAAATTGCTTCTGCCTCTCTTCTCACACAGATTCTGTACTAATCTCATGGTGGAAAAATCTGTCAAAGAAAATTTCATTCAATTAGTCTTAACTTCAGTTCCCTAGCGCCCCCTGAACATGTTTTCTGATCAGGCATTTCTCAAGAGCTGGGGGACTCATTCATTTAAAGCATCAAAGCCTAGTAGAAAGCATTCTAAAAGAAACAGAACATGCTGAAGAACATTTAAATACAATTGTCCAGCATTCTCCTTAGGAAGATAGGGTAGGGTAGGCCACTGTGGCAACCCAGTGATGCCCTCAGGATCGAGAAAGGAGACAGTGTTTGCCCTACCCTGGATTGCAATACTATTTAAATTCCTGTATATGCTTCTGGCTGAAAAAAAAAAAAAAGGGACTCCTCGTCTCCCACTGGGATATTTGGAAAACAAAAGGAGTGTAATTTCATGAAAAATAACCCAGAAGTCCACTCCTTAAAGATAACAATGACAAAAGAAAATATTTTGGCTTCTTCTATCCCTGTGGTATGCACATACATACATATACATAAAACACACCTGGACCCAGGCTAAGTGCAATGTGTGATATACCCGATTGAATCCTGCAACCAAGAGTGTTACCGGAAAAACTGGTAAAATCTAAATAAAAGTCTGGAGTTTACTTAATAATAATGCACCGATGTTGGTTTCTTAATTTTGATAAATGTACCATGTATATTTGGAAAATGTAGGGCCAGGCTCGGTGGCTCATGCCTGTAATCCCAGCACTTTAGGAGGCTGAGGCAGGCAGATCACAAGGTCAGGAGTTCGAGACCAGCCTGGCCAATATGGTGAAACCCCGTCTCTACTGAAAATACAAAAATTAGCCTGGCGTGGTGGTGCACGCCTGTAGTCCCAGCTACTTGGGAGGCTGAGGCAGGAGAATCGCCTGAATCTGGGATGCGGAGGTTGCAGTGAGCTGAGATCGTGCCATTGCACTCCAGCCTGGGTGACAGAGCGAGACTCCGTCTCGAAAAAAAAAAGAAAAAGAAGAGGAAAGAAAAATGTAACATACAATGTTAACATTAGGAAAAACTGGGTGAGGGGCACATGGGAACTCTTTGTACTATTTTTGTTACTTTCCTGTAAACCTAAAAGTATTCCAAATTAAGAAGATTACTCTAAAAAATGGACTCAGCAATTAGAAAAGTATACCCCTCTGTGGCCATTTGGTATAAGGACAAACCACTCTACAACTGACATCTCATCTTATGTATTAGCTTATATAAGTGTCTAATAATAGAATTTCTAAGCAGCTAGGCCTGTGTTCAATTTTGAGATAAAAGCTGATGTCTCCAAGCTCTGAATGACATTCAAGGTTAGTTTTTCTCAAGTTAATGACTTCATCACAACTAGAATATAGATCGGAAAAATTCCTGGTTTTGTTCTCTTTCCATTACTTCCATATGCTCTTGGCTTCTAAGAAAGTATGTGATCATTTAAGAAGTATTTCCATTGAAATAGTTAAGATAAAATTAGGAACCTTCAGAAGCTTCAGTCATTAGCAAGAGATAATTACCCAGAATTCCTGACTCTGGGGTAACACCAGATAAATGAAGTGTTAATAGCCAGATTCACTTCTAAAGTCTACACATCGGATTTTAATGAGCACGTGGCTCAGTATTGCTTAATTTTAAAATTATTACTCTAAGACAGAATGGTTCTAGTTGAAGTGTGTATCAGCAGTTCCCTCTGTTGGTAATGACAGCCTTTTGACATATGCTTCAACCTATGAAGTAGTCTTCTAAAGTGGTTCAAGATTTTAGTTTCTGTGGGGCTACTTACAAATTTCTTTTTGAGATTTCTATTCCTTGAAACAAAGTTTCCCATTATATTTCACTACATTAATAAGCAATTTCACCCAGCAAGAATTTAGTGAATCAAAATCTTTCATTTTCCTTGTTATGTGGCATATGTCATTATTCACTTTTTAAGCCTATATGCCCAATTATAATTTTTCAGAAACTACTTACTGTAAAGTTGTTTTGTCAGAGGCCTTTGAACCGGTGCAACTCCATCTTTTTTTTTTTTTTTTTTTTGAGTCTCTCGCTCTGTCGCTCAGGCTGGAGTGCACTGGCGCGATTTCGGCTCACTGCAAGCTCCGCCTCCTGGGTTCACGCCATTCTCCTGCCTCAGCCTCCCGAGTAGCTGGGACTACAGGTGCCTGCCACTATGCCCAGTTAAATTGTTTTTATTTTTAGTAGAGACGGGGTTTCACCCTGTTAGCCAGGATGATCTCGATCTCCTGACCTCATGATCCGCCCACCTCAGCCTCCCAAAGTGCTGGGATTACAGGCCTGAGCCACCGTGCCCGGCCTGCAACTCCATCTTGAATAGGGGCTGGATAAAATAAGGTGGAGACCTACTGGGCTGCATTCCCAGGACGTTAGACATTCTAAGTCATAAGATGAGATAGGAGTTCAGCACAAGATACAGGTCATAAAGACCTAGCTGATAAGATAGGTTGCGGTAAAGAAGCTGGCTAAAACCCACCAAAACCAAGATGGCCACAAAAGTGACCTGTGGTCATCTTCACTCATTACATGTTAATTATAATGCATTAGCATGCTAAAAGACAATCCCACCAGCACCATGACGGTTTACAAATGCCATGGTGGTATTTGTAGGGTAACGTATAGGGTAACATCCAGAAGTTACCCTATATAGTCTAAAAAGGGGAGGAACTGGCTGGATGCCATGGCTCATGCCTGTAATCCCAGCACTTTGGGAGGTTGAGGTGGGCAGATCACCTGAGGTCAGGAGTTTGAGACCAGCCTGACCAACATGGAGAAACCCCGTCTCTACTAAAAATACAAAATTAGCTGGGCATGGTGGTGCATGCCTGTAATCTCAGCTACTTGGGAGACTGAGGCAGGAGAATCGCCTGAACCCGGGAGGTGGAGGTTGTGGTGAGCTGAGATCATGCCATTGCACTCCAGCCTGGGTAACAAGAGCAAAACTCTGTCTCAAAAAAAACAAAACAAAAAAAACGGTGGGGGGAGGAACCCTCAGTTCTAAGAATTGACCACCCCTTCCCAAAAAATCTCATGAACAATCCATCCTTTGTTTAGCATATAATCAAGTAATACCCATAAAAGGCCGGGCATTGTGGCTCACGCCTGTAATCCCTGCACTTTGGAAGGCTGAGGCGGGTGGATAACCTGAGGTCAGGAGTTTGAGACTGGCCTGGCCAACATGATACAATGAAACCCTATCTCTACTAGAAAAATACAAAAAATTAGCTGGCCATGGTGGCATGTGCCTGTAAACTCAGCTACTCGGGAGGCGGAGACTGCAGTGAGCCGAGATTGTGCCACTGCACTCTAGCCTGGGCAACAAGAGCAAAACTCTGTCTTAAAAAAAAAAAAAAAAAAGAAAAAGAAGAAAGAAAGAAAGAAATACCCATAGAAATAGCCAGCCAGCAGCCCTCGGGGCTGCTCTGCCTATGGAGTAGCCATTCTTTTATTCCTGTATTTCTTAATAAGCTTGCTTCCACTTCACTCTATGGACTCAACCTGAATTCTTTCTTGTGTGAGATCCAAGAGCCCTCTCTTGGGATCTGGATCAGGACTGCTTTCTGGTAACAATTTCCTATTGAATTTTGCTAAAGTGTTTTCCATCCTAGAAAAATACTAAATAATTGCTAAATTTGAATTTAATTTTTGTCACTTAGAAATGTAGAACATTTTTTAAGAATAATAATATATTCAGGCTTCCTTTCCATGAAACTTGGTAGGAGACATATAAATACACTAGGTATGTAACAGGCCAAAAAATCTTAAAGGAAAATTGATCTACAACAATGTATTTAACCATGTGGTCTTCAAAAATTCCTTAATTAAATTATCTTTGGTTTAAAAATTCCCTTCTTTTCTGACTAATTGTTTTGCTGCAGATAACTGTCAATTTCTGAAATATATCTAAAATAACTAAGTTTCTAAGATCTGTTGGATATAAACTCTCCTAACTCTGTGGCTTAATGAAGAGTATGAGTCCAGCAGATACCAATCAGAACCCACTTAATCAACAGGGCGCAGCAATACAAGCTCAATCATCAAACTATACCCACTGTAAAACCCAATCTGTCCTTTGAGAAGCTTGGAATACAATTTCTAAATGACCAGCTTGTAAGTAAAGGAACTATTTTACATTGCTATGTCTAGAAACACTGGGATCTAGACTTCATGAGATAAAAATAACCGTATATACATACATGTCTCAGTGAACAAATTAAAATTCCAATTTAGCAATTACCTTGTAAGCTAGGTTTCCTGACATAATTATTTTTCTTTCTATTAGTCCTTGACCATTATTACTTGGGCATTCTTACTCTAGTATGCCTTTACTGCAGTGTGCTTTATTTAAATCTCTGAGAGTAAACTTGACAGAAACACAACTCAAGCAATTAGACAAAGTAATTATTTCAAACCTAGATCTGAGCAACAGAACATCTGCTTATTTCTTCACGTTTCAATATGCAATCATCTTCAGAGCAATTAAATGGGAATCAAAATACAATATCCACATTTACTAAACTCCAATCACAAGCAAGGCTTCTGCTAGGTACAGGGTAGGCCATTCACATATATAATTTCATTTAAAACTAACAATAAGAATAAAGGAGGAAAGGGAAGCCTCAGCAAAGTCACAACAAATCTTTATACAATAGTTCTTCACTTGGCAGCATAAGGGAATCATTTGGGGAACTTTAAAAAATGCTGATGTCTAAGTCCTACTCCTAGTGATTCTGATTTTAAGTAGTTTCAGGTACCAGAATATTTAAAAGCTCCCCAAGTGATCGTGATATACATCCAAAAATAAGAAGCACTGCTACAGAAAAACGTGGGCCAAGCGTTTTGAGGCCTAACCTCTCAAGAAAACACAATAAAACATCTACAGGTATTTCCATATGCATTAAAATAAAAGAATATAGACAACAGGCTAAAGAAAACATGTAACACTTAAAAGAAAAAAAAAACCCTTCAGCTACTAATTACAAGCTCTTTAAACTTAAACCCATTTACCATTACTTGCCAGAAACCTTTCAGGTTTCCTTTCTCCTTTAGACTCACTGAGGCAATTTTGAGGGAGTTTTACTTTACTGTGTGCATACTAGGAAATGTTGATGACTTTTTTTTTTAATCATTGTTTGACTCCTCCACTGTCCAAAAGTTTAGTGCGCTTCTTGATTTTGGTTTTTGTTTCCTGAATTCCAAAGGATTCCTCAAATCACAGGGTAAATGAGATTCAAATTTGTAAAAGACGTTCATTTAGCCTGCTTTTCCTAACTAGTTATTGCTAGCATATAACAGCAACATACATTTATATATAATTATCACTTATTAAATTCTCTTCATAGTTGATCTGTTGATCTTCTTAGGGACTTTCCTGGCTTAAATTACTGACAGAGACAGGAGGCAGCCAAGGCCCCACTCCCCTTCCCCCTTAAACCCAGCCTTCAAGCCTAAAACAGCCTGAAGGCCGAAAAACGGACTGCAGGTCTGGGAGAATCTCTAACCCGCCTGCTCCGTGGGAGGACAGGGTGGAGCCTTGGGAAATGTATGCCCCATTTGCAGGGGGAGGAGCCTGGCCTCTCCTGTTCCTGTGTGGTAACCTGAGATTCAATCTGCGAGATGGGGACCTGTTAACAGGTACCCCTGTCACTTTGCTGAGTTTTTTTCCATTTTTGCCCAATAATTCTGTTCCCCCTCGCCCTTCAAAGTGTCTGCCAGCCTAATCCTTCCTGGTCGTGTGACAAGAACCTGGTTTTTACTACAACATTATCATTACAATGACTTCTGAATTTCGTCTCTTCTTTGCCAATACTTAAAACTTACATAGACTCTCTTCTCATCGCATTGGCTAGAAACTCTGCGTAACAGACCATTGTATCATCATCATCAAACTCTTTTACTCTTTTTCCTAGGCCACACAGACCACATTTCCAGCCAATGGAATGTGAGCAGAAATGATAAGTGCCATTATTCAACCTAACTCTTAAACTACTCGTACTCATTCTTTTTCACAGTTTTCCTGCTAGACAGAGCCATGTGTTGAAGCCATGCATTTCAATAAGTCTCGATTGTAAACCAGAAATAAAATTGTAAGGCCCTCCGCCACCCACCATCCGTTTGAATGGACTTCCTCTTTGGCCAGGACACTCTTAAAATTTAACCTGAAAGACTGCTTCAGGCCATGATGGCAAGCAGATGTGCCTCATTATACCTCTCCAGTATTAGCATCAACACAGACCTTAAGTCTGATAAGAGACATTTATAATTTATTCTCTTTGAAGCCTGCCACCTGGAGGCTTCATCTGCATGATAAAACTTTGGTCTCCACAACCCAGACATTTCTTTTCTATTGACTCCAGGTCTTTAGAAAAACTCAACCAACTGTCAACCAGAAAAATTTAAATCTACCAATAATCTGAAAGCCTCCTGCCTCTACATTTTGTCCCACCTTTCTGGACCAATGTATTTTTTTTTTTTTTTTTTTTTTTAGACAGAGTCTCGCTCTGTTGCCCAGGCTGGAGTGCAGTGGCACAATCTTGGCTCACCGCAAGCTCCGCCTCCCGGGTTCATGCCATTCTCCTGCCTCAGCCTCCCGAGTAGCTGGGACTACAGGCACCCGCCACCACACCCGGCTAACTTTTTGTATTTTTAGGAGAGATGGGGTTTCACCGTGTTAGCCAGAATGGTCTCAATCTCCTGACCTCGTGATCCGCCCACCTCGGCCTCCCAAAGTGCTGGGATTACAGGCGTGAGGCATCGCGCCCAGCCCTGTATTTCTTAAATGCATGTGACTGAAGTCTCACGTCTCCCTAAAATGTATAAAACCAAGATGTATCCCAACCACCTTGGGCACATGTTCTCAGGACCTCCTGAGGCCTATATCACAGGCCATGGTCACTCACATTTGGCTCAGAATAAATCTCTTAAAATATTTTACAGAGTATGACTCTTTTTGTTGACAGGATCATCCCTTAAAGACTGCGGATTTCAAGACCCACTCCTGCTCCTGCCTCTCTTGTGTTTTTCCTGAGCAATAAACTATTACATTAAGTTGAGATTCCAGAGGTCTGTTACAGAAGACAGAATTTTCTGGCATTTAGAATATTCACTATCCAGTGGTATGTTTGTGCAGTTTCTTTTTTTTTTTGAGGTGGAGTCTCGCCCTGTCACCCAGGCTGGAGTGCAGTGGCGCAATCTCGGCTCAGCTCACTGCAAACTCCACCCTCCTGGGTTCACGCCATTCTCCTGCCTCAGCCTCCCGACTAGGTGGGACTACAGGCGCCCACCACCGTGCCCGGCTAATTTTTTGTATTTTTAGTAGAGATAGGGTTTCACCGTGTTAACCAGGATGGTCTTGAGCTCCTGACCTCGTGATCCGCCTGCCTCGGCCTCCCAAAGTGCTGGGATTACAAGCGTGAGCCACCACGCCCGGCCTGTTTGTGCAGTTTCAAACAGATATTTTATCATGGTAAAGACATAATATTCTATTCCTATTTCAATAAGAAATTTTACCAGGAATAAATGTTAAATTTAATGTTAGATCAAATTTGCTGATAGTAATTTACATTTTTTGCATCTATTTTTATTTTAAAAAGCCATCTATTCTTTTTATTCTTTTTTCTAGGTTCTAGAATAGTTGAACTAGCATAGAATGATCTATTCTTTAAAATAGGATACAAAGGAAGAAAGGAAGGGAGGGATGGAGGAACAAAAGAAGAAAGAAGTGTGGAAAGACAAGCTATTGCTAAAAGAATGTCATTAGTAATTTTTCATTTTAGAAACAGGGTCTCGCTGTGTCTCCCAGGCTGGAGTGCAGTGGTGAGATCTTGGCTCACTACAGCCTCCGCCTCCTGGGTTCAGGCAAGTCTTCTGCCTCAGCCATTCAAATTCAAGGAGCTGGGACTACAGGCGTGCAATACCATGCCTGGCTAATTTTTTGTAGAGATGGGGTTTCACCATGTTGGCCAGGCTGGTCTTGAACTCCTGACCTCAAGTGATCCACCTGCCTTAGCCTCCCAAAGTGCTGGCATTACAGGCGTAAGCCACCCAGCCCGGCCTGTCATTAGTAATATTAAATGAATTAAACTACATAAAAAAAAAGACTGATAGTACATTCTGGTAAAACCACTTGCAATGAGCAAGCAAGAAACATTTGAGGAGAGGGGCTTTTGGGGGGAAGGAGGCAATTTAAAACAGCCTCCCGACTAGGTGGGACTACAGGCGCCCACCACTGTGCCCGGCTAATTTTTTGTTCCGTGGTTATAAATCTATTTCTATCAGGTCCTAAGTTTATTTTTAATTTTTTTTTGGTAAAATTAATATGGGAAAACTGTCCTGAAAAGATTTTTCCATTGATTAGCCTAGACTTGCATGTACAATACCTGAAGCCATATTATATGCCTTCTTATCCCTAATATTTTATGTTTATTCTTCCACCCCTTGATTAAATTGGCCAGGTTTATCTATTCTGTGGGTTTTTTAAGAAGAAGAACAAGCAAACAATACTTATTCATCAATTTTAGTACTTTTCTGTCTTCTAATTTTTAAAATTATTAATGTCTTCTATTTTTCTAAGGCTGATTTTTTCTAATGTCTGTATTTTTCCTTTTTTTCACATCTTGACATAAGTAGAGTTCATTTATTTTCATTTATTCTTGTATAATAAAATTACTTAAGGTTAGGAATAATTAAGTTTTGCTCCCATGTTTTTATGTGTAACAATCTCAATGTTGTATGTCATCTACTTCAAAATTTCAAGCTTCCCCTTTAAAATACTGTTTAAAAAACTTTATGAAACCAATATTTCTCTCAACCTTTGTGTAATACCTGGTTTTACTTTAATGTGGTCAGATAATTTAACCTGTACTATTTCTGTTCTAAGAAACCAGGGATTTTCTTTGTTAGCCTAGAATATGCTCAGTTTTTGTAAATGTTTCATGAACACTTACATATTCTACTTATAGAGTAGAATTTTTATATATAGATATTAAGTTTCCTGATCATATTGTTCAGATCTGTCACTATACACCCACTAGATCATCTTAAGCTCAACTAAACATAGGCTCACAAGACTACCATAGGCTATCCTTAGCATCAGTTTATACAGAAGGCTGTGGGGAAGACTTACTATCACAAAAAGAAAATGTGTAGGAAAATAAGATAAATTTTGCACCAATAAAAATGTTATAATCTTACATGTATTTTTAGAATCCTATAAAACTATGTTGCTTTTTGAGATAATTTCTTACATGTTTTATAAAAGCATTTCTACTTATAACTCAGTTTTGGCAGTGCAATTTAGGACTGTCTCCATTCAGTTTCCAGCAATGGGGCGAACTCTTTACATTAAAAAAAAAATCAACTTTAATATATAACTAAATTAAATAATAGGGAATTGTTTTCCTTCCATTCATCTTATTGTCATTAAAGTAAAATGGCTACATAACAAAGTGTAATAGAATATTTAGGGGTGTGCTATGGCACATTAATGTTACTAAATTAGAAAATAACAGACTGCTAGATATCTAAAAGTGCCACTATCCAGCACTGCCTTTAATTCTATTACTTCCCTCTCAGAAATATAATTAATATTCCTGTTTGTCCACTATGGGAGAGAATATACTATAAAACCAAACATGTGAATTAATACATTGTTCCTATTATATGTGGACACCAGGTGATTCAGAGAATGGAAAGAAGATAAACTGTGAGGAAAAATCAGATGAGATTTCTATTTGAAATCTAAATGTCATGGATATGCCGAGTTTTCTGAATATCATTTATTTCTGTCTACATTTTTATTACAGGGACTGAGAAATCTGAACAAGTATGAACATCTATAGGACACAGCTGCTCCCTTGTATCTCCTTATTGTTCTAATTGCCTTTGTGGTTCCAAGAAGCAAGATCACTGAGCAAATCTTATGAGAATCTCAAGTCTCTTGATAAAAATGCTCAACAAGGTCAAGTATCAGGTGAAGGACTGAAAAGTGCAGGTGCTATAAAGAGGAAATGTTGAATGAGAACCTTTAAAGGCAAGAAAGTTTAATAATGGGTCAGTCAGTGTCCTCAATCTCTTTCAAAAATTTGATTTCATCAAATGGTGTATCAATAATTTATAGAAATGACAAAATGTGATGGAGATGAATAAGGGGCTAAAAATTTTCCATCTTGACCATCTGCTGACAGAGCAAAATTGTTAAATAAACCAAGTTTGGCTATGAGGCTAATTTTTCTAAAGCAGATCCTGTTCTCTCACTGATTTTTTTTTTTTTTTTTTTTTTTTTTGAGTCAGAGTCTCACCCTGTGCCCCAGGCTGGAGTGCAGGGGCACAGCCTCAGCTCACTGCAACCTCTGCCTCCCAGGTTCAAGCGATTCTCATGCCTCAGCCTCCCAAGTAGCAGGGACTACAGGGGCATGCCACCGTGCCCAGCTGATTTTTGTATTTTTAGTATAGATGGGGTCACACCATGGTGGCCAGGCTGGTCTCAAGTGATCCACCCGCCTCGACCTCCCAAAGTGCTGGGATTACAGGTGTGAGCCACCATACCTGGCCATCTCATTGGTTTTTATCACAGATCAGATGTATATATATTTTTAAATGTTATTTGATTATATTTTGATTTATTGAGGAATCTTCAGAAAGAGTAGAAAACTTTTGGCAAGAAAAGATTTGAGATTGTGCTTAGCCACATCTAAGAAAGCTTCCTGGCATTTTCCTACTACGGGATCTCAACTTTCTCCTCCTGCCCACCCTGCCCATCAACATTTAGCTACCTACAGATTAACTGCTTCCACTCAGTGAATAATAATGCCGTTAGATAGATATGTCCACATAGCCAGTTAGCTGTCCTTGGGCCACAGTAACAGAAATATGTTCTCTTTGTTTTCTGTTCTGGCTCCTCCTCCTCTCTGTTCTGCACCACTGCCACCCCCCTTCCTCCCCCACCTCCCCCTCCACCCCATCTTCCACTTTTAATGACTTGTCATGACAAATGTTCCTATCTAGATAATCCAAATGTACCTATCTTTGATCAGCAAATTCCATTTTGTCATGTGTTAAATAACCAGATTGCAGTCACTTGTGCTAGATGCCATGTAATCAAACAAAATTTAAAAACAGGCCAGTTTTCTAAAATTGAGATTCACAGTAACCAATCAAAAGGGGCCCAATAAACCTGAGATAGGATAAGGAAGCACCCTTTCCCTTAGCCCATCCAAGGAAAGTAAACAAATGTTAACCAATCCACTTTTTGTACTATGCTGTTTCCTTGTTCCTGTTCAAGTTACCTTATAAAAACCAACTCTTCTGCCACCTCCTCAGAGCTCCCATCTATTTTGCAGATTGGATGCTGCCTGATTCATGAATCACTAATAAAAGCTAATTAAATCTTTGAAACTCACTTTGTTGAAATTTTGTTCTTTGATACATGAAACACATTCACAGGTTCCAGGGATTAGGACATGCACATCCCTGGGGGATGAGAGGGATTATTCTGTCTGCTACACTTATGGCATACAAGGCCCTCTATAAGCCATCTACTATTTTGGCACATGGTATGCACCTAATAAATACTTCTTGAATGATACTCCTGCAACTGCTCAGTGAAACAAGATAATTATACTTGCAAAATCTAAACTCAAAACTAAACCAACAAAACATGGGTGGCTTAAATTCAGGGTTTCTCAAACTTGGGACTATCAAACATTGGGTAGATAATTCTTTGTTATTGGAGGGGGTTGTTCTGACACAGACAGAAAACGGAAATACTGGGTAGAAGAGGGCAGTTCCCTGGCAAAGGCCTCACCCTCAAGCCTGGAAACTCGAGGCCCTAAATGGGAACAGGCACTCCTGTTTTCATGCCCAAAAGTTTCCATACGGCCCACCACACCCCCTTATCCTGTACCTATATAGACCGCAATCCACAGCTCCATAAGGAGAAAAGAAGAGCAGAACAGCAGAATGGCACAGCAGGGAAGGAAGAAGAGGAGCATCAGAACGCCAATAGGAGTTCGGCTGGGGTGGTAGGAAAGGAGATTGGCCACTGGATGGCTAAAGTCTAGGGAAAGATCATCTTCCCACTCCATACCCTTTCCAGCTCCCCATACAGCTCACTGAGAGCCACCTCCACCAGTCAATAAAACCCCCACATTCACCATCTTCAAGTCTGTGTGTGACCTGATTCTTCCTGGATGCCAGACAAGGACCTGCGTACTAAGAGGGCACTGAGCTGGTTAACGCTTAAGCTGTCTGCAGACAGCAAAGCTAAAAGTGGACTGTAACACACACACACACACGCACACTTGGGTTTTCGGAGTTGCAGGCTACCACCTCTGGATGTTGTCATGGGGCTGGAGCCCAGGGGTATTTGCCCTGGCTCCTGCACCTACCTGTCTGCATGCTCACCCTCCCATAAGGGGCTTGAGCACTTGTGGATGAGTCACACCCCTGTCGCATATCCTGCGGGGTGAGGGGGGGCGGGTCAGGTAACTCTTCAGCATTTCAGTTCTACGTACTGCAGAACTTAGCAACAGCCTTGGCTCCCACCCATTACTGCCAGCAGCACTTCCCTGTCCTGTAATGACAATGCTGGCGGGAAGGGGCGAGGAGCAGGGCAAAATAGTACCCAGTTGAGAACCACTATTAAACAAAGATCCTTCCTCCTCTTTGTCTGTATGTAAAAGTTACCTCAACTTAATTCACACAATGACATAAAGCCATTTTGAATAAGGTTAAGAAACTCATCAGGTTTCTTGCAGCTCAGTAAGACAATTGTGGGGATGAAATCAACTCTTGTTAAGTTCAAAGAAAGTCATAAATAATATCTGAATAGTTTCTATACCAAAAGCTTTCCTTTTCTATGTGTTTTATTTTAAAGTACTTTATTCCAAGGAGACACCTCCAGAAAATCAGATGATTAATATGATGTTCACACACAATGCACATGCGAAAAAGAAAATAAAGATAAAACTGCACCACAGCTGTTTTAAAGTCTGTCATAGGTAATTTCACCTTGCAAGGGTTCATGCAAAAATTAATTAAAGTGGCTAGGATATACACAGGGAAGACTTGAAGGCTTGGGGTGACTCAGGCCCTTCGGGGGCTGGAATCATCTTAAGGGTCACTGATTCATGAGTTTAGTAGTTAATGCTGGCTGTCAACTGGGATCTCAGATGGGGAAAATGAGGCCTACTTCTTATGGATTTATGGGCTTCCTTATAGTATGGTGGCTGGTTTCCAAGTACAAGTGTCCTTAGAGAACCAGGTGGAAGCTCTATCTTATAATCGAGACTTGGGAAATCATAAACTATCAGCAAATTTGCCCAGTTTCAAAGGGAAGGAATATAGACCCAACCTGCCAATAAGGAAGAATGTCAAAATCACATTTTTAAGAAGAGCATGTGTGCCAGGCGTGGTGGCTCACACCTGTAATCCCAGTACTTTGGGAGGCTGAGGCGGGCCGATTGCCTGAGCTTGGGAGTTCAAGACGAGCCTGGGCAACATGGCAAAAGTTCTTCTCTACAAAAAATATGAAAATTAGCCAGGTGTGGTGGTGTGCACCTGTAGTCCCTGCTACTTGGAGGGCTGAGGTGGGAGGATGGCTTGAGCCCATCAGATAGAGGTTGCAGTGAGCCAGATCACACTACTGCACTCCAAACTGGGTGAGAAAATAAGATTCTGCCTCAAAAAAAAAAAAAAAAAAAAAAAGAAGAGCATGTGGAATAGGAGATATTATTATGGCTATTCTTGGGAAATAAAATCTACCATGGGACTCTTATTTAAAATCAGATAATCAAACAAAATGTCCAGTAAAAAAATGTGTGAGAGAGGGAAATATGAACAAGCCATTCATCAAACAAAAAAATATCAATGAGCTATAAACATCTAAAAAATTCTTAGTCTCACTCATAATTAAGAAAAAGTACATTAAACAACAAAACACTGCTTTCTACTTATCCCATTGATCAGACTGTAGGATGACTCATGAACCACTCCTGAGCACATAAATTGGCAATTTGGTATAATCTATCACTATTTCAAAAACACATATCCTTCAGCCCAGCATATCTACTTCTAAGAATTTTTCCTACAGACTTACAAACTTTTAGAAGTACATAAAGACAGCACTTGATGTTGTTTACTGAAGCGCTGCTTATAATAACTGAAAAATGGAAACAATCTCAATGTCTTTCAAGAGTAGTTTCTCATTTTGGCCTCAAGGCCCTTAATATTTTTACATTTAAAAGTTATTGGTGATCTCAAGAAGTATTTGCTTATATGGGTTAAATCTACCAATATTTACTGGATCAGAAATTAGAAAATTCAAAAATACTTATCAACTCACTTTAAAATATCAATAAATCCATTACATGTTAATATAATTTTTATAAATAACTATTTTTCAAAATAAAAATATCTCTTTAGTGAGAAAAATGGCACTGCTTTACATACTTGGAAATCTAATGTGTGGCTTAAATGAAAGCCGGATTCTCGTATCTATTTCTGCATTCAATCTGTTGCATTATGTGTTTTGGTTAAAGTAAAGAAAATCCAGTCTTTCTCAGATATGCAGCTGGAAAATGGAGTAGTATTTAACAGCCTTTGCTGACCATTTTGGATATTCTTCTTTGAAACTACACTGAAACTCACAAATAGTAGTTTCTTAAAAGAACTCTGAAACCATATCAATAGACCCCCATTCTCTGTCACATTAAAATCCGTTGGCCTGTCTTACTCTCTGAATAAATCTTTACCTTTGAATGATTTTTTTAACATGTACTCACAGATCGTTTGGAAAATACTGGTTCACTGAATTATGCAGTTCTTCATTTAAGAAAAATCAAGCACCAGAACAGAATGTAACGTAATTTTAACATTTAAAATACATATAGATCATATATTTTATGTATGTATATAAAATATTTGGAAGGACTTATCGCATAATGTTAGTAAAGGTTACCTAGGGGAATGTTATTTCACAACATATCATTCATTTTGTGGTTTTTAGTATAGGTTACTTTTATAATGAAAAATCAATTTCTTCAAAATGGCAACTTCCACATACAGAACAATTCTTCAAAAAGTTTACTTAATTTTTCTTCCCTTGAAAGACAAGTCCCTTATATTAAAAGACAGTAAGTACTACAATTTATTGAGAAAAAGAAGCAGAAGAGAAAAACAGGAAATAGGAAAAACTGCCATGAAGGCAGTCTAATGTACCCTGGCATGTTACCTAAGTTACTAAAAAAGTTCTCCCAAATGAGACCACATTCTTCATTTACAAACCTGAAGATTTTATTTACCTTGAGCCAATACCATGTTGCCAACGTTTCCAAGTGAACAGGGGCAAAGTTACTGAATTCATCACAATTAAGGTTTTTAGTAACAATTCAAGTAAATAAGGGAGATACAGTGAGGCCGTCTGCTATGCAATACTCAAGAACAATACTGACGTCAGCAGGCAATTAATTTGAAATCTCAACTAAAAAATAACCATCACTATCATCACTTTATTTAGTTCCAAAGGCATTTTCAAGGGAATTTTCTTTTCCAGTGTCTTTGATTACTATTATGTAGCCTACTGTGAAGGATCTTAACCTCTATAATCTGAAACTATTTTTTGATTAACATTTTAGCTCTATCACAGGAAGAACTGCTACCTTAGGATGCCTGGTTATCAATTTGTATCTTTATTGCATCTCAGTTGGATTATTTCAATTCATTATTTCCTATCTTCTTGGATTGTTTTAATGTCACTTTCAACTCTGCACTTTTTAGGACCTGAATTACCCATGACCACAGTGTATTTCTAATACTTGAGATAAGTTTAACATTGAGCTTGTGGGCCTCATTTATAAGGAAAGCTATGTTTGGTTTACAATTTTGAAATATTTATAGGTAAAGTTATATGTCCTACAATGGCTTTTTGTATGTTTCAGTGTATCATCTAGAAATGAAAATAAGGATGTATCAACAGCAGTACAACAGTCAGTTAATCAAACTTAGAGAAGCAGGTAGAATGTGAGCAAAGCATAGATAAAAACAAGTACATCTTTCCATTTTAAGAAACTGGCCTGGTAATAAGTTAATGATATCTAACACTTTAAAAATACTATGTATGTACTGTTGATCAAAATACCCTAGAAGATAGGTTCTCAGAGGAAGTACTGATTATAAAGATCAATGGTTTTCACATGGTAAGCATTAAAAAATGTATGTGGAATGAATACAGAAGAAAAAAAAAGATTCATTTTGAAGATGCTAGTTCTATTGCCATTATATATTTAGTTGTGCAATGGTAGCAGGTAGGATTATTTGATTACTTGATCATTTGATTATTATCACTTGATTATTTGATTACTTAACTAAGAGTAAACAGAGAAATGCTTTTAATATTGTTAATTTTGTTAAGTCTTAAAAGAATGGAGTGTGAGGATTTGCACACATTTTTATAAACTGGGCCTTATGATAACCAAATTTGGTGCAAATATATGTGATATGTGATAACCAACACGTAAGTGACAACAAACCAGTGACAACCAAAAGACAGACACATGGATAAAAATTAATAGTAAAATTGCCTTCTCAATGCAAAATGAGAAGCAATAATTTATATTCACTATCTTTCAAACTGCTTTTCAATATATAGCTGGCTTTTTCCTATTATCTATCTACAAACTTTGTAAAGATCATCTTGTGCCAAAGGATAAAGAAAAAAACAAAATCATTTCAGTAATTTTTGAAGGAAAAAAGAAATAATCAGATGGCAAGCAATAAAGTAACAAATATGAGTACCTCTATGTTAACCAGGTTAACATAGCATTCAAGCCTATGCTTTTATTCACTCAAACAGTATGATAAAATATATCCAGTAATATTACAAGTACCTCATCTATGGCTGCCACTGTGGTTTGGTGGGCCAGAGGCAGCCGGTGGATGCCAACAACTGGTTGTTGCCTCACCCATGACTGCTGTTATTCCCTCCTGAGAGCTAGGCAGTGCTTCCCTAAATGGGACTGCTACAATTACAGTATCGCCAACAGCCACATCCAATGTGGTCCCAGGAGCAGGCGCCAGAAGCAGACCTACACATGTGACTACGAGTTGACCTCATATTTGCTGTAGCACCTGGACACACAACAGTTAGAACCTCATTTTCAGAAGCAACCCTTGCAGTCACCTGCTGGACATTAGGACAC